>NC_000007.14:103131779-103756779 GCF_000001405.40 Homo sapiens | reverse complement strand
TTTTTGTTAAAATATATTAAACCTTCCTAACTAGTGATTTAAAATACGATGTAAATTTGTTGAGTTAAATTAAATCCAGGTAAATACTGACTTGGTGTTGAAGCTCCCCAGACCACTTATAATAAAGGACTTTTGGACAATGTTATGTGTCTATTCTGGCATTTTTTAAAGGTTTGGATCTTCAATTATTTTCTGAAATATCATAAAATATATTACAACTAAGGAGTAGCTTTCAAATCAATTTATTATTTATTGAGACACTATTACCAGCTTTGGCTTATGTCTTGGGTGGACATATTTTCTGCTTTTGAGGAGCCTATTTCTTCTTCAGAGCAAAGATGAGTACTTAACACAGAGAACAGTTCAGCATGCTATAAAAATAAGCAGTGGATTGTGTAGTTTAAACCAGTGAATTTTAAATCTGGCTTTCTATCAGAATCGGTCAAGGAGGTTTTAAAAAATACAACTTCCGGGCCTCCACCCTCAGAGATTCTGACTCAGTGGGTCTTTCTAAAATGGCCCTCTCCTGCTGATTGTGATGTATATGTTTCAGTGAAAGCTTCCATGTGTCCAGATAATTTAGCAAAGGTAGATGTCCATTTCAATAAACAATTTAAAGTAAAGCATTTTATAACTCATTCCCTTTATTGAGTTGAGGCCTTAGTCACCAAAGTCATTTAATGTAAAGTAGGCAACAATATTTCTGCAGATATTTTGTTATACATATCTAATTATTGTATTGCATAGTAAATATTTCTAATTAATAATTGTCATAACTTTTCCTACATTTAATTTAACCAGTTTATTTCACAACCTGTGAAATAATTTGAAAAGTTCCATACTGTGTAGACAGGGTTTTTCTTTTCTTTTTAACACTTTATAACATGAATACAGAGAATCCCTTTTGCAATATAGCTAACGTTAGGCATGGTAAACTATCATGATATCTTTTTTTTTTTTTTTTCTTGAGGTGGAGTCTCACTCTGTCCCCCAGACTGGAGTGCGGTTGTGCGATCAGCTCACTGCAAGTCCGCTTCCCAAGTTCACGCCATTCTCCTGCCTCAGCCTCCTGAGTAGCTGGGACTACAGGCACCCGCCACCACACCTGGCTAATTTTTTTATGTTATTTAATTATTTTATTTTATTTATTTTATTTTTTTTATTTTTTTTTTGAGACAGAGTCTCGCTCTGTCCCCCAGGCTGGAGTGCGGTGGCGCGATCTTAGCTCACTGCAAGCTCCGCCTCCTGGGTTCACGCCATTCTCCTGCCTCAGCCTCCTGAGCAGCTGGGACTACAGGCGACCGCCACCACGCCCGGCTAATTTTTTGTATTTTTAGTAGAGATGGGGTTTCACCGTGTTAGCCAGGATTGTCTCGATCTCCTGACCTCGTGATCGGCCCGTCTCGGCCTCCCAAAGTGCTGGGATTACAGGCGTGAGCCACTGCGCCTGGCCATTTTTTTATTTTTTTATTTTTAGTGGATACGGAGTTTCACTGTGTTAGCCAGGATGGTCTCGATCTCCTGACCTCGTGATCCGCCCTCGTGATCCGCCCACCTCAGCCTCCCAAAGTGCCGGGATTACAGGCATGAGCCACCGGGCCCGGCCACTATCATAATATCTTAAGAAACAAAACAAACAACAAAAAAATCCCTTCGGTCCTCATCTCCATATAAGATCTCATTTCTCACCTTTGCAGCTAACCTTCTTGAAAGAGCAGTCTGCACAGCTGTTGAGTCTAGACTCTGAGGCCAAAATCCCTGAGTTCATCTATAGACACTCCTTAGCACAGTGCCTTAATAGCAGGATGTTCTTCGTAGATATCAGCTTTATTAGGATTATTTTGGCCTCTCCTTCAACTCTCTTAGCTCTTAAAACTCTTTTTCTTATTTCCTTAATGGAATGCACTTTAACTCAGTCACCTTTGCTAGCTTGTCTTCTTCCACCTGTCCGTTAAATATATATTTGACTGTGCATTTCACTTCTTTCTTTTTATTATTTATTTAGAGACAGGGTCTGACTCTCTTGCTCAGGCTGGAGTGTGATGTTGCATTTCTAGCTCACTGCATCCTCAAACTCCTGGCCTCAGGTGATCCTCCTGCCTCAGCCTCCTGAGTAGCTAGGACTACAGGCGTGCACCACCATGCCCAGCTAATTTTTAATGTTTTTTTTAGAGACGAGGTCTCCTACTATATTGCTCAGGCTGGTCTCAAACTCTTGGCCTCAAGTAATCCTCTTGCCTCAGTCTCCCAAAGTGCTGGGATTACAGGCATGAGCTACTTCTCTCAGCCTCACTTTATACCTTACATTCTCTCTGAGTGACTCGGTCTTCCTTTTGTAACTCCACCACCTCCTGCTTGATAACGATTTCCTAATTGATATACAGTACAAATGTCCCTCCTAGCTGTAGTTCAGCACTAATAGAAGTATAATGTAAGCCCCGTGTGCAATTTTAAATATTCTAGTAGTCACATCTATAAAATGGAAAGAAATAGATGAAATTAATTTAATAGTGTATTTTATTAACACAGAATATGTAAAATATTAAACATTTGGATATAATGTGGTCAATTTAAAACTATTAATGAGATATTTTACATTTTGTGTACTAAATCTCCAAAATCTAGTATGTACTTTACACTTATAGCACATCTTAAGAAATATTTGGCCTGTATTAAGAGTTCATAAAATTGACAATTGAAATGTAGATCCACATACCCAGTGTTTCTTACCTGCTTAAAGATCTTCCAGTAACTGAATTGAGTATCAAAAATCATTTTCCTTTAATGTCCAGATCCACCTTGACAAAATGTTTTCATTTTTATTAGAAGAGCTGATTTACCTTTAATGCAAAAACATATCAGTTTCAAAACTATGTCCAAGTATTATTCTTGTGTCAGCATAGTATTATTAACATGGAATTCACAGAAATATTGCATACATTGAAAAGCAAGTCTAAAATAATTAACATCAAGACATTCTTCAAATTTTTCTTGTAGGTTTTTGCAGACAATTTAGAAGATACTGGAAATTACAGTTAAAATCTTCTGGAGACACAATTCACGTTAGGAAATTCATGTGTAAAACCATTATTAATTTGTATTTTCAAAGTTTCAATTTCAACATAAATTTTCCTACTTTTCCAGCTAGTTTGCAAATAAACCCTTGTTTTCCTTGAAGCTTCAGATTTGGCTTGTTCATATGCACTGTGATACTGGTGAGAGAATGTATATCATTGTGCCAGGTTTTTGTTATTCATTATTGGATAATTGGCAAGTATTCCTTTTGTTTCAAGAAAATCTTTAATTAGAGCTAACAATTCAGTGAATCTTTGCAAAACTCTTCTCTGATTTAACCAATAAGTGTTGGCACAAAATACAAGATCATTAAATTTATTGTCTTCTATTTTTTCAAGGGTTCCAGAAACTCCTAAAAAGACTAAAAAGTCTGTAGCCATTTGATTTGCTTAATGTGACTTAAGTTTTATAACTGTGTTGTGACTCTTTATTACTGGATTTTGCTTTCATTCCTGATCAGTTGTCTTTCTTCTTTCCTCTCTTGATTCAGCTCCAACAGATGTCACTGTGCACCCACATCTAGGTAAGTGTTTAAGACTCTGATGTCATTAACTTTAGTACTTGATCTACTTGTTTGGCTTTTCTGGCTATACGAGCAGATGTTATAGAGGCAAGGAAGCTGTCCTCTCTGATCATTGATCAGTCACTGAAATTGGACTTGGGTACGGATTATACTTGAACACAGAACCTCCTTGAGGAAACATTCATGCTGCCCAGCGGGGGGCTCATGCAGGAACTTTCACACCTGTTAGTACCCTCAGCCCTGAGATCCTATTGAGTGTAAGCTTTTGCATTCTAATGCTTAATTTTCCCCAGAGTCCCTCATAATACTAGATGCCCATCATAAATATTAGAGCATGGAGCTAGTGGGCAAGAAGCCATGAATGTGGAAGAACTGAAGTCATTTAAGATTTGGGATTTATGCTCAAATTAGTACTGAATTGTTAAGAAAAAGAAATTATTTTGTCATTTCTTTAAAAATTGAACTGAAGCTGGGCATGGTGGCTCATGCCTGTAACCCCAACAGTTTAGGAGGCTGAGGTGGGAAGATCACTTGAGACCAGGTGTTTAAGACCAGCCTGGGCAGCAGAGCAAGACCCCCATCTCTACCAAAAAAAAATGTTAAAAATTAGTCAGTGTGGTGGTTGTGCACCTGGAGTCCTAGTTACTTTGGGGGCTGAGATGGGAGGATCATGTAAACCAGGATTTCAAGGCTGCAGCAAGCTATGATTGTGACACTGTCCTCCAACCTGGGCAGCAGAGCAAGATCCTGTTTCTTTAAAAAAAAATTGAAATGAGACTGTTTAAATAAATACCTGCTTCTTAAAATGGCACCATGGATTTTTCATAATGTCATGCTCTTAGTGGCCCACAGTTCTTGAGGCAGGGTATATAGTGGTTAGGATCACAGATTCTGGGAAACTGCCTGGGTTTATCTCACTTTTACCACTTGCTAGCCACACAATATTGAGCAAGTTACTTAACCTCTCTGTGCCTCAGTTTTCTCATCTGCAAAGTAGAATTAATAATAGTATCTATCTCATAGGGTTGGTATAAGGAATAAATGATTTTGTTTTCATAAAGTGTATGGTAAATAATATAGTGGTGTTTGGAAGTAAATCAATACACAAACAGGTATCCAATGAGGCTTACCCATTGCCTTTGTAAATAAAAAAGTCTCTAGAAAACAAGTGATCTTTAAGCGTTAATTTTCTCATTTGTGTCAGTGAAGATTTATTTTAAAAGCAATTTCCTACACTATAGTATTTAATAAGAATGAAAAGAAATCATCCTAGCTGGTTGCAGCCTTTTCAAATGTCTTTCACTATGGGACTTTCTAGATAGGTCAGTTATTTGTCTCTTGGGCTTTTCCTTTCAACCTATAAACCCAATTAATTTATTTTTCCTCTTTGGAAAATCTGCCTTGAGAAGCTCTACTTTTATGTAATGCTACAGCTTGGGGCTCCTCTTATTTGGCAGACAAATGCAAGCGCTTAGAAGCATGCCTTCTGGCAGCCAAGACAGGCTGGTGACCCGCAGTGGCCCAGCCAAGTCTCGGCCAGATTGGGTATCTGAGAGAGCTGTACCCTGTAGGCATCTGAGGCACTGCATCTCATCGCTCAGAGGAATCATTAAATCACTCCCATGCACAGAATACATCACAGCGTTCTCTCCAGTGTATATCCATATTCTCCCTGTTCTCATGCCTGAGGCTTCGCGTCTGAGCATCCAGTCCTCTCAGTACATGCTGATTCACTGGTTTCCATGACTTCATTACGTGCTTGCCTGCTGGCCTACCTGGTATAAAGGAGGCAAGGACTGCCATGGCTGGGGATGTCACCAAAGAGAATGTGAAATTATGCTTCCTGATATTGGGAAGTAATTTTAATTACCCAGTGATTTCAGAGAATTATATTTGAGTGAGCCTAAAAAACATAAAAATATCACCTTTAAAAGAAAAAGTTATGAGAGTTTTTTGTTAATCAGATATTATTTTAATTTTTCCAAAAGACAGTCTGTTAGCTAGTTCAAACAAAATTGTCAAGACCCAAAGAAGTTAGAGTAGCTGGAACAAACTTCCTAAGCAAACCATGAATCAGATGAGAGCATTGTTAAAGTACTAAATTAATTTTTACAACATGAATAGAAATAATTATCATTTCTCACACAACCTTTAAAATAAGCACACTTACACCGTAGCCAGCCATGAAAGTGAGTTTACTTATTCATCATCTATTCAGCAGAAATATGAACTCTACAGTTGGTGAAAATATTGCACTTGACATGCCCAAAGTTCTTCTAGAACTTAAAAATAGGTATTCAATATACCTCAAATGTGTAGTGATAATATATTTAAAACCATGTATGGCTCCCTGGCATTCCTCCTGACTTCTAAATTGATTTTATTTAGGAATTTTACTTATATAGATAAATTCTCTTATGCAGTTCTGAAAGAGAAAAAAAGTTCACAAATTTAAAAACATTCAGTAAAAGATGAGTGAATATAGGGAAGGAGAGAAAGCAAGCCAGGGCAAGAAGGATAGTGGGAAAGAGAAGAAAAAATGGGTTAGTAGATTACAGCAATTTTAGCTGAGAATAAATAGCCAGAATGTTCTATCCAATTCCATGCTTTAAAGTGAATTAGACACTGACGCTGTCTGGGCAGTCTCTTGGAAGCCATGGATGAGTATATGTTGAAATATGGATATATTAGTTCATTCTCACGCTGCTAATAAAGACATACCCAAGACTGGGTTATTTTTAAAAGAAAGAGGTTTAATTGACCCACAATTCAGCATAGCTGGGAAGGCCTTAGGAAACTTACAATTGTGGCAGAAGGGGAAGCAAACACGTCCTTCTTCACATGGTGGCAGCAAGAAGTGCCGAGCAAAAGAGGGAAATGCCCCTTATAAAACCATCAAATCTCAGCTGGGCACAGTGGCTCACGCCTGTAACCCCAGCACTTTGGGAGATCGAGGCAGGTGGATCACCTGAGGTCAGGAGTTCAAGACCAGCCTGGCCAACATGGCGGAACCCCGTCTACTAAAAATATAAAAATTAGCCAGTCATGGTAGTAGGCACCTGTAATCCCAGCTACTCAGGAGGCTGAAAGAGGAGAATTGCTTGAACCCAGGAGACTAAGGTTGCAGTGAGCCAAGATCATGCCGCTGCACTGCAGCGTGGGCAACAGAGCGAGACTCTGTCTCAAAAAATAAAAAAAAACCATCAAATCTCATGAGAACTCACTGTCATGAGAACAGCATGAGAGTAACTTGCCCCCATGATTCAATTACCTCCCACCGTCCCTTCCACGATATATGGGGATTATGGGAACTACAATTCAAGATGGAATTTGGGTAGGGACACAGCCAAGACATACTGAAGGAAGACAAGTCCCGAATAGCCTCTCCTTGTAGGTTGGTGCTGATTTTGGCCTTCCTGCCTTGCCTGCCTAGTGATAGCTTCATAGATTTCCTTTTGGGGTCTTTGGTTTTCCCAACTTCTAGGTGTTTAAACCGCAGAGCTTTTTACCCTTGTCCCTTAGTAGTTTGAGGGACAAAGCAAATATAATCAACTGCTCATTTAAAATTTAGTTTTAGGATACATTATTCTTCATAAATACAGCATGTTGGCACTTGTGTTTAGCTAAATGTACTGTTGTAGTATATTTCTTTCCTAAATACTTCCTTTTTCTTTTAGCTGAAATACATAGTGACAGCATTATCCTGAGAGATGACTTTGACTCCTACCACCAACTGCAATTAAATCCAAATATATGGTAAGTTACAGGAACATTCCTCACTTTGGTTTGCTTAATGTAACAAATGATGCTGACTGCTCCTTTAAGGAGCAGTTACTTAAAATTAAGTTGATCTTTAGTGCTAAGCTATCAGTGAGACTTGTTAAGCTATGGAACTGGGCTTAATGTAGACTGCATATAATGTCTATTACTTGACTTCTTTAAGAACTGAATCCAGGTTCTCCTCAAAGCCATGAGTGTGGTTAGATTTTTTTTTTCAGTTTTGCAATATCCTTACATAGAAAATATTATGCTATTATATGTCTAATAATTTCATTTATGCCAAGCAAAGAAGGGAAATGGTTTATCTGAAATGACAAATGATTTGAGTCATACTTCCAAATAATTTCTAAATTATTAGGTCAACTCATTATGTATACTCCAGTCTTTCCTTCAAAAGCTGTTTAAGTGTAACTCTGTGGGATTTTTGAGGGGAAATAAATAATGAGCCAAAATTCACTCATTAAAAGCTTGTCTAATACATAAATGGATGCATGAATTTGTTGGCAATCTGTTGCATTTTTGCTGACTTTGAAGAAATAGGTCTATCGACCCAGAGTTACAATGAAAATCAATTTGCATAATTTGGAACAATATCTGAATTTGGATTTTCTATTATACTAAATGTTTTTTGTTTGGACAGAAGAGTTCAAGATAAATTAGCAACTCTAATGTAAACTAAGTTCAAGTAATGTAATACTCAAGACTAAAAAGAAAATAATCATTTCATCCTTGAATGTCAGCATATGATATTCATTTCTGTTTTATTTTCACTTTTTAACAAATATTTAGCAATAATCATTTTATTTTTATAGTAAATTAAAAAGAGGTATGGTTCTCTCAAGTAACGAATGGTTTAGTAGAGAAGACACTAAGACCACATCTTTAAAAAGCTTGTGATACAGGATAGAAGTCCTTAAATGTGTTCCGAAGAGGAGTTCCAAAGAAAGGAGAGATGACTCTGGTGGGAGTTTGTTCGAGAAAGTTGCCCTTGACCTAAGAGTTGAAGATGACATATAGAGTGTTGAGGCTTCAATATTACACAAGAAACTTTTATTTCTTTTCTAGAAAGAAATATACATCTAGATAGTATAAATATAGAAAAAAATATTATCAGGCTAGCCAGAAAGTCTAGTCATAAAGTCTTATACTTTATATGCCATTTAAAGAAACAGTTTATCAATAGAACTCTGCTTCCCTAAATATACATTTTCTTAAAATAAATTGAAAATATTTATTAATAAGAAGCCAAAAAAAAAAAAAAACCTTTCTAAGTAGCACTTTTACCCAGGAAAAGTTTTTTCCTTCAGACATTTTGCTTTTTTATATGCCATTAATATAGATGTTATCATATGATTTGTTTCTTTCAGGGCAAATTCATTTCTGTGAAGCTAATTCATTTTCTTCAGTGAGTTTTCTTGACAAATACAAAATGTGACTGTTCGGTGGTGCAAATTCTGTTGTTGTTTAAATCAATAAAATGTGATTGATTTTTCTTCGCCCATTTTCATGACTGATCTGATAGATGCTTTCTTGACCAAAGTTATGGATTTTATGTCTCTTTTACTTAAGCTGTGGTTTTTCCTACCTTTTTTTAAAAAAGTTTTTTCCTAATTTTTAAAACAGTCCTTTTTTGTCTTTAAAAGCCGAGTCCTTCTGCCTTTTATCAAATATGCTTTGGAGTAATTTTACTTTATCCCTTATTGCCCACAGTCTCCTTCATTTAGCCTCTTTAAGATTCCAAAAAAAAAAAAAAAAAAAAGTGAGAGTAGGGAACGGTGAAACTGTCATTATTTGAGAGATGACTGTTCTGTTAAACAAAAGGTGGCAGAGGCCCTGATATCAGACTACCCTGGTTTGACTCTTCACCAAGCCACTTGCCAAATGGATACCATGAGAAAAGCAAAAAGCTGCTTCACCTCTATGAGCTCTATTTCTGTGCGGTAAAAGTAGGCAAATACCGTTCTTTTTATTTTTTTAATTTTATTATTATTATACTTTAAGTTTTAGGGTACATGTGCACAACGTGCAGGTTTGTTACACATATATATATGTGCCATATTAGTGTGCTGCACCCGTTAAGTTGTCATTTAGCATTAGATATATCTCCTAATGCTATCCCACTCCCCTCCCCGCACCCCACAACAGGTCCCAGTGTGTGATGTTCCCCTTCCTGTGGCCATGTGTTCTCATTGTTTAATTACTACCTGTGAGTGAGAACATGCGGTGTTTGGTTTTTTGTCCTTGCGATAGTTTGCTGAGAATGATGGTTTCCAGTTTCATCCATGTCCCTACAAAGGACATGAACTCATCATTTTTTGTGGCTGCATAGTATTCCATGGTGTATATGTGACACATTTTCTTAATCCATCTATCATTGTTGGACATTTAGGTTGGTTCCAAGTCTTTGCTATTGTGAATAGTGCTGCTATAAACATACGTGTGCATGTGTCTTTGTAGCAGCATGATTTGTAGTCCTTTGGGTATATACCCAGTAATGGGATGGCTGGGTCAAATGGTATTTCTAGTTCTAGATCCCTGAGGAATCGCCACACTGACTTCCACAATGGTTGAACTAGTTTACAGTCCCACCAACAGTGTAAAAGTGTTCCTATTTCTCCACATCCTCTCCAGCACCTGTTGTTTCCTGACTTTTTAATGATCGCCATTCTAACTGGTGTGAGATGGTATCTCATTGTGGTTTTGATTTGCATTTCTCTGATGGCCACTGATGATGAGCATTTTTTCATGTATCTGTTGGCTGCATAAATGTCTTCTTTTGAGAAGTGTCTGTTCATATCCTTCGCCCACTTTTTGATGGGGTTGTTTGTTTTTTTCTTGTAAAATTGAGTTCATTGTAGCTTCTGGATATTAGCCCTTTGTCAGATGAGTAGGTTGCAAAAATTTTCTCCCATTCTGTAGGTTGCCTGTTCACTCTGATAGTAGTTTCTTTTGCTGTGCAGAAGCTCTTTAGTTTAATTAGATCCCATTTGTCAATTTTGACTTTTGTTGCCATTGCTTTTGGTGTTTTAGACATGAAGTCCTTGCCCATACCTATGTCCTGAATGGTATTGCCTAGGTTTTCTTCTAGGGTTTTTATGGTTTTAGGTCTAACATTTAAGTCTTTAATCCATCTTGAATTAATTTTTGCATAAGATGTAAGGAAGGGATCCAGTTTCAGCTTTCTGTGTATGGCTAGCCAGTTTTCCCAGCACCATTTATTAAATAGGGAATTCTTTCCCCATTGCTTGTTTTTGTCAGGTTTGTCAAAGATCAGATAGTTGTAGATATGCAGCATTATTTCTGAGGGCTCTGTTCTGTTCCATTGGTCTATATCTCTGTTTTGGTACCAGTACCATGCTGTTTTGGTTACTGTAGCCTTGTAGTATAGTTTGAAGTCAGGTAGCGTGATGCCTCCAGCTTTGTTCTTTTGGCTTAGGATTGACTTGGCAATGTGAGCTCTTTTTTGGTTCCATATGAACTTTAAAGTAGTGTTTTCCAGTTCTGTGAAGAAAGTCATTGGTAGCTTCATTGGGTTGGCATTGAATCTATAAATTACCTTGGGCAGTATGGCCATTTTCACGATATTGATTCTTTCTACCCATGAGCATGGAATGTTCTTCCATTTGTTTGTATCCTCTTTTATTTCCTTGAGCAGTGGTTTGTAGTTCTCCTTGAAGAGGTCCTTCACATCCCTTTTAAGTTGGATTCCTAGGTATTTTATTCTCTTTGAAGCAATTGTGAATGGGAGTTCACTCATGATTTGGCTCTCTGTTTGTCTGTTATTGGTGCATAAGAATGCTTGTGATTTTTGCACATTGATTTTGTATCCTGAGACTTTGCTGAAGTTGCTTATCAGCTTGAGGAGATTTTGGGCTGAGACGATGGGGTTTTATAGATATACAATCATGTCGTCTGCAAACAGGGACAATTTGACTTCCTCTTTTCCTAATTGAATACCCTTTATTTCCTTCTCCTGCCTAATTGCCCTGGCCAGAACTTCCAACACCATGTTGAATAGGAGTGGTGAGAGAGGGCTTCCCTGTCTTGTGCCCGTTTTCAAAGAGAATGCTTCCAGTTTTTGCCCATTCAGTATGATATTGGCTGTGGGTTTGTCATAGATAGCTCTTATTATTTTGAGATACATCCCATCAATACCTGATTTATTGAGAGTTTTTAGCATGAAGGGCTATGGAATTTTGTCAAAGGCCTTTTCTGCATCTATTGAGATAATCATGGGGTTTTTGTCTTTGGTTCTGTTTATATGCTGGATTACATTTATTGATTTGCGTATATTGAACCAGCCTTGCATCCCAGGGATGAAGCCCACTTGATCATGGTGGATAAGCTTTTCGATGTGCTGCTGGATTCGGTTTCCCAGTATTTTACTGAGGATTTTTGCATCGATGTTCATCAAGGATATTGGTCTAAAATTATCTTTTTTGGTTGTGTCTCTGCCAGGCTTTGGAATCAGGATGATAGTGGCCTCATAAAATGAGTTAGGGAGGATTCCCTCTTTTTCTATTGATTGGAATAGTTTCAGAAGGAATGGTACCAGCTCCTCTTTGTACCTCTGGCAGAATTTGGCTGTGAATCCATCTGGTCCTGGACTTTTTTTGGTTGGTAAGCTATTGATTATTTCCTCAATTTCAGAGCCTGTTATTGGTCTATTCAGAGATTCAACTTCTTCCTGGTTTAGTCTTGGGAGGATGTATGTGTTGAGGAATTTATCCATTTCTTCTAGGTTTTCTAGTTTATTTGCATAGAGGTGTTTATAGTATTCTCTGATGGTAGTTTGTATTTCTGTGGGATCAGTGGTGATATCCCCTTTATCGTTTTTTATTGCATCTATTTGATTCTTCTCTCTTTTCTTCTTTATTAGTCTTGCTAGTGGTCTATCAGTTTTGTTGATCTTTTCAGAAAACCAGCTCCTGGATTCATTAATTTTTTGAAGGGTTTTTTTGTGTCTCCATTTCCTTCCGTTCTGCTCTGATTTTAGTTATTTCTTGCCTTCTGCTAGCTTTTGAATGTGTTTGCTCTTGCTTTTCTAGTTCTTTTAATTGTGATGTTAGGGTGTCAATTTTGGATCTTTCCTGCTTTCTCTTGTGGGCATTTAGTGCTATAAATTTCCATCTACACACTGCTTTGAATGTGTCCCAGAGATTCTGGTATGTTGTGTCTTTGTTCTCATTGGTTTCAAAGAACATCTTTATTTCTGCCTTCATTTCATTATTTACCCAGTAGTCATTCAGGAGCAGGTTGTTCAGTTTCCATGTAGTTGAGCGGTTTTGAGTGAGTTTCTTAATCCTGAGTTCTAGTTTGATTGCACTGTGGTCTGAGAGACAGTTTATTATAATTTCTGTTCTTTTACATTTGCTGAGGAGTGCTTTACTTCCAACTATGTGGTCAATTTTGGAATAGGTGTGGTGTGGTGCTGAAAAGAATGTATATTCTGTTGATTTGGGGTGGAGAGTTCTGTAGATGTCTATTAGGTCTGCTTGGTGCATAGCTGAATTCAATTCCTGGGTATCCTTGTTAACTTTCTGTCTTGTTGATCTGTCTAATGTTGACAGTGGGGTGTTAAAGTCTCCCATAATTATTGTGTGGGAGTCTAAGTCTCTTTGTAGGTCACTCAGGACTTGCTTTATGAATCTGGGTGCTCCTGTATTGGGTGCATATATATTTAGGATAGTTAGCTCTTCTTGTTGAATTGATCCCTTTACCATTATGTAACGTCCTTCTTTGTCTCTTTTGATCTTTGTTGGTTTAAAGTCTGTTTTTTCTGAGACTACGATTGCAACCCCTGCCTTTTTTGGTTTTCCATTTGCTTGGTAGATCTTCCTCCATCCCTTTATTTTGAGCCTATGTATGTCTCTGCACGTGAGATGGGTTTCCTGAATACAGCACACTGATGGGTCTTGAGTCTTTATCCAATTTGCCAGTCTGTGTCTTTTAATTGGAGCATTTAGCCCGTTTACATTTAAGGTTAATATTGTTATGTGTGAACTTGATTCTGTCATTATGATGTTAGCTGGTTATTTTGCTTGTTAGTTGGTGCAGTTTCTTCCTAGCCTTGATGTTCTTTACAATTTGGCATGTTTTTGCAGTGGCTGGTACCGGTTGTTCCTTTCCATGTTTAGTACCTCCTTCAGGAACTCTTTTAGGTCAGGCCTGGTAGTGACAAAATCTCTCAGCATTTGCTTGTCTGTAAAGTATTTTATTTCTCCTTCACTTATGAAGCTTAGTTTGGCTGGATATGAAATTCTGGGTTGAAAATTCTTTTCTTTAAGAATGTTGAATATTGGCCCCCACTCTCTTCTGGCTTGGAGAGTTTCTGCTGAGAGATCAGCTGTTAGTCTGATGGGCTTCCCTTTGTGGGTAACCCGACCTTTCTCTCTGGCTGCCCTTAACATTTTTTCCTTTATTTCAACTTTGGTGAATCTGACAATTATGTGTCTTGCAGTTGCTCTTCTCGAGGAGTATCTTTGTGGCATTCTCTGTATTTCCTGAATTTGAATGTTGGCCTGCCTTGCTAGATTGGGGAAGTTCTCCTGGATAATATCCTGCAGAGTGTTTTCCAGCTGGGTTCCATTCTCCCCGTCACTTCAGGTACACCAGTCAGACGTAGATTTGGTCTTTTCACATAGTCCCATATTTCTTAGAGGATTTGTTCGTTTCTTTTTATTCTTTCTCTAAACTTCTCTTCTCGCTTCATTTCATTCATTTCATCTTCCATCACTGATACCCTTTCTTCCAGTTGATCGCATTGGCTACTGAGGCTTCTGCATTCGTCATGTAGCTCTCGTGCCTTGGTTTTCAGCTCCATCAGCTCCTTTAAGGACTTCTCTGCATTGGTTATTCTAGTTATCCATTCGTCTGATTTTTTTTCAAAGCTTTTAACTTCTTTGCCATTGGTTTGAATTTCCTCCTGTAGCTTGGAGTAGTTTGATCGTCTGAAGCCTTCTTCTGTCAACTTGTCAAAGTCATTCTCCATCCAGTTTTGTTCCGTTACTGGTGAGGAGCTGCGTTCCTTTGGAGGAGGAGAGGCGCTCTGATTTTTAGAGTTTCCGGTTTTTCTGCTCTGTTTTTTTCCCATCTTTGTGGTTTTAGCTACCTTTGGTCTTTGATGATGGTGACGTACAGATGGGTTTTTGGTGTGGATGTCCTTTCTGTTTGTTAGTTTTCCTTCTAACAGACAGGACCCTTAGCTGCAGGTCTGTTGGAGTTTGCTAGACGTCCACTCCAGACCCTGTTTGCCTGGGTATCAGCAGCGGTGGCTGCAGAACAGCAAATATTGGTGAACCTCAAATGTTGCTGCCTGATCGTTCCTGTGGAAGTTTTGTCTCAGAGGAGTACCTGGCCGTGTGCGGTGTCAGTCCGCCCCTACTGGGGGGTGCCTCCCAGTTAGGCTCCTCGGTGGTGAGGGACCCACTTGAGGAGTCAGTCTGCCCGTTCTCAGATCTCAAGCTGCGTGCGGGGAGAACCACTACTCTCTTCAAAGCTCACTTGGAAATGCAGAAATCACCCATCTTCTGCGTCGCTCACGCTGGGAGCTGTAGACCGGAGCTGTTCCTATTCGGCCATCTTGGCTCTTCTCCCCCTCAAATATCTTCTTGCAGCATTGTATTACAGTTGCAGTGTGAAGAGGTCTAGTGTATTCTAGGTGCTCAATACCCATCACTTTCGTCTCTGCCTTCCTCTCTTTCCCTCCCTCCCTGTCTTTTCCCTTCCCTTCTTCCCTTTCTCTTGCTTTCATCTCTTCCTCTCCCGTTCCCTCTCCTCCCTCTTCTCTTTTCTCTCCCACTTTTACTTCCCCTCACCCTCCTTTTCTTCCTTCTTCCCTCCCATCCTCCTTTTTTTCTCTTGTGATATATTTGTACATTAGACTATCCCTTCTAAGCCCAGACATGATTAAAACATTATTATTATTAAAATAATCTTAAGCTAATTTATTTAACTGAGTCCCCAAGTCTTCCTTCATTGCATTTTCATAAAAAACAAATGCCAAATTAAATATATTTATATTATAAAATCTATGGAATATATATTGATGAAAATAGCATTACAGCAACATCATAAAGGAGGGAAAAATAAGGTGTTAGATGTCTCGAACCCCTTAGAAGTCAATGTAAACTTCCTAAAGTCAGAAACAAGCATCTAGTGAAATCAGATATCCCCATGAAATATTTCCAATAAACTAACAAAGCCCCAGTTTGTTTTGGAAACTGATAAGCAGTTTTAACTCTCCCAAAGCTTCTATTTTCTTGCTACATGTTTTGTCACTTGAGTTTTGTCCCTTATAATATTGTCTTTGATTCTCTTTACCCCAGAAAAGAGTCAGAAACCCAGTGGAGCTTTGTAACAGTATGGAAAAGGGAATCCTTGTGGCAAACATGGTCCCTATGCCACTGCCACACACCACCAGATAGAAGCAAAGTGCCTGGGTATGCTGCATTTAGCCAAATTCCCATAACTGAATACACCACCAAATAATTTACCTCAAAAGAAAAAATGTGCTACTTATAAGAGCATATTTTCCCCCTGGGATTCTAAAAGCTTTATGTGAATTATTTACTCTGTACTTCTTATTGTTAAGCAAAAGAGAAATTAAGAAACTAGTTATGTCTGTACAATCTTAGAGAGGTAGGTCAATTTAAAAGTTAAAACACTCACAATGTATTTACTTCCATTAACTTCACCTAATGAATTCAACTTTTAATTCTATCTCACATAATTCTTTAATATTCAAGTTTATCTCATTTACTAATGACTGTACATGTACATAAAAAATGAGGAACATAAAATGATATTATAAATAAAGGTAACAGATAAGTTACTCTTCCAAGTTTTTTATGACAGTTGGAATAGAAATAAGAAATGTTTTTTATGTCAACTCAATATTGAATGTACTATCTGTTCAGTTTGAATATTTCAAATTATTTAAAAATTTAAAAATTTATGTGGTTAAAATTTCAAATAATCCAAAAATATAAGCAGTAAAAGTAAGCCTCCTTCCCACATTAGACCTTTATTCTTTCTCCAGGGTCAACAACTTGGGTAATAGTTTCTGTGAGTCCTTCTGGAAATTGTTCATGCTTACACAAGTGTAGCAGTTATGAATTCTGTCCAGAAACTTGAGTATCAGAGAAATAAAACTTTCTTTATTCTTCCATAACCCAACCTAATTTCTTTATATTCTCCTCCTCCTACCATGTTGGTGGAAACTTAATTTCAGTCAACTCTGGCTTGTCTCTTCTATTTTTTTTTGTTTGTTTTTGAGCTAAGTGTCAGGTGTCTTATTAGTGCAAAGGTAGAAGGTAGAATGAGGATGCACCTCTGGTCCCCAGCCATCTATCTGTTCCTGCAGATATCCACTGAATCTTCCATTATCTCATCTAGTCTGGTGACTAGTCCACACAGCCCGGCTTTGTCCCTGTCCTCACCACTGTTTCTGAGCAGTGGTTCTGTTTTGAGCCCAGCCTGAGGGCATGGAGACTGTTCTGCTGTTCCCAGTCCTGGGCCATGGGCATCTTTTCTGTGCTGTACTCTGGTGTGCAATTGTGCAACTCTGGTCCTTCTGCCTCCTTCATATGCAGAGCATAGATTCCTTCTACTCTTTGCCTCCTAGATCTCTCTGGGGCTTTGCTAGGGAAGTGGCCCTTCATATCCCCACTCCCCCAGCGGCTGCTGATTGACTTGTTTGAATGAGAGATGAGAAGTGAAGTTTGAAGTGAAGAGAGTAACAAAATCCCTTCATGTGAATATAATGGTAGCTCAACCTTGATGAGAATGAAGCTTCTGCACTTTACCCTGGACCACAAGCACTATACCTCTGGAGCTCAACATGAATTGCATCAATTCCAATGTGCCATTGAACCCAAGAGGGTGAGGGAGAGCACAAATGAATGAATACCACTTTACCAGTGCTGTTAGCAAGTGTGTTCAATGTGGCTGCACTACTGATGACAGAGGGCATCAATAGTGTCTTAGTCATACAGCAACAACCCTCCAAAACCTCCCCCAACAAAATGGGAAGGAAAACCTCGTATAACTAAATTCAGAAGAATGTAAGGGACCACAAATACGTCGTATTTTATTAACACTTTACTTATGCAGCTACTATTGAACATCAACTACATATCCATAGTTTCTTTTTATGAATTAAATTATTGCACTATAATATAAACAGTGCCAGTATTTTATGTGAATGGGGAAATTCTTGATTTTTTTGAAAAATAATTATACCTAACAGCCAAAAACTAGAATCATCCCAGGTGTTCATCAACAGGAGGATGGATACACCACAGTGATATGTGCACACAATTGAATACTATTAACATTCGGCAATAAAGAGGAATGAATTATTGTCAGTCGCAACAACATGGATGAATCTCAAAAATTTTAAGTTGAATGAAAAGATGCCAGGCCAGGCACAATGGCTCACGCCTGTAATCTGAACACTTTAGGAGGCCAAGGCAGATGGATCACAAGGTCAAGATATCAAGACCATCCTGGCCAACGTGGTGAAACCCTGTCTCTATGAAAAATACAAAAATTAGCTGGGCATGATGGCATGCAGCTGTAGTCCCAGCTACTCGGGAGGCTGAGGGAGGAGAATCACTTGAACCCAGGAGGCGGAGGTTGCAGTGAGCCGAGATAATGCCACTGCACTCCAGCCTGGTGACAGAGTGAGCCTCTGTCTCAAAAAAAAAAAAAAAAAAAAAAAAAAAAAGGAAGGAAGGAAGGAAAGATGCCAGACCCAAGAGTTCATTCCAGTTGTATGAAATCCAGATTAGGCAAAGTTAACATGATAGAAATAAGATCAGTAGTTGTTTCGGGGACAGAGAGTTGACTGGTAAAGGGCATGAGGCACCTCTCTGGGGTGATGATTATGTTGTATATCATGAGAGGATGTGGGTTACATAGATGGATGCATTTTCAGAACCTGAGATCTGCGTATCTCATTGTGTGTAAATTTCCCTCAGTAAAAATTTCAATAAGAAGAAAGGCAATGAAAAAAATAAGACATAGGAGATATTTCTGGTTCATAACTTGAGACAGAGAGAGACTGCAAAGGAACTAAAACATGAATGGATTTTAGTTTTCTCAAGAAGAGTTTTACCCTTTAAGCAATTACAAAGTCAGAGAGGATCTTTGTTTTACTTAAGTTATCCCTTTAATGCTTATTTTCCGAAGATCACAGAAGGCATCCAGAGCTCTAATATCACCAGGCTCTGATGTTCTAGTGGGAAATGTAGAACTATTAAAAAACACAATGATAACTGGCAACTAGATGACAACAGATGTTTCCCCTCCAGCACAATGATAGAACAATAATAATAGCAGAGATGTCCTACTCAGCAGAGATCAGGGAAGAACAGGAGTTACTCCTCAGAAATAGCATCTTAGATGACTGGGTTGTGATGCCAACAGAGATGTGAAACATCAAGAAAGCCACAAATAAAGTTGTTTCAGGTCCTGTGGTACAAGAAGACCTCCATCAGTTGGATAATGATACAGAAAGGTCCACAATTTACAACAAAGGAAGCTAAAGCCATGATTGGCATTGCATTGGATTGCTAGAATCAAGAAAAGACTAGAACATTTCCATTTTCATATGTAAATGACAATATTACAGGACCGGGGAAATAGCGATCACAGACTCTGCTGCATCTGGTATTCTCCTGAAAATACTAATTTGTTGGAGCAATTAATATGAAATAAGGAAAAAGATTGGTGATTTGGCTTACTAAAATTCCTTTGAGAAACATAATTGTCTGAACAAATAGTATAGAAATACTGAGATTTCAAGATGATGGGTGAGTTATTCTAGCTGGAACTTTATTTAATAATAGCTTAGCCCACAAACGAAAAGAAGTCAAACAAGCAGTAAAACCACTTTATAGTTCATTAGTATCTTGGACAACCCCCATGCCATAAATAATAAAAAACAGAAGACTCCTCCATTTAGTAGCCAAGTGTGAGAACTACAATATAAGTGGATTTTCTAGGTAATCAGAAAGAAGTAAGACTGATGAACAAACAACTGAGAAATAAATTGGATAATAAAAGTATCTCCACTTTGCTCAGTGTCCAACACGCCCATGGGCAGTGAGCCGGAAAGGCAGTGCTGGTGAAAGGGAGCATAAACCTTTCATTTTCTCAACAGCAAGTGGCTACAGGAGATGGTGAATAGATGAAAAAAATCAGACACAATAAATATTTTCTCTGATGACATACCCTTGCCAGAACCTCTCGTATATCTGTGCATTTTCAGGTTATGGAATTATCATTTAATATTTGGAGTTTAATGGTTCACTATTTTGATCATATATGAATCTTTCTCTACTTTTTCTCTAACCTCCTCCCTCTTGATTTCTTCACCACTTTCTGCTCTCTCTTACTTTTTCTTCTCTTTTGTTAATAACTTTTTTCTCTTATTACAAAACTCTTCTCTGAGTTTCCTCTCTAGCTTCCTCCCCCTCATTCCCCTCTTTTTCTATCATGATGTAATTGCTCCAGGGAAAAGCTTCATCTACAATAGAAAGGTTAACCAGGGGGTGTCCAACTAATAAAATAAGGTGTGAATCTAGAGGTTTATTACTTCCTTGTTTAATTTCTGCTTTAGGTGGCAAAAACAAGAGCTCACTCAAAGGAATTAAATGTCAAGTACATTTGAAACAAGTAAGAAAATATTTCTTCAAGCAGCATGTAGTGGAATTTACCATAGTAGGAGGTCAGAATATTGTGTGCAGTAGTAAGATTTTAGAGGTGTTATTTTTAACCCAAATAACGTTTGTCATTCGTACCTGTTAATGAAGACGAGATCGAATTTTTTAACTCCCTAGAGAAATAAGAAGAGTTATCTTACCTTCCTCAGTGAAAAGTAATGAGAAAGAATGAGCTATAAATGGAGTTTGTCATTTTCGCATTTACAGTATGTGTTAGCTCCTTAGAAAAAAAGACATGACATAGTTGAAGGTAATATTCTCAGTCTTATACAATGAACTTTCCTTGCTGTTTCTCTAAAAAGATTCCACATTTACAAAGAGGATAGGATTTAAAAAAAATTAAGCTTGATCTTTCATTTCTTGAAAATGATCATGTAAATTGCTTACAGGTGTAATGGTCATGCCCTCTTTATTATAAAACAGCTATATTGTAAAATATGGTCAGAAGTTGAGTATTTGGTTGTTGAGGTTTGAATGGAAGGTACAAAGAGTTCTAGTGTCTCGGAATAAGTCAGCTGACAGCCCAGCTACCAAATGGCCGGCAAGGTCTGATTTACTTTGATGAATTCATCATTCCTTGATTTGGCCTTGCTTTGCAAGTTCACACCTCAGATTCTTCTTAGCACAGGCAGTGTGATCCGTACCTGGGGGTGCAGACACATTATCTTTGGGTCAGGAAATTACAAGAAACTTTTCTTTTCCTTTTTCGGTTTTAAAGAACTTTAAGTAATCAGAACAAAAGTTAAAATTATCTGACTATCTCCATTCAGAAATACTGGTGAATGTGGCTCAGAAATGCAAGCTTATAGAATGCCAGATTGCTTCTGGTGGAGCTGATCGTCAGACACTGACTCCTTCAGTGGCAATACATTATGGAGAGATAATATGATGTCCTTGGTCTTGGGGACAAATTACATGTATCTCAAATGATAATTTGATGATAACTGACTGTCAGTGAGTTTCTAGGTGATTAACTTGCTTCAGCAGAGTACCTGACTACAGGCTGAGTGATTTCACTGTGATCTAAAAAGAATGAGTCATGCCATTAGACTGCTCTTGAGAAAACAATATTTCAGTTATTTATTGTTATCAAGATGATGTCACCACCAACCATTCATAAATCTCTGGTTGTGCAAAGGAGCTCAATTTTCTCATTCATCCTCCTCCTCTTTCCTGCATCCTGAGAGCCCGTCTGAGTCACTGCTATGTGGGGACCCCAGACTACAGGGACATTTCACTTCATCTTCCTCTGTGCCCAATGAATGGGTGGTTGAGCATATTTTCATGCCTAATAATTTAAAAATCAGGATTAAAAAACCCAGTTATATCTTCAGAAGTATACTCTCTACTGTTCAAAGGTACCATCATATGTAATACTTTGTCCCATGAAAAAAAACAGCCACCTGAATAATAAATAAATAAAAAATAGAGAACTAATAACAAAATAACAAGCTTGCAATCTACCAAGGAGCTTGTTACAGTGGAAGACAAAACACTGGTTCAAAGCCTTTCTTTTTCTTTTATGTTTATGGTTTGATCCTAGTTTTTTTGGTCAGCAAGTACCAGTCTTTATATTTACTGATTCTTTTATGTTTTTGTTAGTGAAAAAAAAGAGATGGTGTACATATAAAATAGATTGTGATGAATTATCTAAGAATATATATAGCCAAAGGGGTACTGAATATGATTGTCGTGTACTTCAGCCCAGTGAATTCACTGTTAATGTTTTTTATGAAGTCCACTCATCGCTCTACTTTTTGTACATTTTTATCAGAAAAACAAAAAAATTACCCTATAATTGAAAAAACAGTTTTTAAGAAAAGTTATTGTAAATTTTCAAAATAAATGTTCACCGTCAAAATGATAAACATTCCTTGAAATGCACATTGTTTTTATAGAATTGGAATTTTTCCCTCACTAGCTGCATTAGGCAGAACGCAAACAATATTGGATAAGAAATCAGGCAACCTGAATTCTAGTCCTGTTTCATCATCATGAGGGAGTGATGAGATGCAGTGATATTTCAAGTCCCCTCTCACTTGATGATCTGTAAACTCAAGTAATAGATAAGCTTCATGTGGAACCTAAGCATGTGATAAATTGGTTCAGAGAAGGTTTAATAAGTTCAAGCTTTCAATGGTTTTTGAGGATTGCTAGCATTTCCCTTAAAATGTCTTTTAATCATATTGTTCATGGCAAAATATATTTTTGAGGTGGACAATCCATATGATACGCCAAGGTATTTGTCAGATTCTTATGTTCTGTTTTTCATATTGGGAAATATAAAAGGGGAAAAGCATTCTTAGATTACAGAAACATTTAGTATTACTTTTACTATTAGGCAGAGAAGCAATTCATTTCTGATCCTTAGGTTGAGAGGTCACATTCCTTTTCAAATTGAACAACAGAAGTCTGTTTAACTGGGATTATTGAAAACTTCCTTCTTCCCACAAATCTCTGAAGAATATGTTACCTAACTTTACAAAGCCCAACATTTTCCTGAGAACATGAGAAAGTGGAAAACATTTAATTGTGAGGTTACAGATTTATACGTCGGCAATAAACAACAGTAGTTTTTGTTTTTGTTTTTGTTTTGCACTGAGCCTAAAGAAAATTGAACCACTCATTATCCCGCAAATGAAATCCTAGTTCTTAGGAACTCATAGAACTTTTCCATAAAGGAAGAGTAGAATTTCAGATTACTTGTGGTCTTTATAGAGAACATTTTTTTTTATTATACTTTAAGTTTTAGGGTACATGTGCACATTGTGCAGGTTAGTTACATACGTATACATGTGCCATGCTGGTGCGCTGCACCCACTAACTCGTCATCTAGCATTAGGTATATCTCCCAATGCTATCCCTCCCCACTCCCCCCACCCCACAACAGTCCCCAGAGTGTGATGTTCCCCTTCCTGTGTCCATGTGATCTCATTGTTCAATTCCCACCTATGAGTGAGAATATGTGGTGTTTGGTTTTTTGTTCTTGAGATAGTTTACTGAGAATGATGATTTCAAATTTCATCCATGTCCCTACAAAGGACATGAACTCATCATTTTTTATGGCTGCATAGTATTCCATGGTGTATATGTGCCACATTTTCTTAATCCAGTCTGTCATTGTTGGACATTTGTGTTGGTTCCAAGTCTTTGCTATTGTGAATAATGCCACAATAAACATACATGTGCATGTGTCTTTATAGCAGCATGATTTATAGTCCTTTGGGTATATACCCAGTAATGGGATGGCTGGGTCAAATGGTATTTCTTGTTCTAGATCCCTGAGGAATCGCCACACTGACTTCCACAATGGTTGAACTAGTTTACAGTCCCACCTACAGTGTAAAAGTGTTCCTATTTCTCCACATCCTCTCCAGCACCTGTTGTTTCCTGACTTTTTAATGATTGCCATTCTAACTGGTGTGAGATGGTATCTCATTGTGGTTTTGATTTGCATTTCTCTGATGGCCAGTGATGATGAGCATTCTTTCATGTGTTTTTTAGCTGCATAAATGTCTTCTTTTAAGAAGTGTCTGTTCATGTCCTTCGCCCACTTTTTGATGGGGTTGTTTGTTTTTTTCTTGTAAATTTGTTTGAGTTCATTGTAGAGTCTTAAACGTTAGACCTAAAACCATAAAAACCCTAGAAGAAAACCTAGGCATTACCATTCAGGACATAGGCATGGGCAAGGACTTCATGTCTAAAACACCAAAAGCAATGGCAACAAAAGACAAAATTGACAAATGGGATCTAATTAAACTAAAGAGCTTCTGCACAGCAAAAGAAACTACCATCAGAGTGAACAGGCAACCTACAAATGGGAGAAAATTTTCGCAACCTACTTATAGAGAACATTTTTGGGGGTTAAATACCTCACTGCACTCAACCAAGTTAAATTGTTAGACACAGAGGCATTCTGAGAAAGTGAGGAGGGTAGGACTGAAAGAGCACTTATGCATTTAAGTATTGTTTCAAATTCTGGGGTAAGCCAGGAATTACTTTCCTTGGAATTTGAATGTTTATTTATATCCATAAGTTTTTAAAATTCATCTCGTCTTTCACATGGATCACTATTCTCTTCTTGGAAGCCATGACCACCAGTTGCCTTCTGTACGGTCTTGCCTTGTCTCCATTAGGATCATTGTGTTCATCATGAAATTATGATTTATCTTTCCCTTTATCATAATGGCATTCATATGTGTAGTTGTACAATACTTTATTGATAGAAAAAAATATTAGGAAGATCACCTTAATGGGCAGCACAGATTAAGAACATGCATAGAAATGAACCCCACCACCAATAATTATGGGGAAGTAAATGGAGATACACTTGGATTGATACACACTGAAGGATTATGATGATGGTTTGAGCTTTCCAGAAACTAGCCCATGGGCAATCTGATTGTTCCCCAGGGATTCATTCTTGGACCTTTTCTCTTCTTACTTTGTATATCCTCCCTTATCCCGAGGACCCTAAAGATATACACTCCCATGATTTCAACTATATCCTAAACTGTCATATCAGTCCCAATCTCCTTTCTCTGAAAGTTCAGCTGATCATCTCCAATTTTCAGTGTAACTAAAAAGCAGGCAGTTTCCAAGCCCTCTAATTCTCTAGAGTTGTATTGTCCAACATGGTAGGCACTAGTCACATACGGCTGTGGAACACTTGAAATGTGGCTAGTCTGAATTGAGATGTGCTGTAAGCATAGAATACACCCCATAATTTGAAGACAGTATTTAAAAATGTAAACATTGTAATTAATAATTTTTATATTACTTACATGTGAAAATATAATTGAATATATTGAGTTAAATAAAACATCTTGTTAAAATTAATGTTTCTTTTTAATGCAACCATTAGAAGTGGAAAATGAAAAAAGTGGCTTACATTAGGTTTTTATAGAGCAGTGGAAGGTGTCCACTTTGCTCCATCCCACCTTATTTCAAGGCACCATTATATCTTACTTGAGTTACATTAATAGCCCCCAGGCTTTTCTACCTCCAGCCCATAATTTGCTATAGTAATTTTTCTAAAAGTTGGATTTGCCACATGACTTTGGAAACAAAATAATTAGAGTTTGACTCCCAATTCTGCAATTGACTAGCTGTGTAACCTTGGACAGTAATTTAATATTTCTAAATCTCAGTTCTAGCATCGTCTAAGTGGAGATAAAAAAAAATAGAAGGAGAGGATTTGGTATCAATTAATTGGGGCATTGTTTGTAGAGCTTCTGTCAGCACCTATCACATGGTAAACAGCACATGAAGCCTTTGTGAGGTGGTTGCCACTTTCTAGACACATCCTTTGCTGCCTTTCTGCATGGACCAATGTGGTTCCATCATACTGACCCACTGAACTAACAGTTCAGCTGTGTGTCATAATTTCTGCATTGTATGTGCCCTATCACACACTCATCTTTCTTCCTTGCTTGAGTAACTCCTGTTTCTCATTCAGGACCAGTTCCGGGACCATCTCCTTTGAAGGCTTTCTCTTACTTCCCCAGTCTCTGCATTAGGTACCATCGCAACCAGTGTATGCTCCTGTTATGAGTGAAGAGCAATGATAGAATGCAGTAAATAGCTATCATTGCATCATTGCATTGACACCCTCTATTGTAACTGTTTGTTTACTTCTCTGCCTTTCCATTTGAAACGTAAGCTCCTAGAAGAAAAGACAAGTGTTTCATTGGTCCTTGTATCAGTAAAGCTTAGTGCAGTGCCTGTGAGCCCTCAACCTAAATTTGTTAAATACAAGAATGGATTAATAAATGATGGATGAATAAATAACACCATTGGCATCTAAGAGAGGGTTGGATTTGACCTCCTAGAGGGATGGGCATTCAGGGTAAATTAAAATAAATTATGTTGACAAACCCAGTCAGACTGTGAGAAATTCAAGTAAAGGACATTTAAAAGACCTTGGCAGAAATCGGACTGATTTGTCCCATCAGTCCTTGGTGAAGCCATTGTTTCTGGAGGTAGCAACCACACAGTGGGTAATATCTGATAATTATAAATCTTTTAGTTTCTTCAGCAGGGTTACCAATGCCTTTTTACATTTGTTATAAATTTCTGGGGTTATAAAGCACAATGAAGAAGAGAAGCGTCTAGTGGATTGTTGAGTTCAATGGGAAGAATAGCTTTATCTGTTTTCTTTTGTCTTGTGTTTATTGTTTTTTTTTTTAAATCCCTGCTATTCTGCCACATAGAAGTGATTCTCCAAAGACATCAAACATCTGTCATCTAGGTACTGGTTCTCTAATTCCAGGCTGTAGGCCATCACTTTTATACAGTTATCCAGTTTCTACCTGAATTCTGTTTAAGCGAAACTATGGAAGGAGGGGGCTTGTAATACATATATTATATATAGATATTTTCTTGATAAATAGTTGATTTGGAAACTGCTGAGCAATATTTATGGACAAAATGATTGCTGTAGAAGTTCAAACAGCAGGCCTCAAATTTCACATCAACAGTGACACTTTTAGTTTAGAGTCACTGGAGACAAATGGCAGATAGCCATTGTGAGGTTTGAACATTCTTTTACTTTTTTTCTCTGTCAAAGTTGATGTTTCTCTTAAGCCATTTCACAATGACTTGGAGGCCAAATAACCTTCATCTCTCACTAAAGTAAGGAGCCTACTATAAATTTTGTGCTACTTCACTGTACTTTTATCACAATCCCAATCAGTTTAAAGAATTAGAAAAGTAGTAAGAAGTCATTTGCATAATACAGTCTCTATGGAAAAAAAAAACCCTAATATAAAATTCTGGAGTAGAGGAAAATGGTGGAAATCCATGAGAAATTCTTAGCAATAATAACAGCTAACACTTATATCATGCCTACTATGTGCCAGGCACTATTCTAAGTTCTTTAGACCTCAGACCTTTAAAATGGTTATATTTATGAAGTTGTCTTATATGCATTTATTCATTCAACAAATATTTCAGGAATACAATGTGCTCAAAAGGAACATGCCATAAATGATGAACAAGAGACAGGTTTATTGTCCTTACGAAGCTACTGCTGTTGTCTCTTCTAATGTCTTGCTTCACAGTAACCAAGGGAAGATTTGAATCTCCTAAGAATTGTGATGCTATGAGATACTAACATTTCAAATTCTGTATCAAATTTATTTATGTTTTTTCTAAAATATGTGAAAAATACTTGGCACTGTTGATCTTCTGTGTGGAAACACGGCTCAAAAGATGAAAATAATATCATTTAATCAATGTGGTAAACATATAGGAAGTACTTTCATTTCTTTGCCAATTTTTGACGTGCAGTGTTTCTGCCTCCTGGCTTTATGCGCTCCTTTCACACTTTTGTCTTCTTCCTATTTGGATGGGTGTTCTACTCCTTTTCTTTAAAATTAACAAACGGCTGAAAGGGTATAATACAATAATCTCCTAAACAAAGGGCATAGTGCCCTTTCTGCAATGTTTGGCACCTGGAATGTGAAAGTCTTTGAAAATGTTCTTTCTGCATGAAATATAGCTCTCATGTGGTTTGAGGTTCAGACAGGGGAAACATTGCTCTTTATTTCTACATGTTAGGAATGTAATGATTGTAGGTTGAAATGTCACAATGCAGAAAATTGTAAATGTTACCGTAAATATACAAGGTCAAGTCCAGAATACACATACCTTCAATCTCTGCTAGATAGAGATATGAATAAATTTATTTTTGAGATCCTGTCCTAAGATTTTAATAACCACTTCGTTTTATAGTATAAAGATAGGAGCTAATTCCGTTATTCGTGAGGTTAGCATAATAGCTCAGTATCCAAAATGTGCTTGAATTAGAATTTGTGTGTATATCATACTAATACATGGATTAAATACAATCTGATTTCATTGTTTTTAGCATGGTGGAACGTATACATGCAGATTTGTTTGAGGACAGTCATTTTAAACATTTACATTAACCATAACTCCAAAGAAAAATGTTTAAAATGTATAAAACACCTTTTAATTTCAGAGATACAAGTTTTTATGTAAGTGGCTATTACTCTGCTTATTTTTAATACTTGCAAACGTCCTTGTATTGGGCATGTATATATTATATAATTATTGACTATAATATCATCTTTCATTAAATGCCTGCTATGACATTGGTTCTGTATTCTGTGTTTTGTATATAATCTCTCATTTCATCCTCACAATAACTATGTGAGATTTAGATCAGTATGGTTAGCCTCGTTTTACAGGTGAGGAAACTGAAACTTTGGAAGGTTAAGTAACTTACCCACCACTGTAAGTAACTGAAAGAATTGAGATTTATGTTCAAGTCTTTCTGGTTTCAGGTCTTCTTAACCTTATCATGATGCAAAATACTCCTACTTTCCTCAAAATGGTGATTTGAGCTGAGTAACAATAAATATTATATCGTTTCTTACCTGAGCAGTAAACCACGTGTGCTACTTAGTTCTCAGACGGGGACTGTGTTCTGTTTTCCTGCAGGGTTGAATGTAACAACTGTGAGACTGGAGAACAGTGTGGCGCGATTATGCATGGCAATGCCGTCACCTTCTGTGAACCATATGGCCCACGAGAACTGGTAAGTATGTGCTATTCATGTACATTATTCCATTATAGTATTTACTGAGCTTTTTGCCAACAAAAGTTTTTCTTATGCTCTTAAAGTTCAGATGAAAATTCAAATATGATTTATGAGTCCTATTACAAATATCTTAAAATTGGGAGGGGTGATTCTATGGCCTATTTTTGGATGTAAAAATAAATAATTCAGTAATAAAATTGTCAGCATCAATGGATATCATTAAACATGGAACATCACTATGATTAGATGGCTTTTTAAAAATATGAGTATTTGCTATAATATCCATAATAAACAATTTATGACCTTCTAAGTTCTTCTATAAAGCCATGCTCTTAAAATTGTCCTTATTTTCTCCTTGCAAGTCAAAACTGTTAGATGTTCAGTTTTATCACTTTATTTTAAAACTTTGGTTCATAGCCATAGAAGAACCTGATGGATTTTTCTTTACATGAAAGAGCACGCTGAATAAACCAGTTTTTTAAAAATTTTGATTCATCTCAAATTACTTAGAAGCAGATTATTTTCCTTTACTTCAGATTGATTAGCAGCTTTTGCTTGCCAAATCATATATAAAATGAAACATGAGCATTCAAAATGGAAAGAAGTAAAACTACTAGCCATCAGCATGTGGCTAATGAGCCTTTTTTTGGTTGTTGTTAATTTGGTAACTATTTCTGGCATGAAGACTACTTTCATTTTACCTTCTGGAAAATAATATAAAAGCAATTGTTATATCCTGTCTCAATTCCTTTGTCCCTAATACTCTTCTTGTACCATCTCTTATGCTTTACTTTTCTGCTTTTCAGCTTGGGCTTTAATGCTTGTTCTTTTATTTCCCACATCTTCCCTTTCAGAGGGCTTCTAGTAATAGGTTGTATTTTTCACCCTTCTGTCACAATTGTGTTTCAAAATCATTAACTTTAAAAGTTGTCAAAAGACTGACTTCCAATGTAAATTGTGGGGCAGGGGGTGCCTAGATGGGCAATTAAAAGAAGATTTAGTTATCAAAATGTGAAAGCCAATTAATTGTTGTAAGATGGTTCTTATTTTATGATGCTTGAATACCCCTTTCATGCCAATAGATACATTTAATTTATTAAAGATACAAGCTTCAGAGCATTGATAAATTGAGGAGTTTTTAGTTGAAATTACAACACAAACAGAATTAATTGGATGCAAATTAAAATAGTAGGTGCTCATAATTCAAGCCTCAAAAGTGCTATAATATTCCTGCAGACAAGTATGACTCTGGTGGTGAAGATTTTCTTGAAAAAATAGATTTGCTAGTACATTTTAAATAATATACCATGACAGAATTAATTATCTATAAACCTTAACACAAATTTAATTTTTTTACTGTAGTTAATTGAGCTTAGACTAAATGCCTGTTTTAGAAGGTGTCTCATTTAGTAATATTCCTGGAAATTCTTGACAAGTTATTTTTGTTGCCACTGGTTAATAGGAAATAAAAATATCTAAGAATATAATGCCAAAATTCACATTTTCATAGCATAATACTGAAGTATTAGTTAATCCTATGTATGTTTAGTCCTGATTGTTTCACTATATCCCCGTTTATTTAGCATTAGAGTTGATATATTCAGTGGGCTAATTTTGAATTGTGTTTTATAATTAATGTGGGATTAGCCTTTCAACCAAAAAGGAAAATACTCAAAATAATTATGTTCATTTGGGAAATAAGAAAGTATGTAGTTTTTATATTTCCATTATAAGTATTTTCCTAAGATGAATTTGTATGGTGAGATTCAAAGGGAATAAAATGAAACAGATTGAGAATGATGGCGATGATGTCCACATTTTATACTAACTTCTAATTTTTCATAATTTTTATACTGTATTGGTGTTCCTGAAGCAAAAATATACATTGTACCCAAGTTGTGTTTATAGAAGACAGATCAATCAAATGAAAAGTGAGGAATTCGGTTTTCAGTTAACATTATATTCAATATTTACTAAAATCCAAACATTTGCATGGTACTTTGTGACTGAATGCCGTCAAAATTGTTGTGCATGAGAACTAATGAAAGTTATCAGCCCCCAAACATCACTTTTTAAACAATATGCCTTCTTATTTTTCATAAAGCCCATTCTTACTGAAGTTGTAAGAAAAAGAACCACGAGCAAAGAACCTTATTAGGCTAAGGATTTATCTTTTAAAATGCTAAAAGGAGGATCTCCATTTTTGTGAATGTAGTTAAATAGCCATTTCATTTCTGGAGAAGTTAGTCAGTGAGGGGTGGAAGAAACTGTTACCTGGACATAGCACAAGTTTTTGTTTCTTTTTAACAGCTGTGCCATGCACCCCTCACTGGGTTTTATTTAACCCAGTGAAGTCTCTGTATTTCAGGTGGTGACACTGAACTTTATTAATTTTGTTAGTATAAGATAAAGGTAAAAAGGAATTCATTTTCTCACTCATTTAAAGGAAAATATGCTCTCAGAATTTAAAATGAAATGAGTTATGTTACCCTCCATTTTAAAAAAAGAAATTCTTCACTAAATTATTACTATTATGTTTTAAGACAAGGCCTCACTCTGTCACCTAGGCTGGTGTCCAGGTGTGCCATCATGGCTCACTGCAGCCCTGACCTCCTGGGCTCAGGTGATCCTATGACCTCAGCCTCCTGCCTCAGCCTCCTAAGTAGCTGGGACTACAGGCATGCACCACCACACCCAGCTAATTTTTTTAAATTGTTTGTAGAGATGAGGTCTCCCTATGTTGCCTAGGCTGGTCTTGAACTCCTGGGCTCAAGCAGTCCTACTGCCTTGGCTTCCTAAAGTGCTGGGATTATAGGCATGAGCCTCTGCACCAGGCCTATTTACTGAATTATTCTCACATATTTGAAAATGCATTTTAATTACAAGGGTGAGTTTGGACTAAAACAATATCAAACTCAATAAAAAATTTTAGAGAAAAAGTACAGAATGAACAGCTTTGACCTACAGTGATTTCTTCTGATTCATTTAGTTATCATACTAATTTCCTATAGTTTTGAGTGTATTTATAATTTAAGAGAGATTTGGTAAGAAAAAAGTTATGTATCAGCCATTCATAGTTACCATATTATTTATCAAAAGCTCTTTAAGGGCCCCTTTTGTTTTCAGAATGTCAAATATAAAGGCTTAATAACTCATATTTGAACTCAAGATTAATAATTTATATTACCCAATTATAAATATAGGTATAATTTATATTTATTTATAATACTCAAGTATAAATATAGGTGAATAGATCTCAGAATAGATTTCATAGGCAGTGCTTCTTTTTTTTTTTCCTTCATCTTTCCTGTTCTTTCTTGTAGCTGATATTTTACTAATAAAATAAATGGGTAAAGGTAAAGAAATGAGAGTCAACCATTATACCAGTCCTAAACTTCCCTGGTGAAAAAAATTAGAATCAGTAACCAATCAAAGTCTAGGGTCACCCTCAGTTAGCACACATAATTTGAAATTTGGCGATATTCCACACAACTTGCTGTTCGCTAGCAGAGGTCACAGCTGTGGAACTTGATCAAGTAGGTGACACAAGCATCATTTATTACACCATCAGGATAAGTATCTAAGACTCTTCAGTACATTTAATGCACTAGCAGTAGCTTTATAGCCGTGTATTTAAAGCACACGTTCAGTCACCTCTCCAAGTCATGATATAGATATTTTGATATTCACATGTATCTGATCTTTTAATATTCACATCCCAACTGAATTCCGACAGAGCAAGAGGCTTGCTCACTCATTTCCTACAGCTCTTCATGAATTGTATAGCACTTGACCCTTCTGCAATTGTGGACTCTGTCATATAAGGGCTAACAAAGTGCAAGGATATGTCTAAAGATGTTATTAAGACATATAAGAAGCAAAGTGCAACAGAGAGAGAGTCTGTCTCAAAAAAAACAAAACAACGAAAAAAAAAAGCAGCAAAAGTAAGACAACCTACTGCCTCTGCCACAGTGAAGACTTATCCACTTTCTATTGCATACGGTGGAGTAACTGAAATGTCCTATATTGTAGTGTACAGAATTTCAGAACCCAGCAAAATGAGAACCTTAATTTTTGTCTCATTTGAGCTGGTATGGGTCAAAGCTACTGCTCTAAAGGATAAATAAATAAAATTTTAAAATTAAAGAAGCACCATTCTTCTTTCAGAAGGGGGAAATTTTGCTTAAGCATGCTTCTTAAGCATGAAACTAAGGAAAAGTAGCAGAAACTTGTCAGAAGACTATTTCTAGGTTCATAATTCTATTTCTTTTCTTCATTTTTTTTGGTAACAGTTTTATTGAGAAATAATCCACAGATTCTACCTTCTTTAAAGTGTACAGTTCAAGGCTTCTGGTTTATTTACAAAGTTATGGAACCATTATTACAGTCAATTTTAGACCATTTCATCACACCCCTCCACAAAGAAAGCCTATGACCTTTAGCTATTGTAGTTCTATTTCCTTTTCAAAATAATTTTATTCTACTCATTTGTTCTTAGTTTATCTCCCAATTTTTGTTCGGTAGCCCTTTTGCTACATTCTCTTTGGGTCCCCGATCTATTGATCTGGTAGGATGGAAGGGAGATGGTGGAATGAGTGGAGAGGAGCTTTGTTAAATGCCTTCACAAGATAACCTGCTGGATTCCACTAAGAACAGTTTGTGAAAGGACATTGAGAAATATGCTATCCGTCTCCAAGTCAGGATTTCACTTCTTTATTCCCCACAGGGGAAGAAGAAACAGGTCTGTGTTCAGACACATTGATAAAATGAACTAACAACTGGATAAATGCAACTTCTGTTAATGGATTTCCTCTCTCCTCTTTTTTAACTCTTCCCCTCCCCGTACCCCTCCCAGCATCTTTCTCCTCTTTCTCCTCTCTGTCTTGTCTTATTTTTATGTATTCTTTTTTCTTTAGATTACCACAGGCCTTAATACAACAACAGCTTCTGTCCTCCAATTTTCCATTGGTAAGTGTTTTTTAGCAGTTATAACGATTTAATTTGGAAATGTTTGCTTTAAACATAGTGTGCAATCAGGATTATAATGCCAGATGCTTTTGGATTTACAGAATAGTAAGTCTTAATTTTGCAGTAAATAATCTACAACATTTTTAAAGTGAAATAAATATTTTTAAATGTTACATTCTGTTCTCACTTCTCTCCAGCAGTGAATGGTATTAAAAATACTGCAGATAATTCAAAAAAATCTTAAGATGATTTACATATGTATTTTGCATACATTGGCTTATTCTATTACAGCAGGATTACCTTGCTGGTTGTGTTTTGCTCAGATTAAGATTGAAATATGTTCCATTTCCTGAGCTCTGACTAACTGGTAGTGAGAAAGATAATTACTGGTAACCGAAAGAAACCAATTAAGGCTTTATGTTTGGCATAAATAATCTATGTTAAATTCAAACATAGATAATGAAAACAATGACCATATCTGGCAGTGTTTCCTTTAAGTGCTTTTGTTTTAGAGCTAAAAGTTCCTACCCAAAGCATTCAGTAAAATAAGGTGCCTTCTGATCAGGTGTTTGCAGTTCTGCTGTCTATTCTATTACCTTCCATTTTATTTTTCAAGGGTATGTATTTATAAATAACTTGTATAAATTTACAGAGGAAATGTTCTAGGGGAAGAAACATGTTGTCTTTTAATGGGGCCTAGGTCCCATTAGAGCGAAACCCCCTCCTGACCATTTCCTATGGCATGAGAATTGCAGGTGTCCCCCAGCCATGCTCAGAACAGCATCCTCCAGTCGCTTCCATATCTTAGAAGGTCTGCCGTTAGCAAAAGGACTGTTTCTCTCAGGATTCTTCTATTCCAAATTGCAAGTCAGTGTTCTACAGCCAGGAGCCCACTGTGGTTGATTGTGCTGAAGAACAGTTTTCTTTAAGTCATGTATTTGTCACTTTTTCATCACTGTGCCTTGTTTCAGCCTGTGTAGGAGGTACTATGTGAAGTCACCTGATTACATTTTGGGTTATTTTCTTCTCCAGTTGACAGTATTACCTACAACAATTTACAGACAGTTCAGAAGTCCATGTGTGATCATAAGTAAAGTGTTAGAAAAAACAAAAATAATGGTTTTTTTGATGAAAGAGTTTTCTTTGACTTATTAACAAGTGTATCCTGTTCTGTAGCAAACACGTAATGTTTTTATAATCAAAAAAAGTTTTATTTTTAAAGAGTTGTGGTGCTACAAAAACAAATTTTTTTAACTGTAGCGTGACAGGCAACTTAGAGCCTCTTAATCACAATAAACGTGTTTAATTATGCTATTAATATATAACATAAGCTGAATAATGGTTAATAATGTATCAGTATTCTGAGTACTTGTTCTTTTTGTTAGAGAGATGAACATTAGTTTCAGATATTGTCTTTAAGCAATTAAAGAACACAAGAGAATCAATTTTAAAATATATGTCTCCTAATTCTAATATTATTTGTACTTTATTCAAGGGTGGAGAGCTCCTACACCAATTAAATTATCCTTTATTACAGGGAAAAATTACTATTTTGGTGAATAGTATACTGCTAATATGGCATAGATTCTCTATTTCCTTGCCTTTCATTTGTACCAATTACAACAGACTTGATGAAAAAGTACCAAGAAGAGGAGGTAATCAGAGAATGAAGGGTTTATTACCTAAGACTCAAAACCCATAGCAAGCACCAGGGCCAAGGTCTCGGGACTAGACATAAACATGGGACTTAGCAAGAGCCCTTGGTCTCCCCACAAGCCTGAGGACTGTAGCCATCAGGCCAACTTATATTATTTAAAGCACGGATTTGAATCCTGCTGGAAGACTGGAAGAGTAACAGAATTGGGGAAAGAGAGAGAGAGAGAGAGAGAGATGGCAAGGAGAAAATGAAGGAAGGGTGGAAGGAGGAAGGAAAGAGGGAGGAAGGAAATGAGAAAAAGAGATCTCAAGTTTATAACTAAAAATACATTTATAAATCTTTTCAGGTGGCAGTTTTAGAACCAGAAGTGAAATTTTAACATATCCTTAGGAATGAAATGGAACAATTTAGTAAAAGAAATTGTAATTTATTGTTTATAAACTTCATTGGTGAATTTACTTACTACACTTTGAGAGTAAAAAATTGGGGGAAACCAAGAAGAGTTAGAATGGCAAAGAAACAATGTAGTAGCAAACCATCTGTTGTATGGTGTGTGGTGGTATGTGGTGAATACCGTATAGCGGGCAGAACTTTCCAGAAATGTTTTGTGTATCTCATTATCATTTGTTTATATGGATGTTTACGAGGTATAAGGGTGTGACATCATTCTGTTTATTTGGGTGATATGAGGGCCAGACTGAGGAACACTCACAAATTCTAGAAATGCCATAATTGTGGGTATCCATAGTAATCAGATACCAAAATAGCAAATTAAAATGAATCCAACCAATCCAATAGCAGCCATAATAGCCATTTTATTTATACTCAGTTCAAAAATTATATTAAGATTATGTTATAAAAAACTATATGTTAACAATTCAACATTTACATTTCCTTGTGTACTGTGGAATTCTCCAAATCTATACTAATAATAATATGTCCAGTTAGTTTTAGTGTCACTCCTTAGGAAGTCCTTTAGGATATTAAATGTTAAATGTTCACTGTATAACACAATGATTCAAGCAGTTTTCTAGGGAATTCTATTATTATAACCTAAGTGGTCAATTATGTTCATAATTGGGCATGTATAACCACAATTGGAGAAATTATTGTGTTGATACTTTCATATTGCTCTTGTAAACATTTTCAGTTGCATAACAAATGTTATCCAAAAGACTCCCAAGTTCCTCATACAAAAATTGCTTGAATTACTAAGGGGTGTCTCAAATAAATTCCATATGCCAATGTTTAGCAGCAATACTCTCTCAGTTCTTTCAAATACACACACACACACACACACACACACACAATGTTTATACAATATATACATATATTACATTATATATGTATACATACATGTGTGTATCTGATGTGTTTATATAATTATATATATTATACATGTGTATATAGATTATGTACTTGTGTATATATACATATACACACACATACATATATATACATAAATGTAAGGCTGTCTTAACCAATGATTTTTAAAGTCAAAGAATCCTGAAAATGCAGTTCTGCAAGATGAAATTTATCATGTTATCCACAGCTAAATCATCTTGGAAAGTGTCCTAAAATATTCGTAGAAGAACTTTTCATTTTTCCATTCCAGTGAAAGATCTCTTATCCATTTCTGTGCTGAGACATCGATTTGCTACCATCCTCACTTGATTCATTAGACGCAACTTATGGAATTTATGGTAGTAGCCTTAGGGGCATTTGCCCACTTCCTTTAGATTTCCTCTGGGATAGGAAGAAAAATTTGAGATGACATCCTTGCAAAGTGTTATCCTACAGATGCCTCCGAACTCTACTTTCTCAGGCAGGGTTGAGGACCCAAAGGAAATGGCGGTAGTACCTTGTGTCTACCACACAGTCTTAACAAAATTTCACTGAATATTTGTTGTGTGCTCAGTATTTGCTTGAGCTGGCTTCAACTGGGAAAACAAAATAAGTGAGAAAACAGAACGTTTTTACAGCACTTAACAATGTAGTAGAAGGCACTGGGTACATAGAGAGCATGAAATCTCTAGAAAACGGCATTGTTGTAAACAGGGTGGGTCTGTGTATATGTCCCCAGGGTGGCAGTGCCTAATGAGGTTCTTGAGGAAGGCTTCTTAGGAAGGAGAATCCCTGCCAACAACCCAAGTCACTTGAAAGGACAGGGAAAGGTTTTTCAAGTGAAGAGGCAGAGTGAATACAGGCAAGACATTGGAGGGGAACATGCGTGCCCTCCTAGAGCAGAGGAACTGGGCCTGGTAGCTATGAGCAATGTCAGATAAAGTTGCATCTATCTGAAGACTAATCTGTATCAGCTCAGGGCTTCAACTTACTTAATAGAGGGATAAATGTTAAATGGAGGTTTTAAACTCATTTAATTTAACTTTTTAAAAGTAAAATAATGTTGTTCTTTAGTTATTTAATAGAGGTCTGCAAAAGAACCTCTTTCTCTCTTGAGCAATAGAGAAATAGAATGAAATTAATTCTTCAGAAAAATTGTTTGGGTAGTTGTGTTAGGGGTTCTTTGTCACTTCCTTGATAGAGATCTGCATTGAGTCACTCTAAAAGAATTTACCAAGTAATATACTTGTTCAATTTAGCTTACCTCTTACATCAGATTAATAGGATTCATTAGCCAAACAAGGAATAAAGGTAAAGCATTTAAAAACACACCATGAAGAATAAATAGTTTGGCTTGCCAGACAAATCTATCTTGTCCATCACAGTATCCTCAGTCACTAGCCCAGGGACTCATAATAAATAGATGCTCATAAATATTGCTTCCCTGAGTGACAAGTAACCATTACAAAGACATCTATAATAGTATGTTACCAAGTGTTAAACTGATGTGATGCAGACATTTCATGGCAAGAGGGGGCTTGGGGGAGGTGATCTGAGGACCACAGTCAATGGAAATGATTACCCAGAAAGAAACAGAATCACCAGTAAACTATACTTTAAGTGAAACAAGTAGACAGAAATACATATGCAAGTGTTTATCAGTACGTAATTACTGAGCTAACTAGAATCTATTATTTGTTCATGATTTATAGAATTAGTACCTTTTCTCTTGAGTTTTACTTACAGATGTCCTAAACATTCGGGTTTTATTTTTGTACGTGTGTTTAATTTTTTTTTTTTTTTTTTGCTGCTTTGTTTTTGTTTTTATCATTTCAAGACAGAAGGAAGTCATTAAATCATAAATGCTTTATATTTACTTATTAAGATACACAGATGTTCTTAGGCTTGAATTATTGTCCTTCTGTACTGTACATGCTACGGAGTCTCAGAGATGAATGAGAGCCACTCTGTTTACACGAGTGTATTTTGAAAAATAAAAACTGGAAATTACAAAAGCTAAAAATACTCTTAGCTGAATTGGAATATTGCTTTGTGAAAGAAAAGAGATCTGGTATTATTTTTTCTTTAATAGATGTAAAGGATAAAATGTCACTTGTAAAAGGTATTCTATTTCATTTAGCATAAGAAAAGCAGTTGATTTTTCCCTTGAGCCTAATTCATAAACATCTTAATTACTCAGAACTTGATTCAGTAGAGAAATTCTCTCTCAACTCTTTTAGAACAGGTAGTTCAAGAGGAGGAGAAATCGATTCCTCCATATCTTGGTATGAATTGTTGCTCATTTCCTCCACGAACTTACTGAAATATATTTAAAATTAGATTCTCATTTTTTTTTCCAGAATCACTCTCCCTGGTGAGTAAGACCTTGGGGAACTTATTATGAAATAGTGAACACCTCTTCTGAAACATGGACACCTCTAAGTATAAGACTAACAAAATATTTGGTGACCTAAGCCCAAAACAAAAATAAATGAAACATTAGAAAATTTTAATGGCAAAAATAATACATATGTTTTATAAGGTTAAATACGTGTTTTATTTAAGGGTAAGATTCTTGGATATAAATGTATTCAACTAAGATTTAAGACTTAATTTCCAGATCTTCAAATATCTATATTAAAACAAATTTTTTTTTTTGTTTTATATATGGAATACCTCTATGTTAACTAAAATTTGGTAAGTAAAGGTGTGAAACTGATTATGATGCAGGGTATCCTGCTTTGTCATCCCAGAGATGACCTTTTTAGGGAATGTTTATTTTTTTAAATGAGTTTAAATGAAATATATATATATAAAACATATGTATATTTATCTATAATATTTATAAATATATATTTATCTCAAATCCACCTCACCCCAAATTCTTAAGCCCTAGCTTAAGTAATAAAAGAGAATATTCTGAAATCCTGTAAAATACCACTAAACCCAAAATTCTGGCAAAGATTGTTGAGATTGATTATAAGTGTTTTTTAATTATTAGAACTGATAATTAAATATTTTTATATGAATTAAAATGCGCAATTTGACACAGGTATTATCCCCTTTCTCTTTTGAGATATTCAATTTGTCACTCATCTAATGAGGCTTAGAAAAATGTCAGTAATTCATTCATAAATTCGTGCTATTAACATTTTGGGGGGACTGTACTAGTAGAAGGAATACAGCAGTGAACTACAGGATGAGAAGAAATTCATTATTGATGTAGACCAAATGGTCTCTCAAACACCACTCCTCCATGAAAACTCATCCCGTTGCCCCAGACTGATATCTCTGAAACCCCACTTGCTCTGAATTTATTTTATGACAGGTACTTCACTCTGCTTTGATAGATACACTGACCATTTCTGCACATTCACTTTCACCTTTTCTAACTTAAATATTCCTTGAGGGCTAAGGAACTTACAAGTGTCCCTTTCTGTATATAAGACAGAATTTGGCACACACCTAGAACTAAAAACAATGTAACTAAATTGAATTCCTAGGTTAGGTTAGGGATTTCATACTGTTCCACATTGGTGCTGAATACTATCTGCATTCTTGACTTCTGAAGCAAGGGAGTATGCTAAATGAAATCCATGGGCATTGTTAGAATTTAGTCTGAGCCTGCAGTTTCCAGTTTCTTGTCAATTAACCAGGGACTCATCTGTCAAAGAGAAGATCTTTAAGCTCTTTAGAATATTTATTATATGTATCATAATGTGCTTACGTTCCCTGTAGAGAAAGCAAAGCCTAAGACGCTGCCCCAATCTTTGAGAAGTTCATTATCAAATAGAGGGGAGGAGGTGGGGAGAGAGTCCACGTGGGAGAAGAAAACAAGTATGGCAGTAAACATTGCTGATTAACAGATGCAGACTACAGAGGAGAATGAGAGTTTAATTTGTTAGAAAGTCCAGGAAAGAGGGAGGGCTGGAGGGAGGACTTCATTATTTGGGAAAGAGATTGACAAGAGCAGGCATGGTACCACCAGAGGGTCAGGCGTCACTGTGAAGGTTACGGGAATGGCACCCTGTAGGAAGAACAAGATGCAGGAGCCCTGCTAAGAACTGGGGACCAAGGTCAGAGCCAGACAGCAACAATGATACTAATGCTGTCTCCAGATTGCCATGAGTGGTGGAGGGGAGACAGTTAACACTTGCTGCCCGGGATGGGGATTAGTCCTCCTAGAAAATGGGCCAGGCATGAGCATTCGGGTGTAGTTTACATGGGCCCTGGGGAAAGGAGGACGGCCTGGCAGGGAACCTGGCAAAGCCAGACACATTTCTCTTCCTTGTGTTTCATGCAACATGGCAATGAAACTACTGTGGGCTTGGGAGAAAACCTGCAGGGGGTGGGCACTTGGAAGTGGTTGGAATGTGGCTTGGCCTTCCATAAATTGGGAGAGAATGGATCCCTCTCTCCATTATGGTAGGAGTACCAGTGACAATGAAGAAATACAAATATTTTGGAAGTGAGGGAAGAGGGATAGGACTGGAAGGGAGAAAGGCACAAGCAGGGAGGAGGACAGCTGTTCATTTTATATCCTGTGGTCATTGTCCATCTGCCATGAACTGGAAGAAGTCCCCTAATGAGGTTTGGGAAATTCAGCCAGGAAAGTGACTGAGGGACAAAATATTAAGTACAATAAATCACGCACTGTCACATTTAGCCAGAAAGAAAGGTTTGTAAGTCTGATAGTCAAAACAGAGATTATTACTAGTAGCCTCAGTTTAAACATAAATATAAAACAGAAAGTGGAAGACAGTTGCTTTTAGAACCTGGTTCTTTTTCTATATATTATGAAAAAAAGTATTTCAAGTATAAAGGAAGCATGTTTTTAGTTCAAGTACAGAATATTTTTGAAGATTTTTATTGATTTTATTTTTCTACTTTATTTGACCTCTCTTAATCCTTAATATCCATTTTTAGTAGATGCTTAGAATGAAAATTTTGCTTGCATATTATGTTCCCCCATACAGCATTGTCCTTGAAATATGTTTTCTCGTTAATAAACGCTAAATTCCCCCATGGGTATTTTTTGGTGGGCAAAACAGAGGTATAGACATAAAGTCTAGACTTCCCTATCCAAATAATTGTTTAATTGATAATTTGGGCTGACCAAAAACTTTGGACATATTCATTTCTCTCAATTTACAATTTCTATTCATAAAATAATGAATTATCTTAACTTTGGTGACCATATTTTACCAAAATTAAATTTGTTTGCTCTGTCAAGAACAGTTCTTGACAGATCCAAGAGTAATTAGAGGATTTCTGTTCATGCAGAATGGAACTGTTCTTAATTAAAGTAATATCTGTGGGCTCCTTTCAGTCACAATTGCCATCCCTGTCACTTGGGACTGAGAAGCCCCAGGACACTTCCCTCCTGGGCTGCCACAAAGCATTATCCGATACAGTAACCATTTTTTCCTGCTCTGCTTCTTACCCTTGAATCAAACTGCTGCTGTTTTGGCTACGGCCCCTGAACTTCGACAAAGCATGAGCTGCCTCTATGTGCAGGCATAGGCGAGGCAAATCAAGCCTGTATTTCATGAGAGCCAGAAGCTGCTCTGCATGGTGGGATGTGCACACACTGTCAGACGTCAGGGACAGCAGCGGAGAGCATACCAACCAGGCAGACCGTTGACTCAACCGCATTCCCTATGTAGCCATTCCTCATGCATTTATTTTACCCGTGATCAGAGAATTGGTAAAATAGCACACTTAGGACCAAATTCTCATCTTCCCAGTAGATTTTCCCTCTTGTCTTGAACTCTGTATTCCAAAGTACCCTGTGGATATATGATGTACAGTAAGGTAATAAGAGTAATAAAAACAAGTTGCTTTGAATATTATCAAGCAAGAAGCTAGCTACTAGAAAATAACCAATTATACTTTTATAAAATTTAAACATTAATGGAACAAATTTATATAGGTAGTCATGTTATTAAATAAAATGCTCAGATACATAAAATGTTATATAGCATAGGTTTTTGTACTAGGAGAGGAATAAAACAGCATGAAAACAAAACAAAAAACATATTAAACCAGCCATCCTGGAAATTACAGCATTATATGCCTAAGACTGGGAGTCATATTTTAGATACTGTTCATGAGTTAGTATTCCTAGACTTGCCATGTCATCAAGATGTTGCTCTACTTAACAGTAGATCATTTTGATGCCGTGGGTCAAGAGAGCTAATACTTTTAGGGATTTTCTGGCATGTGGTAAAGAAGGAAATAAAAATCTAAGTATGATATAATCATTTTTCTACAGTGCTGTTCATAGAACTATCAAACTATTGGTAATCTGGATAATAATGGTCTTATCTGAGACAGAATTATTTGAAAAAGAATTGCAAAGTAGCAAAGAAGATTTTACTGTGTTTCTTAATTTTGGGGAGGTAGAGTAAGAGTATTTTCTCCCTAGTGAATAATACTGACCTCAAAATTCACTCTTACCTTCAAAAAAAAAAAAAAAGGATAAATGCCAGAACTGCTTATTATACCAATATCTTCATGTTGCTCATCACATTTTTCACATTTCAGTGTAGAATGAGGCAAGCCTGTTTCTTGAATGCTCCTGAATGCCCTAGCCTAGAGTAACATGTAATATCCCCTGAGAGTAACAGCTTCTAGCTTTTTAAAAGCTCCCTAAAATTTGTCCATTCATCTCTATCTCTCTTTCCACTCACTGCAACCTCAAGTTAATGGTCCTGTTCTCCATTAATCTATCTAGAAAAGATGAAAGAATGGGCTGATCCTGCTAAGAGTTGCTCTAGTTTGTAGCAGGGAGTTCTGAGTAGCCAGAATGCATCCATTCTATAACTTTATGATCTTTCTATACCAAATGCTGTTGTTTACATGCAGCTCCTAGAGCTGTGCTCGTCTCTGAGGTCTGAGTTTTGAGTAATGGCAGTGGCAGCACTCGCGCTGCAGGAATCCTCAATAAGGTTCTGTCCAGACACTCCTCAAGCCTTCAGTATTTATGGGTCCCACTATGCTATCTAGAGGCGTGATTTCTGGCAGTGATTTTCCCCATCTATAAATTCTGTGAGATCAATTCTCTCCTTCTGTGGCCCTGTGCTGCATTTGAAAAGGCAGCTCATTTTTAAGGCAGAGCTTTGGGGAAAGAGGCTGCTCCCAGCAACCACTACCAATCCCCAAGATAACAGTAGCTTCTTCTATTGCATTCTACTGTGATTTACTTTGAAAAGTCCTGGGATTGATGGGGAATGATATAACCAAATAAAAAAAAAACTACCCAAAACTACCCAGGACTTGAGAGACTAAACACCAATTGATTGATCCTTGTATAAAAGTAAAACAAAATAGATGAAATTCTTGAAGATACAGACTCACAATCCCTAATCTGTAATTTCATATTACAAAAAACATGGAGATATCACAAGCCAGTTTTTATAAAATGTATGTGGTGGCAAAGTTTGACATGAGCTGAATTCATTTGGCAGCAAGACCTGAGTTGAAAGGATTTGAAGCTATTTATGATCATTATTTCTGTTACTTATGTGAATTATCATGCATTTCACTGCAGAAGTATTAATGTGTTGGATTATAGAGTGCTGCTCTAGGCATGGCATATGCACCATATTACCTTTTGGAAATCTATAAGTTAATTAAGTTATTTGAATTATAGAATTCATCTAACCTCAAGGGATTATGGACCTATATGGCTGTTATTCCAAGGGAGGAAGTAACTCTTTAATTTTCAGTAGGATTACTAATATTTGTATTTTTAAGTGGCTTTGATTTTATATCAAATCACGCTATTCTTTATACTGTTTGTTATGCCAACTACTCAAGAGGGATGGAAAGAACAGACAAAGTTTATTTGTGAATTTCAGAAACTTCCTGGCTCTGTATGCATTACATGTATATTACGGTAAATAGGCTACTGCACAATGAGCAGAATTTTGATATACTTAATATGGATTGCATTTGATTAATGTATAATTGCTGCAGGTTCGTGTGCTTGTGTATTCTTGAGATTATAAAGTCTAAAAGCTCTTTAGGATTCTCCAGGCCGGCATAGCACAGAAACATTCCAGTTAGCAAGCCTTGGAAGTTTCTGGTTCTCTCTGGCTTGAGTCCCTGAGGTTTAATGAGGTCTATGAGGGTCAATGTAGGCTTCATTTTGACAACACAGTCAAAAATGAATAGCAGGTCAGCTGTGGTGGCTCACACCTGTAATCCCAGCATTTTGAGAGGCCAAGGCAGGTGGATCACTTGAGCCCAGGAGTTTGAGACGATCCTGGGCAACATGGTGAAACCCTGTCTCTACAAAAAATACAAAAAAATTAGCCAGGTTTGGTGGCGGGTGCCTGCAATCCCAGCTACTTGGGAGGCTGAGGCGAGAGGATTCCTTGAGCCCAGGAGGTTGAGCCTGCAGTGAGCTGTGATCATACCACTGCACTCCAGCCTGGGCAACAGAGCAATACCCTGCCTTTAAAAAAATAGCTTTTTTGTGTGTGTAAATATAGCTTAAAAGTCATTTCATCGATTCTAATCTAGTTGTACTGTGATTCATTTCCATATATAAATATTTTAATTGAGTCAAACCTGCCTTAAGAGAAGAAAAGAATTTCAAAAATTTCAAAGTCTTATTCTCTCTTTATTCTTGTCCTGTCATTAAATACATTTGATTGTGCCGTGCTAAGCAAAGTGGAAAATGAATTTTGTATTCTGGATTCCCTTGCTCTGGGACCTGTGATTTAAGACATTTTTGAAATGTAGGAATGTAGTGCAGTGCAAGCTCTGTACAGAGGTGGGTCTGAGTTGTGTGGGTCCACCTTTGAAGCTTATACCACTTGGGTGAGGGTTAGGGTCTCTCTCTAAGGAAAAAACATACAAAGTTACACATTCCAAATTAGGTACAAATGTGAAAATTTATTTAGAATGCAAAAAGAAATAAAAACAAATTACAAATTGTTCAAAATTGACTGTACCACAAACATCACAAAATCAAGAAATACAACATTTTTGTTAACTCCCTGAAATGTTCTATAGTACTTTTTTCCTTATATCTTTTTGGCTGTGTACTCTTTCTATTTATTTATTTATTTAAAAAAATTTTTTTTTGAGACGGAGTCTCGCTCTGTTGCCAGGCTGGAGTACAGTGGCGTGCTCTCGGCTCACTGCAACCTTTGCCTCCTGGGTTCAAGCGATTCTCCTGCCTCAGCCTCCTGAGTAGCTGGGACTATAGGCATGGGCCACCACACCCAGCTAATTTTTTTATTTTTAGTTGAGACGGGGTTTCACCATGTTGGCCAGGATGGTCTCAATTTCTTGACATCGTGATCCACCAACCTCAGCCTCCCAAAGTGCTGGGATTACAGGCATGAGCCACCACGCCCGGCTGGCCATGTACTCTCAAATCACCTTTCCTGTGACAACAATTCTGTAATATTTTCTGGAAATAATAGAAAGGGTATTCTGCCTCTAGCTTGTTAGATCAGAGTTGATGCTTAATATTTGCCTTTGCAACTCCTTATTGATCATGTCATTTAGATTTTTAGAATCACTATAGAATTGGAAAACCTCTCTCTTATTTATATTTGAGGACATTTCAACTTCCCTTGTATAGTGACTAATCTTAGCTGATCTCTGAATTGACATCACTCATTAAATAGTGTATCATCATTATCTTTTAGTCATGATGCTGGATGCATCAGCACTGTGGGTGTAGGAGTTCCTGGAAGCTGTTTTTATATTGAGAATGACTAGACTACAAAATGGAAAGTAAACTACGTAGCTGTATCACACTAACCCAAAATAAATGTATTTCCAACTCAGCTTCTTCTTAGCAGAATCCCAAAAGCAGTTAGGTCCACTCTGACACCTCCTGACATGAGGGGCAACGTGATGAAGGAGTAGTCCAAATGGAGACAGGATCTTAACCAACTGCAAGTGTTATAAAATATGGCCATCAGACTATATTGCTAGAGCCTCTCCCAGGACCTTAGACAGTGCTAACCAAAGTGAGGGCCATGAAGCCGAAGCTTCATCAGCTTCATGGTAAATCCTCTTCTGTCTATGACAAACATGTTGGAATTGAACATTACACTTAGATTTGTTACATTGATAAATATACGTTCACATTCTGACATTTGTCTTATTGACACTTCCTTCTTTCTTATCCCCCTGCAAGTTGCCTCAACTTTCCCTTTCAAATTCTGATTACATCTTATCTTCCCTTTATTTGATGTTCTATTGCTTTTGCCTTGTCTTATAGGGACCATAGAGATTTCTATATACTGCTATAGCTACTGTTCTGATTCTCAATAAGAAATAATCATTAATGCAAAACAATATTTTTTATTTAATGTAGATATTTTAAGCCATGGATTTATTTTTTTATATTTGGAATATTCTACAGCATATGCACATCAGTTTATGACTCATATATACTGACAAACAACTTTTACTGTTGGTATAAATGGGCAGAGGGAAAAGAGCACTGATTTGGGAGTCAAGTCATATAGTCCTTTCTCTGCCAGTTGAACTCCCCACATAACCATGGGTAGTAGTAGAGGCTGCCTGGGCCCTTCACAAGTAAGCATGTTCATCTTTGTGATCTCTTAAATGTCTTACCACTGTGGTCCTAAGTCCTAGAACTGGGTAACAACAATGAACCATGAGTTAAGCAGGAATTTAGTTTGGCTAAAAACATGGTTATTATGTTTTCTGTTTCAGTTAAGGCAGCCCTTACAAGAAATATTAAAGCAGTCGCCATATCTTTAACCAATTGTAATTTATACTTGTAGCTTATTTTGTCACCAGGGAAAGATATTAAACAGAGGAACAGAAATGTAGCATTGGCAGAACCATGTGATGTTGTTACCCAGATAATACTTGGTGCCACCCTGAGATGCTGTCCTTCTGGCTCTTCCTAGAAGAGCATCAGTGTGTATAATAGTGGACAGGGGCTATAAATCACCCCATCTCCCTATCCTGCTGAAAATAGATACTACAGAAAAGCTAATAATAATAATAGTATTATTGTATTTCCAAAAGACACTCTTCCTGGAGTTTAACTGATGAGTCTCGGAAGGGCTTTATTGCCTTCATTCATTCAAGTGTTCATTGAGCTCCTCTTCTGTGTGAAGCAGCTCTCAAGGCACTTAGAATTTGTGAAACAAAATCTTTGCTCTGGAGGGGCCAACATTCTGGTGAGAGGAGGCAACTGTCAAATAAATGGACATGTCAGGGAGTAATAAATGCAATGAGAAAATTAAATCGGAGGTCAACGAGTGACGGGGTTAGCATTTTATTAGAGGTGGCCAGGGTAAGGCCTCTGAGGGGCGTGACCATTAAACAGAGGCCCGAATCGTGTAAGAGAGTTAACCCAGCAGAAGGACTAACCAGCGTTAAGAGTCATACCCTGTAATCCTAGCACTTTGGGAGGCCAAGACGGGCGGATCACGAGGTCAGGAGATCGAGACCATCTTGGCTAACACGGTGAAACCCCGTTTCTACTAAAAATACAAAAAATTAGCCGGGCGTGTTGGCGGGCGCCTGTAGTCCCAGCTACTTGGGAGGCTGAGGCAGGAGAATGGCATGAACCCGGGAGGCGGATCTTGCAGTGAGCCGAGATCGCGCCACTGCAGTCCAACCTGGGAGACACAGCAAGACTCCGTCTCAAAAAAAAAAAAAAAAAGAGTCATACCCACTGGTGTTTGGGTGACCACAACAGCCCTTATGTAAATGTCAGTATTAAATGATGTTTTACTTCTTAAGTGAGAAAGGCTGTTGGGAGGTCTGTTTTTCCTACTTTTTTTTCTGAATGACAGCTGAGGTTAAAAGAAATGAGTCTGAATCACAAGACAGCAACTAGGCTTTTGAGTTCACATGTACCTCTAACATAAGAGATACTTTTAATAGTTGGTCGACTCATTGATGAATTGATTGATTATTTCATCATCTTGGTCTGGCTTCCTATGACAAAAGTGGGAAGTTACTTGTCTATTTTTTCTAAATGATACCAGGGATAGTACTATTTAAATAGAACCAGAGTAAAAGTGGATACCTATTTCAGTTGTAATTTTAGATTAGGTAAAGTAGTTCCTAGATCAGACCAAGTTTACAATAAAATATTTGTTAGAATTATACTGATGAATCTCTCCAACATTAAAAGGAAGCAACTGTATAGAAATAGCTGTCATTCTTTTTATTCCATCATTTTTAAATAACAAGTACAGGGTACTGTTTTACACTGGTAAATATTATTTGTTTCTTTATGGTAAAATTGTAACTTTAGAAATAGTTTTTTTGTTTGTTTTGCTTATCTGAGAGGCCAAATTTTTGTAAAAAAAGAAATAGATTTGCAGCCGGGCGTGGTGGCTCGTGCCTGTAATCCCAACACTTTGGGAGGCTGAGGTGGGTGGAACACAAGGTCAAGAGATCGAGACCATCCTGGCCAACATGGTGAAACCCCGTCTCTACTAAGAATACAAAAATTAGCTGGATGTGGTAGCACACACCTGTAGTCCTAGCTACTCAGGAGGCTGAGGCAGGAGAATTGCTTGAACCCATGAAGCAAAGATTGCAGTGAGCCGAGATCGCGCCATTGCACTCCAGCCTGGCGACAGAGCGAGACTCCATCTCAAAAAAAAAAAAAGAAAAGAAAGAAATAGATTTGCAAGCCATCATGGAATGTGTTATTTAGGAAGCAAATATGAATTACATGTGTATCTTAAATTTATGATTGCAGTATTATATCAGGTTAACACTTTTCACATAATTGAGTTGGGAAATGTTGGGATATTACTTTTCTTGGAATGCAACTTTTTTAGCTCTCTTTATAGTGCCTTTCCATAGTTTCTTTTTTTTTAAGCAAATACATAATAAATTCTTTAGAAGGTTAATCTTTGTGTATTTCTTTTGAGCGCCCAGTTAGGAGGGTCTCACATTGATCTGGGTGAAAGATGATCTAAGGAGGTGGTGGTGAAGGGAAAAAACGGGTATAAATTTAATAAATATGTAAGTCTTGGTATGGTGGCTCACACTTGTAGTCCCAACTACTTGGAAGGCTGGGGTGAGAGGATCTCTTGAGCCCAGGAATTTGAGGCTACATGAACTCTGATCCCACCACTGCACTCTAGCCTGTGCAACACAGTGAGACCCCTGTCTATAAACAAATGAGCAGGAGGAGGGTCTACAGGTTTGGGTGACAGGCTATGAGGGCAGAGAAAGGAGAGGAATGGTCAGGGAATGTGCAGAGAAAGTGATGCCCAAGTACACATGATATTTCTTCTTGGTTCAGTTGTTCTGTGATCTTCTCCCATAGTAAAACCTGAGAGAGAGTTGAGATGATGACTAGCAGGGGGGTTAAAGGTTTAGTCCTTTTGGTTTTTCTCTCTTTATCAAAAACAAGACCATTATGGCCTTGAGTCATGAGCCTGAGTAGAAGCAGCAGCACATAGACCCATCCTAATATGTTCATGTACCCTTTGAAAATGTAGCACTATTGAAAAAAAAAAGATAAAGAAACAAGAAGAAAGGGTGTTTTGTACACCAGGAGAAGTATAGTGAAGAAGTCGAAAGCATGGGTTTATATCTACTCCATTCTGTATCTCATTTGTTAGTAGGTGTCCTTGGGTGAAATTTTTAACTTCTTTACCTTAGTTTCCTTACTTGTAAAGTAGAAACGCCTACTAATAGCAGGGCCTATCTGTTCATAACCCCTATAATTGTTCTCTTGAGTTGCTGGAAATTTTTTTTTGGATGGGTGCTATTAAATTTCTAACTAATCAGATTTTCTGGTTTCTTTGAATGCTTGGAACTGCACAATTAAATTTCTAACTCCACTCTAGCAATTGTATAGACCTTATGAAGTGTATCTCTTTATCCTAATCTGTCTTACTAGCCTGCTCTCAGAGCAGCTCCTTTTTTTTTTTTAACAAGTGAAAGGAGATTCTTCTCTTTCCCTACTAGCATATTTACCAATGATGCTAACAAATAGGTGGGCTACTCAGTTAGATCTTGGTTTTCATATCGTTATTGAATTTATAGCATGTCCAGTAAAGAGTAGGGAAATAGCCCAAAGTAAAAGAAAGTATAGAGGAAAAATGTACTGTAAGTTCTTTAGTAAGCAGTAATGAATTTAAAATTTAGCCCATGAACAAATACGATCAGGCATTACCTCCTTTTTCTGGGATAAATAAATTTATGAAATGAAATTTTAAAATATTCAATCATAGCTAAAGTTCATTAAATAGAATGCACCAATAACTGTTGTCTAGGTACTTTTCTTGTGTTAATGCCTTAATCTTTACAACAGTTCTGTGAAGCAGTTGCTGTCATTTTTCACATTTTACAAGTGTGGAAGTTAGGACACAGAAAGCGTAAGTGACTTGCCCAAGGCCACACAGCTTTGAAGTTTCAAAGGCCACACAGTTTAGAAGTGTCAAAGCTCAAATTGTAACCCTGGCAGCCTGTCCCCTCTATCCATTCTCGTAACCCTACACGTAATACCTCTCTGGAAGATATCTTATATCAGAGGCAATTTTACTCTAAAAAGTGGAGTACAAAATTATGTATAATTGTTATTAGTGCTAATAAGCATTGAATTCATTATCATGTAGACTTCTCTCAAATAAGAAAAATTAAGTATGATCTGTTTAAGGCTAGGTGATAAATTATAAGATACACCTACTATCAGATTTTTCTCATTACTTCATCATAGTACAAATTAGAGAACCATTTTTCTGTAAGGTTACGATTTTATTATATTTCTTCCTAAACACGAAAGTGTTTTAGGTTTTTTTGTTTGTTTGTTTGTATTTGGGGTGGTGTCATTCGAAATGAAAAGACACACAGAATATTTGGTTGCTGGAAAATCAATACTTCTAATTTTGACTTACTAAGATTGATATGCCCATTTAGGAGTTATGAATGAAGTATGTGAGGTGATGGATATGTTAATTGGCTGATCTAATCATTCTGGAATGTATACATATATTATAACAGCAAACTGTACCCCATAAATATGTGCAATTATTATAAATTAAAAATGAAATTAATAAAAATATTTGAGAGTAAGAGGAAAAGGGCCACAAAGGAGGCTCAGAAGCAATGGCCAGTGAAGCAGGAGAAAAATCAAGAGGGTGGTGGAAGTGAAGAGAAGAGAACATCCCAGAAATATCGGATCAGCCTTGACAAATCCTGCTGCAAAGTCACATAACCTGAATTTGGGAAAGCAATCTGTTGATTTGGCAACATGAACTCCCCAATGACCTGGGAACTAGCCAAGAGTGGTTTCAACTGAGTGCTTGAGAGTAGAAGCCTGGATGGAGTGGGGAAAAGAAAATAGATTGTGAGAAAGTGGAGGCAATCACTGGACAGCCAACCCCTTGGAGAAGTTTTGCCCAAAAAGGGAGCAAAAATAGGAAGGGAAGGAGCAGAAGGTGGGGGTGTGACATCGAGAAAGTTTTTTTTTTTTTAGATAGGAGATGAGTTGTGCATTGGTAGATGTTTGTAAGATAATAGACATTATCCAGGAAAATCACTGTGAGAAATTGATGATACAGGAGGAAGAGTGGAGGACTCTTCAGAAGCAAGGGGAGGTGGGATCTAGATAGACCACATGAGGAAATTAACCTTTGATTATAACAGAAATATTTCATCCACTGTAAGAGGAGGATGACAGAAAACACTGGCAGGATGGTACGTGTGGATTTGTGGTGAAAGATGAGGGCATTATAATCTGTGTTCCTATTTTTTTGTAATTACATGTTTTACATTGTTAACCTAATAAGAATGAACGTATACATAGGATTTTACATTAAAATGCTAGAAATTTTTTAAAAGCCAGAATTTTTATACTTGATCATACAAAGGAAGTTATTAAAATGACAAATTCATAGGCATAATTGGTAACAATTTGCCTTATATATTATGGGGTTGAGTAAACAACGTGATAGTGTGACAGTTGCTATGACTAGGTTTATCTTTATCATTTACCAACTTATTTGTCAATTTAAAATCAAGAATTGATAACCAAGACCACTGGAACCAACTACCTTTCACAAAAAACATCATTTCTTCTCCCAAACTGGGGGCATAGAAGTATTCTGTGCACATCAGTGTATGGGGGCCAGATTTCTTTGACTGTGTGGGCTCCTCAGTAAATCCAGGATGTTTGCTAATTTTGTTTATGACTACCAAACCTTAGAAACCCTTAGTCACTTTTACCCTTGTTGTGGGTAAAAATGAAGTATATGGGCTTTCCTCATTTGCCTGAAAGAACAAAAGAAAGTGCTTGCATTTTTAGACCAGTTTAAGTTCATCAGTGCCTCTCAGACCATACCTTAATAGCCAAAGTTCTCCATTACCTTTCCTCCTTCAACAACTGCTTAAATCCTTAAAAAATTGCTGCCTCAGAGTGAAGGATTACATTGGAAGTGACCTGAAGGAAGGAAACGAACAGGCAAGTAAGATGATATTTTGCATTTGACATTTGAAATTGTCCTTCCTTTCTGGTTTTAAATTTCAACTTTGGCAATTAAATATCTCTGATTTAAGAGAGAAAGTAAAGAAGTGCCTGTTACAGGTGGTGCCTACTTAGCATTCCCTCCTCACTCCCTAAGAAGGTACCTTGAGAGGTGTCACAGTGTCTGGGTACAGGGAGCCAGGAGTGACATTAAGCACCTGGGCACATGACAAAGGGGTGAACAATGACTAACTCTTTCCTCATCTTACCCTAGGCAGAATCAAGGAGCCATTTCCATCTGGGCAAGAACAGAGCTTATTCTGCTGACCAAAGTCTATGGGATAGTGGGATTGCAATTTGGAGGGTTTGTGTGAAGAAAAAGCTTACCTAGTTATACATACAGCTACACCGGGCGGGAGTAGGGAATCATTTATCACTGGTCTGGTATGTTTGGAAGGGTAATCTGGTGGGAGTGGCCTCTGAGTGAGGCAGATTTCCAAAGCTGAGCGCTCTCTTGGGGGGTGCTCCTTCCAGCTGGTACCTTCCACCTCAGTTCCTCTGGCATGGGCAGTGCCTCTCCACTGACTGACCACTCATATCCTGAGCTCCAATCATGGTCTTCCAGTTGTCCACCCCTCTGTTGGAATCCCCTTGCCTTTTTGGTCATCTTTTTATGATGAATGCTTCAAGATAACCCTGGGCCAGTTCTGTTTCTCAGGGTACACATTTGATCTGTAGGAACTGTACACCTTTAGCCTACTGGGGATGGAAGTGCAGCTTTTTCCTCAAAGGACTGAGGAATTGTTATAAGCACAGAGGTAACATGATTCCGTTGACTTGCAGAAAGAGCACTGGCAACACTAGCTGGGTGAGAACCGGTGAGGCTGGGACAGGGAGACTGACTAATCACTATTGCAGAGATCTGGCAAGAGCCAGTGAGGGTCCCTTGACAATGTCAAGGAAGAGATGCATTCAACAAAAACTAATGTTTTAGATATAAGAAAATGTGAGTGAGTGGCTGAGGAAAAGTGAGTCATCTGCTGGGTGCGTTTTTGTTTTCTAGATGCATAAAAAAGTTAACCTCATGATGCTGAGATGGTAGCATAAGAAAATAGACAAGAGAAGTCGTATTTGTCATCAAGGCCATATTTAGACTCATTTTTATTTTGATGTATATCAGCTTTCCTTCTCTCTTCTTAATTTGTAAACAATTCACAAGAAATTGCATTCTGTAAGGAATATTTTTGGTTATCATTTGTTGAATGCTTTCCTTTTTCAGAGATTTACCTTATACATTTGCTTTTAAGTGGTTATGGTGTGTAAGACATAAAGGAAGCACACGAGTAACATTTAAATTCTTGAGGCTAATTTGAACTTTCCTTCTAAATCACAGATTCTTTGCTAGACCTCATTCTTGTTTGTATTGAAGTTTGTCCTACATAATTCTGCCTGTCACCATTTCCAGTCGCACAGTTTGATATTTATTTTAAGCAGCTGCTCATGAAAAGTAGAGTTTTAGCAACAATTAAAGTAGCATAAGGTGGGTTTCCATTTGAGATCAGGGTTGCTCAGTAGCTTTCCTTTGAATATCCTTTTCTTTCATGCTTTTTCACTTACATTTTGGCTGTGAGAATAAATCTAGGAAAACTGCTGTTTGGCTTTTTAGTACATTGCCAGTTCTGGCAATTACAAACTAACTGGTTTTGTACTAAACACCACTGAAATAAAATAAATGAGTCTGATTAAAGCTTGGAACCCCTGAGCACTACAAACGTAAAATTGTCAACAGATGCCATTTGCTGAAACTGAGGCTCCTCTATCAGATGGGTGAAAGTTAAACATAAATTGCACTATTTTTTTTTGTTTTGGTTCATTCATTTTAAAGATAGTATAAAAATTTCTGCTACATCCATTACAATAAACTTCTGGCAAATGTTTCAGGGCTGTTTTGGGCATTCTGAGAGCTTTGAAATTGTAGTCATACTATGCTTTATTATATGAATTCATTCGACATGTAGAAACAAATTCTTATCAGCTTAAAATTTTTCTTTGATGCTAGTATTTCCACTATTGAAAATAATAATGATAAATAATCACCAAATATTCACAAAGGGATATAATCTATATTTTAAATCTGTAATGCTGGGTTATGGGAGAGTAATATCAATCACATCCATAAGAGTACTCATTCATTTAGTATTTGAATTTTCTTTACAGTATTTTAGTTTCTCATGTACTGTCTCATCATTTAGATAATACACACACAGAAAAATAATGGTGTTTTTATTCCTCAATGTAATGACTTATGTACCATTTAATATAATCACTCCTAATTGATACTAACTTGCAAGAACCATAATGACCTTATAAGTCACCCCATAATATTTAGTTATTTCTTGGCATAGCACTAAGTATTTGTTTTACAATTTAATTTAGTAGTTCATGTACCTCTAAAGAAATCTGCAATTTATATTTCTTTTACCTTTTTTTCTGGTTCCTAAGATTATTTATCAAATGGTAGTTACCAGAACAGATCACAGGAGATTTCAGCATCATTAGAAGAATGGGGAAGTTACCAGACAAATATCTAATAGTTTAAAAATTATCTAAAATATTTATCAGAAAAGATAATATGTATTTGCACCATTTTTTAACCTTGAAATTTATTGTTATTGCTATTTACAGGGTCAGGTTCATGTCGCTTTAGTTATTCAGACCCCAGCATCATCGTGTTATATGCCAAGAATAACTCTGCGGACTGGATTCAGCTAGAGAAAATTAGGTTTGTTGTAATTTAAAGTATTTTCATAAATTCTGACATAGATGGAGTTCTACTCTCCTATATGCCTTCAATCCACCACTAACTTTTTCTTTAGGGTAAAAAGGACTCTGGTTGTTAATTATGTTGAATTCTATGGATGCACATATTATGACCAGCCCTGCTCGGAGAAGATATTATTAAAAGTGTCATTTTCCATTCAGAACTTCCTCCCATCAGCAGTACTTATAACAAACTATTTTTGGTAAAAGTAAATTTGCAATCATAGCTTTTTTGATAGCATTCTCCACAAAATAATATCACCACCCATTGCTCTAGGTGGCCTGACTCTGGCCTGCCTTATGGTCTGGAAATACATCAGATGACTACTTAAATCCCTTCCAGTCTGTGATGATATTGAGTTAATAGCCACAGGGCCTTTTACATCTAATCTCCAGTTCTGTCACATCCTTTCTAACTTCCCTAAGGCCAGTTCTAAAATTCTATTAACATAATTGTGATGCGACTTGTAATTACATATTACATTTTCTTTATTAAAAAATATCCCTCAATAAGAAAATAAGGTAGGATGCTTGAGGATGAAGAAACTCATTCATGTTAAAAAGATTTGGCTAGATTAGCAAAACTCAAATTATGTTTGCCACTACTGAACAGTTTAAACCATGAAATAAAATTCTAAATGGATACTTAATTTTAGGTATAAGATATTTAAAGGAAAAAATGCCTTAAACTTTTATAAAGTGATTATTATGATTGGGTTAGCTCTTAAATTAGCATAACTTAAGTAGAATATTTTCTTATCAGTTTCGTGACAGCTCTCTTTTTTTCTACTAGCTATTTTCTTTATTATATTTCTGTATTAAAATAACTATTATTTAGGGTAGCAGAATAAATATTAGGCTGTCAGTATAATATTAAGCCAGTTTGTCTAAAGTTTCTTTGGTAGTGGTGTTTAAAAATAATAATAATAAAATAAAAACTTCACAAATCTTTAGTCTAACCAAAAACTGAGAAAAGTGTTTCTAACTCATGGATTTTAATAGATTGTCTCTCTCTGTGTCAGGACAAAATGTAATGTATAGGCATCTGATACAAGCTGAGCTGTGACAATTTTATAACAGAACATTTTGCTATTCTTTGTAATTCCTAGTAGTTATGAAAATGCATTCATATTAAATATTTCTATAAATGGCTTTAAACAAAGAAGCATAAATACTGAAAAATTTACCTATGTCTCCATTTTTTTTCTCTTTCTAGTATGTTATATATCATAGTTGAAGTAAATTATGGTACATATTTCTTACTGGAAAACAGCTACATGTTTTTGATATGATGAACAATGAAACTACATATTTAATTAGAACATATAAAGATTGTGTTCAGCTGAACCCATCTATTTTTCACTAAATGGTACTTTCAGTTTTAGGCCATGTACCAAACCAATGCAAATTTCCCTTACCAGTGGAGGTTAGAGTGAAAGTGCTCCCAATCACTACCTAAATATATTCTCTTCATCAATTTCAATTCTTTTTGAAGCTAAAAGCATAGTCATCATGAAATATTTTAAAAGAAAAGAGAATTGATTACCCCCAAAGGTAAGGTACACCATCTATAACCTATGGTGACAATTTTACGGATATATATGTGCTTCATTGGTGAGTGAGAAATATGGCTCTTCTCTAGTCCTTTCAAAACTGATTTATGACAAGCCCAGGGTGTACCACTAGTTTGCATTTTAGTACCACTTTTAATCTTAGCAAAGGCAATCATTTTTACTACAGCAGGTTTCTACTTTGGTGGAAGAAAATGTTTAATAAAAATATTTTATTATATAGCAGAAGGATCTGGATTCTAGTAGAGGTAATATAAAAAATCATGTTATATCATGTTTTTGAGGATGATCTATGTGAAATTGTGAGGTATTATAAGTGAGAGCATTTAATTATGGCAAATCTCACATTTCATATAGACTAAACATATGAAAACATCTGGTTAGTAGAAATAAAATAATTTAGATTGATTATTAAACATATTGCACACAGTGGTTTGTAATAGGTGAATAATTTCAAAGTAAAAACCAACATTAAGATCACAGCTTTGCCAGGCACGGTGGCTCACTCTAGCAGCCCCAACACTTTGGGAGGCTGAGGCAGAAGGATCACTTGAGCCCAGGAGTTTGAGACCAGCCCAGGCAACATAGCAAGACCTATTTCAACAAAAATAAAAATAAAAATTAGCTGGGCATGGTGATGGATGCCTGTAGTCCTAGCTACTCAAGATGCTGAGGAGTGAGGATCACTTGAGCCAGGAGTTCAAGGTTACGGTGATCTGTGATAGTGCCACTGCACTCCAGCCTATATGACAGAGCAAGACCCTGTCTCAAAAAAACAAAATCACACTTTTATATTTTTTATCCTTATTATTGGGTAACCTGTTTTAGATTGTATGTTTACCATGTGCAAAAAATTGTGCTGGATATACTTTGTGATTTGTAATTTTTTTACACAAGCCATAGCAGTGTGTGCCATTTTCTCTTTAATTTTTCCTTTACTGACTTATTTGAACATACTTAGTGCCTGACTTGTTTTCCATGTAAACCTTTTGTAGGTATTTAATACTTGAACTGTCATCATTCAATATGAAAATCTTAATAGTCAGCAAATATTAAAAGATTTAAGGGCTATGAGATTGTAGCTATTTTATCTGTAATAAATATAACATTCTTGAGATCATGAAACTACAACCTTAAGAAACAAAATTCATCTCTAAGAAAGAAAAAGTCAGCATTGCTAAACTTGCCATCTCTCTGTATGTTCCAGAGCCCCTTCCAATGTCAGCACAATCATCCATATCCTCTACCTTCCTGAGGACGCCAAAGGGGAGAATGTCCAATTTCAGTGGAAGCAGGAAAATCTTCGTGTAGGTGAAGTGTATGAAGCCTGCTGGGCCTTAGATAACATCTTGATCATCAATTCAGCTCACAGACAAGTCGTTTTAGAAGATAGTCTCGACCCAGTGGACACAGGCAACTGGCTTTTCTTCCCAGGAGCTACAGTTAAGGTTAGAGCTCTTTTTAGTTTTTGGGTTGTTTTAATCCTTCATCTCCTTTCTAAAAGTGAAGCTCAATAAACCAAATTGTATAAAGATAGCTATTTTACCAAAACCACTATTAAAGGACCAGATAATATACTTATTTATATTACCCTACCTTTTAAGGATGGAAAGTCATTAGTATAAAACATTCACTTATTCATTCATTTAACAAGTATTTTTGAGAACTCACTGTGCTGTGTACTGGGCTGAACCCAGAGAATATAACCACAAAAAGGCAGATGTGTCTCTTCCCATTGTGTGGATGTCAGTTTAGTTTGGGGGAGTTAAATATGTCAGCATACAAATACGAAACAGCCTGATGGTTATGATTTGCTGGGGAAGTTCAGAGTATTGAGAAACTACAGTATAACAGTACCAAATCCAGACCTGGGGGGTTACAAAGGCAGGGTAGGAGAATAGGGACTCCAAGTAGAGGCTGAACAGTAATTTGGAGTTGGCCAGGAAGGAGGAATCGTGTGTCTAGAATTATAAATCAGATACATTAAGGCTGTGTTGTGGGCTGAATGTTTGTATCCCTCCACCTCCCCAGAATTCATATGTTGAAATCCTAACTCCAATACAATGGCATTAGAGGTGGGCCCTTGGGAGGTAATTAAGTGACAAGGGTACAGACACCCCAGAGAGCACATTGAGAACCAGAAAGTGGCCCTTACCGAACATCAAATCTTCCAGTGCCTTGGTCTTGGACTTTCCAGCCTCCAGAACTGTAAGAAATATTTGTTGTTTAAGCCACCCAGTCATAGTACTCTGTTATAGCAGCCCAAACTGAGGCTGGAAGGTGCAAGCACAAAGTAAAAGTCTTGGGAAAAATTCAGAATAGTTGTCTAACACATTTTAAGTTGAGACTTGTGATAGAAAAGTTTGAAGATATGGCCAGTGACAAGACCTTGAAGATCTTGCAAGACTCTGTAGAGTTTGAATTTTTATCTTGAAGGTGATAGAGAGCCACTGAAGTGCTTTAAACAGGAGCCAATCATATTTGTTTTTGAAATATCCCTTTGAGGATAGAGGACTGAACGGAAGGAAGAAAAAGTGCATGCAGAGAGACCAAATAGGAGGCTTATGATAGTAGTTCAATGGGAGATCATATTGGCCAGAATTAGGAGTGAGAGATCATATTGGCCAGAATTAGGAGTGAGAGGATGGAAAAATGTGGCTATTTCAGATTTATAGGACAGGGAACAGAAAAGGTTGGGGACATATTGAGAACATGAAGGAATGATAGATGTCAGGGACAAGGTATAGGCAGCTGGATGGACAGGTGCTGTTCATTGAAAAGGAAACATAGTGAAGGAGCAGGTTCATGGGAAGTTGGTGAGTCCCTTTGGACATATCAATTTTGATTATCTTGAGGGAAAGCAAGAAGAACTATTTGGTGGGAGGTTAGATGTTTGGGTGAGAAGCTCAGAGAAAGATCCAAATTTGGCAATCATTAGCCTTATGAGTGGGGATTCAAATCATGGGCTTGCCTGCCCGGAGAGTGCATGGAATATGAAATTGCACTTAGGTGATATGAAAATGTCATGAGACCCTCAACTGTATCCCCTCAAGTTTCCAACATATGAAAATAAAATACAAACACAGCTTGGAGAATTTTTTAACATGTGTCTCACGGCTTACAGAACATCCCGAGCTAGAAAGGGGTGAGGATCACAAGAAAAGTAGCAAGTAGAATAGAAAGATCGAGAATGCTCACCTCCTTTTAATAATAGAGTTGAGCACCAGAAAAACTATTACAAATTATTTGGTGAACCCTCAACACAGGAACTCTCCTGATGGAAATGACTTCTTGCTTAACAAGTCAAACCCTAGTCATGTTGCTTTGATTTGAAAGTATACTAATTGACATTAGGAACAGGCATCATCTTTGCTCAATACAAGCAGTAAACCTTATGGAAATTTATTCTGATTGAGTCTGAAGTCATGGCTCCTTCAAGAGCCATGGATTTCTTTTGTATGAGTCTAGAAAAAAACATTCGTCAGAATAGCGTATGTCATATCCCACTACCACTTGATTAAAAGAGGAATTTCTGCTGTCATTGTTCAACACTGGCAAGCAGATGCATAAACCCAGGAGACCTCGGGGCCTGGGATTCACATCATTTTGTGATGATGGTCATTTATCATTTGGTCTGAGTACCCTTTATGGCATAAATGTACCCTCTGTTTCATTTTACAAGCCATTACACTAATCTAATTAGCTATTTGGTTTCTCATTGCATGTACTTTGTTACCACCCATGATAAAAATGCATGAGGTGTGGTTTTGCTTCGGTAGTAATTTTAATTATATTACAACTTTATGTGGAATATGCTTTGCTTTGTGGTCCCTCATCCTACTCATAAGCTTTCCAATCACACATTTGAGACTTGCCGAGTGACCTATGTCTATTAAGGGAAAAAAAATCATTGTAGTAATGATTTATAACATTATCTTTGACTTGGCCGTTAAGTAGAAATTTTTCTCTGATGTTTCTTCTTAAAACTTCAAATAAATGCATTCATAATATCTAAGAATTTGTCATTTTAGTTCATTTACATGACTGCCCTTTTGTTTTTTGGTTCCACCATCTGAGAATGAAAGAATTGCTTTTGCCAAGTGATTTGGAATTCTAGAAATAAAAATTGTTTCTTTAGACTATATGCAACTTGTTTGTCAAATATTGTTTCTTTACTTGATGGCCTCTGAGGTGAAAACTAAATACAGCAAATTAGAAAGCATATCTCAGTGTTCCTATTGGTCATGAGGTGTGTTTAAAACATTGTTTTATTTTGGACTTTTAGTTTTTGGAGTTGTATTTTTTGTTCAACCTACTCATTAAAAGTTTCCAAGATGGCCAGGCACAGAGGATCATGCTTGTAATCCCAGCACTTTGGGAGGCCAAAGTGGGAGGATCACTTGAGGCCAGAAGTTTAAGACTTGCCTGGACAACATAGAGAGACCCTGTCTCTACAAAAATTAAAAAAAAAAAACTAGCCAGGCATGGTGGTGCACACCTGTAGTCCCAGCTACTCCAGAGGCTGAGATGGGACCATTGCTTGAGCCCAGGACTTCAAGGTGCAGTGAGCTATGATCTGAAAAAAAAATTTCCAAGGTGTTTCCATCTTGATTATCTCAAAGAGTACATCTAACAGCAATGCTTAATTATAAAATGGAGCTATTTACGGAAAAATTTCCAAACACAGATAAGATTAACTTTGACCAAGTAATAAAAGCTACTTTTTATTGAACACTTACTGTTCTAGGCACTCACCATTCCAGACTCACACACACACACATCATCATCGTCGTCGCCATCATCATCATCATCATCATCATCATCATCATCATCTCATTTAACTGGATCCTTATAAACCTGTAAAGAAGATGCTGTGTTAGTCCCATTTTTCATATGTGGAAAGTGGAACATAGAGGTGTTAAATACCTTGTCCAAAATACATCTCTCACCAGAAGCAGGGTAAGGATTCAAATCCAGGAACTGACTTTAGAACTCTTGCTCTCAGTTGCCACATAGCTTTGCTGTCACAAGTAGTGAGTAACTGACGTGCTTCTTGATTGTCTTGTGTTTCTTCCCAACATCCACCTGTTAAATTATCTGTGTGTTTTCTCCCCCATCACTCTCTGGCTGTAGGTTAAAAGATTCTTGTTTTTCTCAAGTCTCTTGATCTTGCTCCAGCTTTGTTCCATGCGTACCACCTGTTCCTTCCTCCAGAAGACTGGTTTTGTTATACATTACAGTTTAGCAAGTGCAGCCCAAACACTGTTTGCTTCCCTTTCTTCCACATCGTAACAGCTGATTTTGTTTTCAAAATTCTAGTTCCTGGTTCATCTTAGCTACTGATGGGCAAACTATTGTGTATTTAAGGAAGAAAAAGTATTAAAATATTTCCCTTATGAAGGCAGGAGGTGTTTTCAGTAATCTACAGAGGAGATGAAATAGAGTAGGGGCCTTGGAACAATAAAGAAAGATAAATCAACAGTCTAATGTAGCCAACTGCCTGGCAAGATGTTGGAACCAAGGATCATCCAAAGGGATGCCACTGGCAAAAACTCTAGCATCATTCCTTAACACAAATTACATTATGCTGCCTCCATGCTTAAGACCTTTGATGACTTCCTATGTAGGCCTAGAGGATACAAGCCAAAATCCCTCACTTATAATTCAAGGCCCTTTCCAATTTTTATCCAGCCTAATTTTCTTTCTTTTTAATTTTTTTTACCTTTTTTCATCCTTTATTTTTTATTTTTTTTTTATTTTGCTGGATTTTGTTATAGTTCTTTTTTTATATATACTTAAAGTTCTGGGATACACGTGCAGAACATGCAGGTTTGTTACATAAGTATACATGTGCCATGGTGGTTTGCTGTACCTATCAACCCGTCATCTAGCTTCTAAGCCCCACATGCATAAAGTATTTGTCCTAATGCTCTCCCTCCCCTTGCCCCCCAACCCCCCGACAGGCCCCAGTGTGTGATGTTCCCCTCCCTGTGTCCATGTGTTCTCATTGTTCAATTCCCACTTATGAGTGAGAACATGTGGTGTTTGGTTTTCTGTTCCTGTGTTAGTTTGCTGAGAATGATGGCTTCCAGCTTCATCCATGTCCCTGCAAAGGACATGAACTCATCCTTCCATATGGCTGCATAGTATTCCATGGTGTATATGTGCCACATTTTCTTTATCCAGTCTATCATCGATGGGCATTTGGGTTGGTTCCAAGTCTTTGCTATTGTAGTTAGTCATCCAGCCTAATTTTCATCCTCATCTCCTGATCCACTGTGCTCCAGCGTCACAAATACAACCAACTCAGAAAATCTCACTCACATTCCTTTAGGTGTGGTTTTCAACATTTCTCTATTCCCTTCCTAGTAATTCCCCTCCATCTTTAGGGGCTCAGTTCAAATGCCATTGTCTCTGAGAAGTTTTGCATAGCTAATGTCTCCCTCCTCTTTGTGCTAGTGGAACCATTAAGTTGAACAAACAGGACTTGTCGGGGTGGGGACAGGTGACAGAAAAAAAAAATGCCACTCTTTTTCCACTGGTCATTCAAATTTGCTGTGGCAGCTCCTTTATCCCTGCCCTCTTTGCATGAAACTAGGGTAGGTCCCAAGACTGCTGATAGACCAAAAGAGTCATCGAGTTACTTTAGTCTCCCAGATACCTCAGTTCACTATCAATATGATCAGTTAAGGATGATAATGCAAGCTCCAGATTTCATCCACAGCTGCTCACCTCCAATGTAGGTCTCCTGCAGTAGAAATGGGGACAGTGGTCAGCTCCTTCTCCCTCCTCACTCACCACCCCCAATCCCAACTAGTTTCAGATCCTTAATCCTCCAGGGTTGGATCTGGAAGAAGAAGAAGAGGCAAGAGGCAGGTATTATTGTGAGCTGGCATTGATTCCTGGGCCTGGCAAGTGATCAAAACTGGCTTTCTGTGGAATCTACCAGTAGATTCTCTGGAAATCCTCCCACTCTTCACCAAAGCTGGGGCTCACTCACCCCAAAGCATCTCTCAGGCAGATCATGCATGCTTCCTCTCTTAGCATTGCATCTCTGGCTAATGAATACAACATTTTTGTGCTGAGGGCTCCTTGCCCCTTCGTGATCCCACTGGGACAGGATCTCAGACAACCTAGAAAAGCTGGAAAAATATCAAGAGGGTCTAGTTTATAAGGCAGGAAGATTAATTTTTAATTCAGTGATGACTTAAAGACACTGAAAATGTTATGAAAGGGACTGGATATAACATAATTGTTAAAACTTGTCTGGGTTCAAATCTTGGCTTAACCATTTGTTAGCCATGTGGTCTTGGGTAAGCTATTTAACCTCTCAGTGTCCTTGCCTATAACAGGAATAATACTAGTATCCACCTCATGTTGTCATGACGAAATAAGAAAATATTAAATAGTAGATACTGTTAAAGTATACTAGTTTTATTAACTACAAATGATTTTTTCTTTTTATTTTAGTTTTTATTGTTATTTTTTGAGAAAGAGTCTTGCTGTGTTGCCCAGACTAGTGTGCAGTGTCATGATCTCGTCTCACTGCAGCCTCCACCTCCCAGATTCAAGTGATTCTTGTGCCTTAGCCTCCTGAGTAGTTGGGACTACAGGTGTGCGCCACCACACCCGGCTAAGTTTTGTACTTTTAGTAAAGATGGGGTTTTGCCATGTTAGGCAGGCTGGTCTGGAACTTCTGACCTCAAGTGATTCACCCACCTCAGCCTCTTAAAGTGCTGGGATTACAGGTGTGAGCCACTGCTCCTGGCCTACGAATGACTGTTTTAATGCTACTGTCAATAAAACAAGGGAATACACAGAGTAGTGAGTATGTAAACACTCCACTGCTGATCTTGAAAATAATGTTGACAGTGGCAGGTCAAATAGAAAAGAGAAAAATAAACCATTGTCATTCACAGTACATATTACTCTTGTCTTCTTTAGATATTTCTTTCTGTTTTTTGGCGGGGGGGACTATCTAAACCATTTCATCTGAGCCTATTCTTGTTTATCTCAAGTAGGGAAGAATGATATAAGACCAAATAGTTTCAGATATAAGACCAAATAGTTTCAAATAGAGTAATTAGCTTCAGGACTTTATATGATTTGGAGAATTATAATTGTAGGTCACAAGTTGAAGTCAGCCCTGGGTTGGTAGAAGGCTTTACCATCTGTTGGCTTTTTTAGTAATTAATATGAAATAGATGTATAACACTATCAGCTTTTAATGTAGAACCTGGCCTTATATTTGTTGTGCTTTTTGAATTGGGGTTGGAAAGCTGAGGAGGACTGTAAATGGTTACAGAATTAATCTATTCTTTATGTCACCATCTGTTTCTCCTCCTTTCTTTTTCCAAGTCCGTGGCCTTGCCTGACTCATCTTACAGTGTTTTTACAGAGAACTTCCCATGTGGAAGAAAAGGTGTACCACATTCCTATCCTGCTTCTAATTACCATCATAATTTTTTATTTCCCACAAATCCCTAAGCAGCCTTTTGTTCACTATCAAGGAGGTAGGGCTTTAAATACCAATAAATATAGTGCTACAAGTTCAAAAGCTCCCCAGAGCCCCACCCTCATTCGTAATCTCCCAGAGTAAGCAGCTCATGCACTCAGCAAAGGAAGGTGCCTGAAACTCACTCAGTATCAAATCACCTGTCACAACTGTTGTTTACGATGGTTTTGCTCTCTTTCACAGAATATTGTATCCTTCTTTGTACTTGTGTATATGATTTCTAGAATAATCAAGTATTTTTTTCCAGCTGCTCCTATTCTAAAGATAAGGGGTACACTGTATCAGCTCATCATCTGCAGTTACTAGAATAGCTGTTCCTGCCATGGCAGGGCCTCTGTCATGTGGTTGTGGATGGGTGTTCCACATTTAAGAACGAAAGGCACATTCTTCCTCCCTGTAGTGGGGGAATGATTAATCTCAAGGAACATCTAGTGCACCAGCTCTGTGAGAATGGCCTTGGTTTTACCGTCAAGGATTAAAGGCTATGAACTGATTTTTTTTTTCACTCCTTCCATTTAAGATATACAGTAACAAGATTCAACGTATCACCTTGGGCAGAATTCTCATATTCAGGAATGATACTTGCAGTGGCATGAACACTGCATAGTGATTAAAAATAATAACAATAAATAGTAGTAACCATAGTTATGATAAATAATAGTAATAATAATGATAGTAGAAGTATTGATAGCATTTCATGAATACTTTGTAGATGCCAGCACCATGAGGAAGATCTTGCCATCCAGTTTTATATCTAGAGTAGATGAACATTTTGTGTCTGTAAAAACCCTGGATGCTCAATGTTCAGTTTTCCTCAGTCACTCTTGAAACATCTAGGCAAGTCCATCGAAGTCATCTCTTCCCAACTCCTCAAATACACATCCTGCAATCTGAGAATATTCTTAATTTTAAGTTGAAAGAAAAACATTAGATGTAAGTTTTCAGAGCGTCAGCCTGGAGCTGCTGCAGCTGCCTGCTTTCCACAAGTTATCATCAAGAGCTGCAAAGGTCAGTGAAGCACGTCGCAGAGAACCCAGGGACAATTGATTTGGAAAGAGCTGTGAGCAGGGCTTTTTGTTTTTATTTTTTTGTTTTCCTCATCCTTTAATAGTACCCCATGAAGCAGTGTTTCTGAATGGATCAATATGCCATGGAAGTGAATATTGGTCTGGCAGCTGCTTCATTTTGTTTGTTTACGCTCGTCTTTGGTGGCAGCCAAAATTTTTATTTTGAAAGCGTGAATCATCTTTGAACACTTGGTGTGTGTGTGTTTGTGTGGGTGTGTGTCTGTGTTTTCAAAAGAGAAAAAGTGCTTTGCTCACTCACAGTTAATAAATGTTTATATCTGCTCAGCTATCGTGGTTACCCTCAGCTTGCAAAGGCATAAATCACTGGCTTCTGTCAACTCTGGAATTGACCTACAGATTAAACGCAGATCACTATGAGATAGATACTTTCCACATTTTTTTTATTTTTAAGAAATCTTCCCACTCTGATTGCTGTGCCTGCACCTGCTAATCTTTTTCTCTTTATTACCCTAGTTCATTGTGTGGATAGCAAAGAATTCCAGATTACCTTTTCTACACATTTATGTCAACTTGTTTTAAGAAGTAAATCAGCACTAAATGTCTGATTACTCTGTTTCTCCTTTAGAATAGGCTGTGATTTGATCACATGTATTTAAAAGACATTTTATTTTTTAAAAAAAGTAATTTGTTAAATTTTGCAAACTAATATCAAGGATTTAGAGTAACTAAGTTACTGAATTTAGAAGGGTCATATCTTAATGTTTCCTCTACTACTACTTTGAATTTGACTGCCTCCCCTTTACTACCTTTACTATTGATAAATATCCAATAATAAAGACAATTTTTCTAGTTTAACAAACATCAAAAGGCCCTAATGAAGACAACAGACGTTAGGTAAATCAGCAACCCATTAAGGGGAAGCATTAAATCTGAACACAAGAGTCTATTAATTTTCTGTTGCTCTTGTACCTTATGCATTTGCCAAATTCATTGTCCCAGTGGACACTAGGCAAGTCTCCAGTCCTGAATAAGAACTGAATCTTTTATTCTGGGCTTCTGCTGTCACCCATCTAGTACTGTTGTCACAATTGCTGAACCATCAATGGAGAAAAAATATATCAAATTATGAAAAAAAATGTAATTTGTCCGAAAAATTTAGCCTTAACACAAGTTAAAGCTAATGAAAAAAATCTAAGACAAATGGTGAAAGGAAAGATCACACTCAAGGTAGAATTCACCTTTAAACCTACTTTTTGGAAATATAACCCCCTGACACAGCAATACTATCATACCTAATTCATCTTCCATGCAATGTTCAATTGGGCACCTCAGAAAAAAGGTTTCAGCAGTTCACTTGATGGTTTTATATTCTGACAATATACAGGACAAATAAGAGAAAATCAGATTTACTTTTCAGAAATGTGCTTTGCATTATCACTTTACTGGAAACTATCTAGTGTGTAACTTGAGGGATTTGAGTGGTGGCTTTCTAATGAGGATAAACCTGAGCTCAGTTAGACTTGTGGCTAGCCCATGTTCCCATGTCTTTTTTCATTAAGAATCAGAATGTTAACTATGATTTCCTGGCCAGATTCCAGCATGGTTAATTGCATGCTGTCTACCTAAATTCCCTTTGCTTGGGATGTTCTTCACTTTGGATCGTATTGCTCTTATTGTCATGTTTCCCCCAAGAGGTGGGTATAAGATATTGTAGAATGAGCCAGAATATAATTTGTTAAGCTAATAAGAGGACTTTGGGGCTGAAGGGTTAAATGTAAGTAGTGTGCTTTTCACAATTCCCCCCAATGAGGCCTATTTGTACAGTAATTAATGTGGAATAACATTAGTGAAACATGGAAATGAGCCAGATCGCCATGACAAGAGTGGCAATAGCACAGAAACAACTAATTTTGATAATTTATACAGAAAATAATCATTTAAACAAATATGCAGAAGCTCCCTGCCTAATGCATCTTTTGCCTTATTTATTTATTTATTTGGTCTGAGGCTGACACATTCAATCACTAATTGAGTTAACACAATATTCAGTAGGTGAAATTTATTCCAAATGAACATTAAAAACATAGTTACAGTTTCTATCATCTTTGTACCTAGCATGGCACCTAGCACAATAGCTTGCATAGTGACATTCATTCATTAAAGTAAGGTTTGTTAATGAATGAAGATGGGGAAAAAAATCAGGAGGGAAATAGTGTTTACAAATTTCCTAAGACTCAGCAATCTTTAGGCATGTTCCCTGCAGTATTTTATCTAATGCTCACAATTATCCCCATTTCACAGATGAAAAAACAGAGGCTCGGAGATGCCAAATGGCTTCCCCAAGATCAAATAGCTCTAACTTTCAAAGCCAGGTCTATTTTACTGTAAAACCCAACCACTCCATGTTATCTTGCAGTCTCCCACACTGTGCCTGGCATCTTTGCCCTTAATTTGAGGAGGCAAGTCTAAAAGCCTCCAACACTGTGAAAGTCAAGTTGATCCCCAAAGACAAGGTTAACAACTGCTCTTTGGAATTTTACATTGTTATTCTGCCTCTCATTACTCCAATTCAAATCTGTCACTATTGCCATTTTAGAGTTGTCATAATTATTGCCAAATAATTATACACTTGTCACAAAATATACCATAAATTGAATCTTTAAAAATCGTAGTACAAAGTAGTTCAAATGTGTTTAATGAATCCAGAAATTAATGAGAAAAAAAACACTCCTTAAGCTCCATAAAATTCACTCACCATGGTTGAATCTATTGTGTTGACTAGAGAAAATGCACTTCAGCCCTCCTGCACCTGGACTGTATTTATAGCCAAGTTTTCAGTTTTTTAACTGCCATTAAATTCTTAGAAATTGAATGTGTGGAAAATGATAGAAATTTATTTTGCCTCATGAGAGAAATCGTTCTCTTTCTATTTTAAGTTTTCTTTTAATATAGCATGAAAGTCTATACCTTTAAAGTCTGTTGAACTGGGATGTAGGAAATATGTATTTCTATATGATAATGGGTATAGCATAGTAAAAGACTTGAAAAACACAATAATATGTAGACTATAAATTAGTCAATTTCCAATGGCTGTAGCACACATCTCACTTTAATACAGAAATTCCTATACCAATATATTTTATTTCCAGCCAGACAGTGGCTAATTTATGACTCTGCCAACAATGCCATTTTAATTAATTTTATTCATCTTATTTCTCTTTCCTGTGTTCCTCATATCTCATCTGTTTGCATTGCCTAGATTTTAATTAAAAAACCTCTCCTCTCTAAGGAGCAATCTGAAGTGGCAAAAATAATCACTTAAAATATTACAGTCATTAAAAAATTGGCTGTGGTGGAAGCCATGCATTTTCAATTTTCCTACAAATGATGTTTTAGCTTCCTTTTAAAGCGCACTTTGTATTTGAATTGTCTGCCACCAGCCAGCTTGGCTATCAAAAATGGTCTTCCAGCTGGGTGGGCTGAGTGACAACTCCTTAATGGAGGAAATGGATGGCTCTCTGCTCATGTGGAGGGGAAGGCATACCAGGCAGATTTCATTCCATCTGCCACCAGCTCTCTGCAAGCTGGCATTGCCCAAATGCCCAATACCCTCATTCCAACAAAAAGGATATCGTCAAAGAATAAATGGTAAGGCTACAGATGCCTGAAAGAATCATCAGGGTCATTAGACCCCAGGGAGATCATATTAAGAGGTGCTTCGGTGTTCATCTTTGATGAAAACCTAATAAAACAATGGTAGAGGCAAATGTAAGCACTTTTACAAGTACAGAGGTGAAGTCATTAACATTTTCAGCAGAGTATAGGGAGCAACCTTAGAAAACTGCTATCCTGAGTTGTGGCCAAGGACTTGTTATATTGAAGAATTTGCACTGATGTTTCCTGTTGATGATTTTCTGAATGGCAAATTCTTGTCACTTAGTTACTCTGTGTTCTGCTTCTCAAGTAAAGGAAATCCATTTAGTGGCAAAGTAGGAAAATATTTTTGATTGACAAAGAGAAACACATAAGAGCCATACTTAAGGGACTTTAGAAATCGGTAACCTACTAGTACTTAGAAGCATAAAGTGTATGTCATTGATCAAGGCTAAAATAATGAAACAAGTACAAACAATTATAATTATATAATAATGTACATTAGGAGTGCTAGAAATACAAATAAAAATTTAGAACCAGCTGCAGAATTTATACCTTTATTTTACCCCAAATAAATGCTTAGTAGCTTGATATATATTCACCATATGTCAATCAAAAGCTGTGGCTCAGGAAATCACATGTGATTTAGAATCATCTGCTAAAGAAAACCTAGTAGATTTTCATGATGCTCAAAGTAAAATAGTCCTGAATTCCAAAAATTCTTGTTTTTTTCATATCAAGAGCTCATGTATCTTACAAAGTTACACATTTAATTGGTTTTGAAGTTGTTTAGATTTGAATTGTTATTGCATATAAATGATAGGAGTTCGAATAGGTGTTGAACAAAAATAGCTGGGTATTAAAATCGAGACCAATTTTTTAAAATTCTTTTCATACTTTCAATGAATGTTTCATTTGGATTTTTAACATAGTAGATCGATGTTATACAATGCAAACTTACCTGTAAGAAAAGTGGCATCAGACATCTTGCATTAAGTTTTCCTGTTTTAGGAGAATATTTGATAATCTGCCAAAATTTGGAGGAGGGCTTTTAAAGTTCTAATTAATGATTCAGTCTGCCCTGAAGATGAATGAATGTTTGCAGTATTTTTACCTGTTGTATTGTGGAACATATTCCATGCATGTTACTAAAGGTTTTAAGTTGATCCAAAGAATTTTAATGACTATTCTGATGAAAAATAGTTTAAAATAGATTGAAATGCTCTTCTATTTTTCCATCACCTTTGCTAGGCATATGGAATATAATAGCATGGTTTTGAAAAAATATGTATATTTAGAAATAATGATTATTTTGTAGCACTTAGAAGTTTCAAAATGCATTTCCTCATATATTATTTGTGCCACTAACAACACCTCTAGCAGGTAGATATTATTGGTTCCATTCTACAACCTGAGAAACCGAGGCGTAGAGGGGTTAAATGGCTTCTACAAAAACATGGAGCCATTAAATAGAGAAAATATTTCAACACGCTTTCTAATCCCAATCCTGAAACTCCTTGAGGGATTTCAGTCCTTATCATCTTGATTGTTTTTGGTTTCCAATTTTTGTTCTTTTCCGATCTTAATTTATTCACTTCATGTAGGTGCTGAATTTAATTGAGTTAGATTCTAGGAGAAAGCTCAAGCAATGCCTAACCAAGGAAGCCGTGGATTCCCATTCAGAGCCAGAAATGCAGATAGAAAGCAAGCAAGGACCGGGGACACTATCTCAATCTGAATGCATTCAGGCATAAATTTGTAGTTTGGAGAGCATCTAGGAAGCAGGCTAATTCCAAGACACCAAGCCCGCTGTGCCCAATCCTAAAACAGAATTAACATGAAATTCTAACTTGTCTTGTAATTGATTTAGGCGTTCTCAGAATGAGAACCCTAATATGGCCCCCTACGCTGGCTAAGGCTCCAAAATACAGGGCCTATGATTATCAACTCCTTAGAAAGAAATGGAGACTCAGTACACCCGTTGCTCTCAAATAGCTCAGGAATTCACTGGTTTCACTAAGACCATCCCCAGTTTTACAGGCCCAGTATACTATGGGCTCATATATCCTTAAAAGAGCATTTTACCACTGCAAACCTTGAGAACACTGGGTTCTATTCAGAATGGCAGAGGTAGAAATCATATCTTGATCTCCTTAGCATGGTGAGGAGCAGAGCAAGCCATCTGTAGCTGTGTGGGTTCTGTGCATCTCCAGACCTTGCTCCCTAGAGAGTGACAGTCCCATCTTGCTAAGAGATAGAGAACATCTAGCCACCTCCCACTGAAGGATGGCTGCTTCCTTTGGGTGTGTTGCAGCCTTTCTTTGGTAATATGTCAGTCTATTAAGACTCTAAAGAAGAGAATTTTCAAAGAGCAATACTTCCCTCCACACCCAAAAGTCGCTTATTATGATTTTCAAATATTATGTACCATACATAATTTTATATGCTATACTTTTATAGGATTGGCAGCACAGTAGGTCTATTTACACCAACATCACCAAAAACACATGAGTAATGTATTATGCCATGATGTTATGATAACTATGACATCACTAGGTGATAGAAATTTTTCAGCTCCATTATAATATTATAGGACCACCATTGTATATGCGGTCTGTCATTTACTGAAACATTGTTATGTGGTACATGACTGTATGTGTCTTAGAAAATCATGTTATATATCTTAGGCATACACAATAAATTTATCTTCTTTTAAAAATATAATTACCTTAAAGGGCATTTCCATGTCATTCCCTCATTCATTTGTTGAACTATTTAACAAACATTTTTTAATGCCTGCTATATGCCAGGCACTGTGCTAAGACCTGGAATATAACAAGGAACAAAATGGACATTGTCCTTGCCCTACAGAACTCACAGTCCCTAGGCTTGACTGATAGGTTTTGTCCAGTTGGTTTTTTTCATCTCTGTTTCATTTTAAGAGTATATAAAACTTAAAAGAATGTTTGATGTTTCATGTATAGCATTTCTCTTTTTATTTCTCCTTTTTATTGTTTTAGCTTCCCATGCCCAGCCCCAAGCATCTCTCTATATATGACTTATTACCAAAAAATGTTAATGCAAACTTATAATAATTTTTTAAAGTAACTAACATTTACTATCTCCAAAGTTTGATCTTGCCTTTATTCTCTTCAAGCTGAAAAAAAAATTTCTTTAGAAAAAGTATCACAAGAAATATATTTTCCTTATTTTTTATGTGTTCTTTTGGGGATTAACAAAGTTCATAGTTTCCCAGTTCCTCATTTGGGATAGTATGCACTTTTTAGGTCTGGTCAGAAACTTTTACTCAGAAACTGGTTGAGAATATGTGATTATATCTGGGTTTACTTTGACCTTTTCTACATTGCATGTTTAGATTAGCTGGCTGTTCTACTCATATTCCATTTACAGATAAATTGTGAAAGACTTGAATGGCAAGTAAGAAATATATGGAATATTGAAAAGGTCAATGCTATTTAGCCGATAACCACAGAATTTGAAATACATGACAAGTCATTATCAAATTTAATTCCCACAACAAGGACAGTGGTAAAGATGGGAAATTATTCCAATTGAAATACTCTTGTTTCATACTGAAGACAGAGATGGCAAAGCTCAAATGCCCCCTTGACTCCTTTTTTGTGATAACTTAATAGGTTAGAAAGAAATTGTAATTGAATTAAACAAGGCAAAAAAGAGGTAACAAGCTCTTTTGATTTGAGAGTCCATCATAGAGGAGCTAATATAATAACTTTTCTAAAAACTCTAATTATACATGAGTAAGACAGATACAGCTACAACACCAATTCAACAGCCACCCCGTGCTCTCTTTTCACCTACAGCATAGCTGTCAGTCAGATGGGAACTCCATTTATTTCCATGGAAATGAAGGCAGCGAGTTCAATTTTGCCACCACCAGGGATGTAGATCTTTCCACAGAAGATATTCAAGAGCAATGGTCAGAAGAATTTGAGAGCCAGCCTACAGGGTAAGTAATTGCTATCTCCCATGCTGTGTATGTAGCACTTACATTTATTCTACTGGACGTGTTTTAAATGCATATTGTTAAATGGCGAAAGCATACTTAGATCAATACTGATGATTCTTATCGTAGACAAGCCAAAAGGGGTGCACTTACCCTAAAGATTCTAAGCTTATAATTAACTATTTTTTGCATATTAAAAATTTGTGATTGCAAATGCTTTTAAGTTCACTTGACTCACTTATATCTCATTTTAGTTTATTCAGCTTTTACTGGGAGAAAGGTTTTTTTCCCAATGTTTATAGAATACAAAATCTTTCCATTACTATTATATTGAGATTTTTGTTTGTCTTCCTGGGGTCTGAGATTTATAGATGCTGCTACCTGATTTTCATTGGAATGTGGCTTTGATCTATAAAAATTCTTTAGGGGATAAAATTTGTCTTCCAGAGATTTATAAAGGGGGAATTTGGGACTGAGGTTGAAATAGAGGAGACCTGAAGCTGTGAGCATTGTTTGATGGTAGTGTTTTCTTGCTGTTCTGAGCTGTGTGCCTTCTTCTGGGTCTTAAGTCCCTAAGATATATCCTACTAATTGGGCAGCACTTTCAGAAGTTCAAGTTGAAAAAAAACATTAATAAGATTAGAAACTCAAAACCCATAACGTGATATGGAGGTAAATTTATGTTTTGTAACACTGTGATAAGGATGAATGATATTAACATTAAATATAATTTCATAATGAATATGAAATAGCAATAATTTAACTATTGACTGACAAACTTTTCCATAATACAACATTTGAGGTATAGTCGTGTCACTGTGATCTCAACAAATTAAATCAAAACTGATTAAACTTCGAAGTCCCTGAGTGGCAAGATGGCTAGTATTGCTCTTTTGCGCTCCCTGTCCTGTGCCTTGCCCAAGAACTCCATTCAGACCCAATAAGACTCTTCCATTCTCTCTCCCAGAAGGGCCCCTCTTTTTTAGCTTGTTGTATCCTCAAAGCTTGTCTATGAAAGACACAAAAATTCTTACCCTCAGCCTGAGCCACACTGCCACTGTGACCCTTTGCTGCCACAATGGGGTCTTTCAGTGTCAAACTCTGAATTTCTACTGCAGTTGACCCAGCCCTGCTCCTCCCTGCCTCAGGGAAGTGGCTCAGGTCCAGCCTGTGGCACAGCAGGCTAAGCCTCTGCAGAAGGCTGAGACTCTGAATGACTCCACCCCCTCAGGGCCTATTGACCTCTGCAGGCCCAGCACCAAGGCTCAGTCCTTTAGCCCACACGGCCTTTTCTGACATTCCTGACACCCTGAAGTTTCATGTGCAGTACAGCTCCAATGTCTCCTTGAGACGCCAGAAACCACTGTTTCTCATTTTAGCCTCTAGGACCTCCCCAGGGTCAGGCTGGGGAGACCCTAGAGGGAAAAAAAGAAACAGTGGTTTCTGGTCCCTTCTAGCTCTTCTAAGAACAGTGCACTCCTCTCCCAGATCAAAGAGCTTTGGTGGAGTCCAGAGCTTTGACAATGCACAGAAGTCTTTCTACCTATCTTCTGGAGATAAAGGATCACCAGCACACCAGTTCGTTCTGACTGCTGATAAAAAAAAAAAAGACCAATTCGACTCCCTTTCCTGATTATGGAGCTTGATCACAGATGAGGGGATCCAAATGTTGAGGCACAAGAGACTCATTTACTCCCACGCTTTCATCTCTCCACGCTAATTCCATCCATATATCAGGGATTAAATCACCCTCTTCAGGGAGTCCCAGAGCCCCTGGGGACTCAGATGATTCCCCAGTGTTACCAGCCCCCATCCCATTAAAGCAGAGCTAAAGAGATGCATTTCCTCTCCAGGAGTACCATTCTGATACACACATAAATACCAATATGTCTCTCTCTCCCTCCTCCCTCTCCTTCTCACCCTCCACTTCTCTCTCCTTCTCTGTGTGTGCCTGTATCTTCCAAGAAAAATCAATGTTTTAAATGTAACTTGCTCTTATTGTTTGGGGGGGAAATAAAATTTATTTTTACCTATGGCCTTCATACCAGCTGTTCTCTCTCCCAAAATGCCCCCCATCTTCTTAGTTTATTCTATTAGCAAAGCCTGTCTATAAAAGGACACAAGAAATGCCTTAGTAAAAGAATGAATAGTCCATTCAGCTCTCTATGAGTAACACTTGTGGAGACTTGGTACAAAAACATGGAAAACCCCTTCATGAAGTAAGCTTAGAAAGGAATTGACTTGATATTAGAAGAAACCAAGCATAGTTTAGAAGATTAATGTACTAGTCCAGAAACATAGCTGGCAAAAATTATATATTCCAATTAACAGATCAGACATTCTGCTTTCATAGAGCACAAATAATATAAGAGAATTTTTGGCTACAACTAAATCGATCATTTCCCCCAAACAAAAAAAAAAGAACTAAAACTATTTATGCCTGAAAAAAAGAGCTCTGAAGTCAATATGGACACAGAGGAACATCAGAGGAAATTCCATTAACCAAATGACTCAGGTGCTCTTTGGACATTTCTTTAATTATGCTCTTTGGACATTTCTCAGGACTGAAGATTGACCAGGGTTTTGGTCACAGTTAAGAAGCTGGTACTTCCAGGCTGTGGCATTGTCAGCAGATTTCTGTTCCAATAAGATATAATAATGTGCTTGAGAAAAGCACCGTACCACTCTCATTGCTCTGCAATTAATTTATCTAAATTCTAAAAGTGGCGTAATTCTTCTAGCAATCACACTTTGGGCTTATTTGTGGCTTTTGGCCAGGACGTCAGGCTACACCCCAGAATTACTTCATTCATGTTGTCATCTGGTGGCCTAGCTATGAAGTTGGCATTATGTTATACAGTATAAAAGGATAATGAGAAGACCTAGTATTTTCTGTTTTGGGTGATGATAAAAATGATAGTTTAATCCATAGTGTTTTGTGTGCTTGTATGTGTTGGGGGTTGGGGGGCCCGCCCTCCCCCCTGGTCCCAAATGTTGCTTTGTTGGTCCAGGAAATAATGCTGATATAATAATTTTTAGTCACAGATTGAATTTTTTTTAAAAGTCACAAAATCTAATTAATGTGAAGCATGTTTATCTAGGGTAAGAGCTGACAAAGAAAAACAGATTAAAAATTTGGTAGTAAAATTCTTGATGCGTTCTGTTTTCTCTGCTCAGTTAATCGAATATTTGTCTCCTTCTTTCATCCACCACCACCCACACAAACAATCTATCATGGTAAGCTCATCTGCTAAAACAGACAGAAAACATAGATGGCAAATCCTCACTCACTCAAGGGTGGCCAGTTGAATTGATTGAATTCTACTGCTTTGAGTTCACTTTTTTAAGAAATAAAAAATTATTAATGTGGATATAATGCTTTCATCTCTTTAGCAATGTTTTTGTTATGTAAGAATCATGACAGAGAAAAAAGAGTATGCAGTCCTCTCTAATAACGTTTCCAAAAGACTTAATATGAATGGCAAGGAAGAAAAGAGAGCCAGTAAGCCATTATGGCTTTTCTGGGAAACCGTTTTCCCAATTATCCATATTTTCCCACCATTTGAATTAAAGTATTTTATCTCAGATCACAAGGATGCAAGAGCTGTGTGCCTTTCACATCACTTAGCTGTCCGAAATCCGGTGTTGATAGGTTTATTTTTTTAAGTGGGATTTTAAAGTTGTTTTTTTCTTTTTTCTAAAGAAGACACATCTGTTACTTCAGCAAGGGAGAAACTTTAATAGATACACTGATAATTTATGTGAGTCTTTCTGAACTTTGGCTTAACCTTACAAACACATCATTTAATTAGCAGCTACCACATCTCACTTAGCTGAGGCTGTCTTTAGGTGGAAGGTAGCTTTGTAGAACATTGCTATAATATGGAATTTGTGTATTTGCCTTTCATCCCAAACGTAAACATTATATGCTTTTACTATTCAAAACACCTTTTTTAAAAAAATCTGTTTTACTGCTATTGCCACAATATTCGTACTAAAGAGAAACTCCACAAATGTAATGAATATTAAAAGCTGGAATCAAGACAGTATGCTGTAGTCTTCCCCACCTGCCCGAAATCCTTGGAAATGACGGAAAATGAACAAATGAGTCTATAATGACACTAAAAAACAAGAAAGTGACCTGTAGTTGGACCAGAGAGAGCAGGGATCTGATGGAAGGAAGTAGACAATAGCCCAGAACACATGTTGAATGAAGACACTACAAAAGGCGTCTCATTATTGCTCCAGGTCATGGATGCTGCACGAAGGAATCAGGGTGGGGCTATAAGGACTGCTAAGTAGGTGAAACCCTCACTACACCTAGTTCTTTTTTTTTTTTTTTTTTTTTTTTTTGAGACAGATTCTCACTCTGTCGCCCAGGCTGGAGTGCAGTGGTGCTATATCAGCTTACTGCAACCTCCGCCTCCTGGGTTTCAGTGATTCTCGTCTCTCAGCCTCCCCAGTAGCTGAGATTACAGGCACGTACCGCCACGCCCAGCTAATTTTTGTACTTTTGGTAGAGACGGGATTTCACTATGTTAGCCAGGCTCGTCTCGAACTCCTGACCTCAAGTGATCTGCCCGCCTTGGCCTCCTGAAGTGCTGGGATTACAGGCATGAGCCACCGTGCCCGGCCCTCACTAAGAACAACTGTTGTTGTTCTTTTTATTATTATTATTATTATTATTATTATTATTATTATTATTATTATTATACTTTAAGTTCTGGGTTACATGTGCAGAACGTGCAGGTTTGTTACATAGGTACACACGTGCCATGGTGGTTTGCTGCACCCATCAACCCATCACCTACATTAGGTATTTCTCCTAATGTTATCCCTCCCCTAGTCCCCCACCCCCCACAGATCCTAGTGTATGATGTTCCCCTCCCTATGTCCATGTGTTCTTATTGTTCAACTCCCACTTATAAGTGAGAATATGCACTGTTTGGTTTTCTGATCTTGTGATAGTTTGCTGAGAATAATGGTTTCCAGCTTCATCCGTGTCCCTGCAAAGGACAGCAACTCATCCTTTTTTATGGCTGCATAGTATTCCATGGTGTATATGTGGCACATTTTTTTTATTATGCTTTAACTTCTAGGGTACATGTGCACAACATGCAGGTTTGTTACATATGTATACATGTACCATGTTGGTGTGCTGCACCCATTAACTCATCATTTATATTAGATATATCTCCTAATGCTATCCCTCCCCCCTGCTCCCACCCCATGACAGGCCCCGCTGTGTGATGTTCACCACCCTGTGTCCAAGTATTCTCATTGTTCAATTCCCATCTATGAATGAGAACATGCAGTATTTGGTTTTCTGTCCTTGCGATATTTTGCTGAGAATGATGGTTTCCAGTTTCATCCGTGTCCCTACAAAGGACATGAACTCATCATTTTTTGTGGCTGCATAGTATTCCATGGTGTATATGTGACACATTTTCTTAATCCAGTCTATCATTGTGGACATTTGGGTTGGTTCCAAGTCTTTGCTATTGTGAATAGTGCCTCAATAAACATACGTGTGCATGTGTCTGTATAGTAGCATGATTTATAATCCTTTGGGTATATACCCAGTAATGGGATTGCTGGGTCAAATGGTATTTCTAGTTCTAGATCCTTGAGGAATTGCCACATTGTCTTCCACAGTGGTTGAACTAGTTTACAGTCCCACCAACAGTGTAAAAGTGTTCCTATTTCTCCACATCCTCTCCAGCACCTGTTGTTTCCTGACTTTTTAATGATTGCCATTCTAACTGGTGTGAGATGGTATCTCACTGTGGTTTTGATTTGCATTTCTCTGATGGCCAGTGATGATGAGCATTTTTTCATGTGTCTGTTGGCTGCATAAACATCTTCTTTTGAGAAGTGTCTGTTCATAGCCTTTGCCCACTTTTTGATGGGGTTTTTTTATTTTTTTCTTGTAAATTTGTTTGAGTTCATTGTAGATTCTGGATATTAGCCATTTGTCAGATGAGTAGATTGTAAAAATTTTCTCCCATTCTATAGGTTGCCTGTTCACTCTGATGGTAGTTTCTTTTGTTGTGCAGAAACTCTTTAGTTTAATTAGATCCCATTTGTCAATTTTGGCTTTTGTTGCCATTGCTTTTGGTGTTTTAGACATGAAGTCCTTGCCCATGCCTATGTCCTGAATGGTATTGCCTAGGTTTTCTTCTAGGGTATTTATGGTTTTAGGTCTAACATGTAAGTCTTTAATCCATCTTGAATTAATTTTTGTATAAGGTGTAAGGAAGGGATCCAGTTTCAGCTTTCTACATATGGCTAGCCAGTTTTCCCAGCACCGTTTATTAAATAGGGAATCTTTTCCCCATTTCTTGTTTTTCTCAGGTTTGTCAAAGACCAGATGGTTGTAGATGTGTGGTATTATTTCTAAGCGCTCTGTTCTGTTCCATTGGTCTATATCTCTGTTTTGGTACCAGTACCATGCTGTTTTGGTTACTGCAGCCTTGTAGTATAGTTTGAAGTCAGATAGCATGACGCCTCCAGCTTTGTTCTTTTGGCTTAGGATTGTCTTGGCAATGTGGGCTCTTTTTTGGTTCCATATGAACTTTAAAGTAGTTTTTTCCAATTCTGTGAAGAAAGTCATTGGTAGCTTGATGGGGGTGGCATTGAATCTATAAATTACCTTGGGCAGTGTGACCATTTTCATGATATTGATTGTTCCTATCCATGAGCATGGAATGTTCTTCCATTTGTTTGTGTCCTCTTTTATTTTGTTGAGCAGTGGTTTGTAGTTCTCCCTGAAGAGGTCCTTCACATCCCTTGTAAGTTGGATTCCTAGGTATTTTATTCTCTTTGAAGCAATTGTGAATGGGAATTCACTCATGATTTGGCTCTCTTCTTATCTATTATTGATATACAGGAATGCTTGTGATTTTTGCACATTGATTTTGTATGCTGAGTCTTTGCTGAAGTTGCCTATCAGCATAAGGAGATTTTGGGCTGAGACAGTGGGGTTTTCTAAATATACAATCATGTCATCTGCAAACAGAGACAATTTGACTTCAGCTTTTCCTAGTTGAATACACTTTATTTCTTTCTCCTGCCTAATTGCCCTGGCCAGAACTTCCAACACTATGTTGAATAGGAGTGGTGAGAGAGGGCATCTCTGTCTTGTGCTAGTTTTCAAAGGGAATGCTTCCAGTTTTTGCCCATTCAGTATGATATTGGCTGTGGGTTTGTCATAAATAGATCTTATTATTTTGAGATACGTCCCATCAATACCTTGTTTATTGAGAGTTTTTAGTATGAAGGGCTGTTGAATTTTGTCAAAGGCCTTTTCTGTGTCTATTGAGATAATCATGTGGTTTTTATCTTTTGTTCTGTTTATATGACGGATTACATTTATTGATTTGCATGTGTTGAACCAGGCTTGCATCCCAGGGATGAAGCCAACTTGATCATGGTGGATAAGCTTTTTGATGTGCTGCTAGATTCGGTTTGCAAAGCAGCAGTACACCCACTTCTAAGCAGAGACTTCTGCCCCCCAGGAACGAGCAATGAATGCGGACATGAGGAATGGAGAAGCAGGGCACTGTGCCCTCATGGGAATCCTCACCCAAGGGCACATCTGCTCCCAGTCAGTGGGCTTTTTTCCACTGAAACTAAGAGAGAATAGCAGATATGAATTTAAGCAAATAATCTAAATCACGAAATCTAAGGAAAACCACCTCCATGGGAAAAAAAAAGAAAAAAGAAAGCATTAAACTAAAGGACTAGGAATCAAATAAGTAAAAGGAAGTAACAGATTAAACCAACAGAGATTGTATAACAAGTATAATTAATATCCTCAACAGGATAAGGGCGTACACTGCATTTGTGAAATTAGAACAAATTTTATGAGGAAGAAACAATTAGAGATGCGAGAAATGGAAATATATGATTGTTGAAACAAGTTTAATGGATTTTTTTCCTGAATATCAGTATAGGCAGAGCTAAATAACAAATTAGTGAGCTGGAAATTTGAGTATTGAAATGTTACTTCATTACAGAAAAAGAGATGTTAAGTATGGAGAGAAAGTTGCACTTCCAACATTAGAAACAGGAATTAAAGAAGAAGCCAGAAGGAATACATGGAATGCAATATTCAAATAAATAATTGAGAGAAGTTCCCAAGATTAAAAAAAGGAGAAGAAGAAGGAGGAGGAAGAAGAGGAGGAGGGGCAGGGAAGAGGAGGAGAAAGGTATAGTGGCTATGAGTGAAAGTGTTTAGCAAGATGAATGGAAAAGTAGCCAGTCCTAGATAATCAGGGAGAAATTTTAGAACACCAATAAAAGAAAATTCTAAACCCTCTAGGTAAGATTTATTGTACTTTCCTTGGTAGCATTAAGCATTTTTTTAAAGGAAGCAGTTATCTTGAAGTTCTGAAAATTATGTGAGTTGTAAAATTCCTTCTCCAGCCAAATATCAAGTATTAGGAAAAAACAAAAACTGTTATAGACACACAGGATTCAGAAAGTTTACCACCCTCTCTGAAAGATTTACTGCAAGATACATTCCTGGAAACTAATCCAAGAGGAAGATGAGATATTCAAGAAAGAGTAGTAAACAAGTAAAAAAGTAAAACTTTTAGTTCAGTCTAAATAAGTATGGATTATTTGAAAACTTTAATAAAAACTTGGAATTAAAACGCAGAAGATTGCAACATGAAAAGTATAGAAGGTGGCTGACAGGAAAGGGAACAGAAAAAGGAAATAAAATACTGCCCAAGTTCTTAACCTGTTTAGAATGAAACTGTAGATCTTGGTTAACTCTTAATGTTAATAGAAAACTTTAAATAAAATATAAATATGTGTGTTAAAAAATAGATAAGCCAGATAGAGGTTATATAACTTCTAAAGCATTAGGTTAAAATTAGAACAAAGAAGACAGTTCAGTAATGTCAGGAAAGTGGAAAAAGTAAACAATAAAATACAGGGTAAATAGAAAATAGAAAACAATTTGTCAGGAGCCAATTCAAACATACCAGTAATGTGATAAATTAGAGTGAGTTATATTCACTTATTAAATGAGATTCTCACAGTAAGTTTTGAAAAATAAGCTGTATATTTGCCCTTATGAGAGACTTAAACTAACATAACCAAAGAAATAGAAAGTCAAAGAGGAACTAATATACCAGACAAATGTAACAGAAGCAGCAAGGAGGCATATTAAAATAAGATAGAATTCAGGTTTCAGCATTAAAAGACCAAAAAGGGATATTTCATGCATCAGTACATGTAGAGCACTTTGCATAAAGCATGGCACATAATAAACAAGTTAAAAATTAGTTGTTATTCAAAACATAATCACTATCAGTAATATGATATGGCCAAAGTGGTGCTCAAAAGAAAATTATGCTAATATTAATTAATTAATGAGATATAAAAGGTTAAACACAAAGTTAAATAGCCAGTGAAACCTCAATCATTCTCTAAACAAGAAATATATTATTGGGAAAAAAAATATTAATTAAAAGAATTGGATATGCTTAAAAACCACACAAGTGCTAAAATGGATCAGGGTAAACTTGTTGCAAGCTGTTAAAAGAGATGTACTACTTCCTCCTTTTTCTGATTTTCTTTTGACCTAGGTGCTAATATTGCTTTCTTTTTAGGCTAATTGTTTTTATAATTTAAAAATAAAAACAGTAATTTTTCAAATGACAAGTATGTAAGTTCTCTATGCCGGAGTTGTTCTGGAGCTCCTTCATAGAAGTCCTGAGCCCTTCTTTAATTTACAGCACATTTCCACGCCATCTTTGCTCTTGGCACTGCCATACTTGAGTTGGTTAATAGGCCCCCAGCCCCATAGTAACTGTCCATGTGAGCATCCAGAATGCAGCAACTGACTCCCTATCCTTGTTCCCAAGAGAGAGAACCAATGAATCTAACACATTACCAGGAAAAAACAAATTTGCATATAGAGCAACAAGAACAATCTCCATTGTAGCCCTTTTGATGTAAGTTGATACTTTTATTAAAAATAGGCTGAAATTTCTTTAGAGCTCTTCGGAACAGTTTAAGCATCTTATTTTCCACAAATTATCCCCTCTTAAACTAAAATTTTAATTCATCCTATCCAGATGAATTGTTACCTCTGATTTAGAATATTTTCACAAAATGCTCATAAGGCTATAGAGGGATTTTATGTAAGCTTGCAATTCAAGGTAAATGAATTGAAGGTAGTGTGGCAGTCTGAGTTAACATTATATTAAGTGAGTTTTGTTTTTACAGTCATGTTCACTTTTATTAAAGTAAAACAACCACTTAAATAACATAAATAATAAATTTATGGAGCCCAGATACATTGTAACTAAAATCTTAAACAGTGCTAAAGACCTACAGGTAGATAAAGTGCAGACAGTTTATCTTTTGCTAAGTATATCCTTGATTAAAGATTGCTTGAGCAATAACACTTTGCATACTGTACTGCAACTTCATCTAAGGTTGTTTATTAATTATAGCATGAAAAAAGTAAAAACACTCATTATAATTTAGAAGTTCATTTGAATTACCACTTTGACTTATTTTAAAATGAAAATATCACTACATTTTACGGGAGGAGAAAAGGAAACCAACATTTATTGAGATTCTGTAATGTCCCAGGCAATACATCATTTTCTCTAAACAATCTCTAGTCTAGGTTATATTAGTGTCTTATTAATGAGAAAGCTGGGTGCTTTCTAACCGTTCTGAAGCCCAATATTCTTTATTAGTGTTGTTCCAAAGAGAGTGTAAATAAACATGCATGTCATAAAAACCTAAAACAAAATTAAATTCAAGAGGAACCAATTGAAGAGAAGAATCTTTGAAATGTAATGCATTCAGGGAAGGCTTCAAATTGAGCTCATCCTTTTACCTTCACCTAAGCTGTTCTGCTAGAGGTAAAACCTATAAATGCAACGATAGGTGGAGAAGGCTTCATTCAAAGTATACATCTTGCTAGACTTCAGAGGACTCGTACTAGAGATAAACCTCATGAATATAAATGAATGTGGAAGGTCTTCACCTATGGCACATCCCTTATTAAAGAGCAGAGCATCCATCCCAAATATAGACCTTATAAATGTAATGAACTTTTTCAACCTCAGAGAATTTATATGAGATTTTTTAAAAACCTTATGAATTTGGTCAATATAGGATCTTATAGCCAGGCTTTATTCTGGATCTTAGTTCATACTTAAAGTTGCCAACTTTAGGTGTTTTAATATGTTCTGGATAATATAAATTAAAAATTCATAGAAAATATGAAATGTTCCATTACGTTTAGTGACTTTTATGCTAATATTAGTAGGGAAAGGATCTGGCTAAGATATTATATCTCTAATTCCTATGTTCATATTCTTAATATTTTCATCAACCTATAATGAGATAATTTAAATTTTCACTCTGAATTATAATTCATATAAACTGAATGCCTGACTTTTTCCTGGAAATTATTTGCTTACTGCAAAGAAAATGAGCAAAGTAAAAGTCTAAAATTTCCCCCCCATGCTAATTCCCATTCTTCACTGTTAAACTGTTGGCATATAGTCATTCAGAAATTTTTCTATGATGATACCAAAAAAAAACCCGCAAAACACTAGAATCACATTTTGCATATTATACTTCAACTTGATTTTTCAAAACTTAACATATTATGAAAGTCCCTTCTAGTCAATAAATATAGACCTTCATTATTTCACAAAGGCCAGTTAATCTAACTGAACCCCATGTTGACAGACAAAGAATATTGTAGTAAACGTTCTTGTGTGCTTGTTAAAATATTTCTGAAAGGTAAGTTCCTAAAAGGAAAAGGAAAACTAGATAATCAGATGTGTATGCACACATATACATACTTATGTAGGTATATAATTTCAGTTTTGATAGTTATTGCCAAGCTACCCTACCAAGAATGCATATCATTCTTAAAAGTATTGAAGTGTGGGCTGGTTAAAATATAATTAATCCTAGTTACAAAGCATTCCAAAACACCTGATAGAGAAGACCATCAGCTTTCCAGCTAAGACACCTCTTTACATTATTTTTTGCTTACAAAAATATTACTCTTTTAATGGCAGAAAAAACAGAAAACCTTATTTTAAAAATATAAATTAAATATTATTGTGACCTTGCTATCTCTAAGGAACAGAGTTGCCTTAAGGCATTTTATTGATTAGAAAACTTTTTCTGTGCTCCAACTTCACCTCACTCTATTTGTAATAAATAATAGATACCACTGTATTTATAATAAATAAGGTAAGGGCTTTTTAATTTTAGAATTAATCATAAAAGAATAAATATAAATTGCTGCATTGTAGAGAGCTCTCTCCCTCAGGCAGACATTCCTTCAAATGCACTTCACATAGAACTGCATTTCCTTGGGGAAAGCATAATTTAAACCACAGAGAAGTAACATACCTTTGGAGGAAAATTGCCATGCCATCCGAGATGTTGACAGAACTATAGAGCTCCTCAAATAACCACTACTGGTCTCAAAGATTTGGTTATATTATAATTTTACTTCATGTAATTATTATATTTGGAGAGAGTCAGGAACTATATAATTTTTGTAACAGGAAATGACCACAACTTTGTGACCTTGTAAATTGGGACTTTGAAGTCCGGGGAGTAAAGACTCTACCTGAAGTCCCCCAGTAGTTGATAGAGCTCTGGGATCTCCTTAAGGATACTTGGCCTCCAACCATGTTTGAGCCAGTGTTTACACAAATTCATGAAAGAATGAGCTTGTGCTATAACAGGCTCCTCCTGAATTTTTAATAAATGCAAAGTAAGTTATTCAAAGCAACAGGACTTTTGCAAAACATGAATCTTGTAAAAATTCAGTAAAGCAGATTTATCTCTGCCTTTTTCTCTTCAAAGTAGACTAAACTTCCCATTTTACTTGATTATAAATATTTGGATTTCTAAAGGAAGTAACTTCACTTTTGTTATCTTCCAACAGTTAGCGTGGGAGAAATAAAACCTAATTGAGAGAAAAAAATGGATATGTCAGACTTAAATAAAGATTAAAAGTTATTATACGGTCTGAATCATATCTCACACAATGTTGTGGTAGAAGTGATAATAACTCATTTAAATTAATCTAGAAAAGTTTTTCATTTACGACAAATAAAAGAAAAAGACTACTAATCTCATTTCTCACTTAAATAGAAGGTTCTTTTAGTCCATGAAAATTCTTTTTCAATTTAATTTTTCACTTTAATAATACTCTAAAGCAGATAGATATCAAAAAGGAGTCATCATCTGCATCATTTATAACCTTAACTTGCTTTGTGGATCAGTAGGCTGAGTGGTTTAATTGGGATAAATGGAGCAAGCAAAAGACCAATGAACCAGTGTGAAATTTTCATGTATGCGTCAAGAGAGGCTCCTGGTTAATTTGCGAATGATGCAATACTATTAAGAGCTGTTTCAAAAAGTTACTATTCCATGTGCTTGCTCCTTGAATGATTGATGTAATCTGTTAAAATTTTTTTAAAAGAATTTTCTAATATTTTTGTCCCAAATCTATTACAAACTGGGATGGTTCAACCTAATCATCCTGGCATACATAATATCCTTTTTACAACTGTAAGAAAATCAGAGCAAATCAAGAAAGAAAAGATCTAAATTTTAGAGCTGAACAGGTGGTTGGCCTTAGGCAAGCCACTTACCCTTGTGTGTCCCAGTTTCTTCCAAATGTAGACCAGTTAATTGTGTGAATAACAAAGGCCAAATTAGACATGGCAAGAAATTAAAGAGAAATTGGTTTTAAAATGTCAAATATTTCAACTTTTTAAATATTAAACACAAGATCAAAGTATCAAGCTTCTCTCATAAATTATACAAAGTATACAATTATACATATATAATTATATGTCATACCTTTTGTTTTACTTGAGACAGAGTCTCCCTCTGTCACCCAGGCTGGAGTGCAGTGGTGCAATCTCAGCTCACTGCAACCTCCCCCTCTCAGGTTCAAGCTATCCTCATGCCTCAGCCTCCCAAGTAGCTGGGATTATAGGTGTGCACCACCATGCCCGGCTAATTTTTGTATTTTTAGTAGAGACGGGTTTTCACCATGTTGGCCAGGCTGAACTTGAAATCCTGGCCTCAAGTGATCCGCCCACCTTGGCCTCCCAGAGTGCTGGGATTACAGGCATGAGCCACCACTCCCAGCCTGTAATGTATTTTAAAATAATTCACATATCTCCTTTGATATCTGTTGCCAAATGTGTGATATTATAGATATATGCTATTTGTTTGGTGTTCCTAAAAATTATTTCCCTGGATAGTCTTTGCTTTGAAAATAGAATTAACTAATTCTAAAGTAAGCATACATGATAAACTTTGTGCAAGGAATAAATATACATGTTTTCAAAAACTAGAATGATTAAACATTTTACCTAAAATAGCTGTAATTCTGTTTGCATATTCATGACTTCCAACAAAGTTTGACTGCTTAATGAAATTTAGTAAAACTACTGTCCATATATTGAGAACTCAGCCTGTGGCTTAAATATATTGCTTAGAGACACTTTGATATATAAGCTTTGGATGAAGAAATTATGGCTAATAAACATTATATTTATTTTCCTGAAAAGAAACATATCTTCATGCCTTAGGATAATTATTAATATTCAGTAACTAACAATTGTTTTTATTTATAAAATTGCTTTTTATATAATAAAGTCACCAAGGATATTTAGAAACAAGAAAAAAGTTAATAACCAGACTACATTTAAAAATTGATTATTTAACATGTTAAAATAAATTGAACCTACTCTAAAAGAGAAGCTTGCTGATTTGAAAGATGACATCGTCCTTTAATTTGTTAACACTCCTGATGACATAATTAAATGAGAGCCTAAAATGAACTAATTAGCTTACCTCTTTTAGTTCCCCATCATTGCTAATAGTAATCAGCCAGCTGAAAATTTGAAGCTGTGACAACAAGGCTGGCTGAGCTCATGCAATTCCTTTTCCTCTGCAAATCCATAGAAATGTTGGATCAAGTATGATAATTTTCTTCAATATGTAGCCCTAGGATAGGGGAGGAAATGAGCAGATACCTAAAACAAAGGGAAATTAAAAACCTGAGTAATAAGCCTTTAGCTGAAACTTAGGCAGTTCAGGATGGACTGAACATATGTAATCGAAGGCTGAAGATTAGAGTTAAAAATACTCACACAGGATCTTTGGCAGATGACAGATAGAACTGATACTCTTGTATAAATACGGGACCCTGAAGAGCTCCTTCTCCATAAAGAAGTAATTAGGATAACAACTTCTCTCATTGATTCAAGTGTGAAAAAAAAAATCTCCCAGAAGAATGGAAACTCCAAACAAATGTGAAATTCACATTCATTCCACCCAGGTGGTGGGAAAATTCTAAACTGAGGAATTAATGTAAAAAGAAATTCAGGACCAGGGAACCTCCAAGATGCTCACAAACGCAAATGCAGAACCCCTTTGTAAAAATATTTCTTCTACACAAAGTGTGTAAAATTAACACTGGAAATAAGTCCACTAAAGTTGAGCTCACAACAAGAATTATGATCTGTGTGATTTTATGATTCACCAAAAAGGACAGTCATCAGATATGACAAACAGAAGAATAAGTGCATTCCAATTGAGATAAGAGAGATATGAGATAAATATGATTAAATGATTTAAAAGATTTTTTAAATCTAAGTCATTTTGAAAGAAGAGGGTACTATGAGAAAAGAACAAGCAAATATTAAAAAGAATCAAAGAAGTGGGGCACAGTGGCTGACACCTGTAATCCCAGCACTTTAAGAGGCCAACATCGGTAGATTGCTTGAGCCCAGGAGTTTCAGACCAGCCTGGGCAACGTGACAAAACATCATCTCTAAAAGGAAAAATACAAAAATTACCTGGGCATGGTGGTGCCTCCTTGTAGTCTCAGCTACTCTGAGGAGAGCCTGAGGTGGGCGGTTCGCTTGAGCCCAAGACGTTAAGGCTACCATGAGCCATGAATTGCACCACTGCACTCCAGCCTGAACAACAGAGCAAGACCATTTCTCAAAAAAAATAAATAAATAAAAAATAAAAAAATCAAAGAAAACTTTTTAAAATGAAAAATACAGTGATAGAAATTAAGTATTAACTATAAAGGTAAAAATATAGAAACAACTGAAGAGAGAATTAGTATACTGAACTAGAGACAGATCTGAGAAAAAAACACATAATGCAATATAAAAAGAAATAAAGATTAATGAGAGAGTGAGAGACACGGAGAATAGAATATGACATTTCAATACAGGTCCCATAGAATTTCCAGAAGGAATATAGAATGAATAGAGGATAGTTAATATTTGAAAAGATAGTGACTTACATTTTTCCAGACCTGATTAAAGGTTTGAATCCCCAAACTGACAAGGTACACCAAGTTTCCATAGAATAAATAAAATAAACCTATACCTACATACACTGCAGAAAAATTTTAGAATACCAAAGACAAAAAAGCAACCAGAGAGAAAGAAAGATTATTTACAAAGAAGCAACAATTCAATAGATAACTTCTTATCAGTAACTAAAGAGACATCGGATTCTTGTCGAGATCCAAGTAGGGTTTTTAATAGAACTCAACAAAGTGATTCTAACATTCATTAGGAAGAGTTAACAAGGGCAACAGTAGCCAAGACAATTGTGAAGAAGTGAAAGGTGTGGCTGAGGGACAGAGGGAGCTCAGCTATCAAGAGCTATTTTACATATACAGATTTTATATATATATATATATATACACACACACACACACACACACACACCATATGTATGATATTTAAATTGGTTTGGACACGGAGATGGACATATAGACTAATGGAGGAAAAAAGAGAGGCAAGTTAATTGTAGAAACAGACTCACGTTTATAGGGGATTGTTATGTGACAGAAGTGGCATTACCAATAATTAGGGCCAACGGTTAACAGTTCTGGAATAAATGCCTATCTGTATAGAAAAAACCATATTGGATCTCAAACTCATTCCTTACCTCAAATCAATTTCAGGTTCATTAAAACCACCTAAATGTGAAAAGCAAAGCTTTAAAACTTTTAGAAGAAAATATAGACGAGTATCTCTATGATTTGAGGGTAAGGGAGAATCAGATAAAAAAGGCACAAAGCATAGAGAAAAGATAGATAAATTCTACTATATTAAAATTAAAACTCATCCATACATCCAACGACACATAAACAAAGTGAAAAAAAGTACAATACAGATAGTCAAGAAAAGATTACTACCTGGAATATATAAAGAATTCAAATCATAAGAAAGTGAGAGAAAGAAAAGAGTGATCCTAATACAAAATGGACATAAATAGGCAACTCAAGATAAGAGTGACCCCAACTGGCCAATAAACATGAAAATATATTTAGCCTCACTACTAATCATGTAAATGCAAAGTTGAGATAAAATTTCATAATCATCTAATAGGCCAAATTTTAAAAGCTTGACAAAATGAAGTGATGGCAAGCTTGTGGGGAAACAGGAACCTTCTACCCTCCTGGTGGAAACATAAATTTATCCAACAATTTTGAAGAGCAATAATGAAGTACCACGTTGCCCAGCAACTCCACTTCTAGATATATACTCTACCAGCCTTTCTCAGCAGAGATTCCTTCGTGATAACCCCAGAACACAGAAAATGATCTGGCTATGCCCTCAATTCTCCTAAAGCTGGTGCACCTGTGATTCTAGAGACAAAGGAGAAAAAGCAATTCACTAATATAATGGGTGCCTTGGGGCATTAGGACTCATTTCTCTCACAGACACCAGTTAAGAAAGGCTGATGGGGAAATTCCCACATGCATATGTAAACACACAAGGACCTTTTATATAGCATTGTTAATAATAACAAAAAAGATAGAAATGACCTAAATGTCTATCAAAAGTTTATGGTCATTCCCCCAAACACCAGTTTATGACTTCTGTTATAGCCAACATGTATTGGAAGGTTTTTGTTTGACTAGCTTCAGAGTCCTCTTGAATGTGGTGTGCTATAAATACGTGTTCCCCTAACCATGGAGCTGTCTTTGACCTTCTGCTTTGTTTTCACTTCTCACTGACACAACCGGGACTTGGGTAGCAACAGATGGGTCCGCCTTGAAAAGGTGAGGGAAAAGGAATCGGACAGACTGGTAGCAAGGGTAGAGAAAGAGTATGAGTAAGGGAACAGGCACCTGGGGCCATAGAGGTCAGTCCTCTATATAAGACCATCCATTTAGGCCTGCGAATCTTTAAAAGAGATCTAAACCTGAAAACCTCTCTGAATATTTTGGGCATTTAAAGTGTGTGCCTAGAACCTAGGCCAACAGAGAAGCTAAAGACCAGGTGGTCATTGCAGGGCTTGGATCTAGACAGGCAGATGGTGTAGCAAATATCTAAGGGGAAGAGGAGGCTGAACCATCAGAGCTATGACTGTAAGTTGATTCAGTACCAAAGCCTAAGCCTGGCAGCAATAGTAGCAGTAGGCATTAAGTACAAGTACAAGGGGACTTTGAGTGGAAGTGGTGGTCAGACCTGCCTGACGTGTGGTCGGGAGAAGAAGAGGGTGTTTCCCAATGTGCCAATTGAAAAGGCTGCTTTCCAGTTTGTGCCAATTTGTGCTAATGGCATGAATTGTCTCAGAGGACAGGGCAAGGATGTGACTAGAGAAAGCAGAGGAAAGTGAGGACAGGATACAGTCAGGAAACTCTACAGGTTTCATTTATTTTCTGAAGATGGAATCCCTTAATCCCGCCATCGCTCAACAAGAATTATTGAGGATCTGCTGGGCATTGAACACTGTGCTAGGGTCTCAGGACACAAAAATAAGACGCAGATCCTGTCTTAGGAGCTGACATATCAGGAATAAAGAAAGGCATGTAAAGAAACAATGGCAGTGTACTGGGAGAAATTAGATCACAAAGGAAGAATCTAACAGTCTGAGATGGAGTGGTGGGGCTGGGTAGGAGGAGCCAGGAAGTTTGGGAAAGACTGTACAGAAAGGTGTTTGATATTTCAAGGACATCTTAAAGAATGACCCTGAGTTTGTTTGATAGACAAAAAGTTAAGATTCAGAGGGCTGACAGAATGTTTTAGTGACTTTGAATTCACATTGTATGGCAAAAGAGTTTGGGTACAAGGCAGAAGAGACATGGTACAAGGCGAGAGATTGTGCTAGAAATGTTCTTGGGCCAGGCCAAGAAGGACTGCATGTTCTGCATTAAGGAACTTGGAATTTGTCCAGATAGCAATGGGGGAGCCCCTGAAAGACTTTAAACAAAGGAGAGATGTAATCATGTATGCAGTTTAGAAATATCACTGAGTGTCTACTAAATAGAGTCTGAACTCCCCTCTTTCCAAACTCTCCATGGATTTGTTCCACTGTACTATTCAAATGTATTTTTTACTCTCCCCTAACACACATCCTCCACCAAGGTCTATTGATTTCTGCACTGTTAATAGTGTCACCCGTTTCTTTTTTTTTTTTTTTTTTTTGTGACGGAGTCTCGCTGTGTCACCCAGGCTGGAGTGCAGTGGTGCAATCTCAGCTGGCTCACTGCAACCTTTGCCTCCTGGGTTCACACCATTCTCCAGCCTCAGCCTCCCGAGTAGCTGGGACTACAGCCATGCACCACCACACCAAGCTAATTTTTTTGTATTTTTAGTAGAGATGGGGTTTCACCCTGTTAGCCAGGATGGTCTCAATCTCCTGACCTCGTGATCCGCCCACCCCGGCTTCCCAAAGTACTAGGATTACATGTGTGAGCCACCATGCCTGCTGGTCATTCCCATTTCTTAGCCTATAGTCATGTGATTTCGTCAACACATTATGCAACTGTGGTAAGAGCATAGGCTCTGGAGTCACACTGCATGGCTTTGAATACTGTCCTCTTCCTTTGCTAGTCATTCTTAACCTCTCTTCATCTCAGTTTCTTCATCTAAAATTGGGGTAGTAATGGTGACTACCTCATAGGGTCACTGTGAGAATTAAATGACTTTAATGTGTAAAGGCCCTAGAAAAGGATCTGGCCAGGTAGTTAGCACTCAATAAAAGCCAGCTATTTTTATTCTCTTCTACATATCCAATTACCTGTTTGATGAGACCCAGTTTAAATCCCATCTCCTTTTTGAAAACTTGCTAGACTTTTGCCAATTCTTATGACTTTTCATTTTATTACTATTTTCAATAGGTAAAACATCATACAAGTATTTATATTATGAGTCTGTCTTTTATAATTCACTGTTTCCTTAGTTCATTGATTTCCCAACTCAACTATAAGTACTTAAAGAATGAAAAGTATCTCAGTCTGGAGCATGGCTCTGATCACAAGTAGACACACCGTATACAAGATTGATTAAATTCATCCCTCTACAGGAAAACTATAACTGTGAATGTAATGTGTTTAAAGTGTATTCACTACCTAAAATTTGTGTTTAAAGTTTAATCATTGCCTAAATAAAGTGCCATATCTTTATTTCAGAATTATTCATTACTAAGTAAGTAAGTGTCCCTCACTAAAAACTAAATGTTATTCTTTATAAAGATTTGGCTTAATATTCTAACTCTAACTCTTAATCCCCCTTTTTTTTTAGATGGGATGTCTTGGGAGCTGTCATTGGTACAGAATGTGGAACGATAGAATCAGGCTTATCAATGGTCTTCCTCAAAGATGGAGAGAGGAAATTATGCACTCCATCCATGGACACTACCGGTTATGGGAACCTGAGGTTTTACTTTGTGATGGGTAAGTACATTTTCACAAACTTTGTTCACCGTGGGGCAAATCCTAGGCCAGCACCTATTCCTGAGGAAGTAAGATTGTTTGTTGTCAACTACGTAAAATGAAAATTCATGAAACGTGAGCTCTCCAGACAGAGCAGAAGCCTGTGGTACTCCCCCGTGTTTCAGGCCAGCCCCGCTGGAGCCAACCTAAAGAGATCTAGTCATGGCTTGCCATGATGAGGCCTGAAGAAGAAATGCCATAATACCTTCCTTCCACCTCTCCCTCCATGGTCATAGCTGAAAAGACAATGAGAGATAAGCTAAAACAAAGCGATTTCTTTTTCCCAGCTTCCCCCCAAAAATAGTCATCAAGGTGAGCCTTTGTTTTCATGAATATCTCATCATTGCATAACTCTTTTGTAGTAGGAAGCTGAGAAATTTAGGTTAATACTTTAATAATACTCTCTATTTTCTAATATGTTTGCAAACACATTAAGAAAAACATGTGTTCATAAGTTATAGTTTTCTTCAAAGTATTGTAGAGCAAATAAAGATAGTTGGAAAATTACCCAAAAAGGAGTTAGAAGGTTGAACTTTGTGACCTCCAAAGTTAATCCTTTTAGTCAACAAGAGCCACAGTTACATATTCTCTCACTGATGTCATTCCAGAAATGTGAGTAGGTGTCACATGCCTTCTTTGTTGAGTGACTGGAAAAGCACAGGCAATATCTGGAAGTGAAACAGGAAATAAACACTGTCTACCTTTGAACTTACTAGCAAAGATGTCAGTTCATCAGGACAAACAGATCTCCTGAGTCTAACTTCAGCATTGACGATTTATTTCTCTTGTATTCCTCACTTCACCTTTTTGATAATCATACAGCTCAGGGTTGCATGGGAAACCTCAGATTGTATCATGCTCTCAAGCATATTACCTATGTGATGCTAACTCATTTTCCATAATTATGTGTTTGATAACAGAGAAATTGTGCATATAAAATAAAGTAATATAGTCTCACATTTAAGGACAACCTCACCTTCACTCTGAACTGGTTTGTCTATTTAAAGGCCCAGAGCTCATTTTCTTTACATAATTAGAATTCAAACTGGCTCTCATTTTATCAAAAGGGATTCCTGGAAAACCTTAAGCCCTCCTCCAAAAAAGTTGTAATAAACATTTAGTATGCCAGCCTAATTTAAGTTTTTTCCCTTTTCCCCATTTTTGACACAATGTATTTCATACCATATTTTGATTTTATTATAATAAATTAACCATATTTGGTGATTTATATGAGATTAAGTCATCATTATATAAGTTCCTTTATATAATTGTCTTTATATAAGATTAATCTTTAATTTTTTCTGGAACAAAGCATATTATTAATCAATGAATTAAAACAGTATTACTATGATGGGGAATTGATTTGAGTGAGCCCAAAGAAGTACATTATCCCAAGTAAAAGCCTCTTCATTCAATTAAAACAGTAAGGAATGCCTACTGAATATAGAGCCTTAAGCCAGGATATATGGAGAATACAAATGGGGAGAATAATGTCACCTAAATCACAGAGTTGCTGGTCAAATGAGTTAATGTATGAAAAGCACTCAAAACTGCCAAATAAATATTTAGACTCAGTATATCTCTGTTGTTATTGATATAAAAATTAATCTGAGTTCCCACCCACAAGTACCATCTGACTATAAGGTAGAATGCAGTGTGCTGTAATGGAATGAAATGCTATGAGAGTATAGAGGAAGCTGTAATTGCAGTGGAGGGATTAGGGTAAAGCTTCATGAAGGAGATGGCATTTGAACTCACCCTTGAAGGATGGGCATGATTTAAATTTAAGGAAGAGAATTCCAAGCTAAGCCATTATGAAAAAAGGGCACAAGAATAAAGGTATGTCATATGTTTGGGGCTGGGTGATTTTCCCAATATAGATAAGTGGAAGCACGTAAGATGGAACTAGAAAAGCAAATTGGAACCAGAATAGTGTTTTCTTTAATTCCTACTAAGGAGTTTGGATTTTCTTTCTCTAGGTAGTGTGGAGCTATCAGAAAATTCCTGTTAGTTCAGCATTACATTATCACCTGTGTTTTAGAAAAGTAATTCTAGCAGGAGTATGATGGAAGATTGAAATAATCAGAAATTAAAGGGCAAGAGATCAGTTAGGGCAGGGTTGCTAGATTTAGAAAAGAAATATATGTATAAGAGAGTAAGTGTGGAATAGAATATTTTGATGTTGCTTATGTTAAGATCAGGTTTCTGGAATGCCATATGAAGGGAGAAATTCTATTCAGAATTCGAATCAGATTCGAAAATCATCCATATGCAGGTGATAACTGGAGCCACTAGAACTGCTATGTTCTCCCAAGCAGAAGGTAGCATAAGACAAACAATTCTTAGGGAGAACCCTCATCTAGGTATAAGTAGAGGGGAAAATAGTAGTAAAGGAGACTGAGAAAGAACATAAACAGAGGTGGGTGGAAGGTGTCATTGGAGCCTACAGGAGGAAGGAAGACAGTGGTTTGGGGGTAATGGCAGGGAGATGATCAACAGTGTAAGGAATGCCAGAGAGAGAGAGAGAGAGAGATCAACCAGGATAAGGGCTGAGAGGCCACCAGTGACTTTGGAGGGAGTTTCCCCAATGGTGTGGTGCCTGGAAAGCCCAAGTATAATACATGGAGTTAAAAATAAAAATAAAAATGTGTCACTGAAAGAGGAGGATGGCTACTTCAAGAGTTTTATCAGTAGAGAGAAGAAAAGAAATGGTGGCCAGATCTTGAGGGAACAGCAGCACCCAGGAAAGGTGTTTTTAGGATGGGATAGATGGATAGGATAGGGTAGGGTGGCATAGGGTAGAGTAAGGATAGGGTAGGTTATGGTAGGATGGAATATGGTGGGATACGATAGGGCAGGATAGATAGGATAGGACTGGACCTATAGAAAACACTTTAAAACTTTCTTGGCTGATGGGAGATAAAGCCATATGGAAAGAGATTTAGAATGAGATAGTTATAAGTAGCCCCTCACTAAATACAGTACCTTAGGAAAATCAGACTGATTGTTAATCTGGATTACATCACAGTCTCTCCCTCTCAGGCCCTGACTATATGTTCTGCCCTTGGTTCACATCAGTCTGCTGTGAGCATATTTCTGGAAAACTTGCTCAACTTTCAAAGTTCAGTTCAACGTCTATTTTCTTTATTCATATATTGACGTATTCAACACATTCATTGAGGACCAGTACAGAGCACTGTTCTTAGAACCAGAATGCAGTGTATTAGACAAAAAATAACCTAAGAGACATCAACTCATTCGTGTATTTGTTTATTGTTCCTCCAACAAATATTTACTAGGCATCTGCTATATGCCCAGCTCTTTTAGCTCACATTGTACCCTTTTCTCTGAATTTTTACTGCAATTAGGGCAGCACAACACAGTTTACTGCCTATTATTATTCTTTAAAAATGACTTAAAACAATATTTAAAATATTTTAAAACTGACTGCCCCGTTTGTTTTTATTGAAATCTTCCTGCACCTTAATTTCTGTACAAGATGCCTCTGAGTCACACCTTTCCACAAGGTGCCAAAGGCTATGAAGCTGAAGAAGAATCCATATCTCCCTGTAGAAGCTGCTGTCATTGACACTTCACAGAACTATAAATTGCTCCCGGAAGAATCTTTCAGATAAAATCTGTCATCATTTTAAAGTCTTGGCTCCTTTAGGACTTTTTTCTTCTGCCATTCTGGGCTGGGTGTGGCTCTCACGTGTGTTTCAGTTATCTCTGAAGGGCAGATGCAGTTCATGAACTGTTCTTAAGAGAGCAGAGAGAAGTTACAGAAAACAGATGAATGAAATTAGAGAAAACTGATAGTTCAGTGCCTGCGTCATTAGGTATGGTGCACTAAACCCACACTGCCTGTGATTATTCACCTTTTTTGTCCTTTTTTGGTAAATCCTTAATATATAATTATAAATATCCTTATATGTATATATTGTCATATATACGTATTTATATATAATCCTCAATTTAAAAGTTTTGTTTTCTATTAGGAATTTCATTTTCACGTGGATTTTTTCTCCAGAGACCATCAATTACAATGGCTTTAGTAGCTGTATTTATCATAACACTGAAGCATGTAAGGAAATGCTTGAATATATGATATAAATGTCAAAATCATAAGATTTTTCTCCACAGGTTGTTGAACAGTAAACATTATTAGGATGAGATATACATTGTCACCATACTTGACTTCTCCATTCTCAGTTCAAATTACCTAATCCAGTAAATATTTATTATATGCCAAATTACATGTGCCTAACATGTGTAGCATGCCAGATTTCAATGCTTTGCAAAAACCATCCTCCAAGACTTACCTATTGAGTGGTAGTAAAGGTTTGAAGTCAAACAGAATAACATTAAAGACATGCTTTACTTTGGGACTATGGGCACATTATATAACCTTTCTTGGCCTCTGTTTCACTATCAGCAAAGTGGATCTATATACCTGAAAATGTTGTTAAGGGACGAAAAGAGATAATCCTTGTACTTGATTTTACATGGTGCATGGTTCATAGTAAGTATCTAATGAAAAGTAGGCATTTTTACCCTTATGTTATTATTAATAATACTGAAGGAGTCTGGCTCCAAAAGAAACCCTGATCCATACAGTACCAACCACCATTTGCAACATCAACTCTTTGTCAAAACAAAAACCCACAAATTTCCTTGGGAATAAACAAAATTATTGGGCGATTTTCTCACAAATGACTCAAACATAAAAACAGTGTGTCATGAGCTAGAAAATTTGATCTACCTGTAAAACCTTTCAGACCATGGCTTCACCCTGTAACTCACTGCTATCCCATAAACTGAGCTGTTCTAGGAGCACACCAATGGGGTGAGAATGTGTGCTAAACTCTCTCCTTCCCTGGCTCAGCTAGAAACTCTAGTAACAGGCTCACCCCCAGATTCCTACAGCTGTCTCCAGTTTGTCTTAAAGGGCTTAGTTTTCAAGTCAGACACTAGCTTTTCTGCCATCAAGCCAACTTCCTGGGTTGCTTCCAACTGATGTATACTCAGATATGCCAAATAATTTTAGAATTCACCTAGGACAATTTAGTTAGGAATATTTGCACAACATAATTCCAATAGTGTATTTTCAAAGCCAAATATAAATCATCTGTTATTTAAATTATTAATTTAGGTCATCAAAAGTTGTTGCATTGCGGGAGATGAAATAAGATGTGTCATATAGAGAAGACACCTGGCCAATCAGAATGGGCCTCATAGGTGACCTTAATGAGGTTACTGCAGTCAACTGTACAGGTCTCAGGTTTATAGATTCAGAAAATGAGTTTTCTTAATTACTCCAGAGCTGACAAATTGGAGACTGACTCATGCTCTAAGCTCAGAGGAGGCTTATGAACAAATCATAATTCTCATCAATAGACTATGGAAATTTAACTGCTAAGCATGAGGGAATAATCAATGTTTATGGGATCAAAAAAGATATATATCACCCAGTAATTTTAATGGCAGCGGTTCCAGAACTATGATAGCCTGATGCATCCTGTTCCACTGTGGGACACATTTTGCAAATGAATCCTCAAGATTTGCCTTGGTCATTAAGGACTTCTCTATTCCTACCCAGTGTATGGACATCCTATGAAAGTCTTGCCCTCTGATATCTACTTTTGTCTAATATTCCTTCTATTGTTCATGAAGTTTATTGTACTAATTCAGTTCTAGCTTTCCCGCTTAATATCACATATCAGTCATTTCTCCCCAAGATCAGACCCAATTACTCAGGTCGAGTTTGACCCAGGCATTTACAAACAATTGACACTTTCTTCTTAGTTTATTTAATATCAAATGCTAAGTCTCAGCCATTATTTGTGTATTTTACTAGATTAACTCTCAGAGGGTAGTTTTATTCTAGAATGTTGATGTTGTTTTACTGTCACCAGAGAGTATTAGCAACAGCAATTGCCTGTAGATAAAAATTAACACTGATGGTGGTTGATTTAGGAACTGAAGGAATTTTAGAAAGACAGTAATAAAAGAAAAAGAAGTTAGTGTTATAAATATGGGGACTTAGGGATAGAATATTTGCCAGGAAATACATATACATGCCCATAGTCCCAGCTGTTTTGGTTGGTACTATTATGAAGGATAATGGTGGCTTAAGAGAGGCTTCTAGTTAGACATGTCATCCTTTAATATTCAGGTTATACAGACAGTTAATAGAAGCAAACAGTAGCAAGAATTGTTGACTGGGACTAGGCGTGGTGGCTCATGCCTACAGTCTTAATGCTTTAGAAGACAAAGGTAGGAGGATTGCTTGAGCCCAGGAGTTCAAGACCAGCCTGTGCAACATAGGGAGACCCCGTCTCTACAAAATAAAATATTTTAAAAAGAATTATTGATGGAATGCAGTTATGAAAATAATAGGTTAGAAGACATACATGTACCCCTGGCTCTTCCACTAGTTAGTTACATGATCTTAGCTTCAAGTACCTGCTCTGTCATTCAGTACCATCATCAAGATGATCTTAATTGCTCTTCAGCTTCAATGGCATATTGTTTTCCATGACTATAAAGTAGAGTAATAGAGAATAAAATACTCTATGTACCTTCTAACAATCAAATGAGGTACCAAATATAAAAATGAAAAATGTAAAACAAATTGCATTTAAAGTACAAATAATATGCTAAAATATTAAAGATACTATGTGCAACAGTTTGACTAACACTACTTCAGAATTCCTTGATGCAGGAAGTCATCACCCTTGTTTTAAAACCATAACCAACAGGTTCTGAACTTTGGTCATAAAAACCTCAAATTAAGGAAATAACAGTTTATTAAAAAGCAGAACACATCTTTTTAATGTGGGTTAGAACATGGACGTGTAGTTGCTGCTCAAAGTAGACAATTATTTGAGTAATCTCATGAAGCAAATAGCTACTTTGGCCTTCACAAATGTCAAGTCTTTGATCTTTAGCATGGCCTACTTGAACTATCGTTATAAATTATTTCCTTGAGTCTGTTTACCTTTGTTTAGGGTTATTCTTAAGTGACATCTGGGTACTATAATGATTTTTCATTCTGAAATTTAACACTATATTTGATATGTTTATGGATGCTAGTTGGTACTAGCAACTTAAAATTTTTGTTTTGTGCAGGAGGAATTTGTGACCCTGGAAATTCTCATGAAAATGACATAATCCTGTATGCAAAAATTGAAGGAAGAAAAGAGCATATAACACTGGATACCCTTTCCTATTCCTCATATAAGGTACACATGCCAGTCTGTGTGGCAAATAGACCACCTCAGACCACCCTGGACAAGCCCAAGTCAAAACCACAAAGACCACTCCAGATGCAGAAGATACATCCCTGTTCTGACAGGCCAGAGGTCGCCAGGTTTCTTTAAAAGTGAAATAGACATTTTAACCTTCATATTTTTTCCTAATACAAATGAAAAATGAGTTATCAGGAAGGAAGAGTGAATTACAGTCCATCAGACAGTAAGGCAGAACCCAATACTCTGACAGTTATTCTTGTCCCCAAGAAAGCCCTAAATGTAACTCTAATTATGCCCCCTCATGCACTTGCTGTCAGTCATAATGAGTATTTGTCCAGCATTTTGAGATCTCCTGGGTAGAAGACACTGTAGAAGCACAGGTTATCTTTGCTTTTTTCTTTGCTAACTAGAGCTACCGATTGAGGTTGGCCTTTTTTCTTTACCCTTTGCATATAGAACAGGTGTTAGCTCTGGTTATTTGCAAGCATCTTCAAAATTATGTGAGATACTCGTCATAAAGTGTAAAATTATTTTTTGTAAAAGTAGATTTGTTTGTGCTGAGGCCACACCCACATACTCATTATTAGTTAGTCTTTTCTTTGCACTGATGGTACCCTAAGTACTTTTAAAAGCTTAAATGCAGCTAACATCTAGCATTTCAGGGTTTAAGTTAGAAAGACAAAACAAACATCAAGGTTAGAATGGGAAACAACCAGAGTGAATATCCAGCACATTCCACATGCAAGGGTAACCCAAGTTATACCATTTGGGATTTCATAAAAGACGATATTTCCAGCAGTGGCAAGGTAGAACTATACCTGCCGTGGTCATCTTCATGCCTCATATCAAATCAGCTTTGTGAGTTATAATGCATTGACTCATTGGCTCTGGTTGTTTCTGTCCTATTTTCACAATACTAGTTTGGAAAGCCCTTAGCTTGATACCAATCCACTTTCAAAGAGGACTGATGATAAAGTATAAATGTCAAGTTGCCTTTGTCTTGTGCTAATTAAATAAAATGGATACACATGCTTAGATAACTCTTAAAGACCTTATATCAGTTTATCTTCAGTTAGGGAGAGCCTGATCAAACACACGCAGAGACCCCCACCTCGTGCACAGGAAGAATTCTGAGTCACTAAATCGAATGCTCCTTGAGGATAGCATCTTCTTCATGAAATAACAAATGCAACACAAAGGACGTGTCCTGGTGCTTAATAAATGGCAGTTATGTACATAGCGTTCATTAGGTCAAATCTAGGAGAATTTACATGGACTAGCCTAGAAAGGATTTTGAGTGATTCTGGTCTCCTTTGTTTGAAAGGTTCCGTCTTTGGTTTCTGTGGTCATCAATCCTGAACTTCAGACTCCTGCTACCAAATTTTGTCTCAGGCAAAAGAACCATCAAGGACATAATAGGAATGTCTGGGCTGTAGACTTTTTCCATGTCTTGCCTGTTCTCCCTTCTACAATGTCTCACATGATACAGTTTTCCATCAATCTGGGATGTGGAACGCATCAGCCTGGTAACAGGTAGGAAGCCCTATTTTGTAAGTGTGCAAAACTAAAAATGAGTTTGCAGATTTGGCTATTAAATAAGAGGTAGTTTCTAGGTAGAGTTTTAACTGGATTTTAAGTAAAATACTCATTGATGAAATAACACACTTTTGCCAAATGAAAAGTTCTTCAATTAATATGAGGGGTATGATTGGATAGATTTCAAGTAGGAATGGCTTCATTCTAAGAGCTTGATCTTAGGTATCAGAGGTGTTTGCATGTGCTGTGGCAACCATCCATTACAACAGATTGCTAAGAGAGAAAAAAAAAAAAAAGCAACTGAAAAAAAGCTTGACCTCCTGTCGGCTGGTGACCTGCTAATAATAAGCATGGAAATCAATTAGCATGTCAAGAGCTATGACTTCTCAGTTTCACTTGCCCAAGTGTTGCTCATATTTTTTCTAGGAATTTTGTCGGTGTCACATTCACAGGATGAAGTGACAGTGTGAGACATGGTAATTGCCTTGCCACCTATCAAACTCAAGAACACAAACTCAAGTTACCATTTGTTGTCTTTGAAACATAGTTTGTTTATAGCAGTAATTTAACTGATTGCCCTTTGAAAGCTGGTCAGACTTTAGTGAAAGAGAAAACAATCATTTAGGAAACAGCATCTTTAAAAAATTTTACACTGTTTTTACAGTTGTTTAATGTACTTAACCAGAGTTGAAAATTTCATTTGATTTGTTATCTTTACCCTCCCCACCTTTTGTGTGTGCTTGTTCTGGTTTTATTAGTGTCAGCTTGGAATTTTCTACCAACCATGGGCGCTCCTGGTCCCTCCTTCACACTGAATGCTTACCTGAGATCTGTGCTGGACCCCACCTCCCCCACAGCACTGTCTACTCCTCTGAAAACTACAGTGGGTGAGTACATTCTCTCTGAGATATTGAAATACTTGAATCCATGTTGCAGAATAAAAATCAATGAGTTATCCTGAAATTAGCATTTTTGTCATAATAGGTAAGAAACCTAACCTCTTTAAAAGTGGTCTTGTAAAAAAGAAAGAAAGAAAGATAGTATCTTTGGTAAACTGGATGCAAGATTACAATGAACATTTGTAAGGCCATTCATTCTTTATGTACTTGACTTATATTTTGGACTGCATGAACTTAAATTCTATATGGCAGTTCTGTGGTTATTGCCACGCTACTTATAGAGAAATGCAGCATAGAAAAAATGGAAGAAAGTTAAATTTTGAAATTGGACCTGGATTCCATTCTGTGTAATCATATTTACTCTCCCTGACTTTCCACTTTTTTCTGTATAATTAAAGATTTAATATACCTCATTGGGGGCTATTAGGAGAATTAAAGATGATTATATAAAATACTTGCCACATTACAGAATAAGCATTATGAGAATAGTAAAAATATTTGCAAGAATGGCAAAATTAAGTTGGGAATTATTTTCTTTGTTATCCCCTTTTAAATGTGTGTAGGGCTAGGGGAGAACAAAAAATAAAAATAATTGATGCTAATTAGCAGTACATCTCTGCACAGATGCCTAGCATAAGATAATATCTAAGGTCTGAGCACTGATGGAAAAATTTCTTAAAAGAATATATAAAAACTAAATATCCCTCACTATTAAGAATAAATTGGCTAGTTATGATGACTCACACCTGTAATCCCAGCACTTTGGGAGGCCAAGGTAAGGGGATTTCTTGAGGTCAGAAGTTTGAGACCAGTGTGGGCAACATAGTATGAGACCTTGTCTCTACAGATATAAAAATTAGCTGGGTGTGGTAGTATGCTTCTGTAGTCCTACCTACTCAGGAGGCTGAGGCAGGAGCATAGCTTGAGCCCAGGATTTTGAGGCTGCAGTGAGCTATGATTGTGCCACTGCACTCCAGCCTGGACAACAGAGCAAGACCCTGTCTCTAACAATAAATTAAAGCTTTAAAAATGTTTAAGTAATATAAAATAACAAATCCATTGCTCTGGCATACCGTGGATGTTTTTACAAATTGTATGTCTGTTTTAAAGATACAAACAAATTCCACAAGTGAATTTAAAGAGTTTATTGGTAAACTTTAGTGCTTTTCCAAGCACACAGAAGCTAGAACATGAAAACCATGTAAAATAGATTCTAAAGATATGAACATAGTTGTGAAGATGGTTTTGTGCTAAATTTCTTGCAGGTGGAACCGAATAACAATTCCCCTTCCTAACGCAGCACTAACCCGGAACACCAGGATTCGCTGGAGACAAACAGGACCAATCCTTGGAAACATGTGGGCAATTGATAATGGTTAGTGTTTATGCCTGTCATAATCACATGCCATTGATGTAGAGTCTTCCTGTGCTTTTGTTCGTCAGCACAGACTTAATCACATTTCTAAGTCATGGTCTTGCAATTCATTAAACACCCTTTCTTCCATTTCTCCTTTGCATTCTGTTAGAAGCCTAGGGATGTGCAATCAGGAAAAAAAAAAAAAAAGCCAGTGAAGTCAGCAGTATTAGATGCTAGAATGTTTCACATACATAAATAAAAAATGCATAAAACCTTGAAACTGAAATTCACAGTTGATGACAAGGGATATCCTAACATTTTCTTTGAATGTTGTATAAAATTAACATAAATATTGATCATACTGCATGTATTAAAATAAGACCCATTCTTCTCTTAGTAACTACCACAACATCTGGAATGCTTTTCTTTTACATGCAGACAACACACAGAAGGAAACATCATCTCTAAAAAAAGGAGGTGAAACTTTTACCTCCTTTTCAGAAAATAGTATAGAAAGAAAACTTAGATATATATCTTTTTAAATCTTTTATCTTTCATTTTCAAGTGAATTTTTGGAATTTTGCATCATTTTAAAGTCGATACCACTTATGACAATGACAGAAGATATTTTAAGCTCTTGGGTTGCATGTCTGTACATTTCTTATACTTGTTATTAATCACCAACTCTTTGGTTTTTGTCTTTCTATTTTTATTTTTATTTTTAAGGATTCAGTGGGTACAAATGTAGTTTTGTATATGAATATATTGCATAGTGGTGAAGTCTGGACTTTTAGTGTAACTATCACCCAAATAGAGTACAACGTAATTTATCATCCCTCACCCCCCTTCCATCCTCCCACCTTTCTGAGTCTCCAGTGCCTGTTATTCTACTGTCTATGTCCATGTGTACACATTATTTAGCTCCCGCTTATAAGTGAGAGCATGTGGTCTACAACTTTCTAAGTAATATCACTTAGGATAATGGCCTCCAGTTCCAGCTATGTTGTAGCAAAAGACACGATTTCATTCTTTTTCATGGCTGAGTAGTATTCCATGGTGTGTTTGTGTGTGTGACATACTCTTTAATCATCCATTAATGAACATTTTAGTGGATTCCATGACTTTACTATTATGAACAGTGCTGCAATAAACATACAAGTAAAGGTTTCCCTTTAATATACTGGTTTCTTTTTCTTTGGGTAGATACTCAGTAGTGAGGTTGCTGGATCAAATGGTAGTTCTAGTTTTCATTTTTTGAGAGATATCTATACTGTTTTCCAGAGGTTTTACTAATTTAAATTCCCACCAAAAGTGTCTAAGAGTTTCCTTTTCCCCCACGTCCTCACCAGTATCTGTTATTTTTTTACTTTTTAATGATACCCATTCTGATTGGAGTAAGATGGTATCTCATTGTGGTTTTAATGTGCATTTCTCTGATAATTAGTGATGCTTAGCATTTTATATACCTGTTGGTCATTTGTATGTCTTCTTTTGAAAACTGTTTGCTCATGTCCTTTGCCAACTTTTTAATGGAACTATACGTTTTTTCTTGTCAAGGTATTTGAGTTCACTGTTAATTCTGGATATTAGTCCCTTCTCAGATGCATAGTTTGCAGATATTTTCTCCCAATCTGTAGGTTGTCTGTTCACTGTGTTGATTATTTCTTTTACTGTGCAGAAACTTTGGGCTTAATTGAAGCCCCTTTGTCTTTTTGTTTTTGTTTTTGTTGTCTGTGCTTTTGAGCTATTAGTCATTAATTCTTTGCCTAGGCAAGTGTTCAGGAGTTTTTCCTAGATTTTCTATATTAATCCATTCTTGCACTGCTATAAAGAACTACCTGAGACTGGGTCATTTATAAAGAAAAGAGATTTAGTTGTCTCACAGTTCCATGGGCTGTACAGAAAGCATGGCTAGGAGGTCTCAGGAAACTTACAATCATGGCAGAAGGCCAAAGGGAAGCAGGCACGTTTTACATGGCCAGAGAAGGAGGAAGAGAGAGTGAAGGGGGAGGTGCTATATACTTTTAAACAAACAAATCTTGTTAGAACTCACTATCACAAGAACAGCAAGGGGGAAATCCACCCCCATGATCCAGTCACCTCCCACCAGGCCCCTCCTCCAATATTGGGGACTACAATTTGACATGAGATTTGGGCAGGGACACAAATCCAAACCATATCAGTTTTCTTCTAGGATTTTTATAGTTTCATATCTTACATTTAAGTATTTATTCCATCTGAGTTAATTTTTGTGTATGGTAAGAGATATGGGTCCAGTTTCATTCTTCTGCAAATGGCCATCCAATTTTCCCAGCACCATTTATTGAATAGGGTGTTCTTTCCCTAGTGTATGTTTTTTTGAATATTGTTTAAGATCAGTTGGCTGTCTGTAGATGGCATTATTCTGGGCTCTCTATTCTGTTCCATTGATGTATATGTCTATTTTTATACCAGTACCATGCAGTTTTGTTTACTATAGTCTTGTAGTATAATTTGAAGTGAGGTAATGTGATGCCTCCAGCTTTGTTCTTTTTGCTTAGGATTGCTTTGGCTATTCACTTTCTTTTGGTTCCATATGAATTTTAGGATTGTTTTTTTCTAATTATGTGAAAAATGACATTAGTATTCTGATAGGATTTGCATTGAAGCTGTAGATTACTTTGGGCAGTGTGATCATTTTAATCATATTGGTTCTTCTAATCCATGAGTATAGGATGTTTCTCCATTTGTTTTTGTCCTACAGTTTTTTTTTTTTCATCAGTGTTTCATAGTTTCTCTTGTAGAGATCATTCACCACCTTGGGTAAATGTATTCCTAGGTATTTTGTTTGTAGCTATTGTAAATGGGATTGACGTCTTGATTTTATCCTCCGTTTATTATCGTTATATATAAATGTTCCTGATTTTTGTACATTGATTTTATATCCTGAATCTTTACTGAAGTCATTTATCAAATCTAGGAGTCTTTGAGAGAATTTTTTAGGATTTTTTAGGTATAAGATCATATCATAACCAAACGGAGATAATTTGACTTTATATTTTCAAATTTGGGTGCCTTTTATTTCTTTGTCTTGCCTGATTGCTCTAGATAGTACTTGCATTACTATATTGAATAGGAGTGGTGAAAGTGGGCATCCTCATCATGTTCCAGTTCTTAGAGGGAGTGCTTTGACTTTTTCCCCATTCCATATTATGTTGGCTTTGGGTTTGTCATATACGGCCTTTATTATTTTGAGGTATGTTCTATCTACACCTAGTTTGTTGAGGGTTTTTATTGTGAAAGGATGCTGAATTTTATCAAATGCTTTTCTGCATCTATTAAGATGATTTGCATAGGTTGAGCCATCCTTGCATCCCTGGAATGAAACCCACTTGATCATGTTGTTTAGATGTGCTGTTGGATTCAGTTTGCTAATATTTTGTTAAGGATTTTTGCATCTATGTTCATAAGGGATATTGATCTGCAGTTTTCCTTTTTTGTTGTGTCCTTGCCTGGCTTTGGTATCAGGTTTATACTGACTTCATAGAATGAGTTATGAAGGATTCCCTCCTCAGTTTTTGGAACAGTTTTAGCAGGATTGGTACAAGATTTTCTTTGTGCATCTTGCAGAATTCAGCTGTGAATTAGTCTCGTCCTGAGAGCTTTTATTTGTTGGGAGATTTTTTATTACTGATTCAGTGTCACTACTTGTTATTTTTCTTTTCCGGATTTCTATTTCTTCCTGCTTCAATCTTAGGAGGAGGTATGTTTCCAGGAATGCATCCATTTTCTCTAGGTTTTCTGGATTGTGCACATAAAGATGTTTACAGTAATCACTGATTATCTCCTGTATTTTTGTGGTAGCAGTTGTAATGTCTCCTTTTTCATTTTTTATTCTGCTTATTTGAATATTCTCTCTTCTCTTCTTGGTTAGTCTAGCTAGTGATTGGTCAACTTGGTTCACCTTTTAAAAGAACAACTTTTTCATATGGTTGATTCTTTGAATTTTTTTTGATCTCTATTTCATTTAGTTCTGCTCTGATCTTCATTATTTATTTTCTTCTGATAGCTTTGGATTTGGTTCATTCTTGTTTTTCTAGTTCCCTGAGGTGCAATATTATGTTGTTACTTTGTGATCTATTTTTTATGTAGGAATTTAAGGTTATAGCCTTCTCTCTTAGCACTGCTTTTGCTATATCTTAGAAGTTTTGTTATGTCTCTATTTTCACTCATTTCAAAATTTTTTTTAATTTCTGTGTTCATTTTGTCATTAACTCAAAGATCATTCAGGAGCAGGTTGTTTAATTTTCATGTATTTGTGTAATTTAAGAGTTTCCCTTAGAATTAATTTCTAGTTTTATTCTACTGTCATTTGAGAAGGTATTTGATATGATTTTGATTTCTTAAAATTTATTGAGACTTGTGTTGTGGCCTAACATATGGCCTGTCCTGGAGAATCTTTCATGCACTCATGAGAAAAATGTATATTCTGTGGTTGTTTGGTAGAATATTCTGTAAATGTCTGTTAGGTTCATTTGTCCTAAAGTCCAATTTAAGTCCAGTGTTTATTTGTTGAATTTCTGTCTCAGTGATCTGTATGGTGCTGTCAGTGGCATGTTGAAGTCTCTTACTATTATTGTATATATTGCACCCCATCTATTTTCTTAGGTCTAGTAGTATTTGTTCTGTGAATCTGTACGTTCCAGTGTTGGGTGCATATGTATTTAGGATTGCTACTATATCTTCTTGTTGAATTGATCCTTTTATCATTTTATAATGTTTGTCTTATTTTTTTCTTGTTGATTTAAAGTCTGTTTTATCTTAGATAAGTATAGCTGTTTCTGTTCATTTTTGGTTTCTGTTTGTTTGGAATATGTTTTTCCATCCCTTTATCTTTAGTCTGTAAGTGTCTTTACCAGTTAGGTGGGATTTTTTGTAAGCAGTATATGGTTGGATTGTGTTTTTTAATCCATTCTGCCAATCTGTATCTTTTAAATGGAGAATTTAATCCATTTCTGTTCAAGAACTATATTGACATGTGAGTTTTTATTCCTGTTATAATGTTAGTTGTTATCTTGTTGCTTTGCAGTCTCATTAGTGTAAATGTTTTATAAGACCTGTGAGTTTTATACTGTCATTTGTTTTTAGGATGGTGAGTATTGATCTTTAATTTCTATGTTTAGAACTCCCTTAGCATTTCTTGTGGGATTGGTCTAGTGGTAATGAATTCCCTTAGCATTTGCTTGCCTGGGAAAGACTATTTCTTCTTCATTTATGAAGCTTAATTCTAATAGAATACAAAATTCCTGGTTAATAGTTTTTTTCTTTAGAAACCTAAAAATAGGATCCCAATCTCTTCTGGCTTATAAGGTTTCTATTAAGAATTCCACTGTTAGTCTGATGGAATTTTCTTTACAGATAATTAGATATTTTTCCCATGCTAATCTTAAGATTTTTTCCTTCACACTGTCTCTAGATAGTCTGATGACTATATAACTTGGTGACATCCTTACAATGTATTTTTCTGGAGTTCTGTGAGCCTCTTAAATCTGGATGTCTAAATCTTTAGCAAGTCTTTAGGGATGTTTTCCTCAATTACTTCCTCAAATAGACTTTCCAGAGTTTTTGCTTTTCTTCTCCCTCGGTAATACCTTTGACTCATAGGTTTGGACATTTTACATAATCTCTTATTTCTCAAAGTCTTTGTTCATTTTTAAAATTCTTGTTCTTTCTTTCAGTCTGACTGTGTTAGCTTGAAAAACCTGTATTCGAGCTCTGAGATTATTTCTTCTGCTTGGTCTAGTCTATTGTTAAAACTTTCAACTATGTTTTGTAATTCCTTCAATGAATTTTTCATTTCTAAAAGTTTTGTTTGGGGTTTGGGTTTTCTAAAAAAAAAAAAAAAGACATACTTATATCTTTGGTAAATTTGTCATTCATATCCTGAATTGATTGTCTGATGTTTTTGTGTTAGCTTTTACCTTTCTCTTGGATCTCATTGAGATTATTTAAAATTAATATTTTGAATTCTTTATCTGGTATTTCAAGGATTTCATTTTGGTTAGGATCCATTTTACAGAATTAGTATGATTTTTTAACACTCTGTTTTTGCATGCTTCCAGAATTGTTCTGCTGCTTCCTTCTCATCTCAAGAAACTATCTCATTATTTTTTTTAATTTACTTTCATTTGGATGGAATTTTTTTTCTCTTGAGGATGTGACTATAATGTATGCTGTGTAGGGTCATTTGGCCTTGGTTCTTGAGCATTCAGTGGCAAAGACTCTCTATGAGTTCATTGGTTATAGATATCCTTAGTGTAGTGGCTTTATCAAATGCTGATTGTAGTAGTGATGTACTGGGCATGAAGAGGCAATAATTTTCAACCTACTCTTTTTAAATGTTTTTGGTAGTCAGGCATGGCACATGCCTGTATTCCCAGCTACTCAGGAAGCAGAAGCAAAAGGATCACTTGATTTCAGGAGTTTGTGGCTACTGTGTACTATGATCTCATCTATGTATTCTAATAGAATACAGAATTCATGGTTAACAGTTTTTTTCTTTAGAAACCTAAAAATAGGATCCCAATCTCTTCTGGCTTATAAGGTTTCTAACAAGAATTCCACTGTTAGTCTGATGGAATTTTCTTTACAGATAATTAGACATTTTTCTCATGCTAATCTTTTTTTTAATACTTTAAGTTTTAGGGTACATGTGCACAATGTGCAGGTTAGTTAAGATTAGCTATGAATAGCTGCTGTACTCCAGGACAACATAGCAAGATCTCATCTCCCCAAAGACCATGGAAGCTGAGAGTCCAAAGAAGGAGGCTGACAAATTCAGTTTCTTAGGAAGACACCCTTAATAAGGACTTACAAACAGAAGCTGTAGTTTTGGGAAGCCATGATACAAGATGGTGAATCCCTGCCTGATTGTTCGGTTTCTTATTTTAATTACAGGTAGATTAATAGCATTCCTATTTTCAGAGAGCATATAAGTTGGCTGAAGGCTTATACTACAAGTAAGTAGAAAGGGAGAAAGAGAGGAGAAGGGACAAAATGTCAATAGCTAAGCAAATTTAGCATAGCCACTGATTTGAGGTCAATTTTATAAAATGGAGAAAATGCACACCCTTGTTTAATGTTGATTTTCCATGTCTTAATCAGGTCTGTTATTTTTTAATAATTTAGACATTGAGAAATGACCAAATTCTTGAAACTGGAGAAAAACTTTAGACAAGATAATTTGCTGATGAACCAATATGAATTATTTCCCAATATTTATCCAAAAAGCAGACGAATGGAAAGCCCACCCTCAAAGACCTTATGAGTTATATGGATATAAACATAGTGAATTTGCAAAAACATCTAAAGATGAAGGGGTTAAAATGGAGTTTTTTCATTGGTAGAACATTTTGCGTAGCATTTTAAGTATTGCACCTGTTCATTAGCTCTAGGGAGTAGGCATTTGCCTCTAGATAGCAGAATACGAGTGACTTTTTCTTGCTGTCACACTTTTTAAGGATTCTATAATGAACCTTTATTACTTTGATAATCATCAAAGTGGTTTAGAAACCAATAATGAAAAAGTATATGAGAAAATTAAGAGTGCAATGAAGCACATGTAAGCCTATGAAAAGAATGTTTCAATTTCCTAAAGAAGGCTGTTACAACACAATTTTAGTTCAGAAAGTGTTCACTACACATCCTCTGAGTTCCCATGCTTTGAGTGGAATCATGCTTTGAGTAGAATGGGAAAGGGTAAAGATATATGGAATGCACATGGTTAGCAAGGTATGTTGAATGCAAAACCTGGTGCAGAATCTCTTTAATTCTGTTATCATTCTATGTGAGGTTTTCACAGAAACAGGACCCACTCTTTGGCTTCTTTTACAAGGGAAGAAAAGGACACATACTCCTTCCCAAGAGAAATTTGTGCTTACTTGCCAAAAAAAAAAAAAAAAAACACTATGAAATCTCTCCCATTTCACTATGTAATTCTAGAATTATGTCACAGAAAAAAATAGAGAAAAACATATCAATATCATAATTCTGTTAGGTATAGTCTTCCTTCATGGCAGAGTCAACTTCTGCTAGTGTGTAAAGAAATTACTTTGGAAATCACCCTGAAAATCTTAGCCAAATGGAAAGTCCTAAAGCAAAGTACATTTCTTGTCATTTTAAAAATTTTTTCAACTTGACTATATTACCGATAATAGTGAAGAAAGCTATTCTATCCTATTCACACTCTTAGGAAAAAAGAAGCCTGTTATGAGTCCTAATGGCTTCATAATTAGCAGGAAGAGATGACAATAAAATTCTTAATTGCAACTTTTTTCATTGACTTGGAATGTCTTAATTTATTGTTGAATTTTTCATGATGGAGGCTTTTTGAACTATGACATGGGTGCCCTATCTCTTAGAGCATATCTTCCTTCAGCCATAAAATCAAGTGTGCTGGGAAAACAATCCATATGCTTTTCCAGGCTGAAGAAGAATGGAGCCAGCCCCTTTCTTGTTCCTTGGTGCACAGTGGAGCACATCAAAGCAACAGGACAGGAGGGTGTCAAGGAATACTTGACCTCAGTATGGTGCTGATTATAACCATGTAGTGCTGGGTACCATGCTAAGCATAATATGTTTCTTTAATTATTTCCTCCAAGGAGTATTATTATCCCACTTTAAGGAATAGGAATATTGAGGGTTAGACAGGATAAATTACTTATCAGAATTTCCTGAGTGAAGCCAGAATTTGAAGCCAGGATTATCTGACACCTGAAACAATATCTTTAATGACTCAGCCTGCTATCTAATCTCTTCCTAAACCAGCAGTTTCCATCACCAAGATCTTTCCATTGGCCTACAATTCATTGAATTTGAATTACTCCACCTGTTAATTGGCAGGTATTAAGTGCTTATAGGAGCATAGGCTACAGGAAAGTTTATTTTACAATAAAATTATGTAAATACTTTGAAATGACTACAGGACAGAGAAGAAAATGACAACAGATTATAAATTTGCTTATGCCTAAAAAATGGAACACATGAGGTTTTATTGCATCTTGAATTTCTCATTAGTTTAATACCACTTTTACACCATTTGGTATATTGTTAATTTTGCTGATTAACAAAAGAATTAATAATATTTAAGTGTATTGGAGTCTGAGTATCTCAGAACCGACCATTCAACAATCAGTAGCCTTTAGGCTCAACAACATATTCTTAACTCCTCATTTCCAGGAAGGATAGATTAATATTTAGAAATATATGTAACGGTCATCCACAGTGTTATAGATTTTCCCCTGATAGAAATGAAAATTATGGGGTGACTTCTCCATATTGTGATATATCAGATTGGTCCTTTTTAAATATTTTTTTTCTACCTAATGAAAATAAACTTTGTAGAATGTTCAAGGCAGAAGCGCTAATATTGTCTAATAGACTCTATTAAGAATTCAAATCATAAGCTCCTATCTTCTTTGATATGAAATGTTAAAATCTTAAAAGGATTATCTGTATAACTTGTGACTGTTTCAGCAGCTTTGTAACTAAGCACTTACCTTATTACACAGCATTCCATATGTCACCCTGGGTTCCTGCACACAACATACACACAAGGGGCCATATTTCATGAGTATTACTTCACAAAATTGTACTGGTAGTGTTCTATGTTTTTGTAATTATGTTCTCTTTTTCCCTCCCACAGTTTATATTGGCCCGTCATGTCTCAAATTCTGTTCTGGCAGAGGACAGTGCACTAGACATGGTTGCAAGTAAGCATCTTAAAATAACACTTATGCTTCTCCTTTTTGATGTGTAATGTATGTGTTGAAGTCGCAAGTCATTTAATAACCTTTTTTAGGATCGGGGATCTTTTTAAGACAAAAAGTTGGATATTTCTATTAGAACTTAAGTGTAATTCAAATGTATTTTTAAGTGAAAATTAATACATTTTATATTAGGCTAAATTGTGGACAAATTTAGCATTCCTCATGTGAATTTGTGAACAAATTGGAATTCCTCACAGCTTGATGGCTGCCTTTCCTGCCTGTAGTTACATCCTTTTCCATAAACTTGTTCGGGTGTTCATGAGTCACATTGTAATTCCTAGCATGCTTTGTAAATGATTGTAAAAATCAGTAATGACCCATAGATCCAATGCTAAAGGAAACTGGACTGGACCAAATTTAGCAGATTTGATAAGCAAATTCATCATCTTTAAATATAACTTAAGCGTCTTGTTTACTTTTGAAAATCATTTGAGTCTTTAATAAATTATAAAGTATTTTACAAAACAATGCTGTTGAATATAAAGTCTGAAATTATACATTAATAATGTAATATCTAATTACCACCAATGAATTATTTTATGTTTATACCAAAAAATGGATATTCACATTTATTATGTCATTCTTACATTAATATTTAATTATAAAATATTCTGGGAATTCCCAAAACCACAGGCAATCTGTAATAAAGATAAGTGTTCAACAGCTGATCATCTAGTCTACTTTTTCTTGTCCCTCCAACAAAAAGAGTAATTAATCAATTAGCTAATTAGTTAATGAGTAGAGAACTCATAAAAGAGCTTTGAACCTGGATCATTTAGAAATTGTAGGCTGGGCATGGTGGCTCATGCCTGTAATTCCAGTACTTTAGGAGGCTGAGGCAGTGGATCACTTGAGGTCAGGAGTTCGAGACCAGCCTGGCCAACATGGTGAGACCCGATCTCTACTAAAAATACAAAAATTAGCCGGGCGTGGTGGCGTGCATCTGTAATCCCAGCTACTCGGGAGGCTGAGGCAGGAGAATCACCTGAACCCGGGAGGTAGAGGTTGCAGTGAGCCAAGATCGTGTCACTGCACTCCAGCCTGGGCGACAGAGTGAGACTCCATCTCAAAAAAAAAAAAAAAGAGAGAAAAAGAAAAAAAAGAAATTGCATGTATGAGCCAAGCGCTTGTTGACATTGAGATTAGTGTGGCTTTTTAACTTTCTAACTATATTTCAGTGAATTTAGTTAACAAAGAGATCACTTTTCCCAATGGAAATTTTTTATAAAGTATGTGAAGAATTGAAAAGCTTCCATCTATATTTCCAAACTGAATATGCATTCCTGTGTTTTCTAGTAAAACTACCAACTCCCATTCCAAAACACTGGTCAGTAGATCTATGAAACATTGGCTGATATCTTCCTCAAGTTGTTATGTGCATCCATTATCCATAATCAGACCATCTTCTTAGTGTATTTCAAATAAAATTAACATGAGGCCAGATAGTTTTGCAAATCCTGATGTTGTCCTAAAAAGTTTTGGGGAAAAAAATTACCTAGAATGACAACTTTTATTTTCAAAAAATAGAAAGTGGCATTTCTAAAAAGACCTATCCATAATTACAGTAGTTATACTTCAGACTTCATTTTATGTGTATCATATTCCTCTTAGAATTAAGTGGTTTCATTAAGGCTACCATCTATGCCACCCATGGTGGATACAAACAAATCTAAATGGTAGCTTTATGCTTTTGGACATTGTTCTTTTTTGACACCATCCATTATTCCGAATAGTCATAGTCTTTTCCTCCTTCTGAGGTTTTATGGAATATTTTCACCATTTAGAACTTTAGTGTTTTTCCCTATTTCTAACAATGTTTTATGTAATATTCATTGGCTTTGTTCGCTTACGGCTGGGCTAAAAGTTTGACTACTACCTCCTTTTCCAGCAATGTGTACCTTATTGAATTTGAGCAAAATCACACAGAAAAGAAATGTATATGTAATACCACTTACTTCCTTTAAACAAATCATTGAATCTGGGACCTTTGCAACTTTATATTTTTCTCTCCTCTTTACTCCACCTCTCCCCCGTGTTTTACTGCTATTTGCTATCAAGATTCTACTCTCTCATGTTCCCTCTAACACTTTCTGGCCTGTGTACAATCCCAGGCCTGGTTCTCTAAATGGACACACTACTAACCTGATAAGCCCAACCCTGTTAGAGATGCTAATGAGGAGACAGAGCATTAGAACCCCTTTCTTCACGAGTGTCATCCATGTAGCTTAACAGTGGGGTGATTTTCCTGACATTACAGGGTGACTATACCGCTAAATTTAAGCATGTGTAGATGGATTAGTAGCAGACATATTGGGAGTCAGGAGAGCCTCGTGTCATACCCGAAATCACCAATGTGTGTGACCTTGTTGTTTTGCTGAGAAACAAAGACTACAAAGTTTTTTGTTTTTTTTAAAAAATATTTTTAAAAAACTACTTTATCTTTATCAGCATTATATCTCAACTGAATAACCTTTGATTAAAAGTAGACTTTTAAAACGACTAAATGGAAAGTGACTCCAATGTGAGTCATCTCTAAACGATCACCAGTTTCTCCCAGTCACTTGTCCTGAGAAGACACATTTAAGATACACAAAAATGTAATTGCCCTAAAATGCACTCTGGAATAGATAGTCTTGCTAAGGAAAATTAATTCCAATTCGTGACTGTGGTAAAACACATTCAGTTTCCTGACTTTAAAATGTGTTCAATTTAGCTGATTTTAAAAATTCTTTTTTGGAAACAACTTGGCTATTCAGTCTAAGTTCAGTCTAAGTCCATTAGACAACATGTGAAAGAAGGCTCATCCAGTAAATATTGGCTTTCCTTTCATCCCCTTATTGATGCTACTTAAGATACCAAGACAACCTTCAAACTTCATGCTACAGTAGTTCTTAGCATTTTAGGCTCCAACTTATTTGGTAATCTGATAAAACCTATGGACCTTCTCCCCAGAAAATCCAATATACATAAAACTGGTCATTTGATTTAGCATATTTTTACATTCCATGGACTCCTTGAAAGGCCAGCATAGACCCAAGTCTCAGTAGTACTGCCAAAGAAGTATCCTGAGTCATGCCATAGTATCACTTCATTGGTACACTTGCTTTGTAAAGGCTTGTTTCAGACTTCAGCAAGCTTTGAATGCTCCCATGAGAATCCCCCACTCAAAAAGATACCAATTGAGCAACATTATAAATGTAGTGAGAAGGAAATAGCACAGTAAAAACAAATAATTTGAAACTATTTCCTGATGAATAATCTCCTTAAAACGTAGATGTTTCCATTGCTGATTCATCTGTGATGAGGTTTTCTCACTGATAGAAAACTTGGGGCACTCCTGTATATTCTAGTCAGCTAATATAAATACAGCACATTCTTACATAGAAGCAAGCAGGTTGTTGGGGAGTGGGGAAAGGTTTGTTTTTCTTGAAGTGCCACTAATTTGGGAGAGTCCACTGAGAGGCAACACAGTTCTGCTAAGGACATCTATCTAGGTCAAGGGTGTACACATTCCCTTTATACATCTGAAATAGTTAAAGATAGATTCATTTTCCAATAGTTTCTAAATATTTAAATTAATTCCTATCACGAACATAACATGTATTTTAACATTTGTTCTTAGAAAAAATTTATTCTGGGTATCTTATTGGAAGTGCTTTATGCTGTTTCTTTTATAAATTTAATGAGTGTTATGAATAAAATTATACATAAACCTTTTACAGATATTCTAAGTTGGAAATGTGTATGAACATAGATGTATTTTAGATAAATTGCTGAATTACTGTTTTAATCGTAGGCTTTTTATGGGAGGGCTGTGCAAATACTGTATTTGTCTGGAATATTTACAGTCGATTAGCCCTTATCAAGTCTTTAGATTCAGTAGTCTCCAAAGACTAATGAGCCTCATTTACCATTCAATCAAATCCTAGTCTCTGGACTTCTTCCTCCCCAAAGTAGATTCGAGAATCTCCGAAACAGCCAACAGTTTAAGATTTAATTTCACCATATTTCTTTCAGGTGTGACCCTGGATTTTCTGGCCCAGCTTGTGAGATGGCATCCCAGACATTCCCAATGTTTATTTCTGAAAGCTTTGGCAGTTCCAGGCTCTCCTCTTACCATAACTTTTACTCTATCCGTGGTGCTGAAGTCAGCTTTGGTTGTGGTGTCTTGGCCAGTGGTAAGGCCCTGGTTTTCAACAAAGATGGGCGGCGTCAGCTAATTACATCTTTCCTTGACAGCTCACAATCCAGGTGAGTGAAGGCAGGGTAGAATACATACAAAAACCAGATACTAATGTTGAATTTAGTTATACTGTCCATTTTTATTTCTTATATTTTTTCTGATAGACATCTCATTTTTAACTAGGGTTGGAGGGAGCCTACAGTTTATTGAGAGTTAATTTGCCCTAGTTTTTAGTAAATTAGGAGGCTCACCAATGACTTGGATATTAATGACTGACTAGGTTTTTTAAAATATGAAATGTTAGCATCAAAACTATGTTCTTAAGCCAAGAGCTAGTTAATTATTTATGTAGTTTTATTGATTTGACAGCTTGAGGAGGCTGATTAGATTTACTCTACAACTTCCCTTCCCCCAGTGTCTAATAAATAATGCAGTAAAGAAGTGATTGGCATTTTAAGTGTATGTACACAAGTACATAGTATACAAGTGTGCATAAACATCCAGTTATATTTTTATGGATCTATCTGTACATAAAATATGTATATCAACATGTACATAAATATCTACACATATTCATATATCTAACAATGAAATTACTTAACATTTTGTAAAAGAGGGGTGAGTAGAAACATAATTTGAAATTCTTTAAAGACCAAAATGAACATTATGATTAAAAATGTTTATGCATACACTAATTATAGACAATTTCTGTCTAGGTTTCTCCAGTTCACACTGAGACTGGGGAGCAAATCTGTTCTGAGCACGTGCAGAGCCCCTGATCAGCCTGGTGAAGGAGTTTTGTTGCATTATTCTTATGATAATGGGATAACTTGGAAACTCCTGGAGCATTATTCATATCTCAGCTATCATGAGCCCAGGTATGTTGGAAAGCATTTGGAAAAATGGTTGTAGAGTGAAATCTTCTCCTGGGGAAATCATAATTCAAATGGTATAAAATTCTAGATATTTTTCCATTGACAGATGGAGCGCACAAAGATTGATGTGTCTTGCAGTGAAAAACTACCAAGCCAACCCATCCATTTGTCCCACTGACTTCTGATCATTTGAAGGAATTTATTGTCATAGTTTTAAATATGGATCTAAGGGAAATATTTTGATGCTTATAAGCATCAAGAGAAAAGTAGGCTGGGCGCAGTGGCTCATGCCTGTAATCCCAGCAGTTTGGGAGGCCGAGGCAGGCAGATCACGAGGTCAGGAGATTGAGACCATCCTGGTCAACATGGTGAAACCCTGTCTCTACTAAAAATACGAAAAAAAAAGCTGGGTGTGGTGGTGCGCACCTGTAGTCCCAGCTACTCAGGAGGCTGAGGCAGGAGAATTGCTTGAACCCGGCAGGCAGAGATTGCAGTGAGCCGAGATTGCACCATTGTACTCCAACCTGGCGACAGAGCGAGACTGTCTCAAAAAAAAAAGAGAGAAAAGTAATTAACACTGTTTTCCTTATTTAACTATAATGTAAACTATTACACAGGAATAGAATATGGCACTAAATTATAAATGCTATTGATAAATACTAGTGATATATTTTAATATGTTGTAATAAATTATATTATATATATCTTATAACCAATATGTTATTAAGATTTACATGTAATATAGTTAAGCAATGAATACAAGGAAATTTTTTAGCCTGTATAGTGTCTCTGGCAAAAATGGGGTGTTAGGGTTTATTTAAAGCCCTTTCTTCAGGCCATTTCTATTTTTCTTTAGTATATAGATTTCATCATATATAGTATCCGTTGTCAGATTTAAGTCTTACTTGAAGCTGGGCTATCTTTCAATGTTGGCAGAATAGTAACACCATTAGTGGTACAATTTTAGGTGTGTCTAAAAGATCCTTTCCACTCCTAAAACTTATTGAGCTACTCACTGAAATTCCTTTAAAAATATCAAGGGATGAGGAGGATGGGGAAAGCTTAAAATTAAGGTTTAAAGTTAAAATTCCATCAGAGTAGTTGATACTGTGGCTTACATTCACAGTCACATATAAATGGAGTAACATTCCACTTCACTTCCTGGAAGTATATTTTAATCATGAGGAGATGAGAAAGACAGAAGGATTTGGACACGAAAGTTTGCATTGGCACCCTGGAAAAAAGACAGGGTTAAGGAAAGTAGGAGAGAGGGGACTGAGGATATATTTTATATATTTTACAGTTTTTCCTAGAACTGCCTCCATATTTAAGTATTTGCAAATAGATGAGAACTTTTATTTTCATAGAAAATGAAGTAGCATGTAACAGATAATGATTAACATCTATTATAACTTATAAGTGTTATACATTATAAAATTTTAAGAATGCACCAGCTGTATTGGGTATTTTCCCTGTACAGGTAAAAATCTAGTGCTAAACTCAACTTTCTTACTGAGTAGAGACAAATGAATCCTAAAGAAACCTTTCATAGACTATCCATAGTAACCATTAAAAGAAAATTAAACAAAAAATCAAGGTAATGATGATGAAAGCATGAAGAAAATATCACCATCCTAAGTTAAGTTGGCCTAAAGCACAATTTTTTCTAAGAAAGATGGACAGCTGCAAAATTCAGTAATCAATCTATATCATGAAATTTAATTAATCTTTGTTGATATGAAAAATAATTACACATTTAATGTGCTATTGCAAAGGCGCGTTTAATCTTGCCTGCCATTTGACAGCAACATTTTTCTTCTAAGAATCAAGGTAGCTTTTCAGTATTAGATATGTGCATGGCTTGAAAGATTAAGATCAAAGTGGAGTTTTTTTAAAAGGAGAACGTGGTAATGGTAGCAAAAACGCCTTAATTTTCTATATATATATATATATTTATCTCTGTCCATGAGATTCTTCCTCCCGCCCCCTCTCTCTTACAAATATTAATAAAAGGTGACATGGCAGAAGGGGAAGTTGATACATTCTAGATAACAAATTATATTTTATATGATAAATAATACAAACCATGTAAATTCTTCATAAGAAAGTTAAATATATCTTGATGCCTTTAGCTATTTGCTATATTTCCTTCAGTGTAAATTGCTGCCTGTAATTGCCGTGAATTCCATATTGCTTCTTTATGCCATTGTTGTTCAAAAATGAAGTGTGATTCATAAATTAGACATGCTAGTTGGCTAACCACTATTATTCCTCAACTATTTTAAATAATTTGCTTGCCTATGATTCATTCAGTAAATAAAAGAACTCTATCTGCTTGTTATTAATAAAAATTTAATATATCTAAGTTAGTCTTTTAATTCAAACTGACTAGAATGTCTTGTGAACTAATTGGTATTTTTATTAATTTAAAATTATGTGTCACTGGTGAGACTAAAATTATCCTAGCTTTTCTTCTTAATTATAGGGCTTGTTTTTACTCTAAAATTACTATGAAGTCTAATCTTAGTTTATTTTTATGTCTTGATTATTATATTTAATCTCCTCTTTGTTCTATCATGTCATCCAATTCCATAGTGTATATCATTGTAAAACATTTTTTAAACAATTTGATCTTATATTTGGTCTCCTCTTTGTTTCTATATGTCACCCAATTCAATAGTACATATTACTATAAAACATTTAAAAAAATCTATGAGGTTAGGACCTACAAACAAAAGGAAAATTGAGGCAGAAAGTTGACTTAAGTCTCTGTGTTCTCTTCTAGGAATATTCTGATCAGACAGTTCCACAGCTATTCTAACCAGCCACTATAACTTGCAAAGAGTGGTGAAATCGTTAGGAACTCCCCCTACACCCAAAGATACGATGTAGAAGTTAAGAACAAGGCTCTAGAGCTAAGTTCCCCAGGTCCAAATCCTGGCATTAGCACTTATAGTCTGCTTAATCTTAAAGAGATTATTTAACCTCCTTGTGCCTCTGTACTCACATCTCTATCAGGCATATACTGATAATACGTACTATGCAGCAAAAATTTGTTGAGTCCTTATTATGTGCCAGATACTGCTCTGGGTACTAAGGTATAATAGTGAAAAGCAGACAAAAAAATTTCTGGCCCTTGCCATAAGAATAGCATTATTCTAATTTCACAGATAAAGCTGCTGAGACACATAGAAGCCAAGTGCTTTATCTACAGTTACAAAATCATTAACCAGTAGGAGTCAGAGTGGGAACTCTGGCCCAAGAGTCTGATTACAGACCCGTAGTCTTAACACCTCTGCCGTGAAAATATTGGTCACTTCAGTCACCAATATCACATTCATATACACTATTTTCCTTAAAAGTTGCTTGGGAAATTCTAGTTTCCAGTTGTTATGTTAAAAAATAATACTTTATTTTCCTTAAAAGTTGCTTAGGAAATTCTAGTTTTCAATTGTTATGTTAAAAAATAATAATTTATTTTCATGAGAGAGAATATTAACTGTTTTTATAATTAATATGAAGAAAAATTATAACTTTCTAATAACATAATGCTAAACAAATTATTAAATCCATGACTGATATCTTCATTGTTAAACCAGTTTAAATATAGTTTATTTAGTTTCTTTCTATATATTATGTAGTTTTATAAATATATGCATTTGTTTAATAAACAGATTTGAAAAATTAAAATTGAAAATTACTAAAATACTTAATTTAACAAAACCTGACTCTTCTAATAAATTTACACTGATGAAAAATTTTACAGATTTTAGAAAGTATTTAAAACTCATAAATGTATTATAGCTATGTATTTTTAGTTTAAGAAGTGTTTTTAGGGCCAGGCACAGTGGCCCACGCCTGTAATCCCAGCACTTTGGGAGGCCGAGGCAGGCAGATCACGAGGTTAGGAGATTGAGACCATCCTGGCTAACACGGTGAAACCCTGTCTCTACTAAAAATACAAACATTAGCTGGGTGTGGTGGCATGTGCCTGTAGTCCCAGCTACACAGGAGGCTGAGGCAGGATAATCACTTGAACCTGGGAGGCAGAGGTTGCAGTGAGCTGAGATTGTGCCATTGCACTCCAGCCTGGGCAACAGCGCAAGACTCCATCTCAAAAAAAAAAAAAAAAAAAAAAAAAGAAGTGTTTTTAAAGTTTTATTTCTGTATTTGCATATGGATTTTCCTTTATTTAGAAAATATGTTTTCTTCTATTGGAAAATATGTTTTCTTCTATTGCAACAAGTCCTACCAGTTCTGTACTGTTTGTATAATCAATGGTGATAGTCATGTTAGTCTACCCCATATATCCATGTACAAATTATTTAAAGGAAAAATAGGTAATTATTTTTCTAAATAACTTTCAATATGTAAAACAGTACATTCCCAAGAGGTGGTTTAGCGTGTTTCTTCACACAATAAAAATATGAAAGCCAATCCAGTTTCTCAGTAAATTCAGCCTTAGATGTTGAAGTTTTAAAATAATTTCTTTCTAAGTTATTCAACTAGTCACCTGGCTTAGGAAGTTTTTATTTGCTCATTAGTTAAAAAACAAAAAAAAAAAAAACAAAAAAAACAAAAAAATAACTCAGCCCTTTCAGTGTGTCTTTAATGCAAGCACCTTTCCTGGTGTTTAATTGTACTTTGACGGTGACAAATGTTCCATTTGCCATTTGCTTCACATCTCACCTGTGTATGGATGCGATCAGCATGGTACTGTGATTTATGGAGCTTTCAAGTAGGTGTCATTGCAGTGGCAATTAATATATGGTTCCCGCTGCTGTGTACAATAATCGCTCCTGGAAATTAGATATTATTCTTAATTTTCTTCCCCATTTGTCAGATGCAGGTTTATTGTCATAGCTGCCATGACACAGCAGATGACCTCACACACTATGCTAAACTCATGGGAATGAGGAAGTGTCCTGGTTCCAAACAGCCAAAACTGTAATATGTGTAACAAGCTGTCCAAGATCCTTTACTAGACTATGATGAATACTGTCACTTTGACCACCATGTTTATTGAGAGCTTTTTCAAAAGCAGATGAGTGAAAGCAAAGTTACATTTTGGGGTGTGTGTGGAAGACTGTTGGAAACAGACAGGAAACTGGACATCTCAAAAAAAAATGTTTATAATCATGGGAGAACTATTTCTTTAATACTATACTTCAGGGGAAATCTATCCCACTATAAATATTTGTGTTTTAAGATACCAAAATAATCTAAATTTTGACTTTTTTTTTTTCTCTAGAATAATCTCCGTAGAACTACCAGGTGATGCAAAGCAGTTTGGAATTCAGTTCAGATGGTGGCAACCGTATCATTCTTCCCAGAGAGAAGATGTATGGGCTATTGATGAGATTATCATGACATCTGTGCTTTTCAACAGCATTAGTCTTGACTTTACCAATCTTGTGGAGGTCACTCAGTCTCTGGGATTCTACCTTGGAAATGTTCAGCCATACTGTGGCCACGACTGGACCCTTTGGTAAGGATTTCATCATTGTTATTGTTACAATTTGCACTAGGAATTAGAACATGAGGATGATCTTCCAGTCTATTCAGCATTTAGTCATTTGTTGACAAGTATTTACTAAATAGGAACTACTTGAAAACAGAACTACTGTTTTCAGGTTGTTACAAGTATGTCTACACAACCCTACTTGTTTGTCTACAAGTAAAATGTCTTGTAGGACTGAAAACAAAATACTGATAGATTTAAATAAACATAAAATTTTCCCATATTTCTTAATCTCAAATTTTAATTTCCCACAATTACATATTTTAAAAAAAAAAACCTCTTCAAAAAGTGTTAGTTATTAAAGTGATGACCATATTCGCCCTCAGAGGCCCATGGGGTTTATAATGAAACATGAAGTCACTCTAGTGACTATTTTAATAAAATTTATCATGAGTAGCTCTGTTTTCATGCTCTCTTATATAAGTCCCCAGAAGTATTTTTAGCCATGATTGGTTAACTAACATCTCCTTTTTAATCCATGTTATCAAACACTATTGGACCAGTGACTCATATAGTTAATGCCATTGGGGTTTCAAAATTGTGGGATAGCCTAATTAAGTTACCCTTCATTTTTAGATTTTTCCTCCTGTGGTCATATGCGAATTTAATTATACAACAAACAGTCAATAATTTAAAGGTGATTAGTACTTCATGTACATCAGTAGGATAATACAACAGTGTTGAGTAGGCTCAGGAGCTGGCTACTTTACATAGGAAACTCCCGAGAGGCTTCTCGGAGAAAGCTACCTTTGTGTAGTTCACATGGTGGATATAACACATTCTACTGATTGGAAAGTGGGAGAACATGGAAGCTCCAGCCACATAAATATCTGGAGGAAGAGAAATGCAACTACAGGAAACTGCAGTGCACACAGTTCCCCCAGGCGAGAGTGACCATGGCGTATTCAAGGACCAGGAAGGAGGCCAGTTGTCCTGGAGACCAGGTAGTGAAGTAGTGAGTGTCAAGGAAACCAAGAGATGTGCAGAGGCCAGATCTTTTAGGGTCTTCTAGGCCCAGAGATCCTGGACTTAAACACAGTCCTGCATGATTCCAAAACCCACAACCTTCACCACTGTGTATACTGCCCCTCTCTAGGTTCCTTTAGGACTGGAAATATGGTTGAAGAATAATTTTCTAAAAGACTTTTATTTTGTATTAAGTCATGGTCAGACCAATTTAATTCCTTCAGATGAATATCACTGAAAGCTATTCACCACTGTTGCCTCCAGAGAGCATATCATAAATGACCCATCAGTGACCTTATCATAATTAGAGGTAAATTTTACACACTATTGTACAGAAAATTACCTTTGATGGGACTTGTGCATGTATAGTCAGATCTCACACACAGCAGGCTAAAATTCTAGCATCAAAATGACAGCTAATGGAATGGAAGTACAGCTGGTCACTTTTGCTGCAAGCACTGTCAAACTGGATAGAATGAAATTTCTAAATTTCTATAAGACAAAGTAGGGAAGGTTATATTGCACATTTTCTTTCTGGTTTTGTTTTGTTTTGTTTTTCTGAGACAGAGTTTCGTTCTTGTCACCCAGGCTGGAGTGCAATGGTGCGATCTCAACTCACTGCAACCTCTGCCTCCCGGGCTCAAACGACACATTTTCTATTTGATAGCCTCAGATGCTTGTTTTTACAGATGTTCTTTCTTAGTCCTGGAGACTTTAAAGAAGATAAACGATTAAAGCAAAGAAGGTGTAAAGATGTAGAACAAAATGAGATTTCTTAGAATTTTATGCTTCTGAACATTTAAATTGACCTGAATTGACAGTAATTCAAACTGATCATGTACCGTAAACTATATCCTTCAAGTTTGTATAGAAGAGTTTTTTCCTAACACTTCTAATATAACAAAGAATCATATCATGAATGCAAGTCCTGTATCATGTTTATTTTCATAAATAGTTAGCATCTGCTCAGATAAATGCAAAAGTTGCTGAGCATTTTAATTTAACACTTGCATTGAATGCATGATAACAGCAGTTTAATTTCTGTGCTTTGATCAAAACCCTAAGAACAATATCCCTTCACACAAGTCTGATGAATATTCTTAACCCACCACCGCTTTAATTGGTGGAGATACATTTACTTTGTGAAAGTACAATCACAGTAATTATAGAAAAACCATAAGAAAACATAAATAATTGTACAATCCCCATGGGCACCTTGAGCAGCACCATAGGAGTTTTATTAACAACCACATGTGAGCAATCGATTTGACTTTCTGATCTTCTCTGAAGCAAAAAGGAGTTGTCTTGGTTATGAAACAACAGAGAGTATACCCTGGTGGTGATAATGAGACTAGAGAAACACATTAACCACTTTAATAAGGACATGAAAAATGCTTGCTTCTCATTAAAGTGAAACAACATGGAAGATCTCAAACTGTTCCTATTTTCTTAGCCAGTGAGTCAGAATAAACCCCTTTTAGTGACATTGTTTTCTCTCTGCCCCTGTTGAGGAATACATTGTCCAAGATTTAATGTGAATTCACCTTGGGGATGTTTTTCAGAAATACTTGTTACAATATTAAAATTTAAGTGATGATATTGACCAACTATTTATTATAATCTCATAGTCCTAAAACAAGCTGTCATTTTTTAAATGTAAAACCTTTGGAGCATATTGTCTTATTAAGTAAAAATTATTTAAACATATTTAAGTATGCAGTCTCTGCCCTTCAATGACCTTTTTTCTCTCAAGGGAAATTTTGAAATATATATGTGGTCTTACAAATGGCTGGTGTTAAATTAATTATTGTTGGTTTTTCTCAGCTGGTTGTTCATTTGGTTCTCATTTTCTAACTCATGACTTTCCATGAGCATAGACTGTCGTTACTCAGAGTGTTCTTCAGGGAAAACTTGGACAATTGCTTTTTCATTAGAAGAACTACAGTCAGTATGCTACAAATCACTTTCCAGTATGTCATCCTAGAGCACTTTTTTCCAGTGGAGAAATGAATTGCTTTGAATTCTTTGAATACTTTCTTCCATACATAGTATCTGAACTCAGAACTTCTGTCTGCTTTAGGTTCTAATATTCCTTAAAACCTCTTACATATACTTTAAGATCAGTAAGGGAAAAATTCTAATTGAAGTTTATTAAATATTGCATCTAATACTATTAGTGATAATACCAAGGGAACATTAACATTCCTCTGCCCCATCTAATAAACCAGCTAGATACAACAGGTTTGAAGGAAATTGCTGTCGTATTAAATATAGAGTTTGGGTTTTAAAATGTGTACAGTTGAGGCCAGGCACAGTGGCTTGTGCACTTTGGAGGCCAAGGTGGGCGGATCACCTGAGGCCAGGAATTCAAAGACCAGCCTGGCCAACATGGTAAAACGCCATCTCTACTGAAAATACACAAACTAGCCGAGCGTGGTGACACATGCCTGTAATCCCAGCTATTTGGGAGGTTGAGGCACAAGAATCGCTTGAATCCAGGAGGCAGAAGTTGCAGTGAGCCGAGATCATGCCAATGCACTCCAGCCTGGGTGACAGAGCAAGACTCTGTCTCTAAATAAATATATAAGTGTACAATTGAGAGAGAATAGTTGTTGTAGCATTTAGAATTGGCAATTGTTTTTAGGAAATATGGTGTGGTAGAAACATAGGCTTTGAGGTCGTAGGCCTGATTTCAAATTCTCACACTGCCACTTAGAAGCTTGTAAAATTAAAGCCAGATAATTTTAACTAAAGAGGAATTTTGAGAAGTATATATTTTGATGTAGCTGCTTTAGGAAGTTTGCATCAAAGCAACTTTATCAAAAGAGGAAATAACTGAGTTTTGTTAGTAATGTATGACAAACATCCCTGACTTCTAGCTCCACCCAGAATTTCTACCCATTCATCCCATCTTTGTCTTTCATCCCATTCATGAGCTAGTGCCATCCCTAACCCTTACTCCAACTCTAACCACTGCCCTATATCTGAGCTTCACTCCATTGCCAGCCCCTAATAATGAACTATTAGTTGGGCATAGAGTGAGAACACCAGTCTTGCACATTCTTTTATAATTTCTAGAAGGTGACATATTTTAATGATTTCTTTTTCGAATTACCAAACCTGTTCCCATACCAATCAAAACAGTAACATCAAAAGGCCACATATTCAAGGAAATTTATTTAGCCTCTTTGAGCCTGAGTGGTTTTTTTTTCTTTGCATGTTATCTTTTTTAATTTTTTTCTTTATTTCTTCTAAAAAAAGGGGGGATACATGTGAACCTGAGGTTTTCATCTGTAAAATGGGAGCAATGATACTTACTCTCAAAATTGTCGTAAAGATTAAATGAGATCATAGATAGCAAATACCTACCATGAGCCTGCCATTTCCATTCCCTTCACTGTCTCAATGAAAGGAAGAAAACTGGTATATATAAGGTCCACATAATGAGCAACTTTTTTGAATTTTAGAAGCTAACAGACGTTATTTTGCCTGAGCAATACAAAAGAGCATTCTCTGAAATTTAAAGAGATCAAAAAAGAAATGTTAAATAAAAGCTTTATTGTATAAACTAGATTTGGTTGAGGGAGAAGGTTGAAGCATTGTGCAACAGAAAGCTCATAGTGGTGTACTTATTTTTGCCAGTACTTTCCTATCTAAATGCCAATCACCATCACTACACAGATGGATTACATTCTAGCAACACTGAATATGTTATCATAGAAAGTATTTTGTGAATGGTGAGTGATTAGGTTACTAGGAAATCCCATACCTGAAGGATCCTAAAAGCCTGTTTATCTCATAATGTAATTTAAACACAGTTCATTTGCAATAAAAAGGTAGAAAAAAGTACTATGACTCTACTAATAATTAAAGCAAGAATTAAGATAAGGAAAGCTATAGTTTTTGTTTATCATTAATGGTGCTTGAGGAACAGCAGATATAACTAAAAGATTTAAAGATGGATACCTGTAGAAATGTTCGAAGGGCCTCTTGGGTACTTTCATGGGCATAAAAGACAGAAGGTACTCATTCCTTATGTCTAATTTTATTTTTTTTAATTAAAGCTTTTTTTTTAAAACACAAGTAAATCACTGGTACTAGTCATCCGTTGGTCATTTTTTAGAGAAAGAAATTTCCTAAAGTAGTGAAAGTACAAAGAAAGTAAAAGAGCAACATGAAAAAAGTGAAATCAGCTGTGAATTACAAAAGGCATGAGGAGGCCAGGCACGGTGGCTCACACCTGTCATCCCAATGGGAGGCCGAGGCGGGTGGATCACCTGAGGTCAGGAGTTCGAGACCAGCCTGGCCAACCTGGTGAAATCCCGTCTCTACTAAAAATACAAAAAGTTAGCAGGGCCTGGTGGCGGACGCCTGTAATCCCAGCTACTTGGGAGGCTGAGGCAGAAGAATCACTTGAACCTGGGAGGCAGAGGTTGCAGTGAGCCGAGATCATGCCATCGCACTCCAGCCTGGGCAACAAGAGTAAAACTCCGACTTAAAAAAAAAGTAGAGTGGGACATGAGGAAAAAAGGGTAACATTGAGTGGTATGTGACGATGTGGTGGGAGGATCTTTGAAGCCTGATTTTCCACACCAGCCCCAGGTGGCGTGATCAGCCCGAGAGAGTAGGAAGCTAGAGGTGTAAAATGAAGAGAACAGTTGCAGTGTGGGTGGCCCAAGTCAAAGGGAATTGACAAATGCTACATGTTCAGGACATTTTAAAAGTATATGTTCATATTTCATGGGGTATTTATGAGCATGAACAAGAAAAAATTATTTGTATATTTTATGAGAAGCAGCAGTCACCCAGGCAAAAATCCCAGATTAAAAAGGATCCTAAAAGCCTGTTTATCTCATAAGTTAAATACAGTTCATTTAGCATAAGAGCTAGAAAATAGTACTGTGGCTTATTAACAATTAACCAGTAATTTAGTATTATATTATTATATAATAATGTGACAGAACTGAATGATAGGTGGAATTTTAAGTTACAAAAGATGGGTTATTTGTTAAGGTACGTGTAGGTTATAAGGACCATCAGGAATCCACAATAATGTGTAGTAATGGGTAACTCAAAGAATTTTCCAAAATGACCTGGAAAATGACCATCAGAGCTCATGCTGCACAAACCTGCTTCTGTAGGGACATTCAGGCCCCAGAAGGATCTGCACACAGTTAGCAAGCATTATACCACACATTTTAAAATGAGATCTACCTCTCCTTCTGCTACCTTTTGGTTAATTTATTGAAATAGGAATATGTGTTTGCAGAGGTTTGAATCAGAATCTTTACTACATGCAGATCTTTATTCCTTCAGACCAATCTTGGGAAACTAGTCAGTGTTTGCCTGATACTAATGTAAGGATTGTGTTGTTGGTAAACATGAGCAAAGGAGGAGTCAGATTAGTGCCTAAATGCAATATTAGATAGCTGTATTCCTTGGTTTACAAGGAAAAAAATTACTGACAATCTTTTATAAAATGAATCAACCTATAGAATAACAGCCAAGTAAATTTTGTTAGGATTTTCCTTTCACGAAACATTAACCTGTAGCTTATACAGAAATTTTGTCTTTTAAATAGTTTATTAGCAAGCTTAGAGTATTCTTGGAATTGTTTCTTACAAAGACTCTTAAAAAGAGCATTAAATCAACTAAAATTGTACTGCTGAAGGAAGTCAGTCCGGGTGAGATGGCTCCCAGGAGCCACCTCAGCGACCATTTCACAGTAAATGATTGTCTAGGAAGCTTAGCAGATAGATAGGTAAATACATTGAGTGGCAAATGGAAAAGTCACTTCCTATTATTCTCAACAGCTGTGAAGAGTATTCTCAGTATTGAAGACTTTCAGTGCCTCTATAAAATGGCTAACATAATGGAATAGATTTATAAGTGAATTTCTAAGCTAGAGCCTATTTATTTAGCTTTTGCACCATGAGGATTTCATTACCTGAAGTTTTTCATTTATTGATAGACTAATTTATACATTCAGCTATTTATTGATTGATTTACAAGCACTATTTGTACTAAAAGTGTAGCAATTAGTGTTGGAGACGAAGATAGAAAGGCCCTTTGCTTGTGGACCTTACTTCTAGAGGGAAATAACAAGTATTCAAATTCATAATAATATTCCAGATAATATTCCAGACCGTGATAAGTGCTGTTAGGGTAAGAGAAATGGGGTTTTATGTGGCAGAAGTGGAGAGTGGAGCTATTTTAGGTAAGAGGGTTAGGGAAGCCCCCTTGGGAGGCATTAGAGTCTAGAATAATGAAAGAAACAACTATGTAAAAGTATGGAAAAAGAGCTTTGCAGGCAGAGGGAACAGCAAGGCAGATACCCTGAGGCAGCCAAGAAACTAGATCATATAGCTTCATAGGACAATATAAAGATTCTGGATTTTACTCTAGTGTTACAGGAATCCAGCAAATAATTTGGAGCAGGGGAGTGATGTAATCTTCCTTATGTTTAAAAAATATTTGTGGTTGCCTTGTGGAGAATAGGAGTAGAGGATAATAGAAGGAGCAGTAGAAGGAGCTCAGCTAGGATGCTAATAATGTCATCTGCATGTTCTTAGGATAGGATGGTGGCAGTGGATGAATGGACTATTTGAAGATATATATTAGAGGATGTAGTAATGATCAGGACCTGCCTAAGGGATGAATTTAATGGCCATATTCTAAAACTTATGCCATGTTGATGTCCACGGGGTTAATTTTTAAGTCATGTATTTCTCCAAAGTTAGAGTTCTCTAAAAATTTTCATTTGGACTGAATAGCTGAGTGAGGTTTCAGAAGTAAGGAGACAGACCACTGAACAAATTAATGGCAAGAAAAGTCTACATTTGATGGTTTAGATTTGTGCTTCTTTCTGGTTTGTTGAAACAGAAATTTAGCAGTCTGAGACAATTATTTTTATTTTTATTTTTTTGAGACAGAGTCTCACACTGTTGCCCAGGCTGGAGTGCAGTGTCACGATCTCAGCTCACTACAACCTCTGCCTCCCAGGTTCAAGTGATTCTCGTGCCTCAGCCACCTGAGTAGCTGGAATTACAGGCGCCTGCCACCACACATGGCTTATTTTTGTATTTTTAGTAGAAACAAGGTTTCGCCATGTTGCCCAAGGTGGTCTCAAACTCCTGGCCTCAAGTGATCCACCTGCCTCTGCCTCCCAAAGTGCTCAGATCACAAGCATGAGCCACTGCACCCAGCCTAGTCTGAGACAGTTATTTTCTATGGACAGTGGTTCACAAAATCTTGATAGGCCTTGGTTGAGCCATGTGGGTCAGCCTCTGCAGCCTCCTCCCCTGCCCCCTGCCTTGCTGCCTTTCACTCAGTCTATTCCAGTCACACTGCACTTCCTTCTCTCTACACCAACAAGCCAAGCTCTTTCCTCTCCCAGCACCTTTGTGTGAGCTGTGCCTCTGCCTAGGAACCTCTTCCATTACTCCTTTTGGGCACAGTGCTTGCAGCCTCCAAGCTTTCCAGGAGACTGGGAAAAGTCCAAGGGCTGCAAAAATGTGTATTATCTAAAAAATATGAGAAGAAACTCACCAAACTAAAATGAATATATTTTAATTAAATGTCTACAAAATACAACATTAGGCTAACTTCATTAATTGCTAAATTTAATATTCATAAAATTTCAAGATGGAAATAATTTTTTGGTCAGATTCCTGAGTATGCTGAGAAATCACAGCCAAAAGTATATTAAATGCATTACTAGTAGCCAAATAAAATTTAAAGGCAATGTTAAAAAATCCATTTGACTACTTTTTGCAACCTAAAATACTTATATTTAACATGAGACATAGGTGCATTTTAATATGTTTGCTGTGAAGTGAGATGAAATTTCAAAATTAAAAGTATCGAGGTCCTACAAAAGTCTTAAAATGGCTCTGTTTGAGTATGCTCTAAATAAGGCACGTGGTTGCACAGAGTTGGAAGGAAAAAGAAAGATAATTTCAAAGATTCCTCGTGTATTTTCTCTCTCCCCTCCATGCTAAATGTTTTCAGCCAGGGCTGTCAGGCCTGACTACATCAACCAGTGTGTTCTGTTCTAAAAGGAAGTGATGTTCAAGGAAATAGAGGAGACAGAAAAGAACTGAGAGAGACAGGAGTGTGTTGAAAGGGCAAATCCTAATGAGAAGTGGTATAAATGTGGATCAGGTTAGGCCAGGCGCGGTGGCTCACACCTGTAATCCCAGCACTTTGGGAGGCTGAGGCGGGCAGATCACTTGAGGTCAGGAGTTCAAGACCAGCCTGGCCAACATGATGGAACCTCATCTCTACTAAAAATACAGAAATTAGCTGGGTGTAGTGGTGCACATCTGTAATCCCAGCTACTTGGGAGGCTGAGGCAGGAGAATCGTTTGAACCCAGGAGGCAGAGGCTGCAGTGAGCCAAGATCGTGCCACTGTTACTCCAGCCTGGGCGACAGACGAGACTCTATCTCAAAAAAAAAAAAAAAATGTGGATCGGGTGAGTTATCTTCAACCAAAATCGAATCTGGAGATAATGTGGATGCAACATAAGAAAAAGAGGAGTCAGGGAGTTATGGATAGCCTGAGATCGGAGATGAATTGAAGTTGTGTTAGTCCATTCTCACGCTGCTGATGAAGACATACCTGAGACTGGACAATTTATAAAGAAAAAGAGATTTAATGGACTCACAGTTCCACGTGACTGAGGAGGCCTCACAATCATGGCAGAAGGCAAAAGGCACGTCTTACATGGCAGCAGATGAGACAAAATGAGAGTCAAGCAAAAGCCTTATAAAATCATCAGTTCTCATGAGACTTACCCACTACCATGAGAACAGTATGGGTGAACCCATCCCCATCATTCAGTTATCTCCCACTGGATCCCTCCCACAACACGTAGGAATTATGGGCACCACAATGCAAGATGAGATTTGGGTGGGGCACAGCAAAACCTTATCAAAAGTAGTGGACAGAAGCAGGAGGAGCTGGAAACAGCTAAGGCTCTTCTGATCACCTTCATTCCCACATTAGTGGCAGGGAAGTGTTGCCCCTGACAACTCATCTACAAACACACACACACACACACAAACACACATATACACACACTCTTACTTTCCTGACAAAAGATGGGCGGGCACCACAAGAGCTGTGAGGATTGATTCTTCCCTGGGTGCATGGTCTCCTGCAGTCGGCCCCTCTCTGACCCTTGGTCTCCCTCTTTCCCTTCTTCTCTGGGGTCCACAGCCCATGCTGTGCTTTGCACTGACTCCCCCTCCAGCAGGCACCTAGCAGAGGTTTGCTTTTTTGTCCACAGATTGCTCCAGCTGACGCGCATTTTCTAAAAATGCGGTGACGTGGGCAAAATGAAGACTCATTAACATAAACTTGACAGAAATCTTTGAAACCATGATCTCACCAACAAATTTCTATAAACTTTAAAACTATATATTTGTTAAAGTTTTTGGAATTAGCTGCTGGCATCTGGAATGTTGGGTAAATTGGCCTAGTTCCACAGGAGACACAGGCAAGTGGCCGGGCTGAAAATGGAATCTGGACTTCAACAGAAGGGGTGGAGGAGCTGCTCTCTGTGGCTTCTGAAAGAATCTCCCGTCCCACAGCAGCACTGCTGTAAGTGCACATAGCCCAGTTAGAAGAAGAGACAGCATTCATTTGTGGTCATCATGGCCATTGTGTACAGACAACCTGAACCTCACAGTGGACACATTCCCCCCAATTCTATCTCCCATGAAGTTATCTGACCCTTGAGAATAAACTGCCACTAAGCACCCAATTTGATGTGAGTTTTCATTGGATAGCATCTTTCTGTAAATGCTGAATTTTTTTTTTTTTAATTTGAGAGGGAGTCTCACTCTGTCGCCCAGGCTGGAGTGCAGTGGCGCAATCTCAGCTCACTGCAAGCTGGTTTCATGCCATTCTCCTGCCTCAGCCTCCCAAGTAGCTGGGACTACAGGTGCCCGCCACCATGCCTGGCTAATTTTGGTTTTTTGTGTTTTTAGTAGAGACTGGGTTTCACCATGTTAGCCAGGATGGTTTCGATCTCCTGACCTCGTGATCTGCCCACCTCGGCCTCCCAAAGTGCTGGGATTACAGGTGTGAGCCACCACACCCTGCCAGTGTAAATACTTAATTAACAGCAGCCAAGAAACTCAACTTATGCTTTTTACTAGCCTAAAAGTTTATCTAGCTTTAAGATTCTAGCCCTGAATTGAATAACTTATGTGTAAATTTCCAAACTGAGAGAATGGGAATGGGAATGAAAAAGCTGAAGAATATACACTGTGAACTTTAAATAGGAAAGGTAAAGATAAGCAAAACGACACAGGTGCTAAGAACAAAAAGTATAAAAAGAGCCTGAAACAGATGCTGAGAAGTACATGTATTCCAAAAGATTTTTGATTCCTGACATAACCCAAAAATCTTAACTAGATAAATAAGAAGTTGTCTATCCACTTAGAAATCCATAAAGACATTTTAAATGAAGTATTGGGTAAATACATGCCAAAATGCATTGGTAGAGAGATTCCAAATTTGTTTGGAGCTGTAGCTTCTGCCTCTTCTACACAGAAGGAGAGGCTAGAGACGAGTAACAGGTGGTGCTATCAGAGGGAGAAGCCCATGGGAGGGTAAAATTAGTGTCTCCACACATTGAATACCATAGAATGGGGACCATCATGGAAAACCTGTTCAAGTTACAAACGGAAAATTACAACCACAATAATTTAGAGTGTTATTTTAATTTTCTGCTCTAGTCCTTGATGGAGCAAGCAAACAAAAAATAAGTGAGAACATAGACAAATTAAGAAGGTAATTGTCTTAGTTCATTTGTGTTCCTATAAAGATTACCCGAGGCTGGGTAATTTGTAAAGAAAAGAGGTTTATTTGGCTCACAGTTCTGCAGACTGTACAAGAAGTACAGTGCCGACATTTGCCTGTGGTGAGGGATTCAGGCTGCTTCCACTCCTGGCAGAAGGAGAAGGGGAGCCAGTGGGTACAGAGATGACATGGTGACAGAGGAAGCAGGAGAGAGGGCAGGGAGGTACCAGGCTGTTTCTAAGAACCAGCTCTCAGGGAAACTAATAAAGCAAGAACTCACTCATTACCTCAAGGACAGTACCAAGCCATTCATGAAAGATCCACCGCTATGGCCCAAACATCTCCCATTAGGCCCCCTCTTCAGCATTAGGGAACAAATTTCAAAATGAGATTTGGAGGGACAAACATCCAAACTATAGCAGTAATTAACAGGCAAGATTTAGTAGATAAAGATTGTACCCTACAAATAAAATGTATATATACACACATGTATATATATAATAAATGTGTATATATATATCTGAAAGGAATATATATATATGAAAGGAATATATATACACACATATATATACATATATCTACACATATATACACATATATGCATATATATACACACACACATATATATAGATTCCTTTCAGATGTCCAATAGACATTTATGAAAATATCATGAACTAGGCTTAGAGACAGTCTCAAAAGATACCAATAAAACATGACACCAGAATCAGGGACTATAACAGTCACATATTCCACTACTTAAAAGTTTTAAACTTGTGTTTCAGGAGGACAAACCTCCTTAAAGAAACAAAACATTACAACAAATTTGAAGCAAGGGAATATTTTCAACACATATGACAGACTATATATCCTCAATGTATAAAGAACTCTTACAAATCAGTAAGTAAAAATAAACCCACTTTAAAAATGGGCAAAGTCCATGAAAAGGCTTCACACACACACACTGTATATGTAGCCAATAAACATGAATAGCTTCTAAACTTCTTTAATAATCAAAAAATGTAGATTAAGGGAGTGTAGGCATAAAGTGACCAAAATAAAAAGTTCAGTATTGACAAGTAGTAAGCAGTGGCACCTCAGTCATTGTTGATGTTCTTGGTAAATGTAACTTGGTGCAATCTTTTTGGAGGGCAGCTTGACAATAAGTGTCAACTTTTTAAGTGTGTATTTGCTTTAACGAAGGAATCTGCTTTTGGGAATTTATCCCAAGAAAATAATTGGACAAGTGCACAAAGATATACAAGGATGTATATTATAGAAGCATTTCTTATAATAGTAAAAAGTGAAAACAACCTCACCAAATTTTTATAATTGAAGATTGGCTTGATTCATTAAAAATCAAAATGTCTCACCATATTTTGTCAATATAGAAAGATGGCAATTAAATGTTGTAAAAAGGAGTAAAGCATATTTATTATGATTTCATAATTTTTTAAAAAAAAGTATGTGTGTGTACACATGAGAAAAACTGTCTGGAAGTATTTTTACCAAAACATAACTGTACATTTTGTGGTCATCTCTAGAAGGTGGAATTGCCCATTTTTACCTTTTAAAAAATGCTGCTTTTATATTATCGGGTTGTTTTTTCCAATAAGTATACAATTTCTATAATCCACTAAAATAATATGGTTGTTTGTTTTGAAATGTAATACCATAGAAATAACAAGTGAGTTAAAATGCTGCCTTTAAGCCCACAACATCAACAAGTTTTTCCGCCTAATCTAGTAAACGTTTCTTTGATGATTACAAGAACATAACCAATAAAAGAATGATATCAGAGAGGCGTACATTCATTCACCTCTTCTTCTTCAGATGAATATAACTTCTGAATGGTATCAAAACAAAAACAACATTGTATGGCTCTTCTGTTTCTCTAGAAATAAGCTCTGCAGAGCTGTTTTTTCTGTGGGACCCTTGAAAATAATAGAATGTTGCTTAGATTTCTAAGAAATGCAAATATGGATGCATTAGCTTCTCTTATGGCACATGAATAGTGAGATTTCATCCATATTGACTTATATACTAAACCGCTCTTAAAGAGATGGGCTCAGTTGCAAAAAATGGCTCAGTTCCCTAGGTAGCTTGGCTCTTTGACATGAATTTGCTTTTAAGGAACTTTGTGGCTCAAGTATTCTACCACTTACTTTGGCTATGTGTGTCTGCCTTTCATATAAAAGAGCCTTTTTTCTGGAGATGGGAAAGAGGCTCTGGGAAGAATGCAGAAACTGATTTACTTAAGTGAAGATAACCTCAAAACCTTGTCGGTATTCATTACAGCATTTAAGTAACTATAGTTTTGTTAAACTTCCCTACTCCCCAGTTGAGGGACCTTACTCACATGCTCATTTTATTTAACAAACATTCTTTGGGAGCCTTTGATACACAGGACATAGTAGAAAGGACTTCAAAGGAGAAACCAGAAAGCCTAGTTTCTAGCTTTTTAGTAACTGTGTGACCCTGAGGCTAGCAACTCAGCTTCTCTATTTTCCTTCTCCATAACACAATGTTAAGGATCCCTGATGGTCTCCCAGAGGGTCTTGACTCAAAGGTCAAGTGAGATAATCCAGCTGTTAGAAAATCACGATGTCCAAAACAATGTGCTTCTGTGAGTTGTAGGCAAGGTTCTGAGGGCTTTAGGGGATGCAGAGATGAATAAGGTATGATCCCTCCCTGTGGACAGGCTTCCGACCTGATCAAAAAACAGATCCTCAGCAATACATGAGATTAAGAAAGGAGGGCGAGGCAAAGGAGCTGTAGTATGGACTAAGCAGAGAACTGTGGAGACTCAAATTCTACTAAGCTCTTATCCATTTGGCCAGTGTCATGGCCTACTAGCCTTCTTGGAGGTGGGAATAAAGAAGGCTAGAAAGGTAATCCTGTCCTAAGTGGAGTTATCCCCATTCTCTCATTAAATCTTGCAATTAGATGTAGGAGCTTTATTTTTGAGGCACCCTTGCAAGTCAATATAAATAAAGCCAAGCCTCCTGATTCCCAATGCCTTCTCTCTCCAGAATTTCTCCCCAAAATGCTGATGTGGGCTGTTCTTTTCTGTTCCTATGATTGTAACAGAAAAGAAGTTCAGCTTCATGTTTGCCTTTATAAATATGTCTTGATTTAGACAAGCAGCAAAGAGGAGCAGTTTTGTAAGTTAAAGGATCACAGTCTGTGAAATTCATAGTCTGTGAAAAAAAACAGACCCAGTATCACTGCCAGTCTTGAATAAACCAGAAACAATCAAGTAGACTAACGCTATGAATGGTCTGGAGTTTAAAGTGCTTTTCAGTGTTATTTTGCTTCAGATTAAGGCATCAGGATAGATATCATATGGTACCAGGAAGTATGACAGATGTATCACTTAGAAATGCGTTCAGCTCTAGATTACAACAAACACAAGAAAAGACTGACCATGACATAGATGAAAGTAAAGAGGCTTATCTGTCATTTGTAACAAGCAGTCCTAGAATAGGCAGTCCTGGGCTTGTGAGCACCTTAACAAGGACACTGGGGACCCAGGCTCTCTCACTTTTCTGTTCCACAGTCTCAGCAGAGAGGTCTTTATCTAATAATGTTCCATTATTGTCACAAGATGGCTGCTGCCCCCTAGAGAGGAAAGATGACCATAGGAGCAACAGGGAAAAGGATATGGCAGCCAATTCCATTGATTCCCTTTTAAAACACTTATAATGAAAGCCAAATGGATAAATTCACCTTCCACCTTTTACTTATATCTCATTGGTGAGAACCCACTGCTGGACACATGGCCACCCCTAGACCAATCACTGGATAGTGACTAAAAGGAAGAGGCTGTGACTGGCAGCTGGATCAGTCCACACCAAAGCATTTGCAATAGGAAATGGGAGACACCAAATAACTCTAGATTCCTATTCTACCAGTTGAACAGATACAGTTGCTAAGCAAAAATTTGGTTATCATTGTTTAACTGCCTTCATTTTGCTTATTTAATCTATTATTTTACGTAATTTTTATCTTGTTTCTTTCTTGGTGTCTTGGCACCTTTAAAATCTGTTATCAGCTATTCCAAAATAGCTCACAGAGCACATGACTCTCCTCAGCATTGAATACTTCCTCTCTTCAGCCAATTTCGTAGTTACATTTGTAATCATGCAAACATTAGGTGCAGGCAATATTTATAAAACACAGCATTTCCTTCTGTTTCTCTATAGAATTATGAGGACACGAAACCATCTCAGAAGGGAGAAATTTACAAGATGCTGATTGTAAAAATAATCTTAAGTTATTTCAGAAATGCTCAGGTGGGGAAATACTGTTCATGGTGTGAGTGAGAAAGCATTGTTGGCTCTGTCATTTGCAGACCCTTCAGCCCATGTACTACCAGGCACTGTTAGGCTTTCTCCCCTGATGCCCAGGAGACTGGTGTATCTTTAAAGCAAACAATTTAAATGAAGCCTAGTTGGCTGCCTCTAAGTATCTTCCTCATAAAGGATTTTAGAGAGACATTTAACCCTTGAAGCTAAAAGCAATGCCTATTTCTTACAGAGATAAGCATTTGGGATTTCTTTTGCCTACTTAAAAGACCCTAGGAGCAGTATAGACAAGTGTGTGCCTCTATGGCTTACTATGATTTTTATTCTGTGTTGATTTCTTTTATTTTTCCAATATTGCTAAAAATTGCATTCTACAGCTTGATATTTTCCAGATTGCATCCTGTGGATCCAAACACATAACAGCAATCATGGTTTTATATTTTTAACATCAGAGTATCATTGCATAGTAACTGAAAGTTAGTGATTTGTAAATTCACTGTAAACAAAACAAAAATTAAAAAAATTATTCCAAACTGCAGTGTTTTTTCTCTCCCAATCTTACAGTAACAGAAAAACAAAGATATAGTGTCTTTGGTTAAGAAGCTTTAGAGTCAGGCAAAGCTGATTTCCCATTGAGTATCCCATTTACTAGCCCCATTTTCTCATCTGTTAAAAAGAAATAATTATTCCTACTACACAGAGTTACTGAAAGATGGAACTAAGGAAAGTAATGTGGGTATTGTGTCTTAGGACATGGCCGAGATTCCACAAATGGTAGACATCTTTAACAATAATAATAAACAAGTTGTGGCATTTGCTGTCTCTTAATGGATTTGCAAGACTGCTTCAGAGTAGCAGAAACAAGTACTGTGATGGACAAACTTTAGTGTGATTGACCCTGGGAATATTTACATTGACTCATGTAACTACAATATAATATGTCTATATTTTAATCTTCTATGATAAATTACAAGCTCCTGAGCAGTTTTCTCTTAAAAAATTAATTTGCCTGCCTTCAAACAATTTGTAATTATGTAGTACTTAATTGGGACCCGTGACGTGAATTTTACTGATTTGAGACACAACCATTAAAACTATATTATGATGTTTTCAGTAAAGGCCATTTGAAAAATAAGGAAAACAAAAAGAAAATTGTAAATCGCAAATTTCCTGCCACCAAACACAGCTACTGCAAACATTCTGGTGAATTTCCTTCATGCATAATTTTATGGCTTTTTAAGACTTATTTCAGGCTGGGCGCGGTGGCTCATGCCTATAATCCCAGCACCTTGGGAGGCCAAGATGGGCAGATCACCTGAGGTCGGGAGTTCGAGACCACCCTGACCAACATGGAGAAACACTGTCTCTACTAAAAATACAAAATTAGCCGGGCATGGTGGCACATGCCTGTAATCCCAGCTACTAGGGAGGCTGAGGCAGGAGAATCACTTGAACCAGGGGGGCGGAGGTTGCGGTGAGCCAAGATCAAAACTCCGTCTCAAAAAAAAAAAAAAGGCTTATTTAATCATATACATTTTAATGTGATTATATTATCTATAAGTATTTGAAAGATAGATAATGTTCCGTCAAGTGCTCTATCATTTTACTTAAGCCTTCCATTTTGACATTGACATTGTTACCAATTACTATTAGCAGTAATCCTGTAATACTTTTCATATTTTATAAAAACTGTCTCTAAATTTAAAATTATTTTCTCAGGATAGATTTCAAGAAGTGAGATTAATGAGTCAAAAGGTTTATATTCATGAGCAATATATGAGTGGGTACCCAATTTTAGGTACATTTGACAACTGTAGATGTTAACTTTTTTAAAAAAGTTTCATCTTTGAAAGCTTGTTTCAAATTGCATTTATTAGATTGACCGAAATCCATTCTAGAATTTGGCAAGGTTTAAACAAGTAAAATGAAATTATTTTGGTATATAGTGTGAAGTGAAGACTTTAATTTTTCTCTAATACATTGTGTTTAGAATTTTCTGATTTCCATCTCTGTCTCTTTCAGTTTTACAGGAGATTCTAAACTTGCCTCAAGTATGCGCTATGTGGAAACACAATCAATGCAGATAGGAGCATCCTATATGATTCAGTTCAGTTTGGTGATGGGATGTGGCCAGAAATACACCCCACACATGGACAACCAGGTGAAGCTGGAGTACTCAACCAACCACGGCCTTACCTGGCACCTCGTCCAAGAAGTAAGTCTAGTTTCCTTAAACCTTGTAACAGGTAACCTTCTGCCTTTTACCTAGGAAGCCAAAAAAAAAAAAAATTACAGTTCTAGAAGTTTAGGTTTGGTTGAAAAGAAACAGTGTTATTTAATATTTGTAACTTAGAATTAACATAAAGTCAGCAAAGGATTACAAAAATGCCACATTCTTCATGACAGATATTAAAGAATAATTGGAAATAAAAAAGAAATGAAAATAACTTCCAAAACTGGCTACCCTCAAATGATGTTTTGAGTATTATTTTCTCTATCCCTCTTTCTTTATAAATGTGTCCCTTTCTTTATAAATGTGTCTTCATCTGTCTCTACCTATAGGTAGACCATATTAAGAATGTGGTATTTCTTGTCTTTAGAAACAAAGAAGAAATATATAGATCTGGGAATAAAATTCATACATGTCTTAGCAATCTGCCATTGCAACAAATGGATAAATATCATAGTGAATAAACTAATTTTTACCAAATGCCAGTGTTACGATAACAGGCCTAAAAACAGAATCCTAATCCGTCTCTGTTTGTATGTGCGAGTATTGGGAAATACTCAATTTCTTTATGGCACCTCATTTGAAATTATTTCTTACATAATTTTAAGACTTTCTATGAAGTTTTAGCTTCATGGAAAGAAAAATCATGGATTGTTTCCATATCACAAATAGTTAAGATTATGACATTAGATTTCTCTGAGGTCTTTTTCACTTACAGTGGGTGAGTAGACATATTTCACCTGAGGAAAACAGAAGCTGGGTTTGATTTGTGCCTAACTTTCTTTCAGGAATGCCTTCCAAGTATGCCAAGTTGTCAGGAATTTACATCAGCAAGTATTTACCATGCCAGTGAGTTTACACAGTGGAGGAGAGTCATAGTGCTTCTTCCCCAGAAAACTTGGTGAGATGACATCTTTAGATATGGCTGTCACTTTAACTTTGACTATCCCTTTTGATTCAATTCTGTCTCTATTGATTCAAGTATGACTTGAATATGAAGGCAAGTTAAGCACAATAGCATGATGTTTATTCTTTTTATTTTATTATCAAAAGACCAAAACCTTTCATTTATGTGAATGATATTTGAAAAAGAGAGCTAATAACAAATATGAAAATGTGGTTTCCAAACTGTCCTAGCCTTCTCTGACTTTCCTACTTGCCCCAGCTTTTTCTTTTTATGGGAGAACTCAATGAGTCGGTTACTTTCAGTTTGACATACAAAAAGGAATATAGGAATCTAGAAATTCAAGTAATTTGGATTGCAAAGCTGTTTTCTCGTTGCAAACCCTTACTTTTGTATATCAAAAGCTTAATATACACCCTTTCTCTATTCATGTTTTTTCAGTAACACTAAAAATTATCCCCCAGGAAACAGAGGCTTCAGTAAACTAGGAAGAAAGTTAAACATTTGATAGTGTGAAAGAAAAAAGCACAATAGTTTTTTCCCAAATATTACCTTGTTTTGTGTTAGATTGATCACTCAAAAAGATGTAATATTTGGGGAAAAAATTAAACGATTTCTGGTTCAGGATGAAATCACCCAAAGAAAAATCCTTAGACTAGAAATTAGAAGGCCTGAATTCTCAGTATAGCTCTACCAATGATTAATTAATCACGTGATCTTAACCATTCACAACCTCTTCAAGGCCAGGTCCTTGTAAGTATAATGAAAAGGTTTAATTACATGATCTTACAGGTCCCTCCAGTCCTGTAGTTCTAAGATTCTGTAATTTGTGCAGAAGAAAAAGCATAAAAGAGATAAGTATTATATTATTCTGTAGTATCTGCCTAACAATCGCTCTTTTGTAAAAAGAAAATTACTAAATAAACCTTCTCAGATTATTTTATATAAAAGTTAGACTCTACACAAAAACAATTGGTTAGATACCAACCTAGAGTTATTTTTATGCCTTTAGTTGAAGATTGAATTCCTGCATTATGTAAAAATGCCTATTTGATTATTTTGAAGGATGCATTATTATGTCAGTTGGAATACAATGCTTGAAATTTGATTTCCACAGATTTTTCTGTTTCCAACTGTGAGACATTTCCTAGATACTCTACTAATGCTTTGTATAACAAGTTGCTACTTTCTCTAGCATTCTACTTTTTTATGTCTACTGCTGGGAATATAATCAAGACTTTTATTTAATTTCAATGGTATTCCAAGCATATATGTCAAATGTATGCAAAACAGCACTTCAAACAATGGAAATACTGGTCATACTCAAAGCAGAGCTACTGAGGTTTATTTTTTCATTATTTTATTTCCCTCACATAAAAATTGTTTTTTACTCATTGACATGTGAAGCACACTTTCAAAATTATGATGGTAAAATACTACTGATAGTGTATTTTTTTTTTTTTTTTTTTGAGACAGAGTCTTGCTCTGTCACCCAGGCTGGAGTGCAGTGGCGCGACCTTGGCTCATTGCAGCCTTCATTTCCCGGGTTCAAGTGATTCACCTGCCTCAGCCTCCCAAGCAGCTGGGACTACAGGCATGCCCCATTACACCCAGCTAATTTTTGTATTTTTAGTAGAGATGGGGTTTTGTCATGTTGGCCAGGCTGGTCTTGAACTCCTGACCTCAGGTGATCCACCCACCTTGACCTCCCAAAATGCTGAAATTATAGGCATGACCCACCGCGCCTAGCCTAATAGTATATTTTAGAGATGTCTTTTTGTCCCTAGAAACATTATGAACTATTGTTCTTATTTAATGTAGCTTAGGCAAATTCAGAAAGTGTTGTCCTTATCAGAAAAGCCTTTGCAGGTTCTTTGACACTCAAATTGTGTGCTACATTATTATTTTCTAGCTCAAAAGATAGCAACACCAAGCTGGAATTTTTAGTATAGTCAGAAAAGGTTAATTATCTTCAGTGTTAAACACACACTGAAAGGAAATATATTAACCCATAAGCGTTTAAATTCCCTGGAGTACCTGGCAGGTAGTAGTTGTGCTTATTGGACATTGGGGAATTAAACAGAATTTTAACTTGATGAGCCTCAATGTGCTAAAGAGATGTTTTATTATAAAGTATCTCTTTTAATAAATAGTTAATATTATGATGTTAGATAAAGTTTCTACTAAATTATTCCCCGGACCATTTACCTTTAAGTATATGTAACAAGTAATTTAATTCTGCTTTTCCAAATTTCCTTCAAAGCCCTGGAAAAAAAAAAGTGAAAATATTTTTTAAAAAACAACCCAGCAGAATATTTATCTTAACATTCCTACTGACTAATATTTAAACTAAACATTATTGCTACATTTCAAAAAAATCATATTCTACTAGTTATTGTCATTGTTTTTGGATCTATAATGCTTAAAAGCTCTGCCATAAAAATAAAGTATATTTACATTCCTTGGAAGTCTTGATAACTTTATTTATTTTGATAATTTTAAACCTTTGCAAATAGCAGGTTTTTCTCAAGCATTGGGGAAAGGGAATGCAGTTTGTAGCAGTAATCTTTTTTTGGCCAAATCTTTGTTCTGCCGTTTTGATTTAAACATATGCAATTATAAATTGAATACATAAAAGCAAATGTGGTCCCTGCATTATCACATATTTGTTAACTTTGGGAAATGTGCTAGATAGGGCAACTTAGAATGAAAATACTGAATGTATGTACCTGCGTAGAGAAATTACATTGTGTATGAACATTTGTTACCCAATGAAAATTAATTTTGTTTTTATGAGAGACATTTACATAAGAACATGGCCTGATGAGACCCAAACAGCTATCAGTCGCTGACTTCATAAACAAATCAACACCTAATGAGTGAATGAGTTTCAGAATAATTGGGTAAATGTAATTACAGGAACTCTGAAGGTGGAAAATACAATTTAGTCAGCCTTCATTTACCTTGATCCCTCAGGTAACATAACTATGAAGAGATGATTCAATACTGTTTCATTTCAGTCTTCAAGTTATATGGGAAGGAAAAATCAAATAAAGGAGTCAAGTTTTGTTGCTTTGGGGAATCCGGAGAGTTTAGATTTTAAATGCAAGTCAACTTCATTTCATGACCCACACAACAGTAGTTCTGCCTTCAGACTCAATCCAAAGTGGACAAGATTTTCTTCCTAAGATTACTTAGTTTTGAGAGGTAGAGAAAGAAAAACTTGGCAATTTAAATATTTGTATTGAGGGAGAGACACAGCAATGATACCGCTGCAGATCAGAGACTTTGCACCTTGTCTTCTCACGTGTGACAGCTGGAGATTGCTCACACAACTAATTTTTTTTCTCAATAAAACTGAAGCCAATATTCAATCTCTTTTTCTTGCCTTTTCTCTTAATTAACATTAGCACATTAAACTGTGGATTGTGATTTTATTTTTTTATTATTATACTTTAAGTTTTAGGGTACATGTGCACAACGTGCAGGTTTGTTACATATGTATACATGTGCCATGTTGGTGTGCTGCACCCATTAACTCATCATTTAACATTAGGTATATCTCCTAATGGTATCCCTCCCCCCACCCCCCACCCCACAAATGTCCAACAACGATAGACTGGATTAAGAAAATATGGTACATATATACCATGGAATACTATGCAGCCATAAAAAATGATGAGTTCGTGTCCTTTGTAGGGACATGGATGAAACTGGAAACCATTATTCTCAGCAAACTATCGCAAGGACAAAAAACCAAACACCGCATGTTCTTACTCATAGGTGGGAACTGAATAATGAGAACACATGGACACAGGAAGGGGAACATCACATACCGGATTGTGGTTTTAAGTGGAATTGTCCCCTTGAAGTTTTGTGTCCTAAGGAAATAATATCTTTTTTAAAAGTTCATAAGATGCATATAAGGATTAATTTACTTAGGAAAACAATTTAGAATGTGTCTGCATGTGACTGTTTAGAAACATAAACTATGTAACCTAAGACAAGTTTCTGAAACCCTTCCCCATGCCCATTTTCACATTTGGAAGTAAAAAAATCTCAAATTAATGGGTGCCATGGGTTTTTTATAGGCATGTAACTGTAAAGAAAATAAATTGTCACTTGGTCAACGTACCAGCAGAGGAATCATTATATTTGAGAGCTGGAAGGGATCTTAGAAATTAGTTTGCCTAAACCTTTTATTTGAGAGGTGAGGAACTACAAGCCCCTGAAGGCTTATATTTCTCACTAAAGGTCACACAGCTGCTAAGTTGCAGAACCAGGGTCCTGGGGGCCTTGTCCCCCAACTACTAGTACATTCTTCATTCCGTCACCTACAGAAGCCATAAGCAGGCTGCCCTTTACTGACCTGTTCATCCACTCACTGACTTACTGTTTTAGCAAACTTTTTTGGACACCTACTTTATTCTGTTCCTGTGCAAACTATGGAGACTAAAGATATCCCTATCCCCAAAGAGCTCACAATCTAGTCACCCGTGGCCGTGGACTTGACTCAGATTAAAATCTATCTTAAAAGAGTAAACTCAGCTTTCCTTTTCAGGATGACAAGGTGCATAAGTCTTATTTACGTCTATTCTGTAGTGCTCTCTGCTCTAAGATAATGCATCTACTTTTATAGTAGGCTTTTCTAAAAACCATTTCTTAGTGGGACTGTGAATATTGTGATGGCTGTTTGCTTACAAATATAAACTGATTACCATAGAGGAGGTGGTGCATCTGTCCCATCGTATGTTCCATGACAAGCACTGATATGCAGCAACCCTGTGTCTACTGGATGCGTCTCTGTGAATCCTGGTATTATCCTACTAGGAATGAAAATACAACCTATTAGTCACAGATCATTGATAAAATAAACAATAAAGGCTTAGTCGGAATTTTAACAGTCTGTTATGTACTTAGGGAGTACTTAATATGTGGGTAATTGATGCAATAGACTTTAATGGATCATTTAGATCATTAAGATCAAGGGTATCTGTATATAGTGTGCTTGGGAAAGGTTCCTTCAGTGGAACTGAGCATACACAGTAATTTTGCAAATCATGTTTTGTTTCTTTGTTTCATTTAGCCCTTTGACCAAAAGAACCACAGGTCCCTGAAAATTCCTACAGGTGAAAAATATGCTATAATTTTAAAAGAATGTTTTATAGCAGTCAATGAATAGACAGACACCTTCTTGACATTACTCTCAAAATATCCACTTCTCTGGACTTTATATTTCGTTTCAGTGAATTAAGGGCCCAAGTGTTTCTGTCTGTGTAATGAACTGTTTAATTTTCATCCCCACTTAAGATCAGTTTATCCATGAAACTCAGGCAAGTTAGTGTTTCAGAAATAAGTAGAATTTAGCATCCAGATATTCTTCTTTGTAATATAGTACATTGTGGTATGTCCCCTCAACCCCAAAACAATACCCCCAAACAAAACTTTTGTCTTATATTACGAACTAGCTGAAAATGTTCTAATAACTACTGTATTTATTGTAAGAAACTCTATTACTCTAAGGTTAAACATCTTACATTTTTGTCTATAAAAGGCTCAGTTGGCAGGGCGCGGTGGCTTACGCCTGTAATCCCAACACTTTGGGAGGCCAAGGCGGGTGGATTATCTGAGGTCAGGAGTTCAAGAGCAGCCTGGCCAACATGGTGAAACCCTGTCTCTACTAAAAATACAAAAATTAGCCAGGCATGTTGGTGTGTGCCTGCAATCCCAGCTATTTGGGAGGCTGAGGCAAGATAATGGCTTGAACCCAGGAGGCGGATGTTGCAGTGAGCCGAGATCGCACCATTGCAATCCAGCCTGGGCAACAGAGTGAGACTCTGTCTCAAAAAAAAAAAAAAAAGAAAGATAGGTTCAGTTTAGTAGATGTCTTTATTTTTTAATGTTCTTTCTTAGTACTTTTTCTAGCAACAAATCTGTGCAACCAACAAAATCTGATACTGTGTTTTTCTTTAAAACATCTCAAATTAAGATTGAATTGCATCCAATAGACAGATTTCTCTTTAACTTTCTTTCATGATAGAATTGTTGCATTGGACAATAATTGAGTGGAAATTAAAGAAAAATGATGCCAGCTAAGCTCAAGTTCCAGAAAGTTAGTTAGCTGAAAGATTTTGGACTCTGACATTCTTTGCCAATGTCACTGCTGAAAGGTTGAAACCGTTTTTGTTATACTATACCGTGTTTCTAGGTCCAGTGCTACCCGTTTCCGCTGGAGCCAGAGCTATTACACAGCTCAAGACGAGTGGGCTTTGGACAGCATTTACATTGGGCAGCAGTGCCCCAACATGTGCAGTGGGCATGGCTCATGCGATCATGGCATATGCAGGTATGTGCACCAGAAAGCACGATGAGGTCCATGCTTCTCAAGATTTGTGGCTGGAGGATACCACAGCAGTTGTCATCAGAGTGACATGGATAGACCGATAAATAATGACATAGCCAAAAGAAACAAGTCCTCCTTTCTGTTTGTATTTTAGATGTAAAAGCTATTGTTACATTAAAATAAGTATGAAACCATATATTCTAAATCTCAAACTCTAACCTCAAGACAAGGCCTCCTGAGCTTCAACGTCAGAGTTTATTAAAAGAGCCTTGCCATTGTTTCCCTTTTCATCCACTGAGAATCTTAGAGCACTAGTCAAACCCTGCTGCATGCCCTCTTACACCACTTCACCAGAAGTTCAAGGTTGTATACATGGGGAGATGGTGATTATTGCTAATGAGGACAGAGGAACACACTTGAATACCTAAAGACTCTAAAAAAGGCATAGTTTAATCAGAAAGAGGAACTATAAAATGTTGCCTGAATTATATGTTGGTTGAGCAGACAGACATTTATATGTGATTTTTTAAGGCAATAGGGAAATCCCACTATCCCTCAGCCCCCCACAAACACACACTCACATAAGCACACACACCACTGTCCTTCGTAAATACTTGATGCCCAAATTCTACCCTTACAGCATTATTTCTTTTAAGAAAAGATTCTATCAGTTTTAAGGGGAGTATGAAAAACTGAGGGTTGTTACTACCGCATACCCAGATTAACACTGTAGGGAAGAATCTAGTGTGAATGATAAGACCTGAGCAAAAGTAAGACATGGGAAATGGTTGAGGTCAGAGGGCCATTGCATTGGCAGGTGGGCCTGTAACCTGCCTACTCAGCCCTGCTCTCTCATAGGTGTGACCAGGGGTACCAAGGCACTGAATGCCACCCAGAAGCTGCCCTTCCGTCCACAATTATGTCAGATTTTGAGAACCAGAATGGCTGGGAGTCTGACTGGCAAGAAGTTATTGGGGGAGAAATTGTAAAACCAGAACAAGGGTGTGGTGTCATCTCTTCTGGATCATCTCTGTACTTCAGCAAGGTATGACCAACAGCTGGGATAAGTCATCGGGGCAATGGCTAGTTTAATATGAGACTCTGAATTCCAAATGTACAAATATGAAGTGGTTCTATTGTTCCCCACGTTCCCCGCTTTTGAGTGGGCTCTATCAAATTCCTATTCCTTAGCTATGTCTTGGGAAATTCTTGTTGTTCTTTTTATTACTCTTTTTGGTTACTAAAAAATCAGGTTAAGCCAGTTTAAAACTTCTACCCTCCTGTACCTGATTTAAATACCATTACTTTCCTTTCCTTCATTTCCAGCCAGGCTTGTGTATTGAGGAAGTTTGCGTAGGGAAGGCTTTTGGTCTCTTCTCACCCTGGCCTTTGGAGGGTGTGTCAGTGTGAGGCCTGGGGGCAACGAGGGGATGAGCTTAGAGGTTATGGGCAGCAACTCTGGAGCCAGATTGCCTGTTTCCATCCAATTTGACCACTTTATGATTCTTTGATTTTTTTTTAATTATTTAAGTTCTGGGGTACATGTGCAGAACGTGCAGGTTTGTTACATAGGTATACACGTGCCATGGTGGTTTGCTGTACCCATCAACTCATCATCTACATTAGGTATTTCTCCTAATGTTATCCCTCTCCTAGTCCCCCATCCCCCAACAGGCCCCAGTGTGTGATGTTCCCCTCCCTGTGGCCATGTTCTCTCATTGTTCAACTCCCACTTATGAGTGAGAACATGTGGTGTCTGGTTTTCTGTTCTTGTGTTAGTTTGCTAAGAATAATGGCTTCCAACTTCATCCATGTCCCTGCAAAGGACATGAACTCATCCTTTTTTATGGCTGCATACTATTCCATGGTGTATATGTGCCACATTTTCTTTATCCAGTCTATCATTGATGGGCATTTGGATTGGTTCCAAGTCTTTGCTATTGTGAACAGTGCCGCAGTAAACATACGTGTGCATGTGTCTTTATAGTAGAATGATTTATAATCCTTTGGGTATATACCCATAATGGGATTGCTGGGTCAAATGGTATTTCTAGTGATTTTTGAAGCACATTATTCAACCTCCTGGTGATTTAGCTTCCCCATCTGTAAAGCAGGGATATGGAATGTCTACCTCATGAGGGTTAGTATGTAGATTAAGTGAGTTAATATTGGTAAATCATGTAGAACACTTCATAACATATAGGAAGCACTTCTGTATGTGTTTATTAAATCTGTCAATCCATTAATTTTAGGAATATGATTGGAAGAAGGAGGAATAGTGATGAGAGTGGGGGTATGTAGAGCTGTTCCTAGAGAACTGACCAGCTGTCTGGGGTGGGCAGACATCGCAGGTCCTACTCTGACTTGGTTTGGTGGCTGCTGGTGGCATCTGCTGATGTGGGACTCTGTATGAAAGTTTTTCTTGCAGTAGTCAGCTTCCCTAGTGGTAGCACCAGATTAGGCATGCAGATTGCTAGAAACCAACTAAGGACTGAGGTGCCAACCAGAATCACTAAAATTGATGCTCTTGGAATACCTCAACCTGTGTCGCTTGGTTAGGGATGCGAGAGGGGTAACCACCTCTCTCTCCTCCCTCACTGCAGTCTAGGCAGGACATTCTTTTTCTCTTTTCCAATCTGTCTCCTTATATAGTCTTGAAAGGGACTAAAAAGACAGCAGGTCCAGTATCCAACCTGAGCAATGTGTCTAACCCTAATCTTTGGAATGTGGAGTGTGTAATATCACTTCTTTCAAGCAGGTAATATAGCCACCAATTCTGAGGCAATTGGAGGTGTCCCACTTTACAGCATGTAACACGTAGACAGGTGTGAGTGATATGCTACAGGGCTGATATGTTGCAGAATCTGGGCAGAAATCCAAGATGTGTTAATTTATGCAAATACAAAAATAGCTGCAGGTTTTGTTTTAATGCAGGTGAAGAACAAAGAAACAGCAAGTAAACAAGATAGAGGATTATAGAAAATCAGGAAAGGAGTCCATTTAACAGTATTTCCTATCCGTTGACATGGAAGGTCCTCCCCTGATGATTATTGTTAAAGATAATAGTCGCTCAGTTATCAAAATGCATTGCACATATCTGGATCACCTGTTGTTCAGAAATGGAAAGGTTGTGGTCCTATAAGCATCAATTTTAAAGTAAGATTGTGACTCTTTTACCAGTATGTACTCAGACACCCCAGTAAGCACACATACACATACACACACACACACACATTTTAACATGTAAAGGGTTACATATCAATATTTCTTCCACTTAATTCAAGATGATCTCTGAAGTCAGACAGACTATCTGGGCTCCAAAATTTATTGGTTGGTTCACATTGCAAAGTTATAACAACTGTCTGTATCTCAGGTTTCTTGACTGAAAAGTGGATATTGAGAGGAATAAGTAAGTCGATGCAAGTAAAGAGTAAAGAATAATGTTGGGAACACAGAAAGAGATCATATGTGTTAGGTATCATAGTTGAATTTTATGACAATAAATTCCAAATTTGTCTTATTGAATATTTTCACATTTATGCCCTGCAACTAACTAAAAATCATCATTTCAAAAGTAAAATTCTCTGCCCCTTCCAATTCAGCTTTCCCCCTAAATTTTTGTCAAAATATCCCTGGGTTATATTTTACTTTTTTCTGTTGATTCATTCAGAACTGTTTTGAATTCTAAGTAAGAGGAACTATCTTAAGTAAAAAAAAGGGAGAAATTTGATTTATGGGAGGGAAAACACAAGGAGGGCTTAAATGGGGCTGGTGCAAGGGAGACCTGGAACCAGTAACTTTGAAGCTCACAGAACTTTCCCCTTGAGAGTAGACCCGATTTGAAAGAGTAGACCCGTTTTGCAGGCCAGCTCTCACTATGAGAATGGAACCACAGCCACAGGGCTTTCCAACCAGCTCCATAGGAAAAAACAGGGAAGACTCCTGGCGGCCAGTCACAGTGTCCTGGGAGGAATGGTGTGCTATAATTGTATAGCCAGATTCATGCACTCACTTGTTTGGCAGCAAGGTGGATACACTGTCTGGCAGCCCCCACCAGCAAGCATGTTGAAGTGAAGGGGCAGTAACCCAAAGGAAGGGCTCCTTAGACCATTTGCCCACCAGCCTAGATCATATTATCTAAAACTTATCTCCACCCAGATGTGGTGGTTCACACCTGTAGTTCTAGCACTTTGTGAGGCTGAGGTGGAGTATCACTTGAGGCTAGGAGTTTAAGAGCATCCCAAGCAACATGGCAAGAGCCTGTCTCTAAAATAATAAAATAAAATTAGCTGGGCATAGTGGGGCATGCCTGTACTCCAAACTACTCAGGAGAATGAGGCAGAAGGATCGCTTGAGCCTAGGCATTTGAGGTTGCGGTGAGCTGTGATCACACCATTACACTCCAGCCTGGGCGACAGAGGACGACCCTGTCTCAAATAAATAAATAATACATGCATACATACATAATTCATTCTTTCCCTATCCGATCACAAATATTCAAGATGGTCTCTGATACTCCTGCTCTAACTACATAGCTTATATTCATTTTCTAGGCATGAGCCCTTTGCTCCAGCCACAAAGCTCTTCTCACCATCCAAGTTTTTGCCACTGCCTACCATTATGCCTTTCATCTTCTCTGCATTCACATAAAATTTCGGTGTCCTGTTCAAATTCCACTGCCTCCCTGAAGCTTTCTGGAGCTCTGGCAAACTGTACTTCTCTCTTTTCTTAGAATTCCTCTCTGATTTTTACATATAAAGATCATATTTAAATTTTCATCCTCACAATACCAAGCAGAATGTGGAGTCTCACAGACTGAGCCAAACTCTGGCTAAGGTGTTCAGCTCAGAAATGCATGTCATGCACTAGACATTTACAAATCAATACATACTCTTGAGACTAAATAGATTGGAAAATTAATAAGTGATCATATGACTAAATGGGGCTTGACAAGAAATCAGAACTGGGTCTGCAGCCCTCAGTTGCCATTCCTGTCTCTGCCAGAAGTCTGTGAATCCCTTCATTTTTGTTTTTATAATACATGGTGTTCTGCCTGGTATAATTGTTGAAGAAAGACTGAATAAATGAATGAAAAAAAAAGAAAGACAATTGGGAAACAATAAAAGATTCTGAAGAAATGGTTATTTTCAAGTAAATAGAATTGCTTTCTAGTGACATTTTGATTAATTTAGAAAGACTTTAATGGAAAGCAAAAGGTGATTAGTCATGAAATGTTTTGGAGGTTTTGTTATAAACGTTCTAGATTCTGAAAGCCTTACCTGTTAAAACTTGTTTTATTTTAGCTAAACCCTTAAAGCAGTAAATCATTTTAACCTAGAATTTGGGGGGAAATTGGAGGCCATTTTCCATATACCAGGAATGGCACAATATTATTACTCCAACACATATGCGCACACACACATTACATGTGTTTACACATATACACATAAATACATTGATCACAGCGTAACAGAAAAACTGCAAAGCATATGTTACATTGAATTCTGAATTCTGGCAAAAACTTTGCCATGAGCCATTTCCCTTTTCTTTTTTCTTCCTTTAAAACAATGTTCAGCATTTCAGGTCACCAAACAAAAGAAAATGATTTGTGCTATTCTCTAGGAAAAAACACTTTCAGTGCCAAACTAAGCATTTGTGTGATATTTTCCATCATTTACAAAAATCTCACAAAACATTCTTTCAAAACCTCTGTAGACTAACACCATAGTCTCCTGGAAAAACAACACTACTCTGAATTTCACAGTAGAGCAATCATTTCAACCAACTAATTGTGATAACTGGATTTTTAGAATTCCCCTCACCTTAGATCTTTATCCTTCTGGCTCATTTCCACATGCCAGGTTTTTCACAGGAGTTTGCTGGACTGGAATTAACCTGCTAGGTTCTATAGTTTTTCTTCCAAAAATCATTCTTCCTGTAATGATCGGGAGGGTTGAAAATGCTAGGATCTCTGAGTTGTTCTCACTTACAATATTTCAAATCAACAACAGGAAAAATTAAAAGGCATATATAACAACTTAAAAATGCATGTAACTTACAAGATTTCCTCAAATACATACCTAAAATTGAGATTTCCAAAGAATGAGTTTCTGTCTCTGAATTAACTTCAGTTCTCATTTTGCTAGCACCCTTGTTTATTTTGAAAACTCTTAATTGGCTTTAGACCTATCAGTAGCAGTATAGTCTTTTAATTAACCCCAGTTATTTCCCCTGTGACTTCTAATAACCGAAACCCTTTCTTAATTAACTTAGTGGATTAGAGTTTAAATCCTAAGTGTGAGAGCCATTTTTCTGTAATACTATGTATATTATCTCAGGTTTTCTTCCCGACTTTTAATTGAACTTCCTGGGAACTCTCAGAGACCAGCTCAAGAGAAATCCATGGATGAGCTTTGGAAGAATCTGTTTAGGTGGAAGACTTTCATAAGCAAACCTTTCTTCAGCCCCATTAGCTGAAATCATTTTGAACAACAGGAACAATGACAAACCTTGTTAATTTCTGTCTGACACCTCACCACAGGACTGTGACCTGCAGGGGACTCACTAAGCAAAGGAAGCAAGTTCTTGGATTTCAGGAAATTTGTAACACTTTTAAGACACAGAGACCATTTAGTGGTTGCAACAATTTATTTAAATGATCTCTCCTAACTTCTGTTTGTGAGAGAGAAGGAAAGGAGACTAGGATCCTGAGAGATTCGATTCAAGTACTCTTTATTTTCTTTTTTGAGACAGAGTCTCACTCTTGTCACCCAAGCTGGGGTGCAGTGGCCTGATCTCGCTCACTGCAACCTCCATCTCCCAGGTTTAAGTGATTCTCCTGCCTCAGCCTCCTGAATAGCTGGGATTACAGGTGTGTGCCACCATACCTGGCTGATTTTTATATTTTTAGTAGAGACAGGGTTTCACCATGTTGGCCAGGCTGGTCTCAAACTCCTGACCTCAGGTGATCCACCCACTTCGGCCTCCCAAAGTGCTGTGATTACAGGCATGAGCCACCGCGCCTGGCCTCAAGTACTCTTTCTTTTTGTCAAGAAGCTTCTACGTTGCCTGGTCTACTTTAATGCCCACAGGACAGGAGGGTCAGGGCCATATCTCTGGAGAGGATGTTCCCTCTGGAAGGCATGCTGTGTACTAGCAAGTTCCATGCAACATGTTATTTCATCTAATTGTCACAACACCATATGAGGAAGGTATTATTATCCATATTGTACCTTTGAGGAAAATAAAAGCTCAGAAAGGTCACACAGCTAGTGATCAGTATGAATAATGGGCTGAGATTCAAACCCAGCTCCAACAGATTTCAAATAGATGGTCTTTCATCTGCATGGTTCTGCCTAGAGGAAATATGCAAAGTAAGGATTCAGAGTGTTTTCGTTAAAATTTTAAAAAGCTTTTTAGTACTCTTGGTGTAATTAGCAATTCCCAAGGGTCTCTCATAACCCAGCCTGGGAATCAGTAATGTAGACATTAACCAAAGGTATCCAGCAACAGTTACCGTAGTCGGATCAGAAACAACTAAATGGCATGACTGCCCTCTCTCCACAATAAATGGGGACGAGACCATTTCCACATAGTGCTAAGATGTCCATGTGAATTTGGAACTGAAACAACAAAATGCCAAAGAACTCCCAGATTACTGAATTTGATTTTTCTTCTTTTCTGAAAGGCTGGGAAAAGACAGCTGGTGAGTTGGGACCTGGATACTTCTTGGGTGGACTTTGTCCAGTTCTACATCCAGATAGGCGGAGAGAGTGCTTCATGCAACAAGCCTGACAGCAGAGAGGAGGGCGTCCTCCTTCAGTACAGCAACAATGGGGGCATCCAGTGGCACCTGCTAGCAGAGATGTACTTTTCAGACTTCAGCAAACCCAGGTAACTACCCACCTGATGGTCCTCGCATTAGTTTCCAGGAATGGTAAAGGTTAAATCATTGTTGATGTGTTTCCAAAATGTTAACTGTTGCAAAAATAGACAAACCTATAAAAATTTAACATGAATGATAGCCCAGTATATAAAGATTTTATTTCACTTAAGTGACTGGACAGAAAGCATTTGTATTCATGTTTGAATTTTTAAAGATTTTTTAAAGCTTGTGACTAGAAGAAAAGCAAGATACGTAACCACTGTTTACTCAAAGAAACCATGGAATATGGGGATGTTCCACGCTCATTTTCCCATTTGCAGGCTTGTTTGATTATTTTTAATGCACACACAAATTATGCTTAGCTCTTAGATTTAACAGTAAGATGGATTTTTTTGTTAAAGTGTTTCACATGGCTGCACCAAGGGCTATCCCTAAACAGTGTATGAGTAAGTGTATAGAGCTCAGATTTTCTAAAAATTTTGCCCTGGCCTATCCCTGTCTTAATTTTGATGTATTGGGAATATATGTAATAAAATATCTTAGGCAATGACTGTTGAAGAGTTTGGGGAGATGACTCGTGTTTAATACTAATACCAGTACCAGGCAATGTATTTATATGTATTTAAATTTAGTTCTTTTGCAATTATGTAGTATTTTGAAATTCTGTATTTATATTTTATATAAGTATTATTAAAGTCTATTCAATGATATTATTTTAGAATACTTTTTATAATCTCTGTATTTTCATTTTAACAAAAAAATAATTTTTTGTATGTTGACTACTATTAAGTTTTAATATATGGATCTTGTCCCTGTTTTCATTTTACAAATGAGACTTGTTTATTGAAAAAAAATTATTTAAGACTATATAAACCCAGTTCTTACAGACTGAATATGTTTTAAACATTTTACTTAAAGCATACCTATTTTGTAGATTGAAGGTTCATAAGTTTGACTTTTTAAAGTATTAGGTCATTTAAAGGTGACAGAACTTACCATGATAAAACATAAGTAGACATGCAAACAGACCAACAGAAAGCATTTCTTCTAAGGGATTTAGGGGAGAAGGAGAAAACAGAAAAAAGGCAACTGGATGAAACGAGAGATATCATAGGAAAAGGGTGGGAGATGAAGCCTTGTGAGATTCTCCTAGATGCAATATAGTAGAGAGGGAATTGATAATGGTGCCAAACTGGCTTAAACAATAATTTTAAATAACTCAAATTATTTTTTCCAAGTAATATGTGAATCTGAAATTATTGAGAGTTCAGTAAGGTGACTAGGTAACTCTATAAGTAAATAAAAATGTAATGGCTTCCTCAAATTGCAGAATAGCATGTCTTTGTGATGAAAAATTACATACACAAAATTATTTTAAAATATAGTTTTACTAACATGAGAATGTACTTATGATGTAATGTTAAGTTTTAAAATGTAGATCACCAAATTATACGTATAATGCCTTGCCTATATAAAAGATTATAAGCTGTGAAGAGATACATCAAAATGTTAACAGAAGCCAACGCTATGTAGTAGATTATGGGCAATTTATGTTTCATTTTTAATGCATTTTTATGTTTTCCCACAATGAGAAAGAATTCCTTTGAAAAAAATGTTAAATATTATCTTCATGTAATAGTATTAAACAATTTTATCTTGATATTTCTTTAAAAAGTTATGACCATTGTCATGGTAGTCAAAAGATATAGTTCAATGAATCAAACTCAGTTGAAATATTCTCCCTCTTCTCCAAAAGATACAATTCCAAATGAAATAAACATGACCAGGACTAAACCTGCCTACAAGGTTAAACCTCAAGTCTGATATGTCCAAACTTACGGGCTTTTGGAAAATATTGAGATCAAACCAAACAAAACTTTTCTCTTGTTGTTACCCTTGTTGTTTTAATAGCTGAAAAAAAAAAAGCACAGCTTTTGTTTTCCCAACCGTAAATGATTTACTTTTATTCAGATTTGTCTATCTGGAGCTTCCAGCTGCTGCCAAGACCCCTTGCACCAGGTTCCGCTGGTGGCAGCCCGTGTTCTCAGGGGAGGACTATGACCAGTGGGCAGTCGATGACATCATCATTCTGTCCGAGAAGCAGAAGCAGATCATCCCAGTTATCAATCCAACTTTACCTCAGGTATTCTCCTATGTCTGAACTCCAAGAAGACAGATAATTATAAAAGTGAATGGCATAAAGAACTCATTTCCTTAAGGATTTAGTGCTTGACACTGAATGTATAATATAAGTTTAAGGGCTTGTACTTAATTTTTTGTTACCTCTCTATGCTACCACTTCACAGATAATTTAGATGTAAAAAAGACTGAAGTCTGGTTAAATCATCAAGCAAAATCGTTAGTGTGTTTATAAAATGATTAGATACACAGTGGTAAAATACTTTCAGTTGTTGAATCATCAGGAGAAAAAGTTAATAGCAGTAAAAAAAAATAGAGATTCTTCTGTGTTTTCCTAGAAATGCAAATGGTACATGGCCCAGCATGTCATGAAATGAAAATTCCTTTCTTGTTTTCAAAGCTATCAAATTGCCTTTTGTTTTATTTGTATTGTTTCTATTAGAACTTTTATGAGAAGCCAGCTTTTGATTACCCTATGAATCAGATGAGTGTGTGGTTGATGTTGGCTAATGAAGGAATGGTTAAAAATGAAACCTTCTGTGCTGCCACACCATCAGCAATGATATTTGGAAAATCAGATGGAGATCGATTTGCAGTAACTCGAGATTTGACCCTGAAACCTGGATATGTGCTACAGTTCAAGGTATTTATGCACAAGCTTCTTCCCAGAGCAAGTTAAGGAGTAAAATATCTTCCAGATGTATAAGTGGAACTCACAAAGAACACAAATTTTTCATATTCTATTAAAGAAGGGACTCACCTGTACGAAAGCTTAACAGTGTTAGAATTGCGAAGCTTTTCAGCTCTACTCGAAAGCAGTTATTAGTTTTTAAGGAGTCCCAAAAGTTGTGGGTATACCATTTCTTTAGGTACTCAAGGAACTCTACCAGAATTAAAAATAAAATTGACTTTTAGAACTTCAATCTGATTGTGACTTAATGAATCTCAAGCTTCTAAACGATGATGAATAAGTTGTCCTTTTCATCTTGCTAGTGGTATTTGAACTTACAAGGTATTTTATGCTTTTGCTGTATTATTTTCAAACAAATTATCTTACTTAAATTCAGTAAATTTTTACTCCAGTCATCATTGTTCTCTTAAAAGCTTCTTGTTTTTCAGCTCTGTGATAACATATCAACATGTATAGCAAGTATTTACTTTGACAAGGTCTTGTTTCAGAACCCTAATCAAAATTTCATTGTGTTTATAATAAAATCCCATAGGTGACTTCTGGGGTTGAAAGTAATGCAGTTTTAATGAGCTAGCACAACTACATGGTCCTTACATAATGGCAGGATGCAGATGCTAAATAATTTACAAATGGAATTATTAAAGAGATCAGATGTTTATAGGCAGCTCTTCAAATACAATTTCCACAGGTCTGTAAACAAGGAAGTGAGTCATAAATAATATGATTAGTAAAATGTAACCCTTCCTTGTTTAGATTCTGATGCTAAACTACAATGGAAAAATATCAATAACAATATATGAATCTATATTCATTTGTTGGTAATACCTAAAGTAGTAACAAAATAATGTTAATAGCAAATATATTTGCAGAACACTATGCTGTTTCTCATCTGACACCTTTTCTATTTAATTAATCACAAACCATGGTTGTGTAGGTATTAAAGTCTGCAAGATAATATTCTGAAATTTTTAAAATCTAAATTTAAAAAATAGTGTTAAATATTTCAAGCATTTAAACAATGATCAGGAATGCACACTGCTTAGGAAAAATCTTAATTCTCTACCATTTGACCCAGCAATCCCATTATTAGGTATATACTCAAAGAAGTATAAATCATTCTACCATAAAGACACATGCATGTGTATGTTCATCAAACCACTACTGACACTAGCAAAGACCACCTAAATGCTCATCTGTGGTAGACTGGATAAAGAAAATGTGGTACATATACACCATGGAACACTACACAGCCATAAAAAAGGATGACATCATGACTTTTATAGCAACATGAGTGGAGCTGGAGGCCATTATCCTAGGCAAACTAATAAAGGAACAGAAAAACAGATGCCACATGTTCTCACTTGTAAGTGGCAGCTAAACAATGAGAACACATGGACACGTAGGGGAACAGCAGACACTGGGGCCTACTTAAGGATGAAAGGTAGGAGAAGGGAGAGGATCAAAAAACTACCTATTGGGTAGTATGCTTATTACCTGGGTGACAAAGTGATCTGTACAGCAAACTCCCGAGACACACAGTTTACCTATATAACAAAATTCAGATTACAATGGATTTTAAAATGTTGAGTAAAGAGGTCTACACAGTGAATACGACCTTTCTCTCAATTTGTTTAGCTGTGTAGTTAGAGGGAGACCAAAAATCAGGGAGAATTTTTATTTTCTTTTGTTTTATTTTTATTTTTAAAGATAGGAGAGACTTAAACATATGTATCTGATCCATAGAAGGTACACAAATAAATATTTGTTGAAGGTAGGCCTAAATCCTGAATGGAAAGTTTAAGATAAATTTTATGTTTAATACAGCTGAGAGTATGTCTACACTACCCTATATCTGATTTCTAAAGCACGAACTTGTCACAGAACTTCAAGTTCCAACCACTTGTCTGTGTTAGAAACAACAGCAATCATGGCAAATTTAAGACAAAAAGTTAACTAGGTGTGCCCAATGTGGCTGCTCTCACCACACACCAACCAAAGGCCACTGTTACTATTGAATAATGCAGTAAAAGGAATTTGTGTTAGAAGAGTTTAATCATGCATCTGAGAGGGTTAAGTTTTTAATTATATTCTTGATGTTTTACTATATAAACTTGGATAAATTGTGCACAATAAAATTTCTACTAACCAAATTATAAATTCTCTGAGAGATGCTTTCTAGCTGTGAGTATGGAAATAAAGAAGATACTAAATCTTCTTTTTAAAAACTAGATAAAGCTGCCTTACAGTCATGAGGATTAACTGATTGACCTCCTGAGCTATGGCTCAATATTATTAGTCCATGTCTCTCCCTTTATTTTTTTGTCGTATCATGTTCTTTTCATTCCTGATTTCAATTTTCCTTCTAAAAATCAGACTATTCTTATTTAGTAAAGTCTTTTACAACAAAATTTGTGGCTCCCGCCAACAAATGAAATAAGATGTAAATAAGCCATTCATATAAGATGGCAGGTAATTAAATGAACATGAGAAAAAGAGTTTGACATTTATAATTATGAAAAGTGTAATAAAATTCATTTACACATTTATTTGGAAATAAACTGTCTTAAACTATAATACCCAATGCCTAAACTGATTCATTTGGACTCAGCCAATACAAAATGAGCACAGATAACTAGAAAATTTTAAGTGTTTCTACATTTTGACTCCTTAATGCTACTCTCAGGAATTTATCTGGTGATGACAAATCAAAGAAGAAAGGTATATTCTCTGCAACGCTATGTATAACAGAATGTGGAGGAAAGCTCTAGATGTGTAATAACTTCAACTGTAGGACCAAAATATAGCTTCCCTATAAAGATCAGAAGAGAAAATAGAAAAGAAAGGACAGTTATGATAGGCCAGTGGGATTTAAGTTGTATTTTTACCATTTTTTAAATGTTGTTAATCCTATGATGAGTCCTCCATACAAGTACACCAAACAGTAACAGTTTCATTTCTGGATCATGTTGCTTATTTGATGCTGTGATAAACACTCAGCTGTTTCATCTAAGTTGACACTGATTTTATTTTATATTTATTTATTTATTTATTTATTTATTTATTTATTTATTGTTGAGATGGAGTCTGGCTCTGTCACCCAGGCTGGAGTGCAATGGCGTGATCTCAGCTCACTGCAACCTCCGCCTCCCAGGTTCAAGCAATTCTCTGCCTCAGCCTCCCGAGTAGCTGGGATTACAGGTGCCCGCCACCACGCTGGCTAATTTTTGTATTTTTAGTAGAGACAGGGTTTTACCATCTTGGCCATGCTAGTCTTGAACTCCTGACCTCATGATCCACCCGCCTCAGCCTCCCAAAGTGCTGGGATTACAGGCATGAGCCACCGCACCCAGCCGGTTGACACTGATCTTTAATGAGCTTTGGCAAGGAAACAGAAGGAGGATGCTTGTTCCACTGAAACCTTCCTGTACTGAAGAAGACAGCTGCTTCTCCATCTTATGGTTTCCTCTGTCTGTACCCTCTGAGGAGGGAGAAAAAAGCAGCTTCTTGGCATATCTTTTGTCTGAGACTCAAGAACCACATACACTGTGCTTCTCTCTTCTCTCCTATAATCCCAAGAAATCCACAAAATGAGTCCAGTTTTCTAGTAAAAAGTACCTATTGTTTGCTTAAACAAAGAATTCCAGAATCTATTGAAGGGTCTTGGTTGGGACTGAGCTCACAATTCCTATCATTGTAAATTCAGTGCAGACCCATTGGAAGGCACCCTGGATGCTGTAGCATCTAATTTGTTGAGTGATGACTTAGAACCAAAATCTTGTATAATTCTTGTCCTTCCTTTTAACAGCTAAACATAGGTTGTGCCAATCAATTCAGCAGTACTGCTCCAGTTCTTCTTCAGTACTCTCATGATGCTGGTATGTCCTGGTTTCTGGTGAAAGAAGGCTGTTACCCGGCTTCTGCAGGCAAAGGATGCGAAGGAAACTCCAGAGAACTAAGTGAGCCCACCATGTATCACACAGGGGACTTTGAAGAATGGACAAGAATCACCATTGTTATTCCAAGGTCTCTTGCATCCAGGTAAAGTAATCATTCTTAATGGGTTTGGGCCATTAAGAAAGACACAGTCCCAAATGCTATAACCCTAAATGTTGTAATCCTGAAAGATCAAAACCCCGAAAATACAATTCTGGGAAAAATAATTTTTAAAACATTTATTTATATCTTAAAAGGGGATTTATCTGAGAAACATAAAAACATGACAGAACACTTCATAGGCCACTTTACACAATACTTATTTTTGCAAGCATAAACATTCAGATATACTAAAGACTGTTGCAATGGCTTAACATTTATGAGCAGACAAAATGTATACATAAAGAAATAGGTCAAAAAGCAAAATGTATAAATGTGTATCACCATGGTGGGTAATTGTTTGCACTCAGCTTTATAAATGTGGCCATCTGAAATACTGACAGACAATTTAACTCTTCTGATGAGGTTGATCAAAAACCTCAGTGGGTCACCACTGCATATGCAGTCACCAAAAAGCTGAGACCTGAAGAAATTTTATCTTTCACAAAAGCAGATGTATGAAAAAGATGTCTCTCCCTTTACTGAGAAAGTTTTTCAATATTTTTAGGTACACCCACATACACACAACATCAACATTGCACTTTTGTGGAGTCAAATTTGCAAAAAAAATGCATGAAACAAATTATAACTCTAAAAGTCCTTACATAATTTACACATCCCATATTGGAAATGATGTGAAGATATAGCACATCAAATAGATAGCATAGCAAATAGGCACAGTGTGGGAAGTGCAGAAGTCCTGTGACGGGATAATTTGGTGGGGGAGATTTCTTGTATTTTTGGAGATTTCTTATATTGTTTTCATTTCTATGATCTTCAAAACACTCACTATGCTTATATTTGGAGACTGGTTGTGGTCTACAATGTTTGTAGGGATATGCTGTCTGAAAATCTGGTTATTGCTCAGCCATTGCAATTAAGCAATTTTCTGCTTTCATAGCACCAATAATAACTAGCTTTTACACTTTTGTATGTCTTATTTGTCAGAGTACATGTGAAATATTGTTACATGTACATAATGCATACTGATTGTGTCAGGATATTTAGGGTGTCCATCACTTGAGTACAGTATACTTTTGTTAAGTATAGTCACCCTTCTCTGCTATCAAGCATTGAATTTATTCCTTCTATCTTACTGTATGTTTGTACGCTTTAACCCACTTCTTTTCATCCTCCTCCCTCCCTCCCTTGGTAGCCTTCCTAGTCTCTGTTATCTGTCTTTCCAGTCTCTATCTCCATGTATGAAAAACATGTGATCGAATATTTTAGATCTCCCACATATAACTGAGAATATGCAATATTTGTCTTTTTGACCCTGGCTTATTTCACATGAAATAATGGCCTCTGGTTCCATCCATGTTGCTGCAAATGACATGATTTCATTCTTCTCTATGGCCAAATAGTATTTCATTGTGTATATCCATGTATCTGTTGATTAACATTTAGGTTGATTGCATATCTTAGCTATTGTGAACAGTTCTGCAATAAACACGAAAGTGCAGGTATCCCTTTGATATATTGGTTTCTTTTTCTTTGGGTAGACACCCAGTAGTAGGATTACTGGATCATATGGTAATTTTATTTTTAGTGTTTTGAGAAATCTCCATACTGTTTTCCACAGTGGCTGTACTAGTTTACATTCCCACCAACAGTATATAAGAGTTCCCTTTTCTTCATATCCTCACCAACATCTGTTTGTTTGTTTGTTTTTTGTCTTTTGAATAATAACCACTGTGACTGGGGTAAGACAATATTTTATTGTGGTTTTGATTTGCATTTCTCTGATGATTAGTGATGTTGACATTTTTTCATATACCTTTTCACATTTGTATGTCTTCTTTTGAGAAATGTCTATTCATGGCCTTTGCCCACCTTTTAATTTTATTTATTTATTTCTGTTGCTGTTGTTTGAGTTCTTTGTATACTCTATTCCTATTATATTGGTCCCTTGTTGGATGAAAAGTTGCAAATATTTTTCCGATCCCATAGGTTGTCTCTTTACTCTGTAGGTTATTTATTTTATTGTGCAGAAGCTTTTTAGTTTAACAGAGTCTCACTTGTCTGTTTTTGTTTTTGTTGGCTGTGCTTTTGAGGTCTTAGTCATAAATTCTTTTTAGACCAATATCCAGGAGAGTTTTCCATAGGTTTTCTTCTAGAATTTTTGTAGTTTGGGGCCTCATGTTTAAGTCCAATCCATTTTGAGTTGATTTTTGTATATGGTGAGAGATATGGGTCCAGTTTCATTCTTCTGCATGTGGCTATTCAATTTTCCCAGCACCATTTATTGCAGAGGGTGTCCTTTCCCCAGTGTAAGTTCTTGTCAGCTTTGTCAAAGATTAGTTGGCTTTAAATCTGGGGCTTTATTTCTGGATTATCTATTCTGTTCCATTGGTCTGTGTGTGTATTTTTACACCAGTATCATGGTGTTTTGCTTACTATTGCTTTGTAGCATAATTTGAAGTCAGGTAAGGTGATGCCTCTTGCATCCTTTTTGTTTAGGATTGCTTTGGCTCTTCAGACTCCTTTTTGATTCTATGTGAATTTTAGGGTTGTTTTTTCCAATTCTGTGAAAAATGACATTGGTAATTTGATAGGAATTACATTGCATCTGTAGATTGCTTTGGGCATTGTGGTAATTTTAACAATATTGATTCTTCAATCCATGAGCATAGGATTTTTTCCATTTGTTTTTGTGATCTACAGTTTCTTCCATCTACAGTGTTTTCTAGTTTTCCTTGTAGAGATGATCCATCTCCTTGGTTAAATGTATTCCTAGTACTTATTTTATTTTGGAGATTGTCAATGGGATTGAATTCTTGATTTTGTACTCAGCTTCAATGTTACTGGTGTATAGAAATGCTCTGATTTTTGTACGTTTATTTTGTGTCCTTAAACTTTACTGAAGTCATTTTTCAAGTCTAGGAGTTTTTTGGAAGGGTCTTTAGGGTTTTCTAGGTATAAGATCATGTCATCAGTGAACAGAAATAATTTGATTTCCTTTTTCTCAATTTGGATGCTTTTTATTTCTTTCTCTTGCTTGACTGCTTTAGCTAAGACTTCTAGTACTATGTTGAACTGGAGTAGAGAGGGTGAGCATCCTTGTATTGTCCCAGTTCTTGGAAGGAATGATTTTACCTTTTCCCCACTCATTCAGTATAATGTTGGCTGTGGGTTTGTCATATATGGCTTTTATTTTTTATTTTTATTTTTATTTTTTTGAGATGGAGTCTCACTCTGTCGCCCAGGCTGGAGTGCAATGGCGTGATCTCTGCTCACTGCAACCTCCGCCTCCCAGGTTCAAGCAATTCTCCTGCCTCAGCCTCCTGGGTAGCTGGGATTACAGGCAAGCATCACCATGCCCGGCTAATTTTTGTATTTTTTAGTAGAAACGGGATTTCACCATGTTGTTCAGGTTGGTCTTGAACTCCTGACCTTGTGATCCACCCTCCTCGGCCTCCCAAAGTCTGGGATTACAGGCATGAGCCATCACGCCCGGCCTGGCTTTTATTATTTTGAGGTGTGTTGCTTTGATGCCCAGATTGTTGAGGGTTTATATCGTATCAACATCATGAATGGATGTTGGATTTTATCTAATGCTCTTTCTGCGTTTATTGAAATGATCATATGTTTTTGTTTTTAGTTCTGTTTATGTGGTGAATGACATTTACTGACTTAGGTGTGTTGAACTATCCTTACATCCATGGAATAAACTCATTCAATCATGATGTATATCTTTTCGATGTGCTGTTGTTTTCAGTTTGCTGGTATTTTCTTGAGGATTTTTGTGTCTATGTTCATCAGGGATACTAGCCTGTTTTCTTTTTTGGTTGTGCCCTTGCCTAATTTTGGTATCAGGGTGATTCTGGTTTTATAGATTGAGTTAGGAAAGAATCCCTACCCATCAATTTTTGGAATCTCTTTAGTAAGATTGGTACAAAGCCCTGCTTTGTACATCTAGTAAAATTTATCTGAATCCATCTTGTACTGGGGTTTTTGTTGTTTTTGTTGTTGGAAGACTTTTTCTTACTGCTTTAAAATCATTACTTATTATTGGCATGTTCACAATTTCTATTTCTTCCTAGTTAATGCTTGGGAGGTTGTATGTTTCCAGGAATTTATCCGTTTTCTCTAGGTTTTCTAGTTTGTATACATAGAGATGTTCATAGGAGTCTCCAATGATCTTTTTTATTTCTCTGATACCAGTTGTAATGTCACCTTTATTATTTCTGATTGTGCTTATTTGAATCTTCTCTCTTTTCATCTTGCATAATCTAGCAGTCTATCAACTTTGTTATCTTTTCAAAGAGGCAACTTATCATCTCATTGATCCTTTGTATTCTTTTTCTTGGTTTCAATTTCATTTAGTTCTGCTTTGATCTTTGTTATTTCTTTTCTTCCACTAGCTTTGGGTTTGTTTTGTCTTTATTTTTCTTCCTTGAGGTGCAATGTTAAGTTGTTAATTTACAATCTTTCTATCTTTTTTATATAGGCATTTAAAGCTATAAACTTTTAGCACTGCTTTTGCTGTATCTCAGAGGTTTTGGTATGTTGTGTCCCTATTTTCATTTGTTTCAAATTTTTTTTTTATTTCTGCCTTAATTTCATCACTTACTCAAAGATCAGTCAGGAGCAAGTTGTTTAGTTTCCATGTAATTTATATAGTTTTGAGAGTTCCTCTTGGTATTGATATCTAATTCTATTCTGCCATGGTCTAAGAAGATACTTACTATAATTTCGATTTTTAAAAATTTATTGAGACTTGCTTTGTGGCCTAGCATATGGACTGTTTTTGAGAATGTTCCATGTGCAGAAGTGAAGCAGTATATTCTGTGGTTGTTGGGTGTAATGTTCTTTAAATGTCTGTTATGTCCATTTGGCATAGAGTCCAATTTAAGTCCAGAAGTTCTTTGGTCATTTTCTGCCTCAGTGATCTATCTAGTGATGTCATTGGGGTGTTAAAGCTACCGATATTATTATGTTGCTGTCTGTCTTTTTTCTTAGGCCTAGCAGTATTTATTTTATGAATGTGGGTGTTCCATGGTTGGGTACATATATGTTTAGGATGGTTGTCTCTTCTTGTTGAATTGAACTCTTTACCATTATATAATGCCCTTTTCAGTCTTTTTAAACTTTTGTTGAATTACAGTCTTTTATCTTACATGAGTGTAGTTACTCTTACTCATTTTTGTTTTCCATTTGTGTGGTATATCTTTTTCCACCCCTTTATGTTGAGTCTGTAGGTGTCTTTACCCATTAAGTGGGTCTATTGTAGGCAACAAATAATTGGATCTATGTTTTCTTATCCAATCTGCCAGTCTGTACCTTCCTAGTTGAGGATTTAGCCCATTACGTTCAAGGCTAATACTGATATGTGAAATTCTGTGCCTTTTGTTGCACTGCACTGTCCTTTCCCTGGGGAGCAATACTCCCTGTGGGCTAGAGAACTGGGGGACCTTGCAGTACCTTTGGGCAGCCAGTGCTGCTCCACTGCAGCCTTCCAAGTGGGCATTGGGAATGTCAGCAGGAACTCCTAGGATGTGGAGATATGGGGGCTGTTACCAAGGGCAAGATGCAGTCCTATGGCAGTGGCAGTCCCCACATGACTTCCTGCTGCAGCTATTCAGGTCTCAGGAGTGGGGCATGAGTGACCTAGCGTGAGTTCCCTGTCTGGTGCATTGCCTTCACGGGGTCTCCAAATCACCACCCATGCTAGTGTCAGAGTTTGTGTGGGTAGTGGCGCTCTCCCACAGCTCGGATTGCAGCAGTCTGTGGCAGGGAGGTGGACTGCTGACGCTCTTTCCCCATAGTTCCAAGCCCTTCTAGGTTCCTGGCCAATCTCAGCCATGCTGGCTACTTGTTTCCTTCTCCTTTTGTGCCTCAGGTGTTTCCTGTGAGTTCTCTGTTTGTCTTTAGTATTCTCTCCTAGATGTTCTATTCAAGGTATGGTTATCTACTCATAATTTTGGTTCTTCCTTGTGGAAAGGATGGGTGTCTGATATCTCTGGTCAGCCATCTTGAACTGGAATCTTCTAAACTTTTATCTTTCACTATTAAGTCGCCTCACACACTTAACTTGTCACAGCCTTTTTGTGAGGAAACAAATTTGCAGATCTCTTTCATTGTATTGTAAGGAATACAGTAAGAAGGAGTGATATTTGGCTTCCCCAATATCAAATCTGAATTAGTTAGGGTTCTCCAGAGAGACAGCATCAATAGGATATCTATATATGTAGATACATGAGAGGGGATTTTTTTAGGGGAAATTGGTTCACACGATTATGGTGGCTAACTAGTTCCGTGATAGACCATCTGCAAGTTGGAGACCCTGAGATGTCAGTAGCATGGCTCAGTCTAAGACCAAAGGCCTCAGAACCAGGGAAGCCAATGGTGTAATTCTCAGAGAGAATAGCATATGGTTTGGATGCTCATTATTGCCATTCAACAATATTTCCAGCTTTCTTTCTCCCTAGAAAAATGGAGGATTATACTTTCCCCCCACAGCCTGTAAAGTTTGGCATGTCTAAATGAAATGTGAATGAAAATGAGACATATGGCTTTAAGAGCCCATGTACACTTTGCCATCTTTCTGGCTCCGTGGAAGCTTGTATTGAGATGAATCTTACATCTCAATGAGGGTCTACAATAAGCAGACTCCCTTGCCAACCTACACTGGACATATAAAATAAGCAAGAAATAAACTTTTTCTAGGTTAAACCATAGAGATTGAGAGTTGTTTGTTGCCGCAACATAACCTATCTCATTCTGACTTTTATGGTAAAAGCTTAACAATCTATAGACGTGTCTTATTCATAAAGTTCTTGGAGGTCATTCTGTTTGTGGCATCTTTCACCTAATTTATCACCAGTTTACTTTGCATCATCTGGCAAGATAAGCTGGTTGTGCTCTCTGCCTCCTTGTTACTTAGATGTGCATACCTCAAAAAATTACACTACAGCCTTTGGTAGGCAAACTTCCTGGATAGGGAAGGAATTTCTTTGGTTAAGGATGTACCAGTTTCTGTGATCTGTTAAACTTTGAAACATAATCTTTAAACACCAGCTATCTCAAGAAAGTTTGTCAATCAGTGGCTCCAACTCATAAGTAATTTATTTGTCCTTATATGCTAGTGTTCTTTGTAGTTTATCAAAATGATATGCAAATGCCTTCAAAATTTGTTGTGTAGGTGGCAGAGTTGATGAATTTACCACCTTTAATGAAATTAAGAATTTGACTTGCCATATGCTTTAGTTAGGATACAGACCCAGCTACTATGACAGAGAAACACACAAACACAAATGCTTAACAAATTTTCAACAATATAGAAGTTCATTCTTTCTCATATACTGGTCCAAAAGTGAGCAGTTCATAGTTGACAAGTTGGCTCTGCCATCCTGAACACCTGACTTCCATCTCTGGATCCAGGGCATCTGTTCCAGATTTTGCCATCTCTTAACCAGTGGGAGGAAAACAGAGTCAGGGATAAACAGATAAATTACTTTTTAAAAGAAAAATCCTCTTTACTTTTTGTTGAGATTCCTCAATAGAGCCTAGGATTATATTTGCTTAGTTACCTTTTGCTATGCAACACACTTCTCCAAAATTTAAGAGCTCAAAACAATAATGATTTATTATCTCTCATGGTTTTGTGGGGTTGGCTGGGCAGTTCTTCTGCTGGTCTTCCTGGGCTCCATCATCTAGTTGCACTCAGTTGATGAGTTGGTAAGAGTCTGGGTCAGCTGGACCTTTCTCTCCATGTAGTCTTCATCTCAGTATTTTTCAGTTCGGCGGGCTCCAGCATTCCAAGAGAGGAAAAGTAACTGCAAAGCCTCATCTCATTTGCCACATCCTTTTGGTCAAAGCAAGTCACAAAGTCAGTCTAGATTTAAATGGTGGCTAAAAAGACTTCCTTTTTTAATAAGAAGTGCATTAAAGTTGCACTACAGAGGAGCATATACAAAAGGAAGTGTGATTAAGTGGGAGGCATTATTGTAACTGTCTACCATGGTCTGTTTTAGCCCCAGTAATTCACATCTCTTCCACTTGAAAAATGCATTCAGTGTCCTCCCAAGACTCCCCAAATTCTCATCCCATCACAGCACCAGACACCAAGTCCCTGGTTGTATTATCTCCATCAGGTTGAGATGTGAATGTGGGTCCTTGATCTCTAGACCTGTAAAGACAGGTAATCTACTTTACCCTTACCCAACATAAAATGGTGAGAAAATGTCAGGATAACCACAAGAGATACTCCCACTCAAAAATAATAATAATAAACAAAAAGGAAGGAATGGGAAGCACATAGCAGTCACTGGCCCTCAGAAATTCCAAATGCAGCAAGAGACTTGTTACTAGGGCTCCCTCCTCTGAGAACGATGTCCAGGACAAGAACATTCCAATGATTAAGACAGGTCTGTTCCCTGATAGTGGTTCCTTCATCCACTGGTCTTCTCAGTTCTTGATTGTACTCTCCAGACTTCACCCCCTGAGAACATCTCTCTTTTTCCATAAGAACATATCTGTGTTTGCAGCTATATAGCAATGTCATTCTCCTTCCTGCCCATCTCCAGCTGTGCACCCCTTGTACTCTTCACCTCCACCACTGCATTCCTCCCTCCATACTTTCCAAAACTGTGGCCCAAATGCAGCTCTTCCAAATAGATCAGTGTAATGTGCCATGAAGTTGGAGAACATCAAGTGGCACATCATTGCTACAACGATACAATGAGGAGCCAAGGAATACAAATCTTGTTTGATTCCCCTGAAGCCCAATAATAAATTTATAGCTGAAGGAGGATGAAAGGCGTAAGAATGAGACAGTGGACTTTGGGGACTCAGAGGGAGAAGTTTGGGAGGAAGGTGAGGGATAAATGGCTACGTATTGGGTACAATGATCACTGCTCAGGTGATGGGTACACTATAATAAAACTTCAGAAATCACTAAAGAACTTAACCATGTAACTAAAAATCACCTGTACCCCCAAAAACTATTGAAATAAAAAAAATAATTAATTAAATATATACACACCTGAATCTGAAATTGCAGTGTGTTTGATGTTGGGTGGTATAACCCAGTTGGAAGTAAGAGCAGATTGTCCTTAGCATCACAAAGTGAGCCAATACTTTGAGGCTCCCAATGTATCAATATTTTCTTAGACCTCAGCTTTTGGAAGACAAAATATTCATCATTAGAATCCAGCTTCATGGTTAATTTGGATACCATCCAGCTTGCTGCTTGATGGCATTTGTGATGAAGAGCCCTCAACTGAAGAACAGTAAATATGTTTCTACTTTACCCCAAGTAAATGAGCTGTTGTTGCTCCTTCTGCAATATGTTAAACTCAGATATCTCCAAATGCGGTGTTGGAAAACTGAGAATTCTAAGTGTTAAAATTGTTAAAATTTGGAGCTGTTTTGCCATGAGGCAAACATGCTTATAATAGTTACAAGAAAATTGCTGTTTCAGAAATAGGTCTAAGCTGATTTTCTCAAAGGAGCCATTTGTGCTCATATTAATTCACCGGGCTCTTGCCTACAGAAAACACATTGGTGATGGTGAATATATGTTGGTACACCTCTCGCAACTCTCAGAGACATCCCCATCCAGGCAATATGCTATGTAGCCTGCTCTAGGTACACTATGTAGAGTGCAAAAAAGTGGGTGTCTCTGTGCAGGACTAGAAAAAAGTTGCTTAGTATTCTTCAGAATACTCTGCATCTCTGCACGGGACAAGCAGAAACCTTCCTAGTTTGAGAAGCAGATGCAACATCACATTGAATTGTGTGGTGATGGAAGGGTACAGTGCAGAAATCGATTCACTTAGGCATCCCCCAGACAAAAATGAAAATTGGGAAAGGAAACAAAGGGAAAGAATGATATCTTCTTCTTTTTATTTATCTGGGACACGCAAAACAACAAAAGGGAATGCTTTTTGAATAGAATAATCAAACCACACTGTGACGTACTTTTTTTTTTTTTTTTTTGGAGATGGAGTCTTACTTTGTCACCAAGACCGGAGTGCAGGGGCGCAATCTTAGCTCACTGCAACCTCCATCTCCCAGGTTCAAGTGATGCTCCCACCTCAGCTTCCCGAGTAGCTGGAATTACAAGCATGTGCCAATTTGCCCAGCTAATTTTTGTATTTTTAGTAGAGATGGGGTTTCACCATGTTGGCCAGGCTAGTCTCGAACTCGTAACACTAAGTGATCCACCCACCTAGGTCTCCCAAAGCACTGGGATTACAGGCGTGAGCCACTGCGCCTGGCCTATGATCTATTTCTAATAAAATTACATAAGATTAAACTCTTTCTCTCAATCATTACTTCCTCTAAATTATTTCTATACCTTCCTACCAAGTCAAGACCTCTATCAGATGCTCTTCTCTATGTCCTTCTTAATGGTTGTCGGAGTTGCATGGGTGCATTTATTTGTGTGGGTGTTTGATTAAGTGTGTCTCCTCACTCAACTGTGGGCTACATGAAGGCAGGAACCATGTCTGGGTTTTGCTCCTCATGGTATTACTAGCGTTAGCACTGTGCCTAGCGTGCTGTAGATGCTTTCTAGATGTTAACTGAATGAAGGGATGTTGAATAAGGAATAAAGACCAGCAGTAGGTGTTAGCTATAATGAAGACACCTTCCTTTTTCATATTTTTCCAGAATATATGCAGTGCTACTTAATAAGAAATCATTGTTCCACATTCTACTGTGTCTCCTTGAAAAGGCAAGGTTAGAACATGTGCACAAATACATTAGTAGTAACAATTGCAAGGCTGTATCTCCTCTACTCTAAAAGTATAGAATTGAGACATACTTATTAACTTAACTTTAGCCTGCTTATTTCCTTCCTTCTTCTCATGGTCTCTTAGTGACTAGTTTTTATAATGAATTCTTTATCAGTTCTTCCTCCTATTCCAGAAACCCTGAGGTTGCTAAATCAATTGTGTTCAATCCCAAGATTTTGCCACTGAGAAGAGAACAGAGTAGCAGCAGACATCAGGAACCAGGCATAACTTGGAGAAATGGAAATGAAGCAAAACGTGCTGAGGTCATGGCCAGTGAAATCTTTATTGCCTTGAGTTGCACCTTTCAACAAAAAACAAACTAGCAAAGATTGAAAGGGAAAAAGGAACCATCTCTTGCCCTTTCACTCTGAAATACAGTCTTCTATCTAGGACTCTAAGCTATGATTCACCATGTTCTGGACTTACCCTATTAACCAAATGATTAGTCTTTTGGTGTTTTTCTTTTTTAAATCTAAATAAGCGTTCCTTAGTACTGAGCTCCTGGGGTCTTTTACCGTCTCAAACATATAACAGTGCATTCTGCTTCTTGGGTCTATAGAAGCCTTAGGATCTATAACTGCAAACAAGGATACCTCCTCACTCTGGCCAAATCAGAACTTGATTCTCTTATAATAATAAAAACTATAAAAACTATAAGAGCCCAAGAATCAGAGACAGGTCAAAGGATTTCACTTGTCCTTCATTCACTATCAAATTGCCAAAACTTTTTCTAAAATTCTACCTAAACTTAGGATTCTTCAACCCTCTGAATTCTTCTGGGCCCAAATCTGAGCTGGCTTCTTCCATGAAATGGGGCAGCTGATGGAGAGATGCCCTCATCTTGCCCAGGTGAGAGAGCCTGAAGCTGGGGAAAGAAGTTTTCCTTTCTCTTTCATCACTTTCCTTACCACAGATGCTGTGGATCCATGTTTCTCTGGGTTCTATCATAGAAACATAAAAAAGAAGCAGCAAGCATGACTTCTAATCCAAGAGGACTTGTATTAGGGAATTGGCATGTTTTCCTCATTTATCACAGACATGCAGTCTATCTTTTGGAAGCGGCATAGAGGCCTTAACATTTTCCTTAAGAGTAGTTGACAAATGCTGGTGTACATTAATTCCATTTACTTCCTTCAAGAGGACAAATACCTTCAGAGGCTGAATAATGTTACAGCTCCAAGGGAAGGAATTTTCCCAAGGTCCGTGACACTAAGACAATTGTACTTTTTTTTTTTTTTTTTGCTTTTGCTTTGTTTTTCTAAACTTCTTTAATTCAATTCTTTTTACCTTAAAAAGAATAAGATCAATATATTTCAAATTAGCTGCAAAGGAAATACATTTGTATGTTCACCTTCCTCTTACACTGAAACGGGGGCTTGGGGCTTACGTTAATAGGCAATTATCTCTGAACATTTTTAAACCTAATAAACAACATTACTGGCTACAGTTTATAAAGTTGCCATGAGTAGGTAACTTAAAATAATGAAGGGGGGAAAAAAGCCAAGGTTATGGTTCATTGCTGCCAAATTTCCAAAGCCACTTGAAGAGCCAAAAAGAAATCCATTCTGATCTTGCCATGTTATCCTCACAATAATAGAGGGGAGAGGGAGCTGTCTTTATCTACAGTTGTCCTTAACAACCTTCATTAATCTTTAAGATTCTTTATCCTTGTGTACTAAGAAGCTGGATTAACTCAAAAGTCTATAAATATTGGCAGCAAAATAAATTGGAATGTGGATACACCAATACATCTTCATCCTTTGATTATAGCGGAACTGAGAAGGAAGAGATAGTTCCCTGGTATGAAATTATAGGAGTGTGTGTACATATGTGTGTGTGTGTGTGCGTGTGTGCACGTGTTTCCATATGTTGGAAAAGAAAAGATGTATTTTAAAAATTGGAAAGCAATTGGGACAAATTTTAGTTTGGCAACCTCAAAACTATTGGCAACCTCAAAACTGGGCAGTAGCCCAGCCCACTAGTGTTCCAGGGTTTTGAAGTACTGGGACTAGGTCCTTCTTTTGTTCTTTGGCAGTTAAAACTGGTGTTTGTGATTTAAAGATGAGAGATGAAGAGGAAAGGAGGGAAGGCGCAGGTGAATAGAGCTGTCGGTACAAACTTAACTCTTCCCTGCCTGAAGCATGTCAATAGCAAATAGCCAGAGTTCCCTTATCTGTCCTAAGAAAGACAGATTGTTTCAAACATTCCCAAACAGCCTCTTCTGCAGATATCCATAAACTGAGTGTGATAGAAGGGTGAAATATTAATTGAGTAAAATAATGGAATATCTATCTGGATTTTATTATTAAAAGAGCAGAAGGTGAGAAAATATTCAAACATTTATGCTGAAAAAGAAATCAATCTGCGCATGGTGGCTCACATCTGTAATCCCAGTACTTTGGGAGGCTGAGGCGGGCAGATCACATAAAGCCAGGAGTTTGAGACCAGCCTGGCCAACGTAGTGAAACCTCATCTCTACTAAAAATACAAAGATTAGCTGGGCATTGTGGCATGTGCCTGTAATCTCAGCTACTCGGGAGGCTGAAGCACGAGAATTTTTTTTTTGAGACGGAGTCTCGCCCTGTCACCCAGGCTGGATGGAGTGCAAAGGTGCGATCCCAGCTCACTGCATCCTCTGCCTCCCTGGTTGAAGCAATTCTCCTGCCTCAGCCTCCCAAGTAGCTGGGACTACAAGCACGTGCCACCACGCCCGGCTACTTTTTCTATTTTTAGTAGAGACAGGGTTTCACCGTGTTAGCCAGGATGGTCTCAATCTCCTGACCTTGTGATCCGCCCACCTCGGCCTCCCAAAGAGAATCTCTTGAACCTGGAAGGCGGAGGTTACAGGGAGCTGAGATCACCCTACTGCACTCCAGCCTGGTTGACAGAGCAAGATGCTGTCTCAAAAAAAGAAAAAAAAGAGAGAGAGAGAGAAAGGTCTGAGAGACAGCTTATGAAGGTTAAGTGCAGTCAAGCAGACATGACTTTCAAATAAATATTAAGTCTCTGTTGAGTTTTTCTGAATTTTTCTATATTCCAATGCTTTGATATGAGATGTTGGTACAAGAAACAGGTGTGTTGTTTTTCCCAACAGCAAGACCAGATTCCGATGGATCCAGGAGAGCAGCTCACAGAAAAACGTGCCTCCATTTGGTTTAGATGGAGTGTACATATCCGAGCCTTGTCCCAGTTACTGCAGTGGCCATGGGGACTGCATTTCAGGAGTGTGTTTCTGTGACCTGGGATATACTGGTAAGGCTAAATACATGTGTCTGAGGGTTTTATTGTAAAATAGTCATCTCTAGTTGCTGTGTTTCATGTTATTCTCCCAAAGAAATAAATTCTGAATTTATTCCTCTTTAAGTCTAGGAATTGTAGGAATTCACAACCCAGGCACATGAGGTGCTAGGATATTTTGTAGTTTTGAGCTGCTCCAAAAAGGAAACATACTAATACAAATTTCATTTCCTAAAGAGGATTTGTTTATTATTCATAGCAATAATAATTAATACTGCTTGAGGTCCTACTTCATGCCAGACATTGAGGTTCTTTTTATTTCATCCCCTTTAATTCTAACAATAACTCTGTCATAGTACTGTAAACCCTATTTATATTTAAGGAAACTGAGGCACAGAGAGATTTAATAACTATCCCAAGATCATTCAGCTGGGAGTTGCTGGAGCTGAGTATCAAACCCTGGCAGTCATTCTCCAAAACCCAAACCCAAGCTCTTAACCACATGCTGCATGGCTGCATGGCCTCTGTGAGCCCTCTACATCACTATAGGAAACGTTATTTTTTACATTTAAAATAAAAATGCATCTTAGGATAAACCCAAGTCTGCCAAAAGAGTACTTTACAAAAAAAGTATCTCTGAGCACAGTGACCTTTGGATGTTGCTGCAAGCAAAAATGAAAAGAGCTGAGATTAAAGAGGAAAATTGGAGAAAATATTATAAGCTTCAAAATCTTTTTTTTTATTATTTTTCCTGGAGACAACTTCAAAAGGCTTCTTCCCAGCTTTTCAGTATCCCAGCCTTCATCTGGCACGTGACCAAAGACAAACATATGTTGTTGCAGGCCTTCTATGGAGAGTGCTGTCACTCACAGTTTCAAGGATTTTTTTTAAATTTGAGACTGACTGCCCCTATTGATCCTAGAATAGAAGGATAACAAATGAGCAAGTTTTATTGTGGATGAAATCTGTTTCTCAGTTTACACAAATCCTCAGTAGCAGGAACTACGAAAAGGTATGGTTCCCAATGTCTTCCCAATGTCTGTCTCTATTAAAAAATAAAAATTTACAGAGGCAGAATAGTGTTTTTGATGATGGTAGTGATGGCTGTCTTTCAGACCGACAGTTGTGAGATACAAATTTTCATGTGGCCTCTCTCCCTAATGTTAATCCCTATGGACATTCTTCCTTTGCCCATGTGTTGAATAGACCTCGTTTTGAATGATTCCAACAAAGCATCTCTCCTCTCTATTTCTTTTTCTGAAGCTGCACAAGGAACCTGTGTGTCAAATGTCCCCAATCACAATGAGATGTTCGATAGGTTTGAGGGGAAGCTCAGCCCTCTGTGGTACAAGATAACAGGTGCCCAGGTTGGAACTGGCTGTGGAACACTTAACGATGGCAAATCTCTCTACTTCAATGGCCCTGGGAAAAGGGAAGCCCGGACGGTCCCTCTGGACACCAGGAATATCAGGTAACAAGTATTAACTGGTATACTTTTTCACAAACATATTATTTACCACACGATGTAGTCTAACTTAAAACATTCTGTTCTGTTATTGGGAATATATACAATAATGTTTCTGTATATAGATTATGATATGTAAAAATGAAGATAACTTTAGCTTTGGAATAAAATAGGTGGTTTCTACAAAGACCATGCTGCAATTCATAAATCCATGTGTGGTCATCACCAAGGCCTGTGTGTCTAGGGTATGCCAGCTTGATTTTCTGAAGTTTGATATTATTATGAAAACCATTTGGTATTATTCTTAGCATGTGCCGTGTGAAACAAAGATTTTTCCAACCTTACATTCTATGTCTGAAATTGATGCGTCCTCATTTATCTAAGTTGATTTGTATTCACTTATTGAAAATGGTCCCCAGAAATTTTAAATGCCTACACTGACACCTACTGGTAAAATAAAGAACTGTTTGGTTTTTAAGATCAAATGAAATAATAGCACACCTAAAATAAAACTGCTTTTTAAAAGAGCAATTAAATTATTTGAGAAGTGGAAGAAAGGAAATAGAGAAAATGTTTAAAATTTTTAGACCTCCTCACAAAATCTGGGGTCCTGTGTCATATTTTTCCTTCCTTCAATTTCCTTCCCTTTCCATCTGCATTGTTCTCTCAGAGGTGTGCCTGTCAAGCAGGTACTCTCTGTCAGTCGCTATGGACTGAGGCATAATTTACATCGTACTGACTGAAGGCCTGCTGTGAAAAATTTAGCCAAGTGAGTCTAAATCAGCAACTGACAGGTAATTATCTGACTCTAAACAAATATGGTATTCAGCTTCTTAAGTTAGATTTTTCCTCATCTTGGCTGGATGCGGTAGCTCACACCTGTAATGCCAGCACTTTGGGAGACTGAGGCAGGTGGATCACTTGAGGTCAGGAATTCAAGACCAGCTCCTGGCCAACATGGCAAAACCCTGTCTCTACTGAAAATAGAAAAATTAGCCGGGTGTGGTGGCGCATGCCTGTAGTTCCAGCTACTCAGGAGGCTGAGGCAGGAGGATCGCTTGGGCCCAAGAGGCAGAGGTTGAAGTGAGTCAAGATCGCGCCACTGCACTCCAGCCTGGGCAACAAATGCCTAACGTAGATGACAGGTTGATGGGTGCAGCAAACCACCATGGCATGTGTATACCTATGTAACAAACCTGCACGTTCTGCACATGTATCCCAGAAACTAAAGTATAATTTTAAAAAATCTTCATCTTGAGTTTCCAAGGATAGTGTTAACTAGATTTAAGGAATTTCCATTTTTGTAATTCCATTAAATTATAACAGACTGTATTTTTAGTAGAGACGGGGTTTCACCGTGTTAGCCCCGTCTCTACTAAAAATACAAAAGGAAATTAGCCAGGCGTGGTGGCGGGCACCTGTAGTCCCAGCTACTCGGGATGCTGAGGCAGGAGAATGGCGTGAACCTGGGGGGCGGAGCTTGCAGTGAGTCGAGATCACGCCACTGCATTCCAGCCTGGGCAACAGAGCAAGACTCCGTCTCAAAAAAAAAAATAAATTATAACAGACTGTCACAATGAAGTGATATTCAACGGTTTCCTTTTGTTTAGCTCATTATTACAGAATAAAATGAATGGTCATATTAATTAACTTCTTCTAAATGGTTACAGAATTAACTTACTATAATTTATGTATTTTCTGCTTCTCATATGCCCTTTGAGTTTGAAAGTAGTACTTAATAAATACAGGAGGGTTTTTTTCTAATGTGTCAAAACGCTAATGCTTACAGCTCTTCTGAACTCTTGTTTGTAAGTAAACTAAAGTTTTTATTCCCCAGACTTGTTCAATTTTATATACAAATTGGAAGCAAAACTTCAGGCATTACCTGCATCAAACCAAGAACTAGAAATGAAGGTAAGCTGCTGTATTTCCATGGAAATTACAGTTACTATTGGCAGATTAGTCCTTTATCCTCCCAAAGTTTGGCCAGGATTTTGAAAACTGATACATTACCCTGAATCATTCCTTCTCTTCTCTTCTGCTTTGTAGAATCGGTGGCTGCACAGAGCCAAGATCTCTAAGATTTCTTGTACAGATCCTTAGGCCTGAAATATATCATGTCTGCTCTGGGTGTAGGCAGAATCAAAGTGCCATTTGTTTTAGGGAACCCTATTCCTTTATACTATCCGCAGGGAGGCACAAAAAAAAATCCCAAAACAATAGCAGAGACTCTTACATATAGCATGGAAGCTAGAGACTTGTTTGCATAGGGCATTACTGAATGCAGATCAAAGTCTACTTCGGCCCATAAACTTATATTCCGGGCAGACCAGAATCCTTGTGTAGGAGGAGCAGTTCTTGGCAATAATAAATGTTATCTTTTACTGAGACTTATTATATGCAAGACACTATCCCACGTGTTTTACTGGTGTTAATTCATTTTATTTCCAGCATACCCTTTTGCCATAAGTAATATAATTAGTTCTATTTTGCAGATGTAGAAACTGAGGCACCGAAAGGTCAAGTAACCTGCCCATGATCATGCACTAAATAAGTGGATGAGCAGGGATTCAAACCACTCACACTGGCTCCAGAATGTATGCCATAACCATCATACTATACTGCTTCTCTCCTTGCACTGAACTCCACCCTCCCTAGGCACTCATACCATCTTCTGCCTCAAATGATTCAGTTCTGAAAGAAATGCAAAAGGCTTGAAGCATAGGTGGCCTCTGGGAGCTCTACAGATATGATATAATTCCTTAGGGGACCTTGAATGTGAACTGACTCCTCACACAAAATTCATAGGTTTCTCAGATGCATCCTCCTCCAAACCGTGGTCTCAGCAACATGTAAAGAGTTTGCACCTTCTAAGTTTGTTAATATCTCAGTATGACTGTGTAAAACACATTGGCTTAAACAATACCTATTAGTCAGTAGAGCTACCAACAGCTGTGTTCATCAGCTCTCCATTTCCTTGGCCATATTATCACTAACTGAAAGGTTTAATAACTTTTTCTGAATATCTTAGTACTTTTAGTCTAGTAATTATCCAAGTCATCTATTTACTGAAGCAGTATAGAAGCTTTTATAGACCATTTTTGCATTCCCTAATCTCTTCAATAAATATTTATTAAGAATCTGTTCTAAGCCAGACATTGTTCTAGGTGCTTTTATTGATACAATATCACCAAAAGACATATGTCCCTCATCATGAGGTAGGTTATGCTGCAATAATAATAATAAACCTCTAATAATAATAAACCTCTAAATATCAGTGGGCTAAATAAAATGATTTCTCCCCTGTGCTACATTTTCTTCATGGGTCATCCGAGGTCCTCATTCCAGCACCCAGAATAATAAGGTGGCTGCTGCGTAGATTCTGGATGTTGCCAGCCATGTGACAGAGGGAAAGAGAAAGTGTGGTGAAGGGAAAAGAAGCGTAAACCTACCATGTGCTAGAGAGTGAAGAACCAGTGGGGCACTAATGACCACCTAAGGGTAGATCCCTGCCCTCAGGGGAACTTACATTCTAGTGAGAAGACTCAGATAGTAAGCAATCAAGAAAAGAAATAAGCAAGAAAATGTTAGATTGTAAGGGCTAGACAGAAACAAATAGGCTGATGAGGTGGAAAGTAAATTTATGCAGTGGGAGGTGCTGATTTAGATTCAAAAATAGTCTGGATGGGGACTCACCAAGGAAGTGACATTTGATACATTGAAATTTAAAGGACATTTTTGTGCATAACCCTTCTGAAAATTACAAATCCATACCCTTATTTGTGTATGACCTAAAAAAATAAATCCTGAGCAAGGTAGAAAAGAAAGCATCTGCTTATCATACAATAGACAGGAGTCTTTGCTCTGTATTGAACTTCTGTTTACAAGTGCTATTTTCTGCCCTGTGATGCAGATTTCCCTGAGGATCCTTTTAGTAACAAGCAACTTTTTCTCAACTAGTCTTGAGACACTTTCATAAACTCAGTGCCGGCCGTGTAATTCACATCCCACAGGCATTTCTTAGCCTTTTATTGAAAACTGGTTGTTAAAATGTAAATCTGCTTAAATCCTTGAACAAATCTCTTCCAGTGATGAAAGTAGAGATTCTTTACTTACTCAAGCTGAAGCATCAATTTACATATTTGGAATTAAAATCAAAATTATGCTATTTTCAGTAAGACTGGGCATAACGCAGATGGAGCTGCTGTTTAAAAAGAGAAATGTTTCACATGCCTTAAACACTTGGTAGATGAGTTAAAGGGCCTGGTTCATTCAGATGTACAGTGTGTTAGATGACATGGCTAATGAGGTTCAGCAAGTGATATGAGATATGTATATTGCTCTTTGCCTTTCTTGCATTCCTCGACCCTCTCATTCTTATCTGAGAGGCTCTCCTTCTTTGTCCTTTGGAATTGGGGCCCTCATCTCTGCAGACCTTGTTACTGCCTGAGGTATATGTGGCACTCCTTAAAAAGCTAATGAGGAGGAAGACAGAAACCAAATGAAGTATGTACCTCCTGAGCCATGTTTCTTATAATTTAATGTTCACCTGAATCATTTGGGAGCCTTGTTAAAATGCAAATTTAGATTTAGTAGGATTGGAGTGGTATGCTACATAACAAATTATTCCACAACTAAGTAGCTTAAGACATCAAATATTTGTTATCTTACAGTTTCTGTGAGTCAGGAATTTTGGAGCAGCTTAGCTAAATGGTTCTGGCCCAGGGTCTCTGGTGAGGTTGCAGTCAGGACAAAAGCCAGGAGGGGTGCAGTCACTGGAAGACTTAGCCAGGGCTAGGTGATCTACTTCCAAGATGGCTTACTTACATGGCTGTTGGCAAAAGCCTTTAGTTCTTCTCTGCTGTTGGCAAGAGGTTTCAGTTTCTCACTCTGTAGACCTGTCCATAGGCTGCTTGAATGTCCTTACTAAATGTAGGCTGGCTTTCCCCAGAGCAAGAGATCTGAGAGGGAGCAAGGAATAAACGACAATGCCTTTTATGACTGTTTCCAAAGTTACACACCATTACTTCCACCATATTCTATTCATTAGAAGCAAGTTACTAAAACTATCCACACTCAAAGGGGGAAGAATTAAGCTCCACTTTTTGAACGGAAGAGTGTCAAAGAATGTGTGGACATTTTTTAAACCATCACAGGTTATAAAACCTGTTCCAAGGTGATTCAGGTGCTGGTCTCAGACCATACTTTGAGTCAAAGGCACTAGAAAGGACCAGCCAGTGACAATTTATCTCATGATGCTTCATTTCTAGTATCATCTACCTTCTGATTAGGTCACCTCAAAATAACTAAGTAATCTCAATCTCAGCCTCTCTCTCATCTTATTAAATGTAAACCATATTAATACAAATTAGTAGCCACAAGAAAACCTGAATTTTGAAGTGTCTGCACCCTCAGACATCCAATATCACACTAAAAAGCCCATAGGACATATCTTGAGCAACATCAGAGTTTGGAGACTAGAGCTTATGCCACACATTCCTCAACTTGACTAGAATAAAGACAAGAAACAGCCTTGCTTCCATTTTCTTCATGAACTTTGGTGTGACTGTCCCTTTCCCAACACATGGGTCTCACCTTATTCAACAGAAGCTGTAACCCTCATCCCCACACCTGTATATAGCAGGCTGTCTCCCCCAAAGAGTTCTGTTATTTGAACATATTTTCATCCTCTCATTCAGTCTGATTAGTTCTTTTATTTTAAATACAGTAGGTTTGATTCTCTTGAGATTTCTAATTTTAGCATATTTGTCATTTTTGTTCCTGGCATCATCCTTTGTCAGATGTAGTGACAATAATTCCATGGCAATTAATTAGCCGTAAGCAGCCTTCTTTTAGCACTACACTTTATTGTAATATTTTTGAAACTAAAATAATTATCCAATGTGATAAAGGGTTGAGAAGTTCTAGTTAGTCAAGAATAGGGAAACAGAAAGGTTGTGTATAGCAAAAAAAATTATAATTTTCCAAAAGAGTTAGAATTTGCTGAGTGCAATGGCTCACGCCTTTAATCTCAGCATTTTGGGAGGCTGAGGCAGGCAGATCGCTTGAGCCCAGGAGTTTGAGACCAGCCTGAGCAACATGGCAAAACCCCGTCTTTACAAAAAGTACAAAAATTAGCCGAGCGAGGTGGCACACACCTATAGTCCCAGCTACTTGGAGGGCAGAGGTTGGAGGATCACTTGAGCCCGGGGAGGAAAAGGTTGCAGTGAGCTGTAATCGTGCCACTGCACTCCAGCATGGGTGACAGAGTGAGACCCTGTCTCAATTAAAATATATATATATATAAAATATATATATAATAAAGTAAAAATAACAACTTTACTGAGCGTAATATCTATGAATACTCAAAAAATAGTTCAGTATCCCTAGTCGTAATTATGAATATGCAGTGCCAGTCTTAGGAAAATTATGGAATAGGCAATTAGATCAATACCCTCTACCACTCTACCCCCCCTACCAAAGAAGCGGGTATAAAGGCTGGCACAGTCTTATTCTTAATACAGGCACTGATTTATACCTCGTTATACACACACACATATGTATATAATTGATTCCCACAGTTTCATCCTTAGCAACTTTTTCCTTTCATTCAACATTGCGCTTTCTCTGCATCCTCTTTTAGAAGGGACATGAGGTCCCTTACACTTTAATGTGCAGTCCCCTGGATCATGTCACCCTAGTGACAGTGGAGGGGCGTGGATGAATGGGACAAGAAAAGGGGAAAAGGTGACACAGAGAAACGAAAGTCAGACTAATGTTGGAGAAGCGTGAGCCTTTCTGCTTTGCCACTTAATAATTTGATTTCACTTAGGCTTCACTGACCAAGATCTGACAAAGTGCGAAGTGCAAGTAAAAGGATCTTTCTGCTTAATAGAATTTCATACCAGGCGGTGCTTACTGCCTAGTGCGTCAGCAGCAAAGAGCTACTTGATTTTTTGCCAGGGAGATTGAGATATTTCTTCTGAATATATAATAATGATATGAGACTTTGTAATGTTCAGAACAGAATCTAAAATTCAAATACGTGATCTGAGGCAGGTTTTTATGTTCCCCTTACCAACTTACTCATCACTCATACAAAGCTGAGCAGTCTTATAAGAGCTTATGTATTTCATTTCCTGGGAGTCAGTGCATTAGAAACCATCAAAAAATTGATGAGCCTTCAGGTCCACTAATTCATTCCTTGGAAGTTACACAAATGTGCCCTCGTTCTAGGAGACACAATTTGAGGTTGCTGCAGTCTCACCATTTAAGAAATACTGTTCCTTCCCCTCTAGGAAAGTGTCCAAATAACTGGATTTATGTCTTTTAACTCAGGGCTTATTGTTCAGTATTCAAATGACAATGGGATACTCTGGCATTTGCTTCGAGAGTTGGACTTCATGTCCTTCCTGGAACCACAGATCATTTCCATTGACCTGCCACAGGACGCGAAGACACCTGCAACGGCATTTCGATGGTGGCAACCGCAACATGGTAAGTTACTGCTCACTCCAGCTTTCTGGTAGCTTTTAGGTCATGAAGTATCCATACCCACCTTGCACTGTGTGTTTCTTAATTTGCTGTCAATTTCTAGACAATTTGATTTAAAATCACAGTCATGAAGATATTCATATTGCTATGTAACAAAACTTCTCTAACCACCTTTATTCATCTGATTGCAGGGAAGCATTCAGCCCAGTGGGCTTTGGATGATGTTCTTATAGGAATGAATGACAGCTCTCAAACTGGATTTCAAGACAAATTTGATGGCTCTATAGATTTGCAAGCCAACTGGTATCGAATCCAAGGAGGTCAAGTTGATATTGACTGTCTCTCTATGGATACTGCTCTGATATTCACTGAAAACATAGGTATATATTGTCACCAGATAAAGGGAAAATATCTGATTAACTAGAGGACTAAATTAACTAAAAGTCAGGAGAAAACTTTCTAATGCAAAACCGTGTGCCTAACTACCCATGCTGAGGGTGGCTCTCAGTGAAAAAAAAGTTTTATTGTGCTAAGACAACTTGGTGATCCTAGTGACGGTTTTTGTTGGAACTGTCTTTCACAGAACATGAATGATATGAGTAAGGTTTCTTAGAAGAGCAAAAAAATCTATGAGAGGACATTCCTATGTTTCATAACTTGTAGACTTAAGACTCTATGTTTAAAAAAAGATAGATGTTTGAAGTGCTGGATATCCCAATTACCCTGATTTGATCATTACATATTGTATAAATGTATCAAAATATCACATGTAACCCAATATATGTATAACTGTAATATATCAATATTTTAAAGATAATATGTTAGCCCTTTCCAAGGTGGTAATGCTTTTCAAATTAGCAGCCTTCTATATTTCTAAATCTATGGTAACCAAATAGAAGCAGAAAATATAAGAAGAAAAGTCAAAGCACATAGGGGGCACTAAAGATAGGCCATGATTTTTGTTTGCTATTGAAGATGTTTATTATAAGCATAAACACCAAATAAGAAAATGGCACACATATATGCTACCATTACACATTTTTTTTTTTCAGGAAAACCTCGTTATGCTGAGACCTGGGATTTTCATGTGTCAGCATCTACCTTTTTGCAGTTTGAAATGAGCATGGGCTGTAGCAAGCCCTTCAGCAACTCCCACAGTGTACAGCTCCAGTATTCTCTGAACAATGGCAAGGACTGGCATCTTGTCACCGAAGAGTGTGTTCCTCCAACCATTGGCTGTCTGCATTACACGGAAAGTTCAATTTACACCTCGGAAAGATTCCAGAATTGGAAGCGGATCACTGTCTACCTTCCACTCTCCACCATGTGAGAATTGTCATTTGGCTACATGTCAGAACTTTGGGTGCCTGTCACTTAATTTGAAAATAATTGTGATTCGGCCTGGGGATTCTATTATTCTTTCATGATAATTATGCATGGAAGTGCCAGGAAGAAAAAAAAGTGCAAGGTGCTTTGGGTTGCAAGTTTTAAATGTGGCTAGAGAGCACCAAAAGTTTTATGAGGCTGAACTTTTCTGTTCTTTGCCAGCATAAAGGCTGCCCACCAGATTCCATTTTTAAACTGTTGTAAAAATAAGTCTCTGCCCATAAACCAGACTGATACTTATTCACACAAAACAGTATGTGAAATTACCACATATTGGAGAGTATCCTTAGTTTTTTTTCATCTCAGTACCACAGTATGAACAAAAGGTTGGTTCCTTTGGAATGCTCATATTGTTTTGCATCTGTCTTCCCCTCCCCAGCATTTCAGATCACATTCAAGAGTTGTACTGACTTACAGCAGGCTTCCACTTTTGTGGTGTAGGCATTTGGATCATTGGAGGATGTTTCTGGGAACTAACGGGTACTGTGGTGACTGGTTAGAGGCTGTACCTCCTGTGACTGCTCCCCCGAGATCCTTGCCTCTCCATTCCTGTGCTCTGTTCTGAATGGCAGGCTGCATTTCCCAGCCTCCTACATCTGTCAGACACTGCAGGAGAATGGAGGGGAGAGATAAGGGATAAATCAGGGTGTTCCTCCCCCCTCTTTCTGCCTCAAGTGCATCTTGGCCAACTTCTGTGGCTCTAGCTCCCCTGGGTGGCCCTCCAGGTGACCCTGGTCCCTGGGCACCAGCAACAACACTTCCTCCCTGTGTCCCTACAGTCTCAGACTCACAGTAAGTGGCTTCCTGACTTTGCTAAACTCCGGTTTCCTCACTGCTTCTACTGGCTTCTCTGCTCTGCCACTTGCTATACATCCAATTCCTTGCACTAATTTCTTTCTGTGTTAAGTGTTTATAGTGGTTTCTGTTTTCCTGGTTCAAACCTGATCCAGACATGTACAACCAAGAGGCAAGGGAAAATTCAGGAAGCCAAAACATTTTAGTATTTAGCCTAAAATAGTTTCCTATGACTGCTAAAGCTTTAAATAGTGCTTACTTGTTTGTAGCTCATTTATTCATTTTTTAAAAATTCAACAAACACTTATTGAATATCTACTGTGTTTTAAGCACTCTGGTACTACATGAATAAGCTGATGCCAGGATCCAAATGTGTTAAAGTCATGCATCACTTAACGATGGTGATACATCTGAGAAATGCATCGTTAGGCAATTCCATTGTTGTGTGAACATCATAGAGTGAACTTACATAAACCTTCATGGTTTAGCCTATTACACACCTATGCTGTATGATATAGCCTATTGCTCCTCAGCTACAAAGCTGTACAGCATATTGCTATACTAAATACTGTAAGCAATTGTAACATAATTCCAAGTATTTGTATATCTAAACATATCTAAACATAGGAAAGGTACAATAAAAATATGGTATAAAAGATTTTTAAATGGTACACTTGTATAGGGCACTTCCGATAAACAGAGCTTACAGGACTGGAAGTTGCTCTGGGTGAGTGGGTGAGTGAGTGGTGAGTGAATGTGAAGGCCTAGAATATTACTGTACACTACTATAGATTTCATAAACACTATGCACTTAGGCTCCACTAAATTTAAAAAAAGAATATTTTTCTTTCTTCAATAATAAATTTACCTTACTATAACTTTTCCATTATATAAACTTTTTTTAAAACTTTTGGACTCTTGTGATAACAGCTTAAAACACAAGCACATTGTACAGCTGTACAAAAATGTTTTCTTTCTATCGTTATTCTGTAAGCTTTTAATATTTTGAGAACTTTAACTTTGAAAACTTCTTTCTTAAAAACTTAGACACAAAAATACACATTATTAGCCTTGGCATACACAAGGTCAGAATCATCAAGATGTCAATTAGCAATAGGAATTTTTTTTCAGATCCATTATAATCTTATGAGACCATTGTCATAAATGCAGTCCATCATCGACAGAAACGTCATTATGCAGCACATCACTGTATTTAGGATAACAAACCTCTAAGCAGCTGTTTATGCTATAAGATGATACCAGAGGAAGTACTCAGAGATATTATTGAAACACAGGAGGGTACTACCTAACTCATTTGGGGAGAACTGGAGGGAGCTTTCTGAAGGAGTTGATGTCTCAGCTGACTCTGAGTAGGGCTTATCCAGGAGAAGAGGGGAGCAAAAGGGCATTTGTGCTGGCATAAGCCAGAACAAAATCCAGGAAGCCAGAAAAAGCATGGGTGGATGGGGAAATTCAAGGGCTCAGTGTTGCCAGAATATAATTGCAAGGTAAGAAGTAGGAGGTCTGGAGCCAGGAAAGAGGACAGACAATGGAGGAGCCATGTATGTCATCCTAAGTAGTTTGGTCTTGACAGTGCATATGTTGGGGAACCACTGAAGGGTGGTAAACAGTGTTGCTGTGATTAGGTTTCCATGTTAAAGCCACCATGCTGACAGCTGTGTCACATCCATGGAGAACTTGTGTAGGGGAAACAGTTCTACTTAGAATGGTGCTGCTGAAATTCTACTTCAAGTAGACTGTGTTCCACATTCCACATAACAGACAAACACACTTCTATGCAAACTTTTCCTAAGTGAGGGGCTGTTACTGTTGTTTGGTAAGTCTGCATCTATTTCTGGATAAAGCAGTCTTGTGACCCAAGATACTCCAAATAACAGATTGCAAATAAATAGAAAATATGAGAATACATCACATCATTCTAGGCCTCAGCTTTAGAAAGCCAGAACCTCAAGAACCAAAGTAGAGTGCAGAAGTATCAAGGGCTTCCATTTACTCTCAGAAACCATTCCGGGACAGTAAAATAGAGACCTCACTGCCAGAACTTTTAAGACCCTAATTTTTCCTCATGTTTATCACCTTCAATCCCTCCCAGTACTGAATAGCAATAAGAGTCTGAAAGCAAAAACTGAAATTCTGCATGTATTTCAAAAACAAAACAAGTGGATAGTTCAAAATAACTTTTCCATTTCACACATGTGTTTGTAGAATCTTACATGAAAAAAATAGTGAAATATTTAAATAACATGCTTTCTACTCTCCTGTTTATGAGTCAAGAGAAAACAGCATTTCTTACTACTTAGTAGGAAAATAAAGTACGTCAAGAAAGAGAGAACTGGACCCTGGAGGAAGGCACTTTAAAGAGAAAAGGGAATTAAAATAAATGTCCTTGTGCTTTCAAGGTTGCTTGTCAAACCAGTGGTGTGTTTTTTTTTTTTTTTTTTTGGTTAGTTCTCCCAGGACCCGGTTCAGATGGATTCAGGCCAACTACACTGTGGGGGCTGATTCCTGGGCGATTGATAATGTTGTACTGGCCTCAGGGTGCCCTTGGATGTGCTCAGGACGAGGGATTTGTGATGCTGGACGCTGTGTGTAAGTTAATAAAACTGACAGTTTCTTTCTTTGTAACGCAAAAATAAATATGGCTTGTTGAACGTGTGACAAATGTCTTTTCTCCACTCCCTCTCTTTCTTAGGTGTGACCGGGGCTTTGGTGGACCCTATTGTGTTCCTGTTGTTCCTCTGCCCTCGATTCTTAAAGACGATTTCAATGGGAATTTACATCCTGACCTTTGGCCTGAAGTGTATGGTGCAGAGAGGGGGAATCTGAATGGTGAAACCATCAAATCTGGAACATCTCTAATTTTTAAAGGGGTCAGATACAGATAAGATTCTCCTTCCCAACATTACTACTAACATTGTCTTCTTCAGTCACTGCTCAACACAAATGGATTTCTGAATCTCTTCAAATGACATAATATTTAATACATAGTTATTGACTTTTAGCCCAAACCATGTTTCCTCTTCTGAGTGCAATCATTTTTTCATGATTACTTGGGCATAAAATTTCTCCTCTGCTTTGGTGATCAGACCTTCCTTACTTCCTGCTGGAATTATATACATAAATTTATATGTAGATAGTTTTTAGAATGTAAATTTCCATAGTCTAAGATTTTATGTTACTAAATATTTAACTTGGAATATTTTCTAAATGACTTTATGAACGGTCTTTAATTTTCCTTTTCTTTTTTTTTCTGCCAATAGAACCATTTGGTGACTTTAAGAAAATCAAATACTTAAGTCAAGTAAAATAGCATTCTCAAACATTGTTAATATCTTTTTGTATTTCAACCGAGATGTCTGGTTAGAGAGAATGTTAAGCAATTGTGTGAAACTCTGTGCTAAGCTGGCATATCTTCATATGTGAATACATGCCACATCCCATCTCTCTCAGCATGGGGAAATTGACTAACCTAGGTGTGCAAATGAAATCTTTGACAAAAACCTGCATGGGTTTCTGTACAGCCCTAATGATTAACATCTAACACCTAGAAAATTAGATACCCTGGAACTTTTTCAATTATAGTCAATAGATGCCAGTTATCATCCTTGTTTGAATCCAAATCCTTCTCAAGTTTTGGATGAGAAAGAAAGAAATGCATAGGGCCTGAGAGAGATTTACAAGTCTCTGAGAGTTTTGAGGGACTGAAGAAATTAAGGTAGAACATTTCAGAGTGGAAACTCCTGGTTTTGGGGGCAGCGGGATTTGTTTTGTTTTGTCTTATCTAAGATGTTAGTTCTCATTACCATTAGCTCACATCTGACCCATTTGAACCAGTTGACAAGACTAAAAAGCAGAAGTCCTATAACTTTTTATGATTGAAAGATCTTTATCTGATAAATTTTTAAGCAGTAGAATTAACCTAGTCTTTTGATCCTCTAAACAAGAAAGATGCATAATGTTTTATATTTTCCCTTTAGCCATCCAAATGCAAGAGCAGCCAAGCATTATATGTCTTAGACATATTATCTATCAGCTCTGCAAGATGTAGAGAGGACTCAGCATGTGCCATTCAGTAGGTGGCAGTTTGACCTAGAAAGTCATTCTTTCGTGAAAAAGGATATGATAGTCTCTTTTTAATGTTTATAGATTCAGGAATACTATCTACTATTAAAATAGCTTGTTTGTTGCAAAAGAATTTCTCACATTTAGCACAAATGGATCACTGAACCTGAAAAAGGATGAGAAAAGAAACATATGTCTGTGAACTAGAATATATGTGGCAGCAGAGTTTGACAGTTCTGCTGTATAAATATCAATATAAAATGCTAACCTATAAACAAATATTACAAATATAAAAGAAAGATACTTTCAGATTACAAATCATGCTCACTTTCAATAAAATTGCTCCTACAAAATACAGTGTAAAATAGGTCCCTTTATGAGTGACTTGTATTGACCCATGGGAACAACTTTATACTTGCATTCCATAATCAAGGGGAAAGAGTAATCATATTTCTATAGTTTGATGTTAGCAAGGGATATTTATTACCTGAATCTATCAACTGTCTATCTCAAAGCTTTTTCATTACGATCTGAAGAAGGGACCTTTCCTCTCAACCTCCACTCCCACATGGCATTGAGCTCTAAAAGAATCCAACACTTAGCCAGGCACAGTGGTGCACACCTCTAGTCCCAGCTACAGTGGGGGCTGAGGTGGGAGGATCATTTGAGGCCAGGAGTTCGAGTTTGTAGTGAGCTATGATTACATTTATAAATAGCCACTGGGCAACAGAGCAAGACTCTGTCTCTTAAAACAAACAAAAAAAAAATCCAAGGCTTTATGCAAGTGTATAAGGAAGAGGGTAAAGACATTAAGACATGAAGAAATGAAGAAGATGCATGGGTTAGGTATCATGGACCGAACAGAGCAGTGAATTACTAGGCATAAAAGAAAAAACAAAGACTAGAAATATAAGGCTTTTACATGGCAACCTGTCCTGAAGTATGAATCTATGCTTTGTGAAGTTATGAGATGGATTAAATGCAGTTGCGTTTTCATTACAATATCAAATAATTCTCAAATTCTACATTTGGCATTATCTGGATATTTTTCTCCCCAAACCAAAAGATAGTTTAATAAACAAAACACTGGTATCTCATAAAGGATAGACGTTTTAGAATCCGACATATCTGGGTTCAAATCCTACCATCACCACTTATAAACTATGTAATCTTGAGAAAGTTACTTTCCCTCTCTGAGTTTTAGTTTCCTTATCTGCAATATGAGAATAATATTTTTCTGTCAGTAGTGCTAGGTGCTTTAAATGAGTAAAATGTCTATCTTAGCACCCAGCATGTATAGGCACTCAATATATGGTTGCTATTGTGGAATTTGCTCTACTTAAATTTTTTTCAGCTATTGAGGAACGTGATCTATAATGTATATGATGAAGAAGAGGAAAATGTTCTCTTTTAGCTAAAATTACATTTGGCCTTTGTTAGTTGATGAGAAATCAGTGACAATGTCCACTTATTATCACACAGCCGTGCATCCGTAAAGAGTCACGTCATTCAGAAGTTGCAGCTGAAAAACTAAAAGACCTGTCTGGACCTTAGGCTATTTGCATAGTGAAATTCTGTTTTACTGGCTGTCACTGCAATCCTATGTACCCAAGAAGAAAAGAACCTTTCGAGTTGTCAATCCTAGGCAACCAGAAATAGTTAAATTAGCAGAAAAAATTACGAAAGCTAATGTGATCTCTTTCCTTGTTCATTGACTTCTCTGCATGAATGCCTACAGCGTGAGCATCAGGACTTGCCTTAGTTATGCCTTATTTAACTTGACCAACTGGGGGATGTTGTTGTGTCAGCCTGAATGAGAGCCCCTGGGGCTGTCAGAGTGAGCAAAGGAGTAGTAAGTTCCTAAGACTCCTTGGAACCCTGAGAAAGTCACCTATCAGTTCCCATCTTCCAGCGGGAGCACTTGGCACATTTTCCATCTGCTTCCTCGTTACTCCTCTCATAACATGCTGTGATCAAAGGAGGCTGTTTTTAAAAAAGGCCTGTAGATATGTAATGCTATCATTTTTGCACCGCTTTTTAGAAGAGTCACAGAAAAGTATGATTTAGAGTTGAGACAATGAAACTGTGTTATTCAGGCACAGGATATGAAAGCCATTAAGAGAGGGGAAACAAGGATCATCCCATTTTTCCTTTTAAACTAGGCAAAATTTGCTTCTTGATCATGATATGTATTTATTACTTAGCTAATGCAAGTTAGGTGTATAAAATCAAAGGGATACAATTTTGCAAGTGAAAAAAAGTTGCTTAACGTATATGTTTTTATTTTCAGGAAGGACTAAGGATGCTTATTTCAAGAGATCTAGATTGTACAAATACAATGTATGTCCAGTTTTCACTTAGATTTATAGCAAAAAGTAAGTATGAATTTATTATTTTCCTTCAAGAGAATTCTCCCCTGTGCAATTCCTTTTCCACAAAGAAATCACGGATTTAAGGCCCATAAGTTTTGTTGTATGGAAGGGCTAACATAAATTAGTATACATAAATGTTTGCAAATGTTTTTCTTTAATGTAAGTTTATCTTAATATAAGGGCAAGAAAACTACTGATTTTAAATAATTTCATATAGCTGTAATCATATTAGTTCTATGGTAGTTAAATTTATCATCATGTCCCTGAGTCTTTCCACCACTACTTTCTAACTAAAAGAAATTTAAATTTTAAAATGTTTAACTTATGAAAAACGTGGATTTTCTTTTACAGATGTGAATCCAAAAAAAGCCTATTCTTAGTCATTCTGGCTTTTCATATTAACTAAATAATTTTCCTGAACAAATTGATTGTAGATATAATACATATTCAAACAGTTTTTCTGTTTATATCCTGAGATTTAAATGTTTGACCCTTTGTAAAATCGTGATGCCTGTAGAATCAAAATGTTTTGATGTAATGTTTCCTAAATACAGAAAGATGCCTGTGCATATCTGAGAGAGAAAGGGAGGTATTATTGTGTGCAAATCCAAGCTTTGGTGTGTATTTCGAGATATACAGAAAGCCCAACCTGTCATCCCCTTAAGTTGCTTCTGAAGCATTTGGACTATAAAGCTTCCATGTAAACATAAGTTCTCTTATGCATTGATGCCTAAAGATTCAGCTAAGAACATACCATTTCCCCATTTTTATCACAGTATGTTTTATACCTGTGTTATCTTCTTCCTAGGTACCCCAGAGAGATCTCACTCTATTCTGTTACAATTCTCCATCAGTGGAGGAATCACTTGGCACCTGATGGATGAATTTTACTTTCCTCAAACAACGAATATACTTTTCATCAATGTTCCCTTGCCATACACTGCCCAAACCAATGCTACAAGATTCAGACTCTGGCAACCTTATAATAACGGTAAAAATGCATGTGTTCTCCTGTGATCAGAACTGATAGTGGCATGTTAACACATTTGTTTCTAAGGTGTGGAGGAAGTGTTTGTCAACTGAGCAGCTTAGCTGTCCACAGCACACACATTTTACATGCTTCACTTTTGACAAATGTATTAGTCCGTTTTCGTGCTCTTGATAAAGACAAACCCAGACTGGGAAGAAAAAGAGGTTTAATCGGACTTACACTTGCACATGGCCAGGGAGGCCTCAGAATCGTGGCGGGAGGCAAAAGGCATGTCTTACATGGCAGCAGCAAGAGAAAATAAGGAAGATGCAAAAGTGGAAACCCCTGATAAACCCATCAGATCTCATCAGACTTATTCACTGCCACAAGAACATTATGGAGGAAACTGCTCTCATGATTCAAATTATCTCCCACCTGGGTCCCTCCCACAATACATGGGAATTATGGGAGTACAATTCAAGATGAGATTTGGGTGGGGACACAGAGCCAAACCGTATCAACAAGTCTCAATAAATATTTAAATATTTAACATATATATATATATATACACGTATATATAATCTCTTCATATTTGACTAGTGGGTTCTCCTGTTAATGTAAATATAGCTGAATTCTGTTACAGAGCTAAAGATTTTTAAAAATAATCCAGCATTATCATTAGGCACTCATCAGTTGTAATGACATTTTTGTTGCATTTATTTGGGAATACATAGTTCTTCTGAGTGTGGCGTTTCATTAGTGAAATAGAATACTATAGCAAAATGCCATGACGAAGTGAGAGGGACTTAGACCAAGCAGATAGTGCCGTAGATAAAATATTCTTATCACATACACTTGCTTCAGTGATAAGTTAAAGTGAATGTATAATTTAATACATTTCAAATGGTTACAGAAAATGATTCTACAAATTGGTAATGTTTTATTGCTTTCTATATTTCTATTAACTGCTGATTATAAAGGACCAGACTTTACCAAGTCATGCATATAATCACCTAAATAAGCATGGAGATGCCACATTAAGCAGCAGATTCTTTGCAGAGGCAACACAAAAATGGAAAAGGCAAAGGTTCTTCCATCTCTAAAATTTAACCTATTTCCTTAACAATATGTTAAAACTAAAACATAAAACAAAATTTTTAATGTATTGTGAAACATATATGTATACATACATCTTGTCACTGAATAAAAGTCCAAAAAAGGAATGTGCCAGGCGCAGTGGCTCACAACTGTAATCCCAGCACTTTGGGAGGCCGAGGCAGGTGGATCACCTGAGGTCAGGAGTTCAAGACCAGCCTGGCCAACATGATGAAACCCCATCTCTACAAAAATACAAAAAAATTAGCTGGGCGTGGTGGCACACACCTGTAATCCCAGCTACTTGGGAGTCTGAGGCAGGAGAATCACTGAACTTGGGAGGCAGAGGTTGGAGTGAACCGAGATCATGACACTGCACTCCAGCCTGGGTGACGGAGGGATTGCTGTCTTCATACTATGTTTGGAGTGCTCACCTAATTATTTTTTCATTGATTCCACCAACCACTTTCTAAACAAGAAGAGGAAAGAATGCTACTAGAATTAGAACACTGATAGGATTAGAGATAGAGACCTGTGATTTCATTCAAAGCATCAGGTTTGTTCTACAGGCTCCTGTTTACAGATCCTTTTTTATGTTTTGTAAGAATTGCACTGAAGTAGAAATCAGTGAAGAAGCAACCTAGGGAATCTTGACGTTCCTGCTTGGCATGGACTTATCACCTTTTTTCAAGGTCAGTCCAAACAGTGCTTTACAAAAGCAGCCTGGCTTTTGCCGTTATTATCTACTCTAACATATTCCTTAAACACCTGGTCTAAATCACTGAATCAAATACTATAGCAGTATAAAGGGTGATTTCCCTAGTTTCCTATATATTCCCACAGTATCTCCAGATCAACATAGAAGATATGAAAAACATTAAGAAAACATGGAGTATTATTGATCATAGAATATTTTTCTTCTGTATTAAATAAACAAATAAATGCAATTACGTATCAGGGCATTATTTTAATGGCCATAGTCCTTCAGCCTGACTGAAGTATGGTGCTAAGCCATGGGTTGGCCCTAAAAAGCATGAATTGCTCCCTGAATAGACTGATTAGTGTTCCTCGGCTCTAAGTCCACTAACTGACCACTCATTCTCACAGACTGCATGTCTCACAGATTCCCCTAAACCACTAAAACACAACTCAAAACCCACTCTTGCCAGGGGAGGGTTCATAGCACTGCTATTATTTGAAGGACAGCATGCTTTCACATACATTATATACACAGCATTGTCACAGCTTTCTGAAATTAGCAAGGCAGTTCCATGGTATATCAATTTAATATGGTTGCAAGCTTAATTTTTTCACTTTTTTTTTTTTTTTTTTTGAGACAGCATCTTGCTCTGTTGCCCAGGCTGGAGTGCAGTGGCGTGATCTTGGCTCACTGCAACCTCCACCTCCCAGGCTCAACCATCCTCCCACCTCAGCCTCCTGAATAGCTGGGACTACAGGCATGCACCACCATGTCCAGCTAATTTTTTTGTTTATTTGTTTGCTTTTTTATAGAGACGAGGTTTTGCCATATTGCCCAGGCTTGGGCAATCTGCCCATCTTGGGCCCCCAAAGTGCTGGGATTACAGGCGTGAGCCACCGTGCCTGGCCAGTTTTAATCACTGACAATATACAAAGTACTGACAAGTACTTTATGTTTTTTTTTTCCCCCAGAAAGTATATGGGTTTGGCGGGGGGTGGTTTGTGTGGTTCTTTTTTGAGACATGGTCTTGCTCTGTTGCCCAGGCTGGAGTGCAGTGGCATGGTCACAGCTCACTGTAACCTCAAACTCCTGGACCCAAGCAGTCCTCCCACCTCAGCCTCCTGAGTAGCTGGGACTACAGGCATGCACAAACACACCTGGCTAATTTTTTTTATTTTTTGTAGAGATAGGCCCTTACTATGTTGCTCAGGCTGGTCTTGAACTCCTGGGCTCAAACAATCCTCCTGTAGAAGGCATATGTTTAACCTATTGTTACTGAGTTGCTTTTGTCCTTTGCTTTCTTTCAATGAGCAAAAGTGTTCATTTGATTTTCATCACTGGAAAAACTTGCTTTATCCAAAAATGCCTTAGGTAAGAAAGAAGAAATCTGGATTGTTGATGACTTCATTATCGATGGAAATAATGTAAACAACCCTGTGATGCTCTTGGATACATTTGATTTTGGGCCCAGAGAAGACAATTGGTTTTTCTATCCTGGTGGTAACATCGGTCTTTATTGTCCATATTCTTCAAAGGGGGCACCGTAAGTATTAAGAATCTAAAAATAAAACCACTGCTGTATACAAATCATGATGAACTTTTGCCTAAATGGATTCCTGGTTGTTTTCCTGTGTAACAGTGAAGAAGATTCAGCTATGGTGTTTGTTTCAAATGAAGTTGGTGAGCATTCCATTACCACCCGTGACCTAAATGTGAATGAGAACACCATCATACAATTTGAGGTACTTGACTTTGTTCTATAATAAATGCTTTAAATTTTATATTGAACAAAACCTAGGAAAGGGGAGGAAAATCTCAGATAATTTCATGCATTATGACCTCCCATTTTTGTGCAAGGATGTAAGAGATTTTGGCATCATAATTTTCTCTTATTAACAGAGCCAATTGTCATACTAAGGTTTATTTCTGAATTATTATCCTTTATGATGTAGTTTCCCCACCTGCTACAATGGGAAGTTGAAATAAATTATTTTAAACATTATAAAAATGAAAAGGCTCATACTATTCTTGTATTATATTTCCACACTTTTTATGTGAAACTTAAAATTTCTTAGGGACTAGGTCAATGTAACTATAGTCTATGCCATGCTAGGATATTTATTTATATAATATTTGTCATGATGTTATTAATTTTACAGATAATACTGTTTTATAATTTCAAATGTATTTGTGTATTTTATTAATATTTATGCACTCCTTTTATTTGTCAAGAGAGCAAATTAATAATTAACATAAAAATATTTATATATTTCAAAAACTTAGATAAAATCAGCAGAACCAAAGGTATATTATACCAGCGTTTTAGAATATTAACTTTTCAGAATATTTTTTTCATAGCTAATAAAAGATGACATCTTTAGCACCTTTAAGAGTTCTATTATCAGCCAGGCGTGGTGGCTTACACCTGTAATCCCAGGAGTTTGGGAGGCCAAGGCAGGCAGATCATGAGGTCAGGAGTTCAAGACCAGCCTAACCAACATGGTGAAACCCCGTCTCACTAAAAATACAAAAATTAGCCGGGCATGGTGGTGCGCACCTGTAATCTCAGTGACTTAGGAGGCTGAGGCAGGGGAATTGCTTGAACATGGGAGGTGGAGGTTGCAGTGAGCCGAGATTGTGCCACTACACTCCAGCCTGGGCACAAAGTGAGATTCCATCTCCAAAAAAAAAAAAAAAAAAAGAATTCAGGAAGAAACAAGTGCCTATATTCGAAAGTTTATCAAATGTCAATAGTTTACTCATCAGAAGTTAAAAGTTATGTAAGTTCACATATCTACACACACATAATATGTATAGTGTATATTTATTGTATATAACTATAACTATAGATGGTTATGTGTTACTGTGTATATCAATAAGTGGTTCCTATGCTTTGATGGCATGATAGTAAGAAAATGTTCATCTCAATTGGAGAGGGGAAATTTTTTATAGAAAGAATTGCGTGCATTTATATAATTTATTTTAATGCACTTGAAAGCATGGGAAAAGGAATGGAGTGGTTGTTTTCCTAATGGTTAAAAAGGTCTTTACATAAAGACAGAATACACTGGTGGATACCAGGGTGGGGAGGAGAAGGATGTGGGAAGAAGTAGGTGAGAGGAGACAAGCTTGCAGTTATGAAGGATGAGTACGTCTAGAGATCCAATGCACAGCATGAAGACCATAGTTAATAATATAATAATGTATGCTGAAAATGTGTTAATAGATTTTAGATGCTCTTACCACACACACACACACACACACCCACACACACACACAGAAGGTAACTATGGAAGGTGATAGATAGGTTAATTCACTTGGCCGTAGTAATTATTTCACTTTGTATATCATATCAAAACAGTATGGGTACACCTTAAGTATATATAAGTTTAAAAAAATCTTTCCCTGTGCCAGGGAAATGATGACAATGATTGTATTCTCTTTTGATATTGAATATTCATTGCAGATTCATGTGTAAAACTCTTAGGATTATTTGGAAGGTGTCATAAGAAGGAAAATAGAAGGTATCCTACCTAGATGGGGGGGAAGCTAACAGTTAGGATTAGGGAAACAGTCTTTTCACTGTGATTTACTTGGCTTGGCTAGGAAAATGGGCCAAAGGTAAAATTTGGAATTGTCCCAGCCTCTGCCTTACCCACTTCCTGCTTTTTATAAAATGAAGGGAAATAAATTTTTCATGAGGCCCTTTGAGGTTCTTTATGAAAAATTATAATTTCAAGGTAATATACAATATTACTCAGTAAGGCAAAACATAATTTTATAGTATTAAATATTTCAGCAAGACAGTTCCCAGGAAAATGGACCCTAGAAAATAATGAAGTGGTGAATCATTTCAAGGCTTGTTGCTCTGAGGTAATTTGTATCATTTTTTTCTTCATCCCCAAGATCAACGTTGGCTGTTCGACTGATAGCTCATCCGCGGATCCAGTGAGACTGGAATTTTCAAGGGACTTCGGGGCGACCTGGCACCTTCTGCTGCCCCTCTGCTACCACAGCAGCAGCCACGTCAGCTCTTTATGCTCCACCGAGCACCACCCCAGCAGCACCTACTACGCAGGAACCATGCAGGGCTGGAGGAGGGAGGTCGTGCACTTTGGGAAGCTGCACCTTTGTGGGTAAGGACCCGCTGCTTGACGCCACATTTGTTTCTCCTTTGACAGTTTATTCCTGAAGTCATCGTTCACTTGCCACTTTATCATGGGGAAATTTCCACCTGACGTTTCTTCCTCTGTTCTCAAGCAGATCAGTGGATATTTAAAATGTAGGACACGGAGCTGACATAACTACTAATTTCTAGTTGGAAGGTAGATTTGAACAGGACACCATGGGCTGCACCCTGTAGTGGGGTTCACATCCTTGTGAAATTCTGTTAGATCAATTAGAACACAACAAAAATAAGGTTTTCCACGCGTTCCTCCTGCCTACTCCCACCTGACAATATAAATGCAGCTAGAATATTATGACTTTCAAACACCTGCCTATGTCTGTCATGCAGGGAGAGTGTATATAGGGAGCATAGAAGCCCACAGAATATTCCTGGTGTCTCATTAAAAAAAAAAAAAAAAAAAGTTAGCACGTTGCCCCCAGGCATCTCTACTTTTCCAACCTCTCTCAGCATTCTTGTTACATTTATTTGACTCTTCTGCTGAAAAGCAACTTAGAGATAAAGGACTTCACCCCTAAGAGAAATGAAATGAAAAGTATATTTCAAAAAACAAAACTGATAATAAAAGTGAACAAAGAGAGGAAGTCAACAGAGCAGTCTGCCTCCAAATTTCTGTTTTTTCTTTCAGAATTAAGAATGTTTTCTTTCAGAGTATGTCAAAAAAGAAGAAAGTACTAATATCATACTTTCAAGATGGAAATAGATTTATATTCCTGCTGTGAAATGGAGCATAATTAGAAGTCTTGAGTCTTCAAACAAGACTACTAATACCTAGTACTTTTCCAAAAGGGTGAAAGTGAATTTTTTAAAGTCTGCATCTCTTTGAACATGAATCTATCCACTCCTCATTATATCATCAGCATAACTTTTATAAATTGATTGCTAAGGATTTTAATATTTTGGGTTGTTGAATATATAATTTACTAATTCTTGCGATTATGCCAGGATATGATTCTCATAGGAAATCCAACTATCTTTTTAAAAATAAGCATTACTAAGCAAAAAGTCCTCAAGAACTGATAGCCAGAGGAGGCAAAGAGTGTCTCTGGAGATCATAGGAATAGATGGAGCTGATGACACAGCCAGCAAAACCAGAAAGCTACCACTGGTTGTGGGGAGCTTGTCTTTAGAAGAATCTGGCAGGGGAAAATAATCCAGGAAAAAGTTTTTATTCGAAATGGTTGTATTATTTAAGATCATATGTTGCAAGAAATATAAAGAGGCTTACCAAAAAGGTGAAAGAACTTATTGGAAAGATACTGGGGAATGGCATGGACTTCACTCAGAAAGTGTGGGGGACTTAGCAACAGAAGTTTATGATCCTTGTTTTTATTGTGTTCACATTAACATCACTTGGCAAACCAGAGCTTTCATTTTCTGGAGCTCTTAATTCCAAATTTTCAAATCTGAACCTATCAGCTGTAGCCTGAAAGCCAAGTGTTCCAAGAGAAGCATAGCTGTCGAAAAACCATGCCTATGAGCAGGACAGGCAAGGGGAAAGGCCTAGATAGCTTAGGCACTGCTATGGCCTGAATTTTTGTTGAAATTCACATGTCTCAATTCATTCCCCTGAAGGTAATGGAATAAGGAGATGGGGCATTTTAGGGGGCAATTAGTTCATGAAAGTGGAGCCCTCATGATTGGCATCAGTGCCCTTATAAAAGAGACCCCAGTGGACTGCCTTGCCTCTTCCACCATGTGAGGACCCAGCAGGAAGGCAGCATCCATAAACCACAAAGTGAGTCCTCACCAGACACTGAGGTGCTGGCTCCTTTATCTTGGACTTCCCAGCTACTCCACAAGTGTGAGAAATAAATTTCTGTTATTTATAAGCCACCCGATTTATGGTATTTTGTTACAGCAGCCTGAATGGAGTAAGACAGGCTTCTAGATACAGAGCAGTCCACTGAACTCCCTTATGGTATTATGGACAAACACTAGGTTTTCTGTTTAATGGACCTCTAATTTCCTCCAATTATCCAGCTAAGAATTAAATAGAAAACGAACGACCCTAAAGATAGATTGTAGGTTACGATTTTAGATTGTTTTGCCAACTGAGACTTGCTTCAGCAAGTTCCCACTTGGAAATAATCCCATCTAAAGGCGTATGAAACAAGATGACAAAGACCTGCCAGTCAGAGGCACTGAGTGAAGATGTCCATGCCAGGGGAGTGCTCCAGCGTCACAGAGACCACCTCGCTCAGCATTGGTAATGCCCACTGTGCTGTGTTTCCACGTAAGGCAAGACAATATAATTTGGAAATCTGAACAAGAGACTTGCAGACATCTATATTTTCACCCACTGGTACAAAGCCACTTACAAAACACAATAATAGCGTACAGAACCTAGACTGTCACATTATTTGTATTCCATGTCATTTTTATTTCCATGAAAAGAAAGTAAATGTATCAAGGAGGCATGCATGCCTGTTCTCAGAATGGTATAAACCCACGTTTCAAACTGCCTTCAACCATTTCTGTGAAGAGAAAAATTTGCCTTAAGGGTGTTGTCTAGTCCTTGTTTCAGGAAAAGAATTAGCACTCTTCTTAAAACCCATGCAGGCATGAATGGCTGGAAGGCAAAAGTTAAATTTTCTCCAACTCAGTGAACCATCCCTTGGTTGGTATTCAACATGGTACATAGTAATGGCACAAGTGCTGGATGCTAAAAGCATATATATATACAAAAATCCATGTTTAAATTACTCTTTTCTTGCATTTATTGGACACGAAATACACACAAAAAGTGTATTAAATGTTCTCAGGTGCAAAATAGTCAAATTTTGTTCCTTCTACATATATAGTCCATTTACATTCAAAGAATAACTATGAGCTTTCATCTAATTTTATTCACATCACCTTGGTGTGCTTTTAGAGTCCTTTTGTCTTTAAAAGTTCCTGATTGTTTTTGCTGTATGCAGTTTCATAATGAGTCAACCAAAACCCCTATTTAATGAAAGCAATGTTGTGTGCTTGAAATTTTAAGTTTATGTTTAAAAAACAGATCCTTTTGAATACAACTGGCTTAGGAGAACAGATGCTGACATTCACCAAGGAGGGTGGCAGTGAGAAATTTTCAAAATAAGATTTCAGCAGAAGGGAACCACAGTGAAACCAGACCCTTCAGCCTATTTATCATAGTGCTTGCAGTTTCTGTGTCAAGGCAAGTGAACAATAATAAATATCCAACTAAGGTGGTTCATTTGTATTCAGAACATTTGAATAAATAAGAAGTTCAAAAAAAATCCTTGTAGGCTTTTGTTCAAAGGAAAACTCCAGCCATTTCCCTCAGCTCAGCAGTCTGAAAGTTCAAAAGGTAAGAAGTGCTTCTTGCCAAGACTAAACTCTGACAAGTATTTGAAAATAAAGTTTAATTATGGACTGGCATTTTGGGGGCAGCTTGATATAGTTGGAGTTTGGGACTGGACATGGTGACTCACGCCTGTAATCCCAGCACTTTGAGAGGCCAAGGTGGGCGGATCACTTGAGGTCAGGACTTTGAGAGCAGCCTGGCCAACATGATGAAACCCTATCTCTATTAAAAATACAAAAATTAGCCAGGCGTGGTGGCGGGCGCCTGTAATCCCAGCTACTCTGGAGGCTGAGGCAGAAGAATTGCTTGAACCCTGGAGGTGGAGGTTGCAGTGAGCCAAGATCGTGCCACTGCACTCAAGCCTGGGCGACAAGAGCAAGATGGAACAATGAAATTAGGGTTAAATATATGTAGGAACTTGAATCTGTCGCTTTACTATCCACTAAATTTTAGAAGCCTAACAAATGTATTTTTCCCCCACTACCCATCCTTAATCCTGGTATTTAACTTCTAATTTCTGTTTCTCAAACAGAAAACTATTCAGAATTTAGTTTCTATGATAATTGAAAATTGGGAAGATTCACAGGGCACAAAAATAAGTGCACATGTCATCTCTGCATCCTGCCATTCTAAAATAAATCTGTCTTCTTTGAACTGAGTTTTACACATGATAAAATACATTAAAACATTTCTGGACAGCTACCTAAATATGTAGATTATTTCTAAGGAGCTAACTTATCAGCAACATGATAGGACAATTCAAAAGGAAAATTATTTTTGACTTAAAAAGAAGTTAAGAAATAAGAGAATCTAAAAATACATCAGATTCTGCCACTTTTTCTCTTAAAAAATAATCTTTTTGGGCTCTCTGTTTCTGATGAGATAAAATCCAAAAAACCTTAGTTTGGCTCATAAGGACTTTCACAACAAATTACATGCCACAAACATTTACTGAGCATCTACTATGTGTGAACACTATATGGGTGCCTTAAAAAGGTACAAAAAAAGAAAGAGACATGGACATTGGCCTCTATGAGCTCACAGCCAATAGAGGAAATAGACACACTTTTAAGTAACTCCAGCTGGGATAACTATAATAATGGAAATTCCATCAAAATTATGGAAGAGAAAGTAAGATAGAAAAATTTAAAAGATTGTCATTTACCATAAGGTCCATCAATTTCACTACCCTTCTACCCAAAAGAATTGAAAACATGTATTTAAGCAATTACCTGTACACAGATATTTATAGCATTACTATTCACAGTAGCCAAAAAATGGAAACAACCAAATGTCCATCAACTAATGAATGGGTAAACAAAGCTAGTATATCCATACAATGGAATACTGTTCAGTCACAAAAGCCATGAAGTTCTGATACTTGCTACACCATGAATGAACCTTGAAAACATTATGCTGTTATGCTAAGTGAATGAAGCCAGACACAAAAGGTCACATATTCTATCTTTCCATTTATATGAAATATCCAGAATACGTCAGTCCATAGAGACAGAAATGATTGGTGGTTGTCAGTTGTCAGGGAGGGAGAGATGGGGAAAACTGTTCAGTGGGCATGGGGTTTCCTTTTGGGGTGATAAAAATGTCTTGAAACTAGAAAGAGGTGATGGTTGGACAACACTATGAATGTGGTAAATGCCACTGATGTGTACACTTTAAATGGTTAATGCTTAATCTTATGTTGTGTGAATTTTACCTCAGTTTTTTTAAAAAAGGTTAGTTATACAGAGTGTATTAAATAGACAGAAGGGGCCGGGTGCGGTGGCTCACGCTTGTAATCCCAGCACTTTGGGAGGCTGATGTGGGCGGATCGCCTGAGGTCAGGAGTTCAAGACCAGCCTGGCCAAGATGGTGAAACCCCATCTCTACTAAAAATACAAAAATTAGCCAGGTGTGGTGGTGGGCACGCCCAGCCACTCAGGAGGCTGAGGCAGGAGAATCGCTTGAACCCGGGAGATGGAGGTTGCAGTGAGCCAAGATTGTGCCACTGCACTCCAGCCTGGGGGACAGAGTGAGACTCTGTCTCAAAAAAAAAAATAAAACAAAATAGTAAGGATGGAGAAGTCTTCACCAAGGAAGTCAATATTGAAAAAGATGGGAAGATCAAGTGAAACATTGACATTCTGATAGGATCAGGAAAAGCTTACAAGAAACAAGAACTTTATTGGCAAAATCCTGGAGATTGAGGAATGGAGTTTTGTTCCTGAAATGGCAAATGTTTTCTATTTCTTGGGTGTTGAGCATAGGTAGAAGCTGCCCATTGTTCATTGATCAGATGTGCATACTTTGAAGGTATATTGTTCTGTTGATTAGCTTTTGAAAGACTTGTCCTCTTTTCCAGATCTGTCCGTTTCAGATGGTACCAGGGATTTTACCCTGCCGGCTCTCAGCCAGTGACATGGGCCATTGATAATGTCTACATCGGTCCCCAGTGTGAGGAGATGTGTAATGGACAGGGGAGCTGTATCAATGGAACCAAATGTATATGTGACCCTGGCTACTCAGGTCCAACCTGTAAAATAAGCACCAAAAATCCTGATTTTCTCAAAGATGATTTCGAAGGTAGTCTTTTCTTACAAATTCTATGTAGTCTTGTGAAAGAACTTATATGTTAAACACAATTTTTGGTAGATAACTAATCATTAAGTTTAATTCTAATATCTCATTATTATTTCAATTGTGAACATCCAAGAATTCATTTAGTTCTGAATTTATAGGGTTCCATTTTGGAAACAATGGTCAGTGAGTGAAATACTGATACATGCTACAAGACCTTTATTGAGAAAAACTAAGGCTGTGTTCACAACTTTTTCTACCACATGTAATTTCTGCCTAATGACAATTTTAGAATATATCTATAGAGACTTAATCTTGGATGGAAGGGTTTCCAGAAATATAAATTCCTGTTACTGCTTTACCACAAACTGCTTAAATAGCCTCTCATCACTTTCTATAGTTTAGTTTTACACCTAGAATTCAGTATCATTATGTGTGAAGACAATGTTACAACATAGTAAAATGCATGTAATGTAATGATTAGAAAAAAGCATTTAAATTATATATGCACTTTGATCAAACTGTGGAAAAACACCTCCATAAAAGAAAGTCTTAAGTATAATAGCCATCTATATTAGGGTAGTGGGATTAAAAGATTTTCTTTCGGCCTGGTGCAGTGGCTCATGCCTGTAATCCCAGCACCTTGGGAGGCTGAGGCAGGTGGATCACGAGGTCGGGAATTCGAGACCAGCCTGGCCAACGTGGTGAAACCCCATCTCTACTAAAAATACAAAAAAGCCGGGCACGCTGGCAGGCACTTGTAATCCCAGCTACTCGGGAGGTGATTCGCTTGAACCTGAGAGGCGGAGTTTGCAGTGAGCCGAGATCACACCACTGCACTCTAGCCTGGGCGACAGAGCGAGACTCCATCTCAAAAAAAAAAAAAAAAAAAAAAAAAAAAAAAAAAAAGATTTTCTTTCTTTTTGCTCAGTTTTTGTAAACTTGTTCTATTTATGGTTTTACAATACATTTTAAAACTAGATCTAAGTATATCCATACAGTGGAACATTACTCAGCCATAAAAAGGAATGAAATACTGATACATGCTACAACATAGATGAAACTCAAAAACATGCTAAATGAAAGAAGCCAGACACAAAAGGCCACATATTATGTCAATCTGTCTTTATGAAATATTCAGAATAAGTAAATTCATAAAGACAGAAAGCAGATTATCATTTGCCAGCGTTGGAGGAGGGGAAAGTGAGGGGACAGTGACAGTTTAACAGGCACAGGGTTTCCTTTCGGGCTCATGAAAAAGTTCTGGAACTAGGTAGTAGTGATGGCTGCACAACAGAGTGTATCAACTAAATGCCAGTGAATTGTTTACTTTGACGTGGTTAAAATGGTAAATCTTATGTGATGTGTATTTTACCACAATGAAAAAATAAATAAACGAAATCGGAGTATCTGAACAGATTTAAGAGCTGGTTTTTAAAGACAGTATTTTATTTTATATTTTATTTTATTTTATTTATTTTTTGAGATGGAGTTTTGCTCTTTCACCCAGGCCGGAGTGAAGTGGCACAATCTTCGGCTAACTGCCACCTCCGCCTCCCGGGTTCAAGTAATTCTCCTGCCTCAGCCTCCCAAGTAGCCAAGATGACAGGCACCTGCCACCACACCTAGCTAATTTTTGTATTTTTAGTAGAGACAGGGTTTTGTCATGTTGGCCGGGCTGGTCTCGAACTCCTGACCTCAGGTGATCCACCTGCCTCGGCCTCCCAAAGTGCTGTGATTACAGGTGTGAGCCACCGCACCCAGCCTTAAAGGCGTTATTTAATAGGCAATAATAAATGGTATTGAAATTTCTCCCACTAAACTGTTTTTTTAAATATTTTGTTGTCCCTGCCTGATACTATCCTTACATTAGAGAGGACACAGTAGAGAGGCTGGTGGAAAGGCTACACAGCCCCCACCTTCCTGATGGCCTGAACTACTCTCTGACTAACCAGTGTCCTTTTTTTCAGTGTGAACAAGCCGAAAGGAGGGATCCATCTAGCTGGACCATAGATACTCAAGAAAATACCCCCTCCTCCTATCACAAGAATCTTTAAATTATTCCAGCCAAGGCTAAACAATTCAAACAAGCTGAAATGTTGAAAAGGCCTCTTATCCTAAAACATGACTTTAATATTTATGACTTCATATTTTGAAACTACATAATGCATTTACCATACTCCTTTTAAAAATATAATACAACTCACTATAGTTGGGGTCATAGGTAAACCATATTTTCCAATTTTTTCAGGTCAGCTAGAATCTGATAGATTCTTATTAATGAGTGGTGGGAAACCATCTCGAAAGTGTGGAATCCTTTCTAGTGGAAACAACCTCTTTTTCAATGAAGATGGCTTGCGCATGTTGATGACACGAGACCTGGATTTATCACATGCTAGGTAATCATTTTTAGATGCTGTTGAAAAAAACCACATCGTAATGTATAATAGCAGAACATAATCAAATCAGAAGGAAGCAGAGCGATTTCAAGGACAAGGCCTTCCATTGTAAATACTGAACTTCTCTCTTTATCAAAGCTTTCAGGAAGACACAAGTTACATAATTTCTATTCTAAAATTGAAAGAGATTATTCAATAACTTAATCAGAAAGGAAACATACCTAAACAGGCAAAAATTAACATCTGGTATTTTATAAGACTGAGATTAGGAAGTAACAATGTTTAATTTACTTTAACTTCAATAAAATATTGTGTCTTCTTTATCTTTCTGTATAACATACTTTTCATTAGCACTTGCGCTATGTAGAAATTATTTACACTTATACCATGCTTAGTAGAAAGCTTAGTTGAAATGCAGTATATCTTCAAATTATTCATAATTAATTTTATCTCCGCCAGCAATTTAAGTTAAAAACATTTGAAGGGCAGCCTTATTCTTTATAAGCATCTTTCCAATGATTCACTCACACATTCTAAGCAGTCATTTTCTAAATTGAACACAGTCACTCAGAAACAAACATTTTAAACTGGCTCAGAGGATTATGTCCTGTCAAGATGTGTATCCCTTGATCATTTGATGGGCCGAAAACTTAACAAGGAAGATAAAAAAGATGGTTTAACATGTGTAAAATGGAACCCTGACCTAATTTTGCAAGTGAACAAAGAAACCATGTTTTTGTCTTTTGAGATATTTCAGAGTATCTTAGAATACATCTTAACATTTTTACCCCTTCTTTTTCCCAAATACTTCATTTATTGATCATAAATTTGATCACACTTCATAGAAAATACAGTTCTGTGAAATAATTACACAGTTATAAAAACAATATTTTATCATTATCCCACTTTAATGCATATAGTTTAATTTGATGTTCCTTATTTCAGATTTTTATTAGCAGCTGAGTTCTCTAATTTAGAAATTATTAGGTGTTCCCAAATAAGTAATTGTCTCATGGTTTATCTATCACTAAGTTAATATAAAGATTTTCTCAATACAAGTAGACAATATACTAAAAGTATTTCTCTGTAAATGATTGTTGTTTTTACAAATGTAAACGTCACTAGACCCAACCATGTATGTTTTCATTACTCCAATGTTAAAAGCTCCATTATTTAGCTCATCTCAGTAGCATGCTGTGTAGGATTTGCATATATTGACCTGAATATGCTCCATGTAAAATCCCAATTTTTTCAGGGTCATGAGATAAATGAATGGGGTGGGGAAGGGAACTCATGAGGAATGAATGGTTTTACATATGGTACTGATAATATTTTTATTATACATCTTAATATATTTCCTATGTCCGGCATGCATACATTAGTGGGTATGTGTGTTGGGTTACACATGAAATTTATTCTGCATTACCAGCTAGCATCGTGGCCAGACCAGAAAGCAGCAGCTTGCCTGCCAAAGATAACATGTGAGCTAGTTTTCATTGGCACCCCAGCTGGTTGCTGCCACTCTGTCCACCTCCCTGCCAGCTGGGAACGCTGCCACTGGCCGGCTGCCACCATTCTCAGTGGCCAGTATCATCCATCCCCAGACCCAGCAACAGTCAGAGCCTGGCACAGCCACCACCACCACCACCCCACACTCATGGTCCCTGCCCCAGCACAAAAGAGAGAAAAGAGGCCCAGGCTTGACATACCTCTTCCAAAAGATGCCTGGCCTTTCACAAAGAGGTGCTACAACTGGTGAATTTAAATGTGCCTCCCAAAGCCAATAATATGAGATCTGAAAAACGACTGGTGAAACCTTAGAAGAAATAATCTGCCAGTTATATGGCATACACTACATTAATTACATTCTTCCCGTTTCAAACTTTCAGTTTCAGAGTTTAAGGAGTTACACTTATCTTAAATAGATGACAACACACACTCCCACACTCAAACCGCCTTTAGATCCCTCCCATCTTTTTATAGAAGAGCCAAAGGGTGTGGGGAACACTCAGGTCCCTCAGGCTCTCCTCTGAGGAGAGTCACTAGACACAAATATGGGTGCAGAATTGCCTTTTTTCAGACTTCACATTTAATTAACTCCCTTTCTGATTAAAAAGGGAAATCAGACTTTGAAGTGATTGCTTTGGACACTCATTAAATCGCCATATTTATTGAGGCCTTTCGTTCCCCTGCATTACCCCATGTGCTTGTCTGTTGTTAAGCATGTGGATTTCTTTTGGAAGTGAAAGTCTTCAGTAACGTTTACAAATGTCAGATTTGTGCAGTTCTTCATGAGACTGGGATGTGGTAAAGGCGTTCCTGACCCCAGGAGTCAACCCGTGCTCCTACAGTATTCTCTCAACGGTGGCCTCTCGTGGAGTCTTCTTCAGGAGTTCCTTTTCAGCAATTCCAGCAATGTGGGCAGGTACATTGCCCTGGAGATACCCTTGAAAGCCCGTTCTGGTTCTACTCGCCTTCGCTGGTGGCAACCGTCTGAGAATGGGCACTTCTACAGCCCCTGGGTTATCGATCAGGTCAGTCCCTTCAGGATTAACTATTTTAATTGTCGTCACTTGAGCTGAATGTGGCCTTAGAAGGCATTTAGTTCAACCTGCTTGCTCAGTAGATGAAACCCAGAACTGACAGTTGAGTGACTTGCCCAAGGGCACGCAGCTAGATTAGATATGGCATTTAGCTTCCTTTCATTCTCTATTCCTTCAGTTGCCTAAGCTTATAAAAATAAACAACATAACAGAAGGACTAGGTCCTGCTCATAGAGGATTCTGCCATATGGATAGAGGGACTTTATCAAGCGTGATACAAGGTTATAATTCTCTGAAAAGGAAAATGTGCAAATTAGCATTGGTGCCACATGCAGTAGTTCCCAAATCCTCTTTCTTGCCTTTGAAGAAAAAAATAAATCAATCTCCCCCACATCCTTATAGACTGCTCCAAAGGATCTTTATACATAATAAGATGTATATCAAATAGAACTCAAAGAACCTGTTAACAAACCGTAGAGTTCATGCAAAGAATTGGAACTGAAATGCCTTAGGGTACAACTGTCCTTAAATAGAAATTTTACATGGAAAATAATCACACATAAGCCAAATTTTGCTTCCCAGCTTGGGTACATGTCGTTTGCAAAGGCACAGTTTGGCCAATGTAGGCTGTGAATGGTTTTGTCAATCCTTTGATTTGTTTTGTGTAGTTTCTTGCCAGATGGGCAAGCAGACATAAACAAGAGCATTCTGAAAGGCCCCTCACATTCTGCTGGCCGTCCAGTGCCAGTTCTGAGCAGGCCAACAGATCAAAACAAACAAACAAACAAACGAAAAAGGCAGAACTTTCCATTTCTTAAAACTAAATGGAAAATTTGGGATTTTTTAAAAATACATTTCAGATTCTTATTGGAGGAAATATTTCTGGTAATACGGTCTTGGAAGATGATTTCACAACCCTTGATAGTAGGAAATGGCTGCTTCACCCAGGAGGCACCAAGATGCCCGTGTGTGGCTCTACTGGTGATGCCCTGGTCTTCATTGAAAAGGCCAGCACCCGTTACGTGGTCAGCACAGACGTTGCCGTGAATGAGGATTCCTTCCTACAGATAGACTTCGCTGCCTCCTGCTCAGTCACAGACTCTTGTTATGGTGAGTATGCCGTCTCCAGATAGAGGGACAGGCATGTGGGCATGAGCTTCTGTGGCTGCCTCTGTCATAGGACTACTCTGCCTCTCTGATAGGTCTGTAAATAAAACACAAGTGCACTTTGAGTCAAACCACACTGTACTCTTGAAAATACTGCATGTATTAAAAAACTGAGTTTTAAAAGTTGATTTTTGAAAGCAATAGAATGTGAGCTTATTTTTTAAGCATATGTACGTGAAGACTTATTTTATACAGTAAATAACCTAAACAGTAATAATTTGTAAATCCAGGTTTTATAGTATTAGACTCGCAGAATAAAGGATACACTTGCAGTATTTTTCCAGTAAGGACTCTCATCACATAGAGAATGCCAGGAATAAGCAATATGATTTATTCATATATACAGGGCTTATTAATATATATATTCACAGATTTAAATTCTTGGGGCATTAGATGAAACCAGTTATTGTCTCCTCTCTATATCCCCCCAAATGATGACATTTTGTTGTTCCCATTTTGCCTATATTTTTTGCCACCGTGGATCATAGCACATTCCAGGCCACCCTCATTGTGACCAATTTGCACCCCCTAGAATGAGTATGTGCATGTGTACACTCACACATACCATGCACTCACACAGACCCATCGTAGGAGAGATAAAAGCTGGCATCATTGCACACTTGGACTCTCTACCTGAACTTACAGACCTGTCAGGATTCTGGGTCTCCTGGTCTTTCACATCCCCATATAACTCTTCTTCCAACAGACAAAAACTAGAATGTTCACAAGGTCCCCGTTCAGTTTTAGATTCTGGGTAGAGGGGAGGCAGAAATTTGAGGAATTTGGTTATTTTCAAGGTCCTACAGAATTCACAATTTTTAATATTCTCATTAGTCTGAACGTAATAGACATACTTTAGGAGGAATGCCAGAGATACTCTTTCTACCTCAGACACAGTCAGTCAAGATTAGATTAGTCAGTGGGGATGGAACTTGGAAAAGAGAAGACAGAAAAGTAGAAGGTGCACACCCTGTCTTCAGTAGATACAGACTACCTGATGGGATACCTCAAAGAAAGTCCAGTAAATCAAGTGTTCCACGGAGTAGTGCTGATACAAAATGTAATGAGAACTCAAAGGAGCAAGAGATGACCAATGGTTGGCCAATCTAAGAAGTTAGGGAACATTTCACAAAGGAGCTAAGTCTTAAGTGGACCTTGATGCTTGAAGTAGATTTTAAGGGTGGATGGAAAAGAAAGGGCCCCCAAACTAGGCTGTAAGCAGAAGCAAAGAAGCTGACGTGGGGTTCTCCTAAAACTGAGAGCAGACCAGCCTCAACAGGTCTTGGTCTGCATCTAGTGGAGAAGAGTACAGTGTGGTGATTTTGAAAACAGTCTAGACTCTTACTCCCTTCTTCACATAGAAAGTAGAGGAGAGCCCAAAGAAGTAAGTTATCACATGGTCAACCTGCAGCACAGCACCAGGACTAAAATTTTGCCCTCGTAAGCCCAGTCACTTGTACTTTCTATACAGGCTGGTGCAGCCTCCTGAGAAAGGTTAAAATGAATGATAATATGAAAGAGGAAAGTGGCTGAGTGGAGTTGGCAACAAATTAAGAAGGGCCTTAAGAAGCAGGCATGGGGATTTGTGCTTGGTAAGGTCATGAACAAGAGAGTACAAGTGCAGAGGGGTGACATGATGTATTTCACGAAGATTAGCTCCAGAGCCAATGAAGGTGGGTACAGAAGAATTCCAGTAAAGAAACCACAGTGGTCACCTCTGTAGGAAGCAATGTAGAGTTGCACTATGTGGCATGAAGAGACATGGAATAGATAAAATTGATATGAGATAATGCAAAAAAAATCAGCAGATCTCAGGACTGAGTTGAACATAGAGGGTAAAGGAGACAGAAAAGTAAAATTTCTAAAATAACTTCTAAATTGTGTTTTTTCTTAACAACCTCTGATACCAAAGGCTAAAGTAACTTCTAAATTTTGGACCCAGAAAACCAGTGTAAAAGTATTGCTATTGATAAAATGTGGTAGTTAAGAGGAAATGTTTGTTAATGAGGGAAAATGGTGAGTTTTTCTTAATTCAAGTGAAAGGACTTCTAAGTGAAGATATCCTTTAGTGAAGATGACATACAGTATAGAAAGCTGGAACTGTGTCTATACTGCTCATCACAGCGCACCCAGCATCCAGCACGTGCCAGGCTCCGTAGACACAACTCTATTTTGAGATGTAAAACCAGGAAATTTGGGGCACAGAGGTGATCACTGAATCAAGAGTGTACTTGTAGAATAGATGGCCAGAAACAGGGTCTGGAAGAATGCCCATAGCTGGGCAAACTTGCAAAGGAGTCAGAATAAAAGACAGGAGACTCAGAATGATGTCCCTCAAAATAAAAGAACATTTCAAGAATCAGGGAGTAATCAATAATGTCCAATGCTGTTAGGAGGCAAGCACAATGAAGACTGAGACCAGGCCATTGTATTTACCTAGAAACCTTAGGGCAGTGTGTGGTCTCACACTGGCTGCACGGGAGAATCACCTGGGAAGCTTTAAAGCTCCTGACGCCTTGGCCATGCCCCAAAAGAGTTCAATCAGAATCTCTGGTAGGGAGACTCAGGAATCAGTCATTTCTAAAGGTATCCAGGTGATTTCAGTGTGCAGCCAAGACTGAGAACCACAGCCTTAGAGAAAGCAATTTCGGAAGGGAGGTAGGGACGTAGGCAGCTTATAAAGTGAATAGGGAGAGAGAAATAAAAGACAGGGGGTATGGGTTGAATGTTCCAGAAGAAGAAAAGGAAAGAAATAAATATCTTTCTTTAGACCCACAACCTGATGGCATGCATTGGCACATATTCCGTGGCCTTCAACTCCCTCCTTAAACCCCTTGGATTTCCATATTTTATATATATTCTATAACACAGCAGAGCAAGATATATAAGCAGAAGAGAGTTTACAATTTCTAAGAAGTTTCACCCATACCAGGGTCAAAATTGACATTAGTTGGTCAGGATTCCTATAAAATGGTCAAAATTGGAGAAGTCTGCTCAATTTATTAACAGTTTGAACACTAATTATTAAAATATATAATATGTTCCTTATTTGTATGTTAACCATTAAATAAACAAACTATATTAATTTTTAAGTATTATACTATATTAAATGATATACCATTTAAATGATGTTTGTGATATATAGTCTATCACTATAATATTAAATTACAAATATATCTTACCAATTATATGCAGTTACTCAAATAATGTAACTGTATGTGAAGCAGTACTTTTGTCATGATGATTGTTCCAAAAGCTTCTCATTATAAGATGTGATTCACAAACATTTACTTTATGTTTCACTTGATCATATCCCCTTAAAAGTTATTTCAACATGGAAATTTAAAAATAATAGCTAGTAATATACAGAGAGAAAAATTAAACTAGGAAGCATTTCAAAGCAGGAAATATAAGTGTAGGGAAAAAATCAAACTGACATTTGAATGAAACTAAAACATACACAAATGTGATAAACAATTATGGTTCCTGGGTCTGCAGATATGTGTTTATATCCAAAATAATGTTTCCTGTTTCAGCGATTGAATTGGAATACTCAGTAGATCTTGGATTGTCATGGCACCCATTGGTAAGGGACTGTCTGCCTACCAATGTGGAATGCAGTCGCTATCATCTGCAACGGATCCTGGTGTCAGACACTTTCAACAAGTGGACTAGAATCACTCTGCCTCTCCCTCCTTATACCAGGTAAGAATGCTTCTACATGTTCACCACATGCTTCTACGTATAGTGAGCCCAAATGTGATAACATTTGGCATGTCAAGTTTAATGAGATATGTGAGGGTTTTGTTAATTGCTAATGGTATTGCCATGTATGAATTATTAAGGCTGTCTTAATGAGTAAAATAGAAACCAGTTTTTATCATGGCATTATTCCATGTTTTCCCAAAAGCCAGGCCTTTACTGACTTTTAACTCTAATATTTTTAAAGAATGAACTACAAAAGAAAACAGTGGCTGCATCACTTGGCTTCTCCAACTTAATTCAGAGATGCCCAGACAAGTCGTTTAAAATAGGCCCATTGGATACAGAATAGACTGAAACAGAGTCTGTTTTCTGCTAGTGAGACTGCTGTAAATATAGGAGTGAGTGATGTCCTATAAATGAATGTAGCAAATAAATGTACCTTTAAATTATGTCTGCTTTTAAAATTTTATTATGGACATTATCTTGAGAATTATCACCTGAAGCATTATTTTATGTGAAAAACCTTTCATTCTTGTCTCTATGGAAAGGGATCAGGGCTTAATAAAATTGCCTGGTACGGAAGGATCACTTGAGACTAGGAGTTCAAGACTAGCCTGGGAAACAACAGCGAGACCCCATCTCTACAAAAAAAATTAAAAAATTAGCCAGGCATGGTGGTACCTACCTGCAGTCCCAGCCACTCAGGAGGCTGTGGCAGGAGGATCACTAGAGCCCAGGAGTTTGAGAATGCAGTGAGCTATGATCATGCCACTGCACTCCAGCTTGGGTGTCAGAGCCAGACCCTGTCTCAAAAAAAAAAATTAAAAATTAAAGTAAATAAAATTGCCTAGTAAATTCTGATAAAGAAGTTAAATCTAAATTATCTGTGCATTTCCACTCCTGTTTGAGTAAAGCAGAGAATTAGCTTTGCCTAGTGGAATAGTGTTACATGACACTCTCTCTTTCACCATCTAAACTAGGTGCTAATTATAGGAAAGCTTTAACATCTTGATAGAAACTCCTATTTCCTCCAAGAAAATGGTTTTCAGTTGCTGCATTAAGAAAGAAGCAAAGCAACCAATCCAGTGTGTGGAACAGGAGTTATAGTTTGGGCTTATTATTGTTTTGTCATCTTCCCACAAATGAAGAATGAATAAATTTTCCTAGCAAATGACCATAAAATTCAACCATTCATCTAGGGCATAACTTTTCTTAGGATTATCATAAATGGGATGGTTTCAGTTAGTAACAGCCTAGGGCTGCTTTACAATTGCTGGCTCAGAGGTACGAGACTATATTAACTGTCAGCAGAGTTGCCAAGTTTAAATGAGATACGTGAGATTTTGTTGCTCATTAAAGGTGTTGCCATGCATGAATTATTAAAGCGATCTTAATAAGTAAAATAGAAAAAAAAACTCCATTAAGGCAACAGTCTTTTAAGTCTTTATGAATTCTATGAATTATTACCCAGCTACTCAGTCACATTTTGCAAATAAGCGACATTCTAAGATTTACTCCAGCTAGTCATTATGCCCTTGAGTCTTTTACTCAAGAAAAGTAATTATTTCTCATCTTTTAATCTATCTTTTAATTGTCTCTTGTACATACCCACAAGAATTTTGACCCTTTCAAATGTTATTTGAAAAATCTGATGAGCATCCATTTCCCCCTGTTCTGTACTGAAAATAAGCAGTTTGTTTATTATATTACCCTCAAGGCTCATGTACAATTGTCTTAAAGGTGACACTGCCTTGTAACAAGGCCCTTTGGGTAATTCAGAAAGAAATGTGCATGGAGGGAGCCCAAGCCAGAGTCACTTCTCTGCCATATGCCAAAGATCATTAGAACAATATGCCAGTCTCAGAGTTACTTGTTTCGAACATGAGTAAACATATCTACACTACATCTACATTTATATTCAGTTACTTGGTAAATATGGTGTTTCCTTGTTTTAAATTAAAATCGCTGTCTCTGTTATCTGGAAACGTATTGAAATGTCAATGTTTATTAAGCAGGCCAGAATTGAGGATTTCAGTTTGTAGCTCTTCGCTATAAAGAAACGTGATGCTGACAACTTAAAGACATGTGCTCAGTAAGGGTTAGGAATGACTGTGACCATGTCACAACTGCAGCCTTGTCTACTCAACACATGACCATAAGGCTAGGATCCCAGTATTGTTGGCACAGTACTAGTGAGTGTCAGCTGAGGTTGGCTGGTCACAAATTGACGTCAAACCATTCACCAAACTAAAATGGTCACTAGTCATCAGTAGCAATTATTCATTCAGTCACTCATTAAACAAATATTTTTAACTGCTTAATTATGTGCTAGGCCTATGAGGGAGCTGAACTGATCCCTGACTCAAGGAGCTTTTAATTTGGTAGGAGAGGAGTATTGGCCAGAAATCACCAATAATCACAGGAGTAAATATAAAATTCAACTGTGATAAGTGATGGAGAACAGGTACATGATGCTCTAAGTTTCTGTATCGTAGGGTGATGTGACCTGGTCAAGAAGGCCAAGGAATGCTTTCTTGAAAAAAGGATAATTGAGGTAAGATATGAAGGTTGAATACAAGTTAACCAGGTAAAGTGTAAGGGTAGGAGTGTTCCAAGCAAGGATAGCAGCCAATTGTAGGAGGGGACAGGTGTATTTGAGATGCTGAATATATGGATCAGATAGAGAGAGGAGCAAGGTGAGGTATGAGATGGTGTCAGACCATGAAGAGCATTGTAGGTTGTATTAAAGATTTGGAGGTTCATTATAGGAACACTTAAAAGCCTGTTAAAGTGTTTGGCAATAGGGAGACATGAACAGATTTGCATTCAGAAAAGCTTCTTCTTTTTTTTTTCATTTCCAGCTTTTAAGTTCAGGGTTCCATGTGCAGGATGTGTAGGTTTGTTACATAGGTAAACATGTGCCGTGGTGGTTTGCTGCACAGGTCATCCAGTCACTTAGGTACTAAGCCCAGCATCCATTAGCTATTCTTCCTGATGCTTTCCCTCCTCCCACTCCCCACTTTCCAACAAGCCCCAGTGTGTGTTGTTCCCCCCTTGTGTGTCCATGTGTTCTCATTGTTCAGCTCCCACTTATAAGTGAGAACATATGGTATTTGGTTTTCTGTTCCTGCATTAGTTTGCTGAGGATAATGGCTTCCAGCTCCATCCACATCCCTGCAAAGGACATGATTCTCATTCCTTTTTATGGCTGCATAGTATTCCATGGTGTATATGTACCACATTTTCTTTATCCAGTCTATCATTGATGGGCTATTAGGTTGATTCCATGTCTTTGTTATTGTGAATACTGCTGCAGTGAACATATGTGTGTATCAATAATAGAAAGATTTATGTTCCTTTGGGTATATACCCAGTAATGGGATTGCTGGGTCGAATGCCGTTTCTGCCTCTAGGTCTTTGAGGAAATGCCACACTGTCTTCCACAATGGTTGAACTAATTTACACTCCCACCAACAGGGTAAACGCATTCCTTTTTCTCCACAACTTCGCCAGCATCTGTTGGGTTTTTGTTTTGTTTTGTTTTTTTTACTTTTGTAATAGCCACAGAAAAGCCCATTCTAACCAGAAAACAAATAGGAGAGGATAAGAGTAGATGTAAAGAGGCTCTTGAAGAATAAGAAATGCCGATGGTACAGGCAGTAGACATGAGGAGAAGTGGAGAAAGTCAAGAGACATGGGAGGCAATGAAACTGACCAAGCTGGGTCATGAAATTGACGTGGGAGCTTGAGAAGAGCAGGGCTGAAGATGACTCCCTGGTCTTTGAGTTGCAAAACTGAACGGATGCTGGTGCTCCTAACTAGGAAGGGAACACTGAAACTAAACACGAGATACATCACACTCTGCTCCAGACTACATCACGCTCTGCTCCAGACATTGCTATGTTAAAACATAAATAATTGGAGTAGATAGATTCATAGTTTCTATTCCTTGCCATACACATTAGTTAAGTTAGATCTTCCTGAAAGAAGATGATTTATAAATAAATGAACAAAAAGCATTGTAGTAGAGTGGAGGGCTCTGCCTTTTCACCCCTATGAGCTTTTAAGCAAGTTATTTTGTGTTTCTAAACTTCAGTCTCTTCATCTGAAAAATGGAGATCCTTTTCACCATATGAAAATCTCATAAATGTGCATGGAAGTGTTGAGAACATTGTCAAGATTTACTAAAAATGAAAATTATTTCTACTTTTATGAGTTAACCACATAATCACACTTGTTAACCATAACACAGGTTTATTATCAGACTTCAACCTCAGACTAAGAAGTTTTCCTAAGTCACAGCTTAATCTTGAATGAGAGTGAGCCCATGATAATGGCTAGGGCACTGTCTTAAATTCTTGCACTGGAGGAGGTTACAATCTATTTAAGGAAAATTAGACATATACCCAAGAAACCACTGAAAAATAATACCTGCTCTATATAATTTAGTGCTTCATTGAGGAATGGGCTAGAAATGCTGCAGTATCAAGAAATGGGAGATGATAGTGAAAGCCAGAATTCTAGTGTTTCATGGAAGAGATGGGCCCTGGCCTTGAAGGATGGCTAGGAATTAGGTGGGTAAATGAAAGAACACTAAATCAGGGGAACAATGTGGACAGTGCAAGGACACATAGGTATGGGCCTAGGGGAAGCACATGAGTTGCCGATTCAAGCAGAGGGCTCATATCTGGAAGCTATGACAAGATGCTGATTCACAGAGTTGGGTTAACTTATAGCAAGCATTGAAGCAAGGCAAAGGAGTTTAGATTTGTAGGCAAAATGAACTGTGGTGGGTTTTGAGCTGAGAATATTCTTCCAAGAGAAAAATCAGGACAACAGACAGATTCACATAAGAGGAGGGTGCAAAGGTGTTGTGACAATAACTTCTAAGTGAAATAACAAGTCTGGGCTACAGCTGAGGGAATGAGGCAGATATGACAGAGCATTTCAAAGAAAGAATTGATTAAAACCCAGTCACTAATTTCTCCTTCTCCGTTACATACATCAAGAGATGACTCCAGAGTTTGAAGCCTAGTAAAATAGTGAGAAGATGCGGGGAGCAAGCTAAAGTTGATTCCAGGAGGGACAATATGGCAAATTTAGTCAAATGATGCTGGATTACATGTGATGGCTGGAGGTACAAATGGAAATGTCCATTTGACAGAGACATGAAGATCTGAGACCAAGAGAAGATAATGAACTTCAGAGGCATGAACATAGAGTAATAGGCAATGCTGTAAAACTGCACCTGCCTCCATAAGAGAGTGTTTAAAAAGAGAGGGAGAGAGAGGACTCCTAAATTTAATAGCAGAAGGAGCAGAAATGGCCAGCAAGGGGACTGAGAGGATTCAGGCAGAGAGAAGATTCAGAATAACATGGTATCCAGAAGCCAGATGAGAGGAGATTAACAAGCAGGAAGAGATGGCCTTCAATGACATAAACTATAGAGAGTAATAAATTTAAAAGTTTCACAAAAAACTTTACTGGATTTTTCAATTTGAGAGAATGAGTGACCTTCGAACGAACGGTTTCAGTAAGATACTGGAAATAAATACAGTTTGTCTGGCACCAGAGCCCATGAGCTTAACCACTGTATTAGTACTGCCTCTTTATTGCTTGCCTAAGAGAGATGGTCTGAGGAGAAATAGGAAGGCAGGAATGTCAGGAGTTATTGAGAGAGACTGAAAAGGAAGAGAGGAAGATGCCAACATCAGTTTCATAGCCCCTACTCTGAATCTGCCTCCTCCACCTTACTAACCCCAGACCTAAAAGTAAGAGGTGGCTCAAATAGCATGGGTTCTTGAATATCACCTTAGACCCAGGGTGAGTCAGTGGAAGGGCAGGTAACCCAAATCCACCGAGAAAGGGAGGAGGGGAGTGGCCACTGAAAGGCTCAAGTGTGACTTGGCTATTTTAAGTCACAGTTTGAAGATTATCTATTCCCTTCTACTAGCCCTAATGACCTAACTGATACCACCTTCTTTAAAGATTATCTACACTTTGGAAACCCAGGTGGTTTTAGCCACACCGTGGAAGCTACTTAATGTCTGCAGGAAGTTCTAAGGAAAGGTGCTGTGCACAAATAATGGCAACATTGTGAAAGGAATGGGGGAAAGAGATGGGGATGGGAGGCTATAACACTTTCAGGTAAACAAATTTAGAGAGGACTTTTTTTTTTTTTGAGATGGAGTCTCACTCTGTTGTCAGGCTAGAGTGCAGTGGTGTGATCTCGGCTCACTGCAACCTCCGCCTCCCAGGTTCAAGCGATTCTCCTGCCTCAGCCTCCCCAGTAGTTGGGACTACAGGCGCACACTATGATGCCCAGCTAATTTTTGTATTTTTAGTAGAGACGGGGTTTCACCATGTTGGCCAGGATGGTCTTGATCTCTGGACCTCGTGATCCACCCGCCTCGGCCTCCCAAAGTGCTGGGATTACAGGCGTGAGCCACCATGCCTGGCTATATTCTTTACTTTAAAAAAGCTTATTGGCTGGGTGCAGTGGCTCATGTCTGTAATCTCAACACTTTGGGAGGTCGAGGCAGGCGAATCACCTCAAGTCATGAGTTCAAGACCAGCCTGGCCAACATGGTGAAACCCCGTCTCTACTAAAAATACAAAAATTAGCCGGGCGCGGTGGTGCATGCCTGTAATCCCAGTTACTTGGGAGGCTGAGGCATAAGGATCGCTTGAACCTGGGAGGCAGAGATTGCAGTGAGCTGAGATCATGCCATTGCACTGCAGCCTGCATGACAGAGCAAGATGAGACCCTGTCTCAAAAAAATAAAGTGTACAATTCAATGTTTTTTAGTCATTACTAAATAAAAAAAAAAACCCACAGGGTTGTTGAAACCATCACCACAGTGTAATTTTAGAATATTTTGTCCCCACTAAAAGAAATCCTATACTTATTAGCAGTCACTCCCCACCCCTCACCCCAGCCCTAGGTAACCACTAAGCTATGTTCTGTATTTGCCTGTTCTGGACAGTTCATAGAAATGGAATTATACAATGTGTGTTTGTTTTACAATTGGCTTCCTTCACTTAGCATCAAAGTGTAGTGTGATATATTGTGGAATGTATCAGCTCCTCATTCCGCCTTACAGCTGATTAATATTCCATTTTATGGATATACCACATTTTATTTATCTGTTCATCGTTTGATAGGTTCTTGGGTTCCTTCCACCTTTTATGCTGTGGTGGACATTCCTGTGCAAGTTTTATGTGGATGTATGTTTTCACTTTTCTTGGCTATATACCTAGGACTGGAATTCCTGGTAATTATGTTCAACATTTTGAGAAACTGACAACCTTTTACCCACAACAGCTGTACTCTTTTACATTCCCACCAGCAATGTAGAGGATTCTAATTTCCCCATATCCTTACCAGCACTTGTTATTGTCTTTTTGACTGTTGCCATCTTCATGGGTGTGAGGTTGTATCTCATTGTGGTTCTCATTGACATTTCCCTAAAGGCTGATGATGTTGGGCTTCTTATCCTGTGCTTATTGGCCATTTATATATCTTCTTTGGAATATTCTCCAACTTTGTCAAAGAAGATAGGTTAATACAAAGAAATAGGCTAGTGGAGGAAATTTTATGCAAAACATAAAGGAAGGGTCTTGGCTTGCAAGGCAAATAGACACACATTTTGAAATGGGCTGACATCACAGAGTCTGTTGCTCAAACACAGAGGGCCAGGGGCTTCAGCTCTGAAGCTGACACAGAAGTCAAGACACATATAGCTGCAACACATACAGCCTCCCATAGCTTAACAACTGTTCATATTTACAGGTAATGATAAGGGTAGGAAGATTTTGTGGAGGTTGCAGTGGAGTTTTGAAAGGTTTGCTTAATGAGAATACAAAGTAATCATGAACCAAGAGATCCTTGCCTTGTCTCAGTTTTGTTAGTGAATCAGTGTGAGACTTAGGTCACTGGGCGTCATCGTCGTCTTCGGTAGAATGGCATTGTTAGGCTAGATTTTCTAGGCTTAAATATTTTATGTATCTCTTTCGAAGTAAAAGATATTTCAGGGAAGGATGAAGAGGTTTAAAATATTATGTTCCTTTCAAAGGGCTTTTTCTCACGATGATGACGACAGTGAGGACTTCATAGGTAGATAGAGTCATTCTGAAGAAAAGAGCAAAAATGAAGACTCTGTAATGTGTAGTGAAATCTGTTAAAAGGTGCGGAGGTAGTGTAGGGAGAGATACCTGGGAGACCAGTGAGGGGAACCGTACTATTAACAGTAATATTTTAACTACTTAGCAATGGATATCTATTAAACAAAACTGATGTAACACTTACTACATACTGTAGATGGGAAAGAAATGGTATAACTCCACAAAAGAACCAAGAGGAGAGAGTTCAAGGATATGGAAAAATGAGAAATCTTCTCTGGGACCATTTTTCCCCCAACTCCGGGAAGTAGCAGCTGATGGTGGCCATCATTATAAAGATAAATGATAACACCTGCCGAGGAACTCCACCAAGACACTCGTAGTTCTTGGTAAACAAGAACTAATTAATTTTCACAACACCCTTGTGAGGCGGAAAGTAGCATCTTCCTGGTTTACTGACAGGGAAGCATCAGCACATAAACATAAGTGATGTAGCCCCTTCACACAGTGGAGCTCTGACAGGGCTGGGAATAAGAAGTCCTGGCAATTCAACTTCCAAACTCTCATTTTTAACTTATATTCCAGTTCTTAGTGAAAATGTTTCCTCTTCTTACAAATTAATATTGGATAGTATGTGTATCCTTGTTTGATGGGTACATAATTACTAGGTGTAGTTATTCCTAAGAATATGAAATCATCACATCTAAGAAGGGGCCTTAAAAATCATCTCATTTAACTCCCTTATTATACATGTTTAGTTACTCACCGTGGACATAGAACCTACTAGTGCCAGAGTACAAATGAAAGCCCTCACTTATCTTTGCTCCTGAGGGGCCAACTCCCATGTTAGTACATTTTTCATGTAGTTTCTTACTGTTTCCTCTTCTTTGAAATGCCAGAGAGTTGCACAAATTGAAAATGTCAGCATTGGAAGTCCCCATAAATGCTGTCAACTCCAACAATGCATCTGGCTCTTAAATCTTCCATACAGTTTCTCTAAGTGGTTGCCCACATTGTGATTAAACACAGCCAATGCTCAGAAAGCAACCACCTGCTAGGCAACCCATGCCACCTCTCGGCTGCCAGGAAGCTGTCTGCCCCCTTCAACAGCCATCAGATTACCACCCCTCCACAGCTGACACCAGGCCCTGCCCATCTACCCTACAGGACATCTCTTGTAGGGTGTTTTGATCTTCCTGGGCATCTTTATTGCTACCAACTTAATAGTGTTTCAGCAAATGTTTATGAAGCTCCATCTGTAGGTGCCAGCAACAATAAAATGATAAATAAGGAAAATAACAGGAAATTACATATGAATAGGCACTTTTAATACAAGGTGACGAGGGCTTTGGTGAAGTATGTGTAAGATATTAGGGGAACCAAGAAAGTTTATTACTTACCTACTATCTATAAGCACTGAGGATACAAACCAATATTCCCTAAGGGATACAGAGATATTCTCTGCCCTTCAGAAGCTTATAGTCTAAAAAAAAAAAAAACAGAATGAATATATAAATGTTGGCTCCGAGTAATTATGTGCTATGGAAATATGGTATTCCGCTATGTTAATTATAAGTTGTTGCTGCAGATAAACAGACATAACTGTAAATAAATTTAGATAAATTTAGTCATTAAAAATAATTTATCAGCAAAACCGCTGAGTTACACAGCTTACAGGGGTGAGTGCATTTCCACATTGCTTACTGTGAGAATGGAAGCCCCTGGATACGAACTTCCTGGACGTTTAGAACACCCACTAAGCTCTAGGTGCTGTCCATGAAGTCTACGATGTTGAACAAAAAGGAATCAACCCTGCTCTCCTTATAACTTACCATTCAAGGAAGAGACAGACATGTATCAAATATGTATGCAAATAAATGTATAACTATAACTGTGACAAATACTATAAGAGGAAAACAATAGTTTGCTATGAGAGAGAATAGCATGGAAGAAACATCATTTTAAAAGGGATCAGGAAGAAAATTTCTCTGTGAGGACCTGACATTTCCTCTGAGACCTGAAGGACACACAGAGGTTAACCAGGCAGAAAGAGAGAGAGGAAGGGAGGGAGAGGAAGAGAGAGAGACAGAGACAGAGAAAGAGAATATGTAGGCAGAAAGGTGGGAATGAGTTTGGTGTGCTTTGGCGCCTGAGGGGAGAAACAGTGCTCCAGAGGCGAGTGACCATGATGAGGGAGGGAAGCAGAGGCCCAGGTTCAGGCGGATATCAGGCAGGACCTTGTGGGCCAAGGAGGGGACTAGGGGTTTCGGTAAAATGCAGTAGAAAGTGACAGGAGTTTATTAGGCAGAGATCACTCTGCTGGGGGAACATGCCAAAGCTGGGGAGCAAGCAAAATTATGGAGAAACCAGTTTGTACATAGACGCTCAACAGACATGTATTGGACTGACCTCTTCATTTCAGGTGAAGATTTTAGTTCTAGTCTGTTTCTTCTCCATTTTCTAAACTTTATAGAAATATTTTCATTTGGAAAATGCAAACTCCTTCCTGTTGTTTGGTCTTTTGTCCTGCCTTAAACAGATATTCCTGAGTCAAATGATTAACGGTCTCTTAATGACAGAACATATATGGATCAATAAACACAAATGGTTTCCTCTAAAAGTCTTTTCATGTTCAATGCACTTGAGCCTCAGGCATTGCTTGGATTTTACTGCCATCTAGTGCCTCTGAAAACACGTGTGTTGTATTTTTGAGCAAGACACTCTCCAGAACTCCGTGAATGAGCAAATATATTTCTGCTTCTGGAATGGGAGAACCTCTGTTTTAGCTTTACTTATATCGCTTTTATATCAATGTAAAATAAGTCTGGTCTCATTTATTATGCTCTCTCTTTTTTTTCTCTGTACAATTTTCTCTGTCCAATTAGGGAGCAAGTGGGAAGCTGAAATCCAGCCCATGTTCTGTTCCCAAGCCAAATGCAGAGGGCTTGCGGCTGCTCGGAGATAGTCATCTTTTCTGATTTTGCACTTACAAGTTAGCAGCAGCTCTGGTGTCATTCCATGGTACTTCCCACACGAAATCCAAGGCTCACAGCTCCCCTGAGGCTTCCAGTTTTAGGATTCGTTTTTGTTTCTGACTGTCTGTTTTTTACAAGGCTCAGGAAGATCACTTGGCCAAATTGTATGATCAAACTATCACAGTTTGGTTGGTTTGGTTTGACTATAAACAATGTTTTCTGTAGAATATTGTAATAATGGCCAGCCAGGCACAGTGGCTCATGCCTGTAATCCCCGCACTTTGGGAGGCTGAGGTGGGAGGATCACTTTAGGTCAGGAGTTCAAGACCAGCCTGGCCAACATGGTGAAACTCTGTCTCCCCTAAAATACAAAAATTAACTGGGTGTTGTAGTGCATGCCTATAATCCCAGCTACTCGGGAGGCTGAGACATCAGAATTGCTTGAACCCAGGAAGTGGAGGCTGCAGTGAGCTGAGATGGTGCCACTGCGTTCCAGCCCGGGTGACAGAGCAAGACTCCATCTCAAAAAAAGAAAAGAAGAATATTGTAATAATGAATGTTCTTTTCAGAAAAGAAGTAGGAATGTACATGCTTTTGTGTTACACTTCTCCATGCACTTGTTCAAACATACTGGAACACATTTTCTTTTCCACAGCATCCTTCATTAAAATTCTCATCTTCTTCAAAGGTCCCAAGCCACTCGTTTCCGTTGGCATCAACCAGCTCCTTTTGACAAGCAGCAGACATGGGCAATAGATAATGTCTATATCGGGGATGGCTGCATAGACATGTGCAGTGGCCATGGGAGATGCATCCAGGGAAACTGCGTGTAAGTCGGTTTTTTTCTTCCTTCTGTTGAAAGCTCCTGATTCACATTCCATCTAGGAGATTTTTCTGTAACTGGTTTTTGAATCACTCCCATGCTTCCTTAAGTTATACATTTTTTTCTGAAATATGATCTTGAGCTAACTGTGAAGTTGATGGATACTGTATCTTCATTCTTGCTTAGAGATTAGGAACTGAACAATAGCTATCTTGTCAGGAGACAGATGAATTATAATTAACTATATTTTATTTCCTTCTGTGTTTCTGTGATACACTCGAGCCTTGAAAATAACATTAGAAAAGGTTCAGGAGTTCAGTAAGTTCTGACCAAAACTAATACATCATGAGTATTTTTCTCACTTAGGTCTGAATATATGTAAGGATATGCACTTGTCATTGTTTAATTTATATTGCTATGTTGTTTGCCTAAGAAAGTATGTAGATGTCTGGTCAATTTACCAGAGGTATTTGATGCACAGGCCTATTGTATTACTCTTAGAGAACCTCAGTATACTTGGAATAATTTAAATGAAGGTGTGGGGGTGTGTGTGTGTGTCTGTGTGTCTGTGTGAGATTATGCTGTTTAATGGGGAAGTATGAATGAAGATGCTTTCCCCATACACCTGGGAAGTCTTTTTTTGGCTAATGATTTTAGCCCATACCCAGGACGACCCTTGAGATCCCTGAGCTTCCCAGTCCTATATTCATATGCCCTTCCACCCTAAACAGGGAAGTCAGTCTTTTGGTAAGAAGTGACAGTTATTGCCCAAAGTATCTTCTGCTGTTAGCACCATGGCCCCTTGGATTCCTAAGTGGCTCAAAGCCTCTGTTAAAAAGACTAATTTTGTAAATTATTAGGACCCACCAGTTTACTTTGGCAGCTCCCATTGTTTATCAGCCCTTCAGAGCTGTGTGATATGAGATGGGCCTTTAGTAGATTCTTTGAAGTTGCTTCTTTCTCTCCACCTATAACCCTGAATCACTACCTTAGGAAATGTTAGAGTTAGTTAATTCATAGATTATTTGTAACCTAAAGTACAGTTAAGGAGAGCAGGTGTATTCTGGCAAGCTCTCTGAAAATCAGTAACTTTTCATCATCTTGGACTAGGAAAAGAGTAGTCTTCACTAATTTGAGAACAAGCTTGCAGGGGCTTTGTCTGATGTTGACTTTTCCTCTCTCTTGCTCTGCACCCAGCTGTGATGAACAGTGGGGTGGCCTGTACTGTGATGACCCCGAGACCTCTCTTCCAACCCAACTCAAAGACAACTTCAATCGAGCTCCATCCAGTCAGAACTGGCTGACTGTGAACGGAGGGAAATTGAGTACAGTGTGTGGAGCCGTGGCGTCGGGAATGGCTCTCCATTTCAGTGGGGTGAGTGTTTGGCTGCTGGTTACTCATTTCTGCTCTTCTTAAGTTCCTTCCAAATAGTTGACTCTCTTCTGAAGTTTAATGGGCAAATCAAGATGCAGGGTTAGTTACCCTAAATGTACAACCCTGATCTGAACTTGCAACTTTATACAAATCTTTATGCTATAAAGATAACTTTATACTATACTTTATACCAAGTAATTAGAAAATAAATATAGTATAACTTTATGCTATGCTTTATACTAAGGAATCAGAAAATATTAATCATTCCCAGGATTTTTCTACCACAAATCAGTTGAGACTATTTAATTATTCAGGGTAGTGTCAGCACAGGTCATATTTAAGTACATATTACAAAAGAATGTAAGTGAATGTTCATCTTGGAAAAGAGCACTTGTGCAATCTTCCATCTGCATGGAGCCCTTCTAATTGACAACTCCTGAGCTTGCAACAGATTTTGGATTTAAGGAGCCAAAAATCTGGAAAATGAGCTGTGATGGTTCCTGAATTTATTAAGAACAATGAATTATTTTTATAGGTTGTCCAGGAAAGAATAATTATTAGAAATTACTAGATATTTGTATGTGTAGCATATTATCTTGTGAGTGACAGCAGCAAGCTTGGAAACTTTCTTTGGGAAATTTTATAGTCACTCTACTTTTCTGCCAAAGGCGACTCTGTTTAAAATACAATTTCTTGTATACCATGATTAGATAGACAAATTAATGTTTTAAAATAACAAATTTGGCCGGGCGCGGTGGCTCACGCCTGTAATCCCAGCACTTTGGGAGGCCGAGGCGGGTGGATCATGAGGTCAGGAGATCGAGACCATCCTGGCTAACAAGGTGAAACCCCGTCTCTACTAAAAATACAAAAAAAAATTAGCCGGGCGCGGTGGCGGGCGCCTGTAGTCCCAGCTACTCGGGAGGCTGAGGCAGGAGAATGGCGTGAACCCGGGAAGCGGAGCTTGCAGTGAGCCGAGATTGCGCCACTGCAGTCCGCAGTCCCGCCTGGGCGACAGAGCGAGACTCCGTCTCAAAAAAAAAAAAAAAAAAAAAAAAAAAAAATAACAAATTTACTGCCAGCTCTTTATTTCCTTAGCATGCCCTACCTTAGAGTTTACATTTGTGCCAATGAAGTGTATTATTTATATTCAACATTTTAGCTCGAGTAGCAAGAAGGCATATAGCATGTAGGCTTTTTATAATCAGCAACACTGAGAAAGACTGCAGTGTTCAGGATACTTTTCCTCACTTAGAACTAAAAGTGAGTTTTTCACATATGTTCAACTAAAAAAAATCCGTATATCAACATTAAGAAATTAATACAGATGCCATTAAATTCTGCTAAAGTGTGAATTTAAAACATTACAGTAATTAGATTATCTGTATAATTATAAAATTTCCAGATGTAGCTATTTTTAAATTTCATATTAAAATAGTCATCTATTTACAGGCGCGGTGGCTCACGCCTGTAATCCCAGCACTTTGGGAGGCCGAGGTGGGCAGATCACCTGAGGTCAGGAGTTCAAGACCAGCCTGGCCAACATGGTGAAACCCCATCGCCATTAAAAATACAAAAATTAGCCGGGTGTGGTAGCACACAACTGTGGTCCCAGCTACTCGGGAGGCGGAGGCAAGAGAATCACTTGAACCCAGGAGATGGAGGTTGCAGTGAGCCGAGACTGCACCACTGCACTCCAGCCAGACTGTCTCAAAAAATTAAATAATAATAATCATAATAAAATGGTCATCTCAATATGCTATTTTCTTAGTGGTTGATTCATTTTTAAAAATCTAATAGTGTCTGAAAATAACTGGAGATAGTTTAATAAAAATAAAGGACAGTTATATTAGTTCCAGCTCTCATCTTGCTTATGAAAAAAAAACAGCCAAGGCAACTTGGAAATGTGTCCTGGGCTGCGATACTCAACCTTGGCCCAAATAAACATTCATATTAAAAAAAAGGAAAAAGAAAACAGAAAATTATCTTGGAATACATTGTTCTCTGTAAATAAGTCTTGAATGCTGAAATTTCAAAGTTCAGCAAACATGTGCTGGGTACCTACTGTGTACTAGGCAAAATACTAAGAGCTAGCATAGTAAGAAAGAGGGTAAGAAAATCAGTGCCACAATACTATGTGGCTGGTATCACAAAATAAATATTAAAAGAATGGAAATACCAGCACTTTGGGAGGCCGAGGCAGGCAGATCATTTGAGCCCAGGAGTTAAGACCAGCCTGGACAACATAACAAAACCCTGTCTCTACAAAAAATTAGCTAGACATGGAGGCATGTACCCGTAGTCCCAGCCACTTGGGAGGCTGAGGTGGGAGGATCACTTGAACCCAGGAGGTCAAGGCTGCAGTGAGCTGTGATGGTGCCACTGCACTCCAGCCTAGGTGACAGAGCAAGACCCTGTCTCAAAAAAAAAAAAAATCCATAGAAAATCTATAATCTGCAATCGAGATTCCTTATCACTTTTTTTTATTTTACTTCTTTTTCTTAGGGTTGTAGTCGATTATTAGTCACTGTGGATCTAAACCTCACTAATGCTGAGTTCATCCAATTTTACTTCATGTATGGGTGCCTGATTACACCAAACAACCGTAACCAAGGTGTTCTCTTGGAATATTCTGTCAATGGAGGCATTACCTGGAACCTGCTCATGGAGATTTTCTATGACCAGTACAGTAAGCCCGGGTTTGTATTCGATTTGATATCTAATAACGAGTACATCGAGCAGAGATTGCTACCAGCAATCAGTCACGGGAGACTGAGGGGGACCTCAGACTTATGCCTCACTAGAGGATGCCTCTGAGACTGAAATGAAGAAGGGTTTCTGAGCTGGATAAATAGCTGGTTTGGGTTTTTATTTTAAGAACAACTAGTTTTCACATCCCAGAATAAGATGAAATATTCTACCACAATGCCAACGGTGAATAAACCCAGTGCAAAAACCCACAGAAATTAACTAGTATAATTAATTTCAGCAATGCTTTGGGAAAATGGAAACAGAAAAATAAATATTTATTTATATAGTGTACACTCTGTTTTTAGAGAATTTTGGACTGGAAAGCAAAGAAACACAATAAAATGTAAATATCCTTAAGAAGCCTAGAGATTATTTTTAAACTCCTTATTTAAAAACCTTGAATAAACACAACGTATGGGTCATTTTAAAAAAAGTACTGAAGGGCCGAAAGCAATGATTATGACCAATTAGAAATGTCAAAGAGTTGTTAAGAAGGAAAATAGCATATTCAGTAAAGTAGGAGGAGGAAGAGGGTAAGAAAAGAGAAGACAGAAAGAATGAGAGAGAGAGAAAGGCAGGGTCCAGGGGGAGGCTGAAGAGAAGAGGAAATAAATATAGCCCAGACAGGAAACACATGCTGGGCATGGTGGCTCACACCTGTAATCCCAGCACTTTGGGAAGCCAAGGCAGGAGGATCACTTGAAGCCAGGAGTTCAAGACCAGCCTGGGCAGCAAAGCAAGACATTTTACCAAAAAAAAAAAAAACTTAAATTACCTGGGTGTGGTGGCATGTGCCTGTAGTCCCAGCTACTCAGGAGGCTGAGGCAAGAGGATTGCTTGAGCTCAGGAGTTTGAGGCTGCAGTAAGCTATGATTGTGGCACTATGCTCTAGCCTGGGTGACAGAGTAAGACCGCATCTTTAAAAAAAAAAAAAAAAAAAAAAGGAAACGTAGATAATCCTTTAATGCATGCAAGCCAGATACAGGCTAAAATTTGAGTAAAATAAAAAGAATCTTATAAATGATCATTTAAATTCAATATATCAGTTAAGAATAGGTTCAGCTGTCAATGGCAGGAAAGACAAAATTACTTAATTTTTCTCTCTCTCCTATGTAAATTACATCCCCAAAAAAAGTACTCCAGGACTACTGTAGTGGCTCCGCAAGCACCAGTGACCCAGGTTCCTCCTGTCTTATTGTTCTGCCCCACTCAGCATGTGACTTTCATCTCATGGTCCAAAAGGGCCACTAGCTCCCCAACTTTACAGTCCATAGGAAGGAGATTGGGGCGAGAAGGGTGTGCTCTCTCTTCAAGGACATTTCCTAACAGCTGCACGTACTTCCTTTCATATTCCATTAGCTATTGAGTTTAGCCACATAGCCACACCCAGATGCAAGGAAGGCTGGACATGCTGTCTTTATTCTGGGCGACCAGTCACTTGGATGAAAAGGCTCCTATTAGGAAGGAAGAAAGGGAGAATGGCCACTGAGGAAATACCAGCAGTTTTTGCCACAAGCAAAACTTTTAAATCTTCCACTTGCATTAAAGTTGGACACCAATAAAGGAATCCAACTAGAAGCTAAGTGGTACAGAGTACCCTGTGCTCAACTGTTAGTAGGAGATAACAGACAAGCCAAGTAAACTGTTTCCTTGGTCTTGATGGAGGAATTTATAAAGACCTCAAGTGTGAGTTCCTGAACACTTAAGCAGCATAACGTTAGTGCAAGGAAAAGAGAGTTATGTTTCTGTAGGGTAAAAGCATAACTGTCTAATCTACTTTAGTTCTCTGAAGGGGAATCAAATTGACTGAGGTAGGAAAAGTGGTTATAATTTATTTAGACTTTCAAGTAGCCTTAGGTAAATTTCCATTCCAGAGATTTTTAAAATGTGGTCAAAGACTTATCAGAGAAAATAAAAACTAATTTAGAATTAGGAAAGAAAAAATAGAGATAAAAGATCATTGCTCTGTGTGAAGAAGTGCGATTGTGTGTCCCCCAGAAACTGACAGATTTCGGATAGTATGTAAACATGTCAAACCAATAGAGGTAAATGTTAGGAACATCTCACAAGATAAGCATACCAAAAAAAAAAAAGGTGCAGGGAAGACAGATGAGCTTCAAAATTGACATAAATGAGGAAATAGACTTCGGAAAAGACTCTGCATAAAGGGTGATGTCTCCCAGCTGCCAGTACCCGCACAGGTGAGGGTCTAAGATTGATACTTTCTAGACTACACTGTTCTTCCCTAAGACTAAGATCCATTAAGCTATCATGGCCCAAAGGGCGCACAGAATGATGGCATAATAGAAAAAAGTATTTAAAATTCAAGTTGTATAAATCCAGCTAAAAGCATCCTACCTGTGAGTGAATCTTGGTTGGCCTCCATCTGGAATACTACCTACTGTTCTGGCCACTCTACCTCAAGGAAGACAGAAAAAAAAAAGGAAGGAAAAATAAAATCAACATGGAGATACTGTATAAACAAAATTAATATAATGAAATCTCTTTAATGTGAAAGACAAGAACTAAAACTGTCACTGAAGCCCTCAGTTTAAAGGGCTTCATGGGATGAACTTGGACTGGTTGTCTTGCCTTGGAGTTCTGCAAACACGAAAAGGCATCCCTTGAGGTATGCCTCTAAAGGGAGGTAGATTAGCATAGATTAAAAAAATAAGATGATACTGGCTGGGCATGGTGGCTCATGCCTGTAATCCCAGCACTTTGGGAGGCTGAGGTGGGTGGATCACCCGAGGTCAGGAGTTCGAAACCAACCTGGCCAACATGGTGAAACCCTATCTCTACTAAAAATACAAAAATTATCCAGGCATGTTGGCATGCGCGCCTGTAATCCCAGCTACTCGGGAGGCTGAGGCAGGAGAATTGCTTGCACCCAGGAGGCGGAGGTTGCAGTGAGCCGAGATTGTACCACTGTACTCCAGCGTGGGCAACAGAGTGAGATCTCTGTCTCAAAAAAAAAAAAAAAAGATACTTTGTGAGGAGGATGGTAAATCTAAGGACATTATCTTCCCCAACAGATTTTATGAGTTATGAATATAAATTCAAGAGGTTGATATGTTCCTGGGTTTTCATGTATAATTGTGATTAAAGGGCATTTTAGACCTTATTTCTAGCTAATTCAGTTTTCTGTTGGAGCATGGAGCCACATTTTTCCATGTCTGTCCCTGGTGAGTGAGACAGGGATAGATAGCATGCTGGGCTTGCTAGCCCATGGTTCTCACATGACATTTTCTATGAATATATACAATTTTAAATATTTTCAACAAAGCATATAAACAAAGTCAGTGTCTGCACCACAGACAACTGATAATGGACCTGGTACCCTCAGGCTGAGAACTCAAATGTCCTCCCACAATCCAGTGTCCATACCCCAAGTCACTTGCCAGCACTCATGGAAACAGAGTGAAAACAAGGTGCCAGGGAAGGAAGCAGAAGAAGCCAAGCACTAGGTGACAGAAAAAAGTCAGCATTGGCTTATGTCTACCAAAGTGCATATACTCTAGGCCTACAGATACCCACCAGGTATGCAAAAAACTGTGCAGTCCCTCTAAAGCCTGCCCAGAGACAGAACCAATTGGGAGTTCTGGGATACTTGAATCTGTTCACATTCTATTTCCCCCAATTTAGTGACTACTGAGACTTCATAAAATTAAGCCAGTTAATCGTGGTTTTTGAAAATTATTTTAGCTTATGTCCTTCCCTCACCCACCATGTGACATACATTATCTTATGGCTGGTTGTAAATCTTTTACTCAGAGAAGATATTTGACAAGGGTTCTTCCCCACACCCTTCCCCATCATTTTCCTATAGATTTGTGAATATCCTTCTCCCTCCTGATGCTAAAGAGATTGCCACTCGCTTCCGCTGGTGGCAGCCAAGACATGACGGCCTGGATCAGAACGACTGGGCCATTGACAATGTCCTCATCTCAGGCTCTGCTGACCAAAGGACCGTTATGCTGGACACCTTCAGCAGCGCCCCAGTACCCCAGCATGAGCGCTCCCCTGCAGATGCCGGCCCTGTCGGGAGGATCGCCTTTGACATGTTTATGGAAGACAAAACTTCAGGTAAATTATGCACAGCGCTAAATAAAAAGCCCAGTGGAAATGCAGTGGTTTGGATTTGGGTCTTTTCAAAAGAGCAAAATATGGAACCTTTTCAGATGTTCCAGTGGTGTAGAAACGCTGAAAAGGGTGTCATCCTTTTGTTCCTCTCAGCCTTCCTAGTTGGCATTTTAACTAAATCTTTTCTTTCATTCAAGCCAGCTAGTGTGTTTTTATATATAGCAATCTATAATTTTATTAACAGGATTTTCTTTTCTTAGAAAATTTTCAGTGTTTCCTGTTTTCTATTTTGGGTAGAAAGCCAAAGATTTCTACCCAAATCTTCTGCCCAACAAATGACATTTCCCAGTCATTTGTTTTAGTATCTGAAGACAAATATTGTGTTTTGCTACAGGGCAGACACATTTGTAATGGCATTTCATGTCTTAGGTCATGTCCCAGGTCTTGCTTGTTACCCTTCATTCCCTATAGGGGTATTCAATGATATTGGTGAAGCAGGAAGGACCTCTTTGTACTCCTCTCTTTTTTTTAAGTCAGTTTCATTCTTGTTGCCTAGGCTGGAGTACAATGGCACAATCCCAGCTCACTGCAACCTCCGCCTCCCAGGTGCAAGCAATTCTCCTGCCTCAGCCTCCAGAGTAGCTGGGATTACAAGCATGTGACACCATGCCCAGCTAATTTTGTAATTTTAGTAGAGATGGGGTTTCACCATGTTGGCCAGGCTGGTCTTGAACCCCCAACCTCAGGTGATCTGCCCACCTCGGCCTCCCAGTGTGCTGAGATTACAGGCGTGAGCCACCATGCCCGGCCTATCCTCCTCTCATTTTTAATGTCTTGTTTTCATTTCATGACACTATTCTGGTCATCTTTATAAAAAGTGGTGTCTTATATTAAGTATGTATCTTTGCCATGCCACATATTTGTTATACTACATGAAACATGGTATCTTCAGATAAAGCAGTGATATTCATTATATATCCCATACTAGCATGTATCTAAATAGTAAAGATTGATATACTGTTATGCCAGTATTGATTCAGACAGTGGAACTCTGTCACACCCAGCTCAGCCCCTAGCAACTTGCATGGAAAAGACAGTCTGGTTCATTTTTACAATAATAAGACTGATAAGAATCTTCCAGAAGAATAGCATGTCCTGGAAAAAAAAAATTGAAACTTGAGGAGTTTAAAAATTTTTAATTTTAGTTCATATTTTCTTGTAAAAGTATACATGTTCAAAATGTGAAACAGAAAATACAGAAAATCCTAAGGATGAAAATAAAAATCACTCAGGGGATAACCATTGTCAATATTTTGGCATATATTCTTAAAGAACTTTTTTTAGCGCATTTACATAAACATATTTTTAACAAAATTATAGTCTTAAATTATATATATTTCATAGCTTCTTTTTTTGTTTAGAATTAAATCCTTATTTCCTCATGTCCTTGGATATATTTGAATATAAAATTTTAGTAGCTATATATTCAATAATAATACTGGATATTTAGGTTAATTTCATTAATTCATTTATTAGTATATCATGTGGCATAACGTAACAGCAAATATTTACTTTGAAACACCCTCGTTTAAAAAAAACTTGTAAATAGAAAAAGCTTAAAATGTCCCTCACCACTACTAAGTGTCATATTCTCTTAAGAAGGTTATTGAAATTTGCTTACATAGATCTGCTTCAGAACTTTGCTTCATTACTCATTTTTTTCCTGTATAATGGTTTACATAAGTGAGTTTACAATCAGAGAATAATTTAAACACTGCTTCCATATGAATAAAAGTAAGCACAGACTAGTTATTCAAGTACCTAAAATGCTGATTTGATTTTATGTTTAATTAGCGATATACAGTTGAAGGAACAAATTTTCTGGCTCCTATCTGTCTTGCAAAAATGGAGTTCCTAGAAACTGTAACGTGTACATACAGAAGTAGTTTCTAATACTGCAGGAGAGACGGGTGAGTTAGTTAGTTGAGCAATGCAAGCCCTCTTTCATCAGGATTGCAGAGTTCTAGCATAAAATGAAGTATGTACCCCAGAATAAACTGGCTCAGAGTATTCTTATCGGAATTCAAATTTCTGTGCACTTTGACTCTTGAGTCCTGTATCTGTGATGTAGGACTAAATGTGGCTCCAAATCCCTCACAGTAAAAAAACAGATAATGGAATTGCAGTAACTATTTGAATCTCAGAGATAAGCTGCTTGTTGTGCGGCATATATACTCAGACAAAATCAAAAAGACACAATATGGGTGAAGGCTGAATTATAGTTATCTGGTCTTTTCTCTGGATCCTCTGAGGCATCAACTGTGCTGCTTCCATAGTGGCTCCAAGCCTCCGGCTGCACCTGTTCAGCTTCCCTGGAAATGCTGGGACTAGCCAGAAGACTTTTAGAAAAGAATTGGACCTATAAAATCAAAGCATACTGTGAATGAGATGCAACATATATTATGGATATGTTTAATTTCTAACTTTTCTGGGATAAAATTAATGTAAAATCATCTCTTCCAGAAGAGAAAAGGAACTGTGAGGGTTGTGGAGGAAGGGGTTAAGAGAGAAAGAGAGAGAGGATCAACACACAAGATGTACTCTGCATTAATCAATTCATAGTCTTACTACTTAGGTTTTCTTTAGACACCTTCAAATCTATTTCTTCAGTAGTATCTTGATGAGTACATTTCCTCAAAGTGTTAACTGTTAATCAGGTTTAGGAGTCAAGACTTATTAAAAGAAATATCTATCCAGAATACTTGAATATCCATACATAAATAATCAAATATTAAGAACATTACCAAGGTAAATTTATAACAGTATTATCTTAGAATCCTAATTTCTTAAATAATCTATTTAATAAGATTTTATTTTACTTTTGGCCAAATTAAACATGGCTTCACATTATAGGACTTAAAATTAGCCTTTATAACAAGTTTGTTATAAACTCATTTCTTAAACTCAAAAATCATTTGTTTATCTAATTAAATAGGGTGGTTGCCAGGATCTGGAGAAAGGGGAAATGAATACTTTTTCAGTAGCTATAAAGTTTCTGTCATGCAAAAGAAATAAGTTCTAGAGATCTGCTGTATGACATAGTGTCTATGGTTGACAGGATTATATTGTGCACTGAACATATGTTAAGAGGATATGTCTCTTGTTGGGTGTTCTAAACAGCAACCCCCCAACAAAAACTAAAAACCACACACACAAAAGAATACAAGGAAATTTTTGGAAGTGATGGATCGATTTGGTGCCCTGCTTGTGGTGATAGTATCATGGGTTGTGCATATTTCCAGAGTCATCAAATGTATATTTCATTTTTTAAAACAAATTTTTTAGAGACAGGGTCTCACTCTGCTGCCCAGGCTGGAGTGCAGTGGCACAATCACAAATCACTGCAGCCCTGAACTCCTGGACTCAAGCAGCCTCCTAAGTAGCTGAGACTATGGGCGTGCACCACCACTCCAGCTAATTTTTTTTTTAACAGTCAGGATCTCACTATGTTGCCCAGGCTGGCCTCAAGCGATCCTCCCACTTCAGCCTTTCAAAGTGCTGGGATTACAGGCATGAGCCACCATACCCAGCCAAGATGTATGTTTTAAATGTGTGTCATTTTTGTATATCAGTTATATCTTGATAAAGCTATAAAAAATTCATTACAAGCTTTTTAGTTACCCAGATAATACTTTCAGAATGTGAGTAGTAGTTAACTCTATTCCCTATCCGGTATTAAAAAAAATAAAATAAAATGACCAGCCCAGTGCAATTGTGATTCTTCATGATTCTTTCCTAATAAACGAGACACTGTAAATAAAATTTTTAAAATTAAAAATCATCTCTACTTCTTTATATGCTATCTAAAAAGTTAAATATCTGTCAAAAAATTAGTTATTTCCTTTTGATTTTCATTTACAATGTGTACAATATACTTTTTTTCATGTGTAGACTAATATCTATGGTTGTGTGTGTACTAATATCAGACAAAGGGCATATATCTCAATCCTCCTAGTATTTATGTTCCTGAAACAATGTATTTATATTAGTGTTTTGTCTATAGAGTGTATATAATATGAGCAGTTTCTACTTAAAATAATTCTATGTCTTGCTTAAAGTGAAAATTTGCTTCAAGTATTTTTGTCACAAATTTGTCATAAAATTTTGTTTTTTTGTTTTAAGTGAATGAGCACTGGCTATTCCATGATGATTGTACAGTAGAAAGATTCTGTGACTCCCCTGATGGTGTGATGCTCTGTGGCAGTCATGATGGACGGGAGGTGTATGCAGTGACCCATGACCTGACTCCCACTGAAGGCTGGATTATGCAATTCAAGGTGAAATGTTATGATCTTGATTATATAAACAACCATACATTAGCAATATAACAAAAAATATCAGAGAAAAGATGATCTAATATTTCATTGACTTAGTATATACTTTGAAAAGTAAAATTTACTATTAAACTAATATACAACTCAACTATACATTGCTTAATGATTAAAAGTATTTTATTTCTGAACTATTTCAAGTTGAAACTTTTTTTCATCTTTTTTTATTATACTTTAAGTTTTGGGATACACGTGCAGAACATGCAGGTTTGTTACATAGGTATACATGTGGCATGGTGGTTTGCTGCACCCATCAAACCGTCATCTACATTAGGTATTTCTCCTAATGCTATCCCTCCTCCACTCCCCGACAGGCCCCACAGTGCGTGATGTTCCTCTCCCTGTGGCGATGTGTTCTCATTGTTCAACTCCCACCTATGAGTGAGAACATGTGGTGTTTGGTTTTCTGTTCTTGTGTTAGTTTGCTGAGAATGATGGTTTCCAGCTTCATCCATGTCCCTGCAAAGGACATGAACTCATCTTTTTTATGGTTGCATAGTATTCCATGGTGTATATGTGCCACATTTTCTTTATCCAGTCTATCATTGATGGGCATTTGGTTGGTTCCAAGTCTTTGCTATTGTGAACAGTGCCGCAGTAAACATACGTGTGCATGTATTTTTATAGTAGAATGATTTATAATCCTTTGGGTATATACCCAGTAATGGGATTGCTGGGTGCAATGGTATTTCTAGTTCTAGATCCTTGAGGAATTGCCACACTGTCTTCCACGATGGTTGCACTACTTTACACTCCCACCAACAGTGTAAAAGCGTTCCTATTTCTCCACAGCCCCTCTAGCATCTGTTGTTTCCTGACTTTTTAATGATCGCCATTCTAACTGGTGTGAGATGGTATCTCAATGTGGTTTTGATTTGCATTTCTCTAATGACCAGTGATGATGAGCATTTTTTCAAGTTTGTTGGCCACATAAATGTCTTCTTTTGAGAAGTGTCTGTTCATATCCTTCGACCACTTTTTGATGTTTTTTTTTTCTTGTAAATTTCTTTAAGGTCTTTGTAGATTCTGGATATTAGCCCTTTGTCAGATGGATAGATTGCAAATTTTTCTCCCATTCTGTTGCCTATTCACTCTAATAGTTTCTTTTGCTGTGCAGGAGCTCTTTAGTTTAATTAGATCCCATTGGTCTACTTTGGCTTTTGTTGCCATTGCTTTTGGTGTTTTAGTCATTAAGTCTTTGCCCATGCTTATGTCCTGAATGGTATTGCCTGAGTTTTCTTTTAGGGTTTTTATGGTTTTAGGTCTTAACATTTAAATCTTTAATCCATCTTGAGTTAATTTTTGAATAAGGTGTAAGGAAGGGATCCAGATTCAGCTTTTTGCATATGGCTAGCCAGTTTTCCCAACACCATTTATTAAATAGGGAATCCTTTCCCCATTGCTTGTTTTTGTCAGGTTTGTCAAAGATCAAGATGGTTGTAGATGTGTGGTGTTATTTCTGAGGCCTCTGTTCTGTTTGATTGGTCTATATAACTGTTTTGGTACCAGTACCATGCTGTTTTTGTTACTGTTGCCTTATAGTATACTTTGAAGTCAGGTAGCATGATGCCTCCAGGTTTGTTCTTTTTGCTTAGGATTGTCTTGGCTATACAGGCTCTTTTCTGGTTCCATGTGAAATTTAAAGTAGTTTTTCCAATTCTGTGAAGAAAGTCAATAGTAGCTTGATGGGGATAGCATTGAATCTATAATTACTTTGGGCAGTATGGCCATTTTCACGATATTGGTTCTTCCTAACCATGGGCATAGAATGTTTTTCCATTTGTTTGTTTGCATCCTCTCTTATTTCCTTGAGCAGTGGTTTGTAGCTCTCCTTGAAGAGGTCCTTCACATCCCTTGTAAGTTGTATTATTCCTAAGTATTTTGTTCTCTTTGTAGCAATTGTGAATGGGAGTTCACTCATGATTTGACTCTCTGTTATTGGTGTACAGAAATGCTTGTGATTTTTGCACATTGATTTTTGTATCCTGAGACTTTGCTGAAGTTGCTTATCAGCTTAAGGAGATTTTGGGCTGAGACGATGGGGTTTTCTAAATACACAATCATGTCATCTGCAAACAGAGACAATTTGACTTCCTCTTTTCCTAACTGAATACCCTTTATTTCTTTCTCTTGCCTGATTGCCCTGGCCAGAATTTCCAATACTGTGTTGAATAAGAGAGAGAGCTAAGAGAGGGCATCCTTGTCTTGTGCCTATTTTCAAAGGGAATGCTTCCAGTTTTTGCCCATTCAGTATGATATTGGCTGTGGATTTGTCATAAATAGCTCTTATTATTTTGAGATATGTTCCATCAATACCTAGTTATTGAGTTTTTAACATGAAGGGCTACTGAATATTGGCGAAGGCCTTTTCTGCATCTATTGAGATAATCATGGCATTTTTGTCATTTATATGTTGGATTATGTTTATTGATTTGTGTATGCTGAACCAGCCTTGTATCCCAGGGATGAAGCCAACTTGATCTTGGTTGGATTTGGTTTGCCAGTATTTTATCAAGGATTTTCACATCAATATTCATAAGGGATATTGGCCTGAAATTTTCTTTTTTTGTGGTGTCTCTGCCAGGTTTTGGTAGCAGGATGATGCTGGCCTCATAAAATGAGTTAGGGGGGATTCCCTCTTTTTCTATTGTTCGGAATAGTTTTAGAAGGAATGGTACCAGCTCCTGTTTGTACCTCTGGTAGAATACAGCTGTGAATCCACCTGGTCCTGGGCTTTTTTTGTTTAGTAGGCTATTAATTACTGCCTCAATTTCAGAAATTGTTATTGGTCTATTCAGGGATTCGACTTCTTCCTGGCTTAGTCTTGGGAGGGTGTATGTGTCGAGGAATTTATCCATTTCTTCTAGATTTTCTAGTTTATTTGCATAGAGGTGTTTATAGTATTCTCTGACGGTAGTTTGTATTTCTGTGGGATCAGTGGTGATATCCCCTTTATCATTTTTTATTGTGTCTATTTGATCCTTCTCTCTTTTCTTCCTTATTCGTCTCACTAGTGGTCCATCTCTTTTGTTGATCTTTTCAAAAAACCAGCTTCTGGATTCATTGATTTTTTTGAAGGGTATTTTGTGTCTCTATCTCCTTCAGTTCTGCTCTGATCTTAGTTATTTGTTGTCTTCTGCTAGCTTTTGAATGTGTTTGCTCCTGCTTCTCTAGTTCTTTTAATTTTGATGTTAGGGTGTCAGTTTTAGATCTTTCCTGCTTTCTCTTGTGGGCATTTAGTGCTATAAATTTCCCTCTACACACTGCTTTAAATGTGTCCCAGAGATTCTGGTATGTTGTGTCTTTGTTCTCATTGGTTTCAAAGAACATCTTTATTTCTGCCTTCATTTCGTTATGTACCCAGTAGTCATTCAGGAGCAGATTGTTCAGTTTCCATGTAGTTGTGTGGATTTGAGTGAGTTTCTTAATCCTGAGTTCTAATTTGATTGCACTGTGGTCTGAGAGACAGTTTGTTATGATTTCCGCTCTTTTGCATTTGCTGAGGAGTTTTTTACTTCCAATTATATGGTCAATTTTGGAATAAGTGCAATGTGGTGCTAAGAAGAATGTATATTCTGTTGATTTGAGGTGGAGAGTTCTGTAGATGTCTATTAGGTCCGCTTGGTCCAGAGGTGACTTCCAAGTCCTAGATATCCTTGTTAATTTTCTGTCTCGTTGATCTAATATTGACAGTGCGGTGTTAAAAATCTCCCATTATTATTGTGTGGGAGTCTAAGTCTCTTTGTAGGTCTCTAAGAAGTTGCTTTATGAATCTGGGTCCTCTGTATTGGGTGCATATATATTTAGAACAGCTAGCTCTTCTTGTTGCGTTGATTCCTTTACCATTATGTAATGCCAGTCTTTGTCTCTTTTGACCTTTGTTGGTTTAAAGTCTGTTTTATCAGAGACTAGGATTGCAGCCCCTGCTTTTTTGTGCTTTCCGTTTGCTTGATAAATATTCCTCCATCCCTTTATTTTGAGCCTATGTATGTCTTTGCACATGAGATGGGTCTTGACTCTTTATCCAGTTTGCTAGTCTGTGTCTTTTAATTGGGGCATTTAGCCCATTTACATTTAAGGTTAATATTGTTATGTGTGAATTTGATCCTGTCATTATGATGCTAGCTGGTTATTTTGCCCATTAGTTATGCAGTTTATCCAAAGCATCAATGGTCTTTACAATTTGGTATGTTTTTGCAGTGGCTGGTACTGGTTGTTCCTTTCCATGTTTAGTGCTTCCTTCAGGAGCTCCTGTAAGGCAGGCCTGGTGGTGACAAAAATCTCTCAGCATTTGCTTGTCTGTAAAGGATTTTATTTATCCTTCGCTTATGAAGCTTAGTTTGGCTGGATATGAAATTCTGGATTGAAAACTCTTTTCTTTAAGAATGTTGAATATTGGCTTCCACTCTCTTCTGGCTTGTAGGGTTTCTGCAGGGAGATCTGCTGTTAGTCTGATGGGCTTCCCTTTGTGGGTAACCCGACCTTTCTCTCTTGCTGCCCTTAACATTTTTTCCTTCATTTCAACCTTGGTGAATCTGACGATTATGTATCTTTGTGGCGTTCTCTGTATTTCCTGAATTTGAATGTTGGCCTGCCTTGCTAGGTTGGGGAAGTTCTCCTGGATAATATCCTGAAGAGTGTTTTCCAACTTGGTTCCATTCTCCCCATCACTTTCAGATACACTGATGAAACATAGATTTGGTCTTTTCACGTAGTCCCATATTTCTTGGAGGCTTTGTTTCTTTTCACTCTTTTTTCTCTAATGTTGTCTTCCCACTTTATTTCATTGATTTGATCTTCATTCTCTGATATTCTTTCCTCCACTTGATCGATTCGGCTATTGATACTTGTGTATGCTTCACGAAGTTCTCGTGCTGTGTTTTTCAGCTCCATCAGGTCATTTATATTCTTCTCTAAACTGGTTATTCTAGTTAGCAGTCCCTCTAACCTTTTTTCAAGGTTCTTATAGCTTCCTTGCATTGGGTTAGAACATGCGCCTTTAGCTTGGAGGAGTTTGTTATTACCCACCTTCTGAAGCCTACTTCTGTCAATTTGCCAAACTCATTCTCCATCTCGTTTTGTTCCCTTGCTGGCGAGGAGTTGTGATCCTTTGGAGGAGAAGAGGCATTCTGGCTTTTGGAATTTTCTGGCTTTTGGAATTTTCAGCCTTTTTGCGCTGGTTTCTCCCCATCTTCGTGGATTTATCTACCTTTGGTCTTTGATGTTGGTGACCTTAGGATGGGGTCTATGAGTGGACCTCCTTTTTGTTGGTATTGATACTATTCCTTTCTGTTTGTTAGTTTTCCTTCTGGCAGTCAGGCCCCTCTGCTGCAGGTCTCCTGCAGTTTGCTGGAGGTCCACTCCAGACCCTGTTTGCCTAGGTATCACCAACAGAGGCTACAGAACAGCAAAGATTGCTGCCTGTTCCTTCCTCTGGAAGCTTCATCCCAGAGGGGCACCCACCAGATGCCAGCCGGAGCTCTCCTGTATGAGGTGTCTGTCGGCCCCTACTGGGAGGTGTCTCCCAATCAGGATACACAGGGGTCAGGGTTTCACTTGAGGAGGCAGCCTGTCCCTTATCAGAGCTCAAATGCTGTGCTGAGAGAACCGCTGCTCTCTTCAGAGCTGTCAAGCAGGGACGTTTAAGTCTGCTGAAGCTGTGCCCACAGCACCCCTTCCCCCAGGAGCTCTATCCCAGGGAGATGGAAGTTTTATCTATAAGTCCCTGACTGGGGCTGCTGCCTTTTTTTCAGAGATGCCCTGCCCAGAGAGGAGGAATCTAGAGTGGCAGTTGGCCTTGCTGAGCTGAGGCGGGCTCCACCCATTTCAAACTTCTGGGTGGCTCTGTTTACACAGTGAAGGGAAAACCGCCTACTCAAGCCTCAGTAATGGCAGACGCCCCTCCCCAAACCAAGCTCGAGCATCCCAGTTCGACCTCAGACTGCTGTGTTGGCAGCGAGAATTTCAAGCCAGTGAATCTTACCTTGCTGGGCTCCGTGGGGGTGGGACTCACTGAGCCAGGCACCGAAGGGAATGTCCTGGTCTGCCAGTTGCAAAGACTGTGGGAAAAGCGCAGTATCTGGGCCAGATTGCACTGTTCCTCCCAGCACAGTTGCTCACGGCTTCCCTTGGCTAGGAAAGGGAAATCCCCCGACCCCTTGTGGTTCTGCCACACTCTGCTTCAGCTCACCCTCCATGGGCTGCACCCACTGTCCAACCAGTCCCAATGAGATGAACCGGGTTCCTCAGTTGGAAATGCCGAAATCACCCACCTTCTGCATTGATCTTGCTGGGAGCTGCAGACTGGAGCTGTTCCTATTCAGCCATCTTGCCAGCTGTCTCTCAAGCTGAAACTTTTATAAGAGTAAATGTGTTCCTGCTCAGGATGAAATACTGATAGATAAAAATATCAACAATAAAAATGTAGGATACTGATTATAACTCCGAGTTAAATCATTATGACTTAAGCAATTTGTTTCAACAAGAGAAAATTAAAGCTATAATGGTTATTTCTACTTTTTTTCCTCTTACCCATCTCTCTATTAATACTAACTATAACTTAGAAATTTAGGTGAAATAAGACCTTTTTTTCTGAGACGGAGTCTTGCTCTGTTGCCCAGGCTAGAGTGCAGTGGCGTAATCTTGGTTCACTGCAACCTCTGCCTCCCGGGTTCAGACGATTCTCCTGCCTCAGGCTCCTGAGTAGCTGGGATTACAGGTGCACGCCACCATGCCCAGCTAATTTTTGTATTTTTAGTAGAGACAGGGTTTCACCATGTTGGTCAGGCTGGTCTCAAACTCCTGACCTCGTGATCCACCCGTCTCGGCCTCCCAAAGTGCTGGGATTACAGGCGTGAGCCATGGCACCCAGCCTCTAGTTTTTTTTTTTTTTTTTTTTTTTTTACAAGAACATTTGGATGTTTCTGGAGAAAAAAATTTATAGAAAACAAAGGCATGATTAGCATTAATGTCAACATCAATTTTGGCTAATATTTAGGCCAAGATTTTATGTGAACCAATTTATTCTGTCTACCTAAATCCCACTGTATTAACAGCAGTGTCACATCATGGCTATCACCATCAACGAAGGGTGCTGTGCCTTGTTTAAACTACCTTCAGTTATTATTTCATCTTACTTGTCGTTGAAAGTGTTGTATTGAGAGTCATAAATTGTACAACAAAATAGTAAAATTGGTAAAGCTGTTAGCTATTCTTCTTGGTTAAGTATTCTGCCAAATAGAAATGCCAGACCATTAGCACAACTAACAGTTTGTAGGAGTGAGCCCAGGCCTTCCAAGGCATTCAGCCAGCATGGCAGAAGCACGGGGTCTGAGTTTCTCTCCAAACCCCCTACACAATATATTTGGCACTTTCTATAATTTGTCACCTGGGGCAATCATGGTGACTTTCTCTGTCCATTAGCAGAACAAATAATGAATCTGAAAATACAGGATGGATGTGGTACAGTGTATATCAAGTGATCAGCAGCTTTTTTGCTGCCAAGTCCTTGGAGAAGAATCATATCATATAGTTTTAATACCTTGATCTTGTTTTTCTGTTTATTAGATCTCAGTTGGATGTAAGGTGTCTGAAAAAATTGCCCAGAATCAAATTCATGTGCAGTATTCTACTGACTTCGGTGTGAGTTGGAATTATCTGGTCCCTCAGTGCTTGCCTGCTGACCCAAAATGCTCTGGAAGTGTTTCTCAGCCATCTGTATTCTTTCCAACTAAAGGGTGGAAAAGGATCACCTACCCACTTCCTGAAAGCTTAGTGGGAAAGTAAGTAGAAAACTAAAACAAAGCCTGGTTCCAAGCATCCAGAAGGTACACCATTAGGTACACTGTTGTCATGCCTGAAATTATGTGTATTTGTGGGTAAAGTGCTTTCTTTCTCCCTAACTCTAAAGGTTCTCTAATTGGTTACTTTCATCATAACTTCCATGATGAGCTAACTTCAGACCTCAATTTGTAATCCTCAGACTTGGCAATATGGGCTTTTGCAGACTCTTATTTTCTAAACCTCAGTATCTTAAAATGGGAACAGAGCAATAGTGATGGCCTTGGAGCCAGATGAAAAGGTGTACCCTACCTTCTCAACCTTGTAGACTGTGGACCTCTGTGCACTATATACTTTCCACATTATTGCCTTATCAATCCATGATAGACAGAGCCAGGAGCAAATCCTAACTCATCATGCTATTTCTACCACTGTGACTTATGGGATCCATTTTTCTCTTATCAAAGCATTGTATTCTGATCCTGCAGTGAGAGGTAATTAGCCTGGACCAGTGATGAGCAGAGGTGATTAAACCTTGCTCTGCAAAGTCTGTGGATATATTAATTTAAGGCAATTCCAAAAGATTTCTCTTCTACTTTAAAAGTAAAGATACACAAAAGAAAATAACAGGTGCACCTAGACTGTATTAATCAGATAGTCTGACTAAACAAATCTTGTGAAACATAAAGAGTCTTTGAATAAAGTGCTTACGCACAGTTCCCAGTGTCCCATAGATATTATTATTATTATTATTACCACTCAGGGTTTTCTGGAATGTATCTAAAGAGCTTATTCAATTAACATACTAAGGAATTAAATCAGGATGCTTTCAGCTGCAAGGAACAGAAAACCCAATTCAAACCAGCTCGAAATTTGTTATATCTATAATGAACGAATCCAAAGATAAGTGAACTCTAGGGCTGGTTGATTTGTAAGTTGAACGGTGTCTTCAGGGACAGCGTTCCTCCTTATCCTCTTAAGAGAATATCTGCTGTCCACGGCACTGGCGGCATACTCAGCTCTCTCAGGCTGGTTTTGCTATTGAACATGAGATGGCAGCCAGAGAACTGGGGCAGGATGCTTCCGTACTTACGTCCAGTGAGAAAGAAAGATAGTTGCTTTTGTTCCAAGACAGCCAGAACAAGCGCCACCTTGCATCCCACTGGTACCAATTAGCCACTCAATAGTTGAGTTAGGAAATGATTATTTCATGGATTATCTGGGGTGAAATGGATGCTGGGGACCCACCATGATGTCTATCACAGACTCATTTTCTCCTCCCATTCTCTTTTTGTAATAATGAGGTATAATTTACATTCAGTAAAATACATACATCTTAATTGTTCAGATCAATGAGTTTTTAGTTGTGTAACCCATGTAACCACCACATAAAACAAGATACAGAACATTTATATCACCCCAGAAAGTTCCTTCATGTACTTTGGATTCTTTAAACCAAAATAGTATGGCATATTTTAATATAAGGATAATTATGAGGCTTGTTTTTTCCCCCAGAAGACAGAGAAGAACAAAGATGAAATTAAAATCTCAAAGAAAATGTCCTTTAATATAACCCTTTCAAAATTGTTTTCTAATTAGCATAGTTACTCTGAGAATATTGATTGTCTTCAGGGAATTCAGAAAATGCTGCCTCCCGACCGCCTGAGGGCTGTGTGTATGCTGACAAGGCTCTTGTCAAAGGCGTCACTCACCTTCTGTACAATTTCAGAAATGCAATTAGTGAATCTAAATTGCATCATGACCACGGAACTCCAATTCAGAAGAAACCTGATTTATGAAAGTTACAGATTTGTGTATTTAAATATTTCTATTTATTTCTTGACACAGAGATTCCACTGATTTAATTTTGTTGTGCAAGTGTGCTCAGATATTCTGAAATTTCAATAAAACCAGCTTGAAAGTTCCATTACTAGAAAGATAAGAGTGGTCAGAAAACATTTTTTATTAACCTATTTCATCTAGTAAGAGTATCTTAAATGTTTTTTCTCTTGAGTACTGAATACACATGCAGGACAATGGACCTAAATACAGTTAACTTTTGTTTTTCACTCCTTTGCTTTTGCATTGTCAATAGTCCGGTAAGGTTTAGGTTCTATCAGAAGTACTCAGACATGCAGTGGGCAATCGATAATTTCTACCTGGGCCCTGGATGCTTGGACAACTGCAGGGGCCATGGAGATTGCTTAAGGGAACAGTGCATCTGTGATCCGGGATACTCAGGGCCAAACTGCTACTTGACCCACACTCTGAAGGTAAGGGTAAAGCCCTGGACAAGACGCATTACTCACATCATGGGTCATGCCTAGGAACCAACTTATGTATGAGACATAATCTATAACAATGTCCTTTGGGTCCCCCAGGAAAGAAAATCCTTTGAATAGAAACTTTAAAAATGTCTTATGTTTCCTAAGTACAAGAATATTAGGATCAAGTTCTAGTACAGTTTATCCAGTTCATAAAATGAGCCAGACTATATGGATTACAAATGATAAATACTCTGGGTTTCTTTTTTTTTTCTTAAGCAGACTATTTTTAAAGTCAATATTAAGCCTTTTTTACTTCACTTTTTCAATTGATGCACTATTTGAAGGAAGATATTATTGTTATTATTGTTATGAAATAAAGCAAATAATATACATTATCACAAAAGACCAAATTTTCAAAAAGGCCTAAACAGTACCTGAATTTTTGTTTAGAAAATTCTGTGTTCTGATTCGTTGACTGCTGAAATGGGGTTGTGTATTAAGAATGGAGAGGTCACTTTTGAAAGCTTTAGCTGTTACATCATTATTTAATATGCAAAGCAAATACAGTTACCCAACACAGTTGCCACATATGCACTCTATTTCTGTGAATAAACATAGTGCATTTGTCATTACAATAACAGAAAAATGACTAGGCTAAAAAAAGCAAAATTCCTAGTGATTGAAATCCAACATATGAGAGTCAACAATGTAAATCAAACCTGTTCTGTCATTTGTGTTTGTTCTAATACTTCAACTATGGAATTGAACATTTTTTAAATAAAATTGGAACAATGCTCATTTGTGTCTGAAGATGTAAGTACATTATTAACAAATGAGGTTACCACATGAAAAACAAAGCTTTATATACCACAGGTAATTAATAAACTTTTGAAAATCTAATTTCTTTCATGAGCACTCAAATTTTATTAGTATTCCTCAGTTGGATAAGAAATTGTACAAATCTATAAATTATAAACCCTGATTAAAATCTTCTAATGAAAGTTTACGTGGTTAACCATGCATTTCTTCTAACACTTGTCTTCTTACAAGCTTTCAATTATAAAACGTATTCATTTGCTATCCATTAGTGAGACTAAGGCAGACTGACATTTGACTGTATGTCTTTAACTATAGAATTGATTATCTTCTAAGTTTGAGAAAAAGAAACTGTTTAAATCATTTTAACTACACAGTAAGATAGAACTCTCCTTAAATGAAAAAATATAGGTTTTTCTGTATACAGTTATTGCATTGCAACTAGAACAAATTGGCTTTATGATATCTTTTCATCATTTTAAACAAGAAATGTGTCTCTACCTAATACAAATCTGCATTATGGATAAAATGAAAGTACTGTAGACAGAATGAATAGGGAAATTAAGACCTTGACTATGAGGAGATAAGCAAATTTTACAAAAAAATGTAGCCAAGAACCTTTATACTTTGTACACTCTCTGAAAAATAGATTTTCTGGTTGTCAATCATTCTTAGTTAAAAGGATAAACTGGAGACTCAGGGGAAAATATTGTATTCTAGATTTTGAGTACTTATCACCCTGCAACTTGGCCTGATAAACAGGTGAAACATCTTTCAAACTGCCTTCAAAGGTTTACTTTCTTTTGACTTATATAGAGAGATTTGGTTTCAAGTGTCCCTGCCTAACCATGTAGACCTTCAAGGTTCATTCTGTGCTAGAGGCTGAAGGATCCTGGCTGCCTGAAGCAGTCTCCAAAGTGAGGGCACACACACCAGGACAATCCATTGGGGAATGTCAGGGGGAAAGTGCTGGATTGCATGTTTATATTTTATCTTATTGCTTTCAAATTCCTTTTGGCATGTTTCATAATATAATACATTACAATAATACTTTTATATACTATATAAACAAATATACATGTTTGGGGGTATATGCTTAAATAACTAACTAACTTTTTACAAATAGAAGTGTTACTATAATATGGCCAGGCATGGTGGCTCACACCTGTAATTCCAGCACTCTGGGAGGCGGAGGTGGGCAGATCACTTGAGGTCAGGGATTCGAGACCAGCCTAGCCAACATGGTGAAACCCCATCTCTATGAAAAATACAAAAAATAGCCAGGTGTGGTGGCACACACCTGTAATCCCAGCTACTCAGGAGGCAGAGGCATGAGAATTGCTTGAACCCGGGAGGCAGAGGCTGCAGTTAGTTGAGATTGTGCCACTGTACTCCAGCCCAAGTGACAGAGCAAGACTTCGTCTCAAAAAAAAAAATTGATATAGTCAACTTTACAATTATTTTAAATTTCAATTATTAAACATTATTTGAGCAGTTTAAATGATTTTCAATATACGACAGGAAAAAAGATTGTGGAAATAGCCTTTTTTAAACATCTTTGAAAAGCATTTGAAATCAGCTCTATTTTTTTTAAGTCCAAGACATCACTCTGTATTTTCTTAAATATTCCATAGTTATCTGAAATTGTTTTTTTAACCACATCTGGCTTATTTTATTTCCAGACTTTCCTGAAGGAACGCTTTGACAGTGAAGAAATCAAACCTGACTTATGGATGTCCTTAGAAGGTGGAAGTACTTGCACTGAGTGTGGAATTCTTGCCGAGGACACTGCACTCTATTTTGGGGGATCCACTGTGAGACAAGCGGTTACACAAGATTTGGATCTTCGAGGTGCAAAGTAAGTGAATTTTTTGTTAGTTATTTCTATTGCACCATAGCAAATTGGTCCCAAAGCAAGGAACACTTGTATGGAAGAAATTATCCAGGACTTGAGTAGAGTATTTGTTCTAATGAATTATTCTGATGGATAAAATGTGCTTGCATTCAGGTTCCTGCAATACTGGGGGCGCATCGGTAGTGAGAACAACATGACCTCTTGCCATCGTCCCATCTGCCGGAAGGAAGGCGTGCTGTTGGACTACTCTACCGATGGAGGCATGTGTCAGGGGTGAAAACCACCCCTTGGAGCAGATTCCCAAATTCCATCCAACACCCTCAGAAAAGTCTCTGCAAAGCTTTGCTGACTTCACAGTTTGAATTGTGAAACTCACAAAGAAAAAGCTACAGATTTTGTTTGTATTACATGTTCCGTACAAGTGACTTCTGTGTTATGCAAAAAGGGAAGGAGAGAAATCACATTAAAAATAAAGTCCAAACTTTATGAATAAAGAAAACAACCTCTACGCTTTACTGAAGCTTGAGTGATACAATTAAGAAATACATTTTGTATGATTTCCAAGTAAAAGATCATTTTTAAAACTTTAAAGCATTTTTAACAGCTTATGTGTAAATAAGCATGTAATAAATGCTATAATCTATGGAAATCTTCTAAAATTGTGAAAAAAAAGTCTGATTTTGTGAGTTTGTCATAGAATATTTTAATAGAATTCTGTTTTGTTATTCTGAAGTAGCTAAAACCAGACCAGTAATACCATGGTGTCTTTAGAAAAATCTGCTTTAGCAGATAGATATCATTCTTAATAACTAGCTGATTAACAGATGACCCTAAAGTATTTTAAGGTATTTGAAGGATGTTTTCTTAAGTAATTAAACATCCCACCTGCAATCTTATCAAGCAAGAAGAGATAAACTTTATACCAGTCCAAATAATTAAATTGCATAAAATTACAATAACTATTTTAATACTGAAAGCTATTGCCTAGAAACATGTAAAACATGGGTGTATCTCATTATTTGTGAGAAATAAGAATTTAGAACTAAATTTTAAAAGCAAAACATAACTTATTTTTACTTCAGTGTTTTTATTTTGGCCAACTCTTTCGAAATATCCTTCCCCTCATATCATTAGCCTCATACAGAAACAGTATAAGTAGTGAATACCTAATATCAAAGTCAGGAAAATCAGTTGTCATTTCCTGGCTGAAAATTTCTTTGGGAAGTTCACAGTATCTGAAGTATACTGGTGGTTTATGAGGAGGCAGGAGATTCTAGATATATTGCTATGTTGGTATATTTGTTATTATAGGAATTACCTGGACTTTGCTCCATGAGATGGATTACCAGAAATACATTTCTGTTAGACACGACTACATACTTCTTCCTGAAGATGCCCTCACCAACACAACTCGACTTCGCTGGTGGCAGCCTTTTGTGATCAGCAATGGAATTGTGGTCTCTGGGGTGGAGCGTGCTCAGTGGGCACTGGACAACATTTTGATTGGTGGAGCAGAAATCAATCCCAGCCAATTGGTGGACACTTTTGATGATGGTAAGAAACAAGACATTGAACAATTTTCTTTCCTGTGAGCCATTTTTCTGCTTATGTCTTCAGATAGATTAGCACATGAAAAGCATTTATAAGAGTGCCTAGCCCATACTCCTGCTCAACAAATGTTAGCTGTTATTTTGCCCAGTGGTTTATAAATCTTCAAAGTTGGCTGCTTTTTGAAATGTCCACTGAGCATTCAATAAATCATGTTAAAGGCTCAATGTCTGGCTTTAAATATAATTTGAAATTTCAATACCCGAAAATAATTTTAGTTTCTTTAGTAATTAATGTGTCACAGAAATACTTAATGCACTGGCTGACAAAGTGTATCAAGAACTTTTCGGTGCTAGGTTACCTAGACTAGCAATTACATTTTAAAAGTACGGTAATCATTATACTACCATTTAATAGTCTTGTCAAAGTTTGATTTCTCACGTTGGATTTATGCATTATCCCAGTTAAATAAAATAAAAATCAATCCTAAAGTGTAAGCAGAAAGCTAGTAGAGCATAAAAATTTAAGGAATTCAACAATAAATCGGTCAGTTCAAGAGAATAATATGCCATATTGCTTCCAATTTTCCTCAAGAGAATAATATGCCATATTGCTTCCAATTTTCCTTAACAGAAGGCACTTCCCATGAAGAAAACTGGAGTTTTTACCCTAATGCTGTAAGGACAGCAGGATTTTGTGGCAATCCATCCTTTCACCTCTATTGGCCAAATAAAAAGAAGGACAAGACTCACAATGCTCTCTCCTCCCGAGAACTCATTATACAGCCAGGATACATGATGCAGTTTAAAGTAAGGAAAAGTGGCTCTTTAAAACAGAAAGTAGCATTGCATTTGGGGCCTCGAGGGAGAATGGTTAGTCAGACAACTATAAGGAAATGACTGATATTATTCATTAAAAAAGACTTTATCTTATGAATAAAAGAGGTCATCTTTTGCAAAGACCTTTATTCAAGTATGATTACTTGAGGATAGATAAAATCCCTGAAAATGTTGGGACATAGCAAGAAATGTAACTATTAGGCTGGTGCAAAAGTAATTGCAGGCCGGGTGCAGTGGAACCATGCCTATAATCCCACCACTTTGGGAGGCTGGGGCAGGAGGATCACTTGAGGCCAAGAGGCCAGGAGCTCCAGACTAGCCTGGCCAACACGGCAAAACCTTGTCTCTATAAAAAAATAAATAAAATAAAAAAGCCAGTCGTGGTAGTGCACACCTGTAATCCCAGCTACTTGGGAGGCTGAGAAATAATAATCGCTGAAACCTGAGAGGCAAGATCATACCACTGCACTGTGGGCGACAGAACGAGATTCTGTCTCAAAAAAAAAAAAAAAAAAAAGGAATTACTTTTAATGCCAATTCTTTTAATGGCAAAAACCGCAATTACTTTTACACCAACTGAATATATTCTATCTTATATATGTAATCTGGATTTCAGTCTCCCTACCCTTGTAAATAGAAAGCTCAAATAGGGCACTCTGCCTACTTCTATCTCTACTCTGTAACACTATCTCCTTTTTATGTTGCACAGTTCTCTCTCTCTCCCTTCCCTTCCGCTGTCTCTCCCCTTCCTCTTTATCTTACTCCATGCCTATTATGTGCATTGAGCCATTTTTTCTCCATCTATTTTTTTTCCAGTGTATCTTTCTATTTTCTTGTGTCTCTGACTTCATATGCCTATACTACATTAGTCCTGTTGGAACTTCCTAAATCCTCAAAAAATTAAGGAGGACTCTCAAATATTTTAAACTGAATACTTGATTCATATAGGATGAAAGTGAAGACATAAATAATTAATAGACACTCAGAGAAAGGCAAAGCAATATCAATTGATGTATCTCTATTGCAAACACCTGTAATCCCAGCACTTTGGGAGGCCAAGGAGGAAGGATCTCTGAGGCCAAGAGTTCAAGACCATCCTGGGAAACATAGCAAGACCCCCTATCTCTACCAAAAAAAAAAAAAAAAAAAAATTAGCTGGGCGTGGTGGCATGTACTTGTAGTCCTAGCTGCTCAGGAAGCTGAGGCACAAGAATCACTCGAGCCCAGTGGTTGGAGGTTACAGTGAGCTATGATCCCACTACTGCACTCCAGCTAGGGCAACAGAACAAGACCATATCCCACACACACACACACACACACACACACAAAAGTCATTACAGAAATGTATTGTATTACTAGGTCATTTTAAAGACATCAGTTATTCTAATACCCTTTTTTGATGTACTACAATGACAGTTAATAGTAAAAATCCTTACTAGCAGAAATAAAAATGTATTTGCTTTTCGCCTCAGCTCTATGTTAAACTCTCCTTTGGGGACTGGAGGGTAAGGCAAGCTCCCCAAATGCTACCACTCCTTCAGGAGTATTCTTAGCTTAGTGATATGAAGAAGTGTTACACTTCCTCTACTTCTAAGCCCTGTTCCTTAAGAGTGAAGATTTTCCCTCTCCCAGGTTCACATTGTGGCCCAGATCAAAGGTATTATATTTGATTGAGTTGATTGGAGCCTCCTCTTTTGTTACTTCTGTAACAGAAGTAACTGCACTGAAGAGACTGGGTCTCTCTTTCTATAACCAAGGCAATTTCTTTAGGAAAAAAAGAGAGTCTATCCTCAAAAATTTAGTAAAGTATCACTAAAACTACATACTTGAAAGTCAGCAGAGACTTACCGTACCCAATATCAACAGTTTTTGCACATTCCCCACCTTCTCTTTCCTCTCTACACTATTTGACACTGTTATTCTTGCCCTCTTCAACCTGTGGAATTCTCTTTCCCCTAGGCTTCTGGGTTCTCTGCTCGTTCTCCTTCTACCTCTTTGATATCTGTTATCTTCTTATGGCTTTTCTCCCCTCAGCCCTCTAAATGTCAGCATTTCTCAGTATGTATCAACTTTCTTCTCTCTCCATAGACATTCTCACCATCAGGAATTGTATCCAATCATCTAGCTTCAAGAATCATATCTTGAAGAGCAAATTTCAAATCTGCACATCCAACCTTGACTGGCTAACAATTAATTCAATATTTTAATAGCCCCTACACATTTCTACACCTTTGCACATTGGCACCTCAACTGAATGTGTCTAACGGTGCACTTAATATCTTCCCTCACCATACCAACTCCTCTGATTTTCCTGTTTCTGTCGATGGCACCACCAATCACCTAGTAACTAGCTTGAAATGTTCAACTAGGCTTTGATTTTTCACTTTTCATATCTAATCAGTGACTACATCCTTTGAATTCTACTTTCCAGTGTTCCTGGTATCCATCCAATCTTCTCTGTTTGCACTATCACCACCTCCTTTCTGGCCCTAACTAAATCAACAGTTGACTAAGTACTCTTTTCACTCCCAATCTCTCTCTCTCCACTCCTATCTGTCTTTGACATCATGGTCAGATTGATCTTTATAAAGCATATCTCTAAGCAGCACATCATTCCACAGAAACCTTTAATGACTCTCCATCACTTACCAAATTAAGGTCAAACACCTTAGGCTGCAGCTTCTGGTCTGCCAAATTCAACCGATCATTCTAACCTCATCTCTGAATATTTCATATACGATATACTTGGACCAAAACATGCTATATACTGTGCTCTTGATGTCCCACCATGATTCCCTACTTTGTCTTCACTCACACTCTTTCTTTCACCTAAATATCTTTTTCCTATCTCTACCTCTCACACTCTTCCCAGTCTTCAGGGGCAGCTCGCATGTACCCTATCTATCTGATTATTTTCTAATCCACTGAATCAAATACTATCTCCTTTGAAGCACCACAGCATTATATTTGTGTATTATGATTCCCACTATCATTATGCTTCTTATTCTCTCTCTGAATTTAGAGTTGTTTTATTCATGACTGTATGGCCTGAAATTTTTAACACTAACCTTCCCTAGTTATCAGTGCTGAAATAGGACATGATTAAATAGATGATTAGGACTTAAATTTGAATCACCAAATTTTTATAGCATTTATGTATTATTAATGATTCAAACATTTAATTGCATATAATATGGAAAGCTTTCATTGATATGGAAATACAGAAAACCCCAAGAACGAATATTAAGTAATTAAAATTGCTGATTTTAATTCCAACTAAAAATTTAATAGTAACAATCAAGAAAGTTAGGCTATCAATGAAATTGTTTTGAATCAGTGATACTTTCAGTTTCTGTCTATAAATTTGACTAATGTTACTTTCTTTTTGGCCAGTTTATCTTACCCAGATTTGTGATTAATTTTTTATTATACTAATTTAGTACATAGAAATGTAACTTTTAAAACCTTTATTTTTATCTCCATGCAAAATTGAACATCTTTAACAGAATCCAAAAGAATGTATTCTTGGTATCCCAGCAGGCTGCTCTATAAAAGCTTCTCTGAATATTACCTATCAGAGTAATAAATGGACGGATGGGATTTTAATTAATGGAATTCAGTATCATCTAATCTTACCTGTGTATTGATTGTTTATGTTTGTTTTAGATTGTGGTGGGTTGTGAAGCCACTTCTTGTGGTGACCTTCATTCCGTAATGCTGGAATACACTAAGGATGCAAGGTTTGTGAAATAATTTTTAACATTATCTTCAAACTTGAATACCCCATCCAAATCGTTGTGTGTGTGTGTGTGTGTGTGTGTGTGTGTGTGTGTGTGAGAGAGAGAGAGAGAGAGAGAGAGAGAGAGAGACAGTTTCGCTCTTGTTGCCCAGGCTGGAGTGCAATGGTGGGATCTCGGCTCACCGCAACCTCCGCCTCCCAGGTTCAAGCGGTTCTCCTGCCTCAGCCTCCTGAGTAGGTGGGATTACAGGCATGTGTCACCACGCCCAGCTTATTTTGTATTTTTAGTAGAGACGGGGTTTCTCCATGTTGGTCAGGCTGGTCTTGAACTCCCGACCTCAGGTGATCCGCCTGCCTCTGCCTCCCAAAGTGCTGGGAATTACAGGCTAAGGCAGCTGCTTACAGAGGAATAACCCTATATCTTAAAAGTGGTAGTTCGTGCATATTTTTATATAAATTTCACTTGTACAAAATGTATACATATGTCTTATTTTCAAAATTTTCCTTCAAACCAAAAAAATCCATTTTCATTCAAGGCTGCCACCAAGAAACTTTATATTTTAAATTTTATCAAAATAAGCAAAGCACTACATTTGTCCTCAGAGTAGAACTCTCTTATTCATGTTACTCATTTTCAACTACCTCTAACAAAAACTTTAATCAGTGAATGATCTGAATATGCATCAGCCAGAGTCACCTCTTCTAAAGCATATTAACAGTATTGAATAAAAGTCTGACATAGTTCAGTTACCTTATTAGGGTTAATAGCCCTCCGACTATCACCTTTAAACATTAATTACATTAAGTTTGAGAAGACAGACAATTTTGTCATTCAACTCCAGGTATATTTCTAGTAACAATGTCAGTAGGAAGAATCCACCAGAATTCATTGCTATGCATGCTATTATTTTATTCTGTTGTCCGTGTGCTTTTAAAGAGTCAGAATATTTCTTAAGAGAAAATATTTTAATTTTTTTATAATCTGTAATTATAAATGTTTATAGAAAACAGGAAACTCCTATACAAATATTTTAATTTAACCCGATCACAAAGCATTACCTTGACATTAACAGATTATATGTTTCTCTTACAATTTGTCTAACAAAGCCTTTTGGTTTCTGCAGATCGGATTCCTGGCAGCTCGTACAGACCCAGTGCCTTCCTTCCTCTTCTAACAGCATTGGCTGCTCCCCTTTCCAGTTCCATGAAGCCACCATCTACAACTCTGTCAACAGCTCAAGCTGGAAAAGAATCACCATCCAGCTGCCTGACCATGTCTCCTCTAGGTAGGTTGCAAATTAAGGTAAACTTTGTGAAATTATCTGGCCTCTCTACAGAGTTCATGCAGTGAGCTGAAAACAACTGACAGTGTGAGGCAGAGCTTTACATGCAGCCCTGGTGCCCTCTCCCATCTTCCCTCCTTTTCTCCCTCCTCTCACCAACCCATGCCCCCAAATGGCAACTGCATGTTCCAGGAGGAAATTGGAGTGTGTCTGTAAATGATTCAGAGATCTCAGATTTCCTTTGACTTAATACCATAGCATGTACCAAACTCAATCACAGGCCCTGAATGACAGACCCCAATCCAAGACTGGTGTTGGCACCAGTTCTGCCCCAGTGTTCTGCCTTCCCAAAGGCTGCGCTTCTCATCCAGATACAAATACCAGCTGGGTGTGCAGGGCTGACAGGTTACACAAAGCTGCAGGATAAATACAATGGAGTGCAATCTTCCTAGAGCAGCATTCGGTTTACTCAAAGATTTGGAAAACGATACACCTGTGTAGGAAAAATGTACACAGATTTATTATGGACTAGAATAGGAAATTCACATGAAATTTTCAGAGAAGATACAAGCTTCCAGAATGGCATTTTGGGTTATACTCCCAGAGTCTAAGAAATACAAGTTCTCTCACCTCTGCCAGCAGGGTGCTTCAGGAAGACATTTGGGAAGCCCTTTTCTCACAAATAGTCCCCTCTCCCAGAGGCTGGAGGCAGGATGCAGCCATGGAAGTAACAACCTACTGAATCCCTTCTGCTCTCTGTGGTTCTTTCAGTGCAACACAGTTCCGCTGGATCCAGAAGGGAGAAGAAACTGAGAAGCAAAGCTGGGCAATTGACCACGTGTACATTGGAGAGGCTTGCCCCAAGCTCTGCAGCGGGCACGGATACTGCACGACCGGTGCCATCTGCATCTGCGACGAGAGCTTCCAAGGTCTGAATCCCAGGCTGCCAACTTTGATAGAGGAGACCAAGAGGTTCTCCTCATCTTAACATATATACAAAAGTCCACTAGGAAATGGATAGAAACTCCAGCCTGAGGGATCTGAGATTCATGACACACTCCTTGGTCACTCTTTAACTTTGGGACAAATTATTAAGCATAGATTTATGCAATATTCCTGAAGGCATTTTTTAAAATATAGAAATGAAATCTACTCCAGACATTCTATAAATATATAAGCATATAAATCCAGATATGCTAAATCAGGATATGGTATAGTACCTCACATTCTCTGTCTTTCATATAACTCCCTGCCCCTGCCCACAGCCCCAACACTTAATTTCCACTTCTGGGCCTCCCTCCTTCCTGGCCTAGCTGCCTGTGCCTACATACTTGACCAGTATCCCTCCTTCCTCAGCCTCTTCCAGCAGCAGCTGCCACTGTTCTCCTAAGATGTAGCTGAAAACTCAAAATGTTCTGGTTTCCAGGTCACTGTGACACGGACACACACACACACACACACACACACCCCTTTATGACTCAAAGAAATACATTTTCACTCCTTGAGTTTCTAGAGGTTGAGTATATATCCAGGGCAGAGAGTATCTACTCGACCCTTCACATCACAGGAAATTGCTCTGTTGGTCTGTTAGAAGGTATGCAGGCCTGCTTTCCTTTGATCCAATGTTTCTAACAGGTTTCAGCCTCTATCATTACAAAGTTCGCTTTCCATAGTTAACATTCTATATCCTCATAGCTTAATACCTGGCCGATAGCAATGCTAATAAATCTTCTTTGAATTAATCCTTAACACTGTCTTATGCTTTACTATTTACATAGTATACACCAACTTATTCTTCAGTCGCTTATTATCTATGATATCCCCATCAGTTATCTATGGTTAATATAATTATTCCCATGCTACAGGCAAAGAAACTGAGACTCAGGGAGGCTAAATGACCTGCCTAAGGTCACACAGCCAGCATATATCAGAAAGACCACTAGTCAAGTTGTTCTTTCCAATCAGCCTTGCTGTCACTCATGGCTGAGAGATTTATCCAAGGAGGAGCAGAGTTAACACAATTTCCCCCAGATATACAATGTAAGAATCCATGTTTTTGAATTCTGGAGTCGGATCTATTTAGATTTCTTGGTTGATGTTGTTTCCTTGAATTGAAATCAAATGGATATGATTAATGTAGACTGCTGCACATCTCTGATGTTAGAAATTACTTAGCCATTTCCTTTCTCCCCTGGTGTCATTGTCACTGAGACCGGCTGGGTCTGTCACTGTATTAGCTGGAGAATTTTAACTCTAGTCAAATGAGTGAATCAAATGTCTCACAAGAAGTCCTCGATGTCTGGAATTTGCCCTCTCTCCTGAACCTTAATTTGAAACTATTAAGGACATGTAGAAAAAATGTACTGTTTAAATCAAGGGGAAATGCAAGCACATACACGTTTGCTAATATAATATCTTACTTAAATGCCAGTAATTCAGTTCAGTGGTCTCTTAGAGACACTTGCAGTTTTATCATTATTTATTTATCCCAGCTTCATTACTGAATATCTTTTTTTTTTTTGAGACGGAGTTTTCACTCTTGTTGCCCAGGCTGGAGTGCAGTGGTGTGATCTCAGCTCACTACAACCTCTGCCTTCTGGGTTCAAGTGATTATCCTGCCTCAGCCTCCTGAGTAGCTGGGATTACAGGCACATGCCACCATGCCCAGCTCATCTTCTTTTGTATTTTTAGTAGAGATGGGGTTTCACCGTGTTAGTCAGGCTGGACTCGAACTCCTGACCTCAGGTGATCTTCCCACCTCGGCCTCCCAAAGTGCTGGAATTACAGGCATGAGCCACCACGCCCCACCCATTACTGAATATCTTATATGTGCTAAATATTGTTTTAGGTGCTGGAATCCAACGAGTTAAAATATAGACACTGCTCTTAAGAATCATCAAGTGTACATTAACCTGTATTTTCTACAACAAATCATGCTAGGAAAAAAGAAATTAGATAGGCCTCTCATACCAGGGTGAGAGTTCACTACTGAGACCCACCATTGGTAAACATTCAAGGCCCAGCCAGATGCTGTGGTATTTAAACAACAGTTTTACACGGCAAATACGGACATGAGCACTACGTGTTTTAGTAAACATTGACTCAAAGAAAATTGGATTTTTTTTCCAACAATATAAGCCAATAATTGCCAAAACAAAACATTTACTTTGGGAATCTGTATCTACTTAGTATTTTGCCTTTTTTTTTTTTTTACTGTAACAACATTCATTTTTTTTCCTGGATTTTGTTATATTTCTCTTTTTTTTTTTCTACTTTAAGTTCTGGGATACATGTGCAGAACATGCAGGTTTGTTACATAGGTATACATGTGCCAGGGTGGTTTGCTGCACCCATCAATCCATCATCTACATTAGGTATTTCTCCTAATGCTATTCCTCCCCTTGCCCCCTGCCCCAACAGGCCCCAGTGTGTGATGTTCCCCTGCCTGTGTCCATCTGTTCTAATTGTTCAACTCCCACCTATGAATTAGAACATGCGGTGGTTTGGTTTTCTATTCTTGTGTTAGTTTGCAGAGAATGATGGTTTCCAGCTTCATCCATGTCCCTGCAAAGGACATGAACTCATCCTTCTATATGGCTGCATAGTATTCCATGGTGTTTATGTGCCACATTTTCTTTATCCAGTCTAACATTGATGGACATTTGGGTTGGTTCCAAGTCTTTGCTGTTGTGAATAGTGCTGCAATAAACATAAGTGTGCATGTGTCTTTAGCGTAGAATGATTTATAATCCTTTGGGTATATACCGAGTAATGGGATTGCCAGGTCAAATGGTATTTCTAGTTCTAGATCCTTGAGGAATCACCACACTGTCTTCTACAATGGTTGAACTAATTTACACTCCCACCAACAGTGTAAAAGTGTTCCTATTTCTCCACATCCTCTCCAGCATCTGTTGTTTCCTGACTTTTTAATGATCACCATTCTAACTGACATGAGATGGTATCCCACTGTGGTTTTGATTTGCATTTCTCTAATGACCAGTGATGATGAGCTTTTTTTCATATGTTTGTTGGCCACATAAATATCTTCTTTTGAGAAGTGTCTGTTCAAAACCTCACCCACTTTTTGATGGGGTTGTTTGGCTTTTTTTTTTTTGTAAAGTTGTTTAAGTTCCTTGTATTTTGCCATTCTTACAGTAACAACTACTTAAACCTGAACTTGAATACTTGTTCTTAATCTTGAATGACTCTGGTTGGTCCACTTAATTTCTGTGACTGCTCCTTGTCCTCTAGGTGATGACTGCTCTGTTTTCAGTCACGACCTTCCCAGTTATATTAAAGATAATTTTGAGTCCGCAAGAGTCACCGAGGCAAACTGGGAGACCATTCAAGGTGGAGTCATAGGAAGTGGCTGTGGGCAGCTGGCCCCCTACGCCCATGGAGACTCACTGTACTTTAATGGCTGTCAGATCAGGCAAGCAGCTACCAAGCCTCTGGATCTCACTCGAGCAAGGTACCCAAACCTCCATATTTTAGTCCAGACATAGAATTAGTCACAAGCCCAGTGATTGTCCATTGTCTGTTAGATAGGATTGTGAACTTCATGGCACAGATGTCACTAAGCAGTGAAAACCTGTCATTTGAATTTGGGACAAGGAAGCATATATGTTTCACAACTCAGAATTATGTTTCGCTTAAATTTATTAGAGAATTGCTTTGTATTTCTTCACCCACAGTGGCTGAGTGGTGGTAATGTAGGCATAAACCCAGAGAAATGGCCAAATATTTTAAAAAATGGTTAGGGATAAACTACATAGATAATTTAATGTTGAGCACAGGCAAGTATATAAATATAAATGTGTATGTGAAATAAATTTGTAGCAATGCAAACATATGCCTATATTTAGCTTATGTAAGTACAATAAATAGAAATGGAGGATGGATGGATGGATGGATGGTTGGATGGATAAGACCTTTAAAATTTTATGTGCTATAATTGCTGAGGGTTAAATTGCTGAGGGTTAATGCAGAGTAGAGTGGGCAGAGACCTTGCAAATGGACTAGGGAAGTGACTGACAAAGACATAAGAAGGATTGAATTTCCTTCCCTACCTGCCCTTCCCAGCTTTGGCTACCTTAACCAGAGTAAACACAGCTTTTTGTCTATATAAATTCAAGAAAAGATTCTTAGGCTTAAAAAAGGTTGCTAGGTATTACTGTAGAGTATTTCTTGAATGCTGAAAAGTGTTCAGTAGCTATGAGAATATTTGAGAATTAGATGTGTTTGATTAATGGGAAGATAGTTTACATGAAACCTTTCACTTTGGAAAATATAATATTAGTGTTGTATTTTCACAAGCGGAAAGGCAGGTTTGGGGGCCCTTCATATGATAAACAATGAAAATAAAATTAATTCCTGTATGGAAACCATGATATAAGTTGCGTCTATCATCTTCCTTTTTTTTTTTTTTTTTTTTTTTTGGCCTGCCAAAAAGATATACTTAATCTAGAGATAACCTGGTGTTTTCTGTAACATCATCATATATAGCTGCAACTAGGTGCATAGTTAGCAATGGCACACTATGTTTTCAATTAGTTTATGCATTTATACGTTTCTAAGTCTAGCTCTTTATTCCACCACCTACTTTAAATTAGGTACTCTGTTAATCATGAGGAATCTTATGATGATTTATTTCCCATGCCTAAAAGGTCTATCTAGGGCAAGGATGACAATGAAAAGCAAAATGTCATGTTGAACAGAATAGCAGACATGGTTCAGAACCTGCACGTCCTAACTCAGTTTTCCCTCAGCTCTGATCTCCAGACAGCCTTTCCTAAAACAGTCATAATAATTTATCCCCATCCAGATGTGTTCAGCTTGGAGCTATTTGTAAAAAGAATGCAGCATAAATATTGTGGTTGTATTCCATGTCCTCTCCATGTCCTCAGCTGTCTGTTTGGCCCACGTTACCTTTCAGAGAATAGAAGGTGTTCTAAATGAAATACTCTAACAAGATTTCCAACATCATGAAAAGAGGATACATCTTTGAAAGTCGAAAATACTTTGTGTAGAAAATAAGCCTTATGAGGTTTTCACATGTATAATATAGAAGACAATATAAATAAATTTTGTTACTAACAGTGATGTAGTCGTAAGACTGGCTGCTTCACAGATGTGAGGGCGATCTGGCTGTGACATCTGTCAATTCATTGATCACCAGGGTTGATTCAGCTGATCCGGCTAGCTAGGCAGGTGTCCCCTTCCTCCCTCACCGCTCCATGTGCGTCCCTCCCAAAGCTGCGTGTGGGTGAAGAGGATGACCATCCCCAACAGGGGAGGATCAGTCTTTGGTCAAGGGTATACAAGTAGCTACGCTCCCCTGCTAGAATCTCCAAACAAGCTCTCAAGACTGGCTGCTTCTGTTTCTATTATATTATGAACTTGGAAATTATGGACTTTAGGAACAAGAAAAGATTAAGGAAGTATAATTCCTTTAATACTTCCTGAATTTAGTATAAAGATGATTTCCCAGCCGGGCACAGTGGCTTACACCTGTAATCCCAGCACTTTGGGAGGCCGAGGTGGGTGGATCACCTGAGGTCAGGAGTTCGAGACCAGCCTGGACAACATGTCAAAACCCCGTCTATACTAAAAATACAAAAATTAGCCAGGCGTGGTGGCGCACACCTGTTATGCCAGCTACTAGGGAGACCGAGGCAGGAAAATCGCTTGAACCCAGTAGGCAGACGTTGTAGTGAGCCGAGATCACACCACTGTACTCCAGCCTGGGTGACAGAGCAAGACTCCATCTCAAAAAATAAATAAATAAAAATAAAGATGATTTCCCTGTGTTTTTCAGCAAAATCATGTTTGTTTTGCAAATTGGGAGCATGTCGCAGACGGACAGCTGCAACAGTGACCTGAGTGGCCCCCACGCTGTGGACAAGGCAGTGCTGCTGCAATACAGCGTCAACAACGGGATCACCTGGCATGTCATCGCCCAGCACCAGCCAAAGGACTTCACACAAGCTCAGAGAGTGTCTTACAATGTCCCCCTGTAAGTGGCCCAAATGGAAAGGCATGGTCTCATGCACAATCCCTTTGTGAATCCCTGGGAATCACAAAGTTTGAGGTAGAAGTTGGGTAAAGTTAATGCACCAATGCCACAAAACTAGGTGGTGGCAGAACGAAGACTAACCCAGATCTCCAAAGTGCTGTTACTGTTTTCGATTAGGACAAGAAAGGCACAAATTAAAGCAAGGAATAAGGACAAGAGGGAATAGACAATAATAACTAAACGCAAGGGCAGTTTTTGCCGATTTCCCTTGTTTTAACCAGTTTTTCTAGTCTTAGAAAACATTTATTTTCTGCTGGTGTGCTAGTTTGAAATTTTACTGAGGTTAAGCAGTCATGTCAGTTTTGCTTTGCATTGTAAGCCCAGCTTCTAGCACAGTGTCTGTCACACAGAAAGCACTCCATGCTTGACCAAATATCTTCTGGATATTAATGGAACAAGGGAAAGGAGGAAGAGAGATGGAAAAGTTTTACAAGTCCTTGAGTAGCCAATAAAATTTAATGCTGCTCAGAAGAATACTATGACCTAAGCAAATCTGAATTCCATGCATAACATTTTGTTGATTTAGATTAGCCTATTATAATATTTGACATCTAGAAGTCAAATACCAAAAAGTTCTGTTTCCTAATGTATAACTTCTTTGTCCTTCTGTGTGTGACCCAGGGAGGCACGGATGAAAGGAGTCTTACTGCGCTGGTGGCAACCACGCCACAATGGAACAGGTCATGATCAATGGGCTTTGGACCATGTGGAGGTCGTCCTGTGAGTATCTATTACATGGCATCCCATGTCCATTTCAGGAAGGTTTGAAATTCCTTTGATATAGCATGACCCTTAATTCAGTAAGATCCGTTTTTGATGAGAAGCCCCCACAGGAGCACTTTGGCTTACACTCTTTTGCAACTGCAAGCTATAGCTCAAATCATCAGTGAAATAGCAAAGCCCCGAATGAAATGTAATGTACCTTAGAAAACTTCCATAAGCACAACATTTATTTAAGGGTTGACAATATTGGTTAAATTGGATAAAACAAAAGTCTCCAGGTAAATGGGAAACCATGTCTTAAGGCAGATCTGGGTTGCCTTATAAAATGAAATGACATCCTTGAAGAGGAAGGATCTGTAGTGGGCAGTGTCTGAAGTGTTACTAGCTAATGTGCCCAATTACAGACATTCTCCATTGAATGATGTGGTTGCAACTAGAACAAAGAGTTTGTGGTTTCAGATTCCTCCTGACCAATCCCAGCACCTAACAAGTTAAAGGTGTTTTTCCCTCTTTATATAATAAAGCTGTCACCACTCTCACCTGGCCGGGTTGACTGTTCCCTCACAGAGAGATGACTTGCTTTTTCTCTAATGATCTAGTTCCTGTAGAACTGGAATGCTTATGTCTCGACGGGTTCGGACTGATGGCTCCAAGTGGTTGGCAAGGAGAGGTGAATCTTCTCGGTAGATAGGTTCAAATGTTCATTCTGTTTACCAAATCCAAAATGAAATCAGTCCCTTGGCTGATTTCAGTCAATTTGCAAGCAAATTTAAGTGATTAATTGGTAGGAAAACTACCAGATTTGTTTTGGTTCAGTCATAGCCATGAGCTGAATTTTCCAGTCTTGAGCTAGCCCTCGTCTTAGTTTTCACTGAGGCACCTGCTTGCATGGCATCCATATCAACCCCCAAATCCAAGAGCAACCTGGTCCCCACACTAGCCTCCTGTGTGCGCTGCTGCTTTTGGACAACTTGCTGGGCTCTGCCTCCACAAGACAAAGTTGAAGTTTAAAGTAACAGTCCAGACTCATTTGAATCTAAATATGAGGCTGATGTTTTACTTAGATACTGATTTCCTCAGACTACGTTATTCCAGCAGAATAAAATAACCTGGGTGCTGAAATGAATCTATGTACAGTAAGGCCATAGAGAGATTTCCAAATAGACCAAAATCCAACCCTAGAACCATTTTACCCTGGCTACTTGCCTTTCAAAACAGCACTTCTCAATCTGTTTGAACGTCAAAATCATTTGGGAAGCTTTTGAAGACATCAAAAAATGTCCCAATGCCCAGGCCCATCCCTTTGGATGGGGCTTTAAATTGATCTGCAGTGGGAACTGGGCATCATTCTTGTTTTAAAAGCAGCTCAGGTGATTCTCATAAACTGGTAGATAATAAAATGAGAGTCAATAACCACTTCTTATCTTTCAAGTGGCTTGCCAATACAATTTGCATTAATGGGGCTTCCTGTGCCTGACAAAGCATTACCAAACTCCTGTGGAAACTTCAAAACCTGACAGTCCTCAAAAGAAGGCAGGATAGTAATCCTGCCCCTTGAGTAAACACAATAATTCTTAACATATCACACATTTGAGTAGATATTTTCATCCTGCCCAAACAATCAATTGCACTTACCTATTTTGGATTTCAGAGACATATCATCACCAGTAATTTCCTCACTTATACTAAGATTAAAAAGCAGGGGCGAGGGGTTCAGAGGCACCAATATACCAGCCAGTGTAAAAGCAACCCCTTCACATATTGGAAACAGGACTCTATTCCTTGCTCCCTGTCAACATGCTGCCTTAGAGGCTGTCAGAGCACCGGCAGGAAGCCTCAGCACACAGCACCCAAGAGAGTCTCCCAGGTCACCTGGTGTTGGAATTAATGCTTATAAGCAACTACCAGCATCAAGCTCCATATTTTAAATACTTTGAAGAATTTGTCATATACCAGGCTCTTATCCTGATAAGTCTGTTCTTATCCTGCATTATTATCTCAAACTCTCAGAGCACTAAAACATTTTGAATGAGACAAGAGCATTGCTACATTTGCATGGTGTTGTATGCTTTGAATTTTACTCCAAGTCTTCTTTCAGGAATAATTTAAAAATTATAATTTTATATGTACCACCATATGCTTTTATGTATATATAATTTCAAAAGCAAATGCAGTCTCTTTAATGACATTTCAAAAATTTGTTAAAGGAATTTATTTTCCTTCTTTTTGAAGAAAAGAAATAGCTCACAAAGCTACGTTCAATAAATGAGTTGTTTCAAAACATACATAATACTAAGATGTTATATTTCCAGAACTATGTTTTTGATGTTTTGCTCTGGTCTTAGAGTGTAACATTTCTACACCACTCTACCCTTTCAAAGTACTTCTTTTCAAAAGAGCCACAAAGAGTTTTAAGGCATTCATTAGTATGCAATTAGTAGCTCTACAAAATAATTACTTCAATTCATTCATTTGATGAGCGCAAAATAAAGTTCCAGATAATTCAAAAAATTAAATATAATAGTTTTCCAGAGTGTCCTTCAATCATATGAGGCACAAAGAAGCTAGAGCCAAGGTTCATGTCATGATCACAAATATTCTTAATTATAACTTTGCTTCAGAGGATGTATATTTAGAAATAGGTGGAATACCTCCATAAACCCCTATTAACTGAAAGCATTCTCTTAATTAACTGCATTTTTGTATCAGAACACTTGATTATTTGAACTAGCAATGTTAACTCCTCAAGCATGGCAGGGAGAGGAGCAGACTGAGGCTTGTATCTTAAGAGATACAAACCCTACGTAACTGTATGTTACAAACAGGGCTACTGATATGTTTTTGCAACTAATGGTTGGGGCATACATTTCACTTAGGAATTTTTAGAAATATACTTCTTTTTTTAAGTGAAGGTTGGCTTTAATCTAACTTTATTACCATAGTTTCGCTTCTGTGCATGTGCACCAAGGACACATGCTGAAAACCCTTAGAAAGAAAAATTATGGTCATGCATGGTATCTTATATTGAGTTTAACCTCAGTACTGCCCATATTAGCCAAGAAAACACAAGTTTAATGAGAACAAACTTAGCACTTTCAACAATATTTCAGGGTTTAAAAGTGTATCCTAAATGAACAAGATTTGTAATGTATTTTTAATTAAATGGTTTAATTCTAAAATACATGTGGAAGGATTTGATTTTCATAAATATGGACATACAGAATGACAAGCCCCACACCATAAAGATGAAAACCACCCTTTAGCATTTAACAAGCAGTCTCTCATGCTTGTTTGAGAGTGTAATCTTCCCACTCTCATATTTTCCAATAAAACCTGCACATGAAAAGCATTTCACGATGATTAGCCCCTGCTAATCTGCCGTATAACAGATTAACCGAATTGACAGATAATATTTTTCCAGCCTCACTAGCTTACAAAAAGTCCTCATTCCATAAAGTCTGAATGATGTGGCATAACACGATCATTGACAATCAAGTGTCAGAAACCTAATTTCTCTGAATTCATTTGCTAGCATAGAATATTTATTTTTCAGTATATGTTTATGAATACACTGGGCAGATCCCTCACAAGATCCATGCTGGTGAGGTTCTTCTTAGGATAAAAGAGAATTTGTTGTCTTAACCATTTTTGTTGGGCACTCATACTTCTATCCTAAGAATCTCCCTCACCCAATTCGCATTTCATTCACACATCACATTTCCTGTGTACGTGTCTAAGTCACACCTGTCATGTGTATAATGAAGTGGGCCAATTTTTGCATGTGTACCTTGAAAGCTCAGTAAAAAGCCTTCGTGAATGAATTTACTAAAAAGTGAATTAATACCACATTTACGGAGAACTGCAAACCTTATGTTGCTAACTATGGTCTTAAAAGCATTTATCAGAATTTAAAATGAGTTCCATCGTGACCATCCCCTCATGCTCTTCATTATCAAGATACTGTCACATTTTTGGCACAAATGATTTACGGAAATGAGCATATTACATTTGTTGCAAAGCATATTTGTCCTTTATTAAATATGATTGTGTTATCTGACATAGGAGACTTCTGTATTTTTTAAAGCCCATTCCTTAATATATTCAGGAATTAGTATTTCTTACAATGTAAAATAATTGAAAAATCAGATAATAAAATTAGTAGTTATTAAGCTATTAATATTTATAATTTATATGCAACATTTATGCCAAATGTAGTACTACAGCTACATGTACCTTAACATATGGTTATGAGCAAATATTGCATGTTACATTACATAGAAAAGTATATGTAGATCTTGGGTATAGAAGAATAAGAAATAACTTCTTTAATTTTTATTTTCAAAAGAGATGAAAAATCCTATATTGCGTCTAAACCTGATCAGACTTTTATGACTAATCACAGTGCTGCATGCATTGAAAGGCATTTTTTAACTTGTGTTATATTTCATTATTTGCTGTCATTGGTTTTCCACTAGAGTAAGGTAAGTCCTCCTTACTAAATCTGGGGAACTGTTTACTAATAGTTTCATCAGTGACACCAAACTTAACTGAGAAGTTTTGTAAAGCACCTTTGCAACTAAAAAAAAAAAAAAATCTATGAAAACAGTAATAAATGATACTGGTATATAGTGGAACATTTGAAACTTATTTCCATGTAAATTCGGAGTCAGTCAAATTGAGATAAGTCCCTAATATATACAATATAGGGCACAACAGCATAGACCAGAGTGCTAGTCAGCATTTCATCATTGGGCAACAGATTTGACTTAGATTCTGCTCTGTGCTTGACACCGTATTGGGTGCCCTTGAAGTGCTCACAGTTGATAAATTTGTTATGAGGGACAAGGGAAAATAGAAATGTGTGCAAAAGATTTAGGGACTCTGATTAAATGGAATGTCTTTCAAAAGACCTACTATGCTGAAGATGCATGAGGGTCCCTTGACTTACCAATTCTCCTCTAAGTTAATAACTGAATTGGCAGACGGAGTAGATGTATTCATAATACTTAGGAGTTCTAGATCTTGTCCTTAGGTAAGATTGGCCACTTTTAATATATTCTTGTATTTGTCCTCTGAGATTCTTTAAAATTTAAGAAGGCAAAATGGTTATAATTTATTGAACATCTATATATAGTGCTAGTTTTCATTTAATCCTTACAGCTCCCTGAGGTGCACATTATTGGATATTATTCTCATCCCCATTTAGCAGAGAAGAGAAATATGAAATCTTCAGTATGTGTGAGATGTTTGTGTCTGCACTTATTTATGCATAGCCTTCCTGAAAATGCATGGCCTTTAAGTCAAATGTGTGGCATCCTCTATGCAGGGAAGTTTCAGTGATAGTTTGAATGGCAGCTTCCTGCCTTACACTCACCAATATTTCTAAGATATGTTGAACAGTCCACTGGATTCTTATGTCTGCATTCATATAAATCATTATTTGTTCTACCATATGTTTTGGTGATAAATTACTGACAAGTAGAAATGCCTATATTTCTATGAGCTCAAATTAGTATCAATTCTCTATCTCCTCCATTTCCTTTAGAATCCATTAAAAAATCAATTGAATTGTTTTCATCATAATAAATGAACTAAGATTGTGTCTCCTTTAAAGAGTAACAGTTCAAAAGAGCACAGAGTCACTAGTTATTCAAAGATCTTGCAATGGCCATATTTCCTATGCAGAAACAAGGAAACACGTTATAATTCTATATGCCATCTAAGTCCCTAAACTCCCTTGGCAATAATGGACATTTACATTATCATTTCCAAGAAGCCTTTGTTGTTCATTCTCCCTTCTTTCAATTACTTACTCATAATGGAAGAATTTAAAAATGGACCTAGTTCTATCCACAACCAAAGCAAATTGATATGTCAAGTGGCATAGCTGATGTGCCTTGGGATGAACATTACCTCCTTTTATTGAACTTAAAATAAAAATTACTTTCTCTGGTAATTGCAGTGAATAAATAAATCTTTAAAAGTTCATTGCACTTCTTATTTCAGTTATAAGGTTATCTATAGCTGTACATCAAAATGTATCAAAAACAAAAAATAGGCTCACAAATATATCACACCAAAAAATGAGTAAATATAAGATAAATGTTAAAAATTCCCCTAATTCCCAATGCTGTTAGACATTTTAGAAGGTACAATAACTGTTTAGTAACCATGTCAATTTATTAAGTGGTCTTAGAGGCAGACAGCATTTTAGTATAGCTTGCCATAATGGTTGATTTTCAAAGGCTCATAAACTGGAAATATCCACTTCATTAGATTTCAACCTAACTGACTCAAAAGATTTTTATATTTCACATACCAAATTACCACCTAGTTTCCACGATGCTTTGATAGTGTGGTTTTTTTGTTTGTTTGTTTGTTTGTTTTTTGAGACAGAGTCTCACCGTGTCGCCCCAGGCTGGAGTGCAGTGGCACAATCTCAGCTCACTGCAACCTCTGCCTCCCAGGTTCAAGCAATTCTCCTGCCTCAGCCTCCCAAGTAGCTGGGACTACAGGCGCGTACCACCATGCCTGGCGTGCCACAACACCCAGCTAATTTTTTGTATTTTTAGTAGAGATGGGGTTTCACTCTGTTAGCTGGATGGTCTTGATCTCCTGACCTCATGATCTGCCTTCCTCAGCCTCCCAAAGTGCTGGGATTACAGGTGTGAGTCACTGCACCCAGCTGCCATTTTTAATGTGACTATATAAACACTAGGCATCTATAGCAAGTCCATTACTATATGCATATCAACATTCTCAGGAATCCAAAGATATGATACTGATACATAAACTTTTTCAAAATTAAAGAGCACCCAGGCCAGGCACAGTGGCCATGCTTGTAATCCCAGAACTGTGGGAGTCCAAGGCAACAGGATCACTTGAGGCCAGGAGTTCGACACCAGCCTGGCCAACATAGCAAGACCCCGTCTCTACCAAAAAAATTAGAAATATATTTAAAATCTTTTAAGAAAAAAATGTTATTTAAAAAAAGAACATCCAGTGATTCAAAATGTCCCCTAAATTGGTTTTAAGCTTCTACCTTGGACTAGTTTTTAGGGCACTAAAGATCTGCAACCTGCTAGTATTTATTTTCTCACCTATAAAGATGGAGACTTTCAATCAGCTCCATAATAAGTAAATAATTATATGGAGACGTTGCTTTAAAGCTGTTAAGTAAGCACATCAAGTTTTGTTAAAACTGAATGTTCTTTTGTTCCCATATATTAAGGTAACTTTCATGTCAATCTAGGTTGCATTGAGATAACAAAATATCTTGAGTGTTCTAACTTCATCTTTTTTTATGTAAAATATTTTAACTATTTTAAATTCTCTTTGAGTACCTTATACCTTTAAACGTGTTTTAACAGAATAATTTTCATTGCTTTAACTTTGCAATTATTCCTTATAGTTATAGAGTAATGATTTACAGCAGGAATCCAATCAGTAAGTCACCATAAGTTCAACAAACATGCCTTGACCACCCATGCACGGGTCAGGCAGGAGGCTCAGTGCTATGGTGCGGGGGTGGGGGGAGTTGGGGGACTGGCCCCCATACCAACAAAAGTTTAGTTGTGGGGAGCCAAGATATGAACACAAACTCCTTCAAAGCAGGAAATGAGCACTATGAGAGTTCAAAGTAAAAAAAAAAAAGTTCACTTATAGAGGGAGTAAACAAAGAAAATGTAATACTTGAACACGTAGAATCTAGGAAGTGATGTTGACAGCTGGCCAATGAGGCGGGTAGAAAGGACTCAAGGCGTTTGAGTAGAGCAGTTTGTATAGGAATGTAGAAAAATAAAGGGCAGAATAAGATTAAGCATGAAGAGGACTTGAAACGTCTGTTTAAGTTGGCTTAGCTGTTGCTCCATAGATAAGAGGATTCTGCATGGTTTTGGGCAAAGTGAAGCCAGTGTTTGAGGAAAAGTTTACTGAATCTGGTGTGCAAAATCAACTGCATGTATGTGTAGGAAGGTATACATGCACATGTATACAATTATGCATTCAGTTATACTTTCTTAGTATTTCAGGGGTTTCCTTTCAGTGGAGTTTTTTTTTTTTTTCATAAAAGGAAAAAAGTTAAGGAGGCTAGTTCAGGGGGCCACTATAATAGCTCAGGGAAAGAACTATAAGGCGACTGAGGATGCTGGCAGTAACACAGCTAGTTCCAGTCCCAAGATTTTGTGAATAAAGGAGCAACAGGATAATTTTTCTTGACACTTGATTAGTTCAATACATTAATTCCTTGGGGGTTTTTTTGTAACTCAATTTTACATAGGCAGCAGTTAGTACTTATAGCAGCTAATAAATGGATAAATTTGGGTCATTCAACTGTGACACTGAAACTGATCAACTTAGTTGATACATGTAATATTGTCACATGGAGGGGATGGGAGGGGGAGGATAGTAAATCTGCCTAAAGACAAAACCTGATTTTTTTGAAATCTTTTTCTCTATAATGTCTTCAGGATATATTCTTTGTTTCCATTTTATTGTTTCTAGCATTTTGATATTATTGAAATCTAGCAGGGGATGTTATTAGTACCTTTTTTATTTTATAAAATATGTATCAATTTGATGTCTTTGTATCAATATTTTAGCACAGATGCTATTGCTTTTTGATTATACATATCTGATGAAATTCAATTTATGTCTTTTCCTTTGAGATATTTTATTATAAATTTTCTAATGATGAAACTGTGAAATTATCTTGTTTTAAAGTTTATATTTTACAAGTGCTAGTATAATATGCCTAAGTATAATACCTATTATACTAGGTAAAATATCATTTTACACCTTACTAGCATATTGATGATTGATAATGCAGCTTATACTGCTCAGAACAAAATTACCCTTTCCCCCCTCTCCTACCCTAACTCAAGTTCATGTCATATTGATCTTTATGTTGGAATCACATCACATGACATTATGTACATTTTATGTCTTCATGGAATTAGGGAGAAAAGGCTTTGGGACCATGAGGAAACTCAGTGAATTTGAAATATACTGATAGGCTCACTCTCATAAACCACATATTGATGCCACATATGGATATATTGTCACTCAGGTCAGTGTGAGAATATGATCCTTTCAGTGATGTTATAGCTCACAATCCTTTTTAAAGGACTATACCAAAACATTAACAGCTGTCACTACTAGTATTGTACAGTTTCCTACAGGATCCTGAAATCCATCTTCAGTATTTTTATCAGCTTCACACACAGCATATATGTATAAATGTGTGTATGTACATATGTGGGGGAAAACATACATACATATTTACAATTATACATTTGGTTACACTTTCTTAGTATTTTATGACCTCTTTTCAGTGGAGTGTCTCTTTCCTAAGGCCACGTTTATAAAATATAACCCAGATGCTTATGGTTTGAGGAAGACAAGAGAATCCAACATTCTGAGAAAAACTGACCTCCTTATTTTGTCTCATGGGACTGCATGAACTAGGAATGTCAAGCTGATCCAGCTAACAGTCTGTTTCTTTGTTTTTAGTTTTTAAGCTTTAAATGAGAATGTTTGCTAAAGGAACCAAATTATTTTTCCTACTTGTTAAAGATATATTTAAATAAGGCAATGGGTATAGAGCACACTTCTCAAATGAAAGGTACCTAAGTAAATATTTTCAGGAAGCATTCAAGAATAAAATTAAAATTTAAAACAGTTTGCTTTTGCTATGAATCAAGAGAATTTCACATATTTTCTGGTTCAGAGCTCACTCATGAAAAGACAGGGATTTCTTCAAGGCCAAAGGCAGTGAGTATAGGTCCCAGCCTTTAGTTCCTCTGACCCTGGGTGGTAATGTGAGCATGACCTATTAACCCTGAAAATTTTCAAACAAATATCAGAGTAACTTAGGACCTAGAATAGATTGCACGTTCAATGATGGGACTTACATGCTCTTTTTCCTTTCCTTCCCTGCCTCTATCCTGTTTGATTTTAACAGCACTCGCAAACAAAATTACATGATGAATTTTTCACGACAACATGGGCTCAGACATTTCTACAACAGAAGACGAAGGTCACTTAGGCGATACCCATGAAGAATCAAAAAGTTTATTTTTTTTCTTCCAACATGTGATGTGTTGCTCTCCATTCTTTTAAATCTCGCACTACATCTGATATCAGGAAATATCTGTGAAGGACTTGGTGATTACCTGAAAGCCCTTCTCAAGACCGAGTGTACACCACTTTCCCACACTGTGAACTAATGACAAGTGACTTATTTGCTCATAAGTAAATGTCTTCATGTTGATGTGTCCGTGAAAGTTGTGATCTGTTGTAATATCAGTTACAGTGGCAGTATTGACAATAAGAAACAGTTTAACAGAAAAATGAAATTTAAGCACAAAAAATTTAAGAGATTTTATGTTTAAAATGGCATTTAGCACAGTATTTAACATTCTTGGTCACAAAGCTATTTAAGTGGACTGTATTTCGGCTATGTCTCATGTTTTATATGATTAAATTATCATTGTTTGTCCTTTATGTATTCTCTTCTACAATACAACACATTGAAACTGTATTTACTTGTTATGTTGTAATATTTTGCTGCTGAATTTGGGGCTACTTATATTCTGCAGAAAATTAATTGAAATACCTATTCAAGAAGATAGTTGTAAAGATATTGTATCTCCTTTAATATACTCCTTAAAAATGTATGTTGGTTTAGCGTTGTTTTGTGGATAAGAAAAATGCTTGACCCTGAAATATTTTCTACTTTAAATTGTGGATGAAGACCCTATCTCCCACAAATAAGTTCCCATTTCCTTGTCTAAAGATCTTTTTTTAAGTGTTCTGTGGCTGATTTACTAACAGTAACTGCCATTTTTTGTCTGTGATAACAGAGTGATTTGTAAAACAGTGGTTGTTTTTTCATTGTGTTTTCTTCGTGGATTGTTTTTTCTGCGGGTCATATTCATACCTTCTGATGAAGTTGTACAACACCAGCAACATTATAATGGCCCTGTAGCTCTGAATGCTATTTGTGTAACTGAAAGGTTGCACTCTAGGGTGAACCAAGCTATAAAAGCCCATGCTTAAATAAAAATTATGTCCAAAAGCCATTGAAGTTCATTGGTCTTCATTCATTTTTAATTAAATTTTATGTAAGATTTGCAAGGCTGGTCAGTTTGGAAGTTATGATGTCAAATATTTGCACCAGTTTTTGGTTTCATCATTGATAATAGCAATTAGAAGCCACATTTTCAATTTAGCCATTTTTCTCTTATTCACCTTTTTCTGCTAATTACTCTGTAATTCCACTAAGAAAAGTCAATAGATAATTCCAATAATGACTTCACTCCTGAGAATTTTATTAGCTGCTAACGCTTGTCTCATCATAAGCACTCATATGTTCATTGAGTAAATATTTATTGAGTATTTGCTATGGTCCAGGCACTGTGCTAAGTATTGAGGATAAAATGGTGATTGAAACATTTTCCCTTCTTGATTTTAACATCTACAAAATAAAAAGTATGTTAATATCATTGATTTTTGTTTTGTTTTACTTTCAAGAGGAGGAAAAAAATAAGAAAAAAAACGTTAAAACTAGAGGTTTCAGCAATGGCAAACTTTCTCAATACTTTTGACCCCTCTAATGCTGAGCCTAAATACTCCTACAATGAATGAACTAATATTTTAAAGAACAAATACATCCACTGGAGAACAGCACCTTTTAAGACACTTAAATGTGAAAGAAATAACTGATTTCAGAGGATTCTTCCTACCATGGCCCACTTTAGTCATTTTGTGTATGCAATCCTTCATCAAATATCTATTAAGGGATACCATGTGCCAAGCACGGGCAAGAGCACTAGAGATGGAATAGTGAACAAAAAGAGACACAATCTCTGCACTAAGGAAGGTCACAGTTAGTGGAGGAGGAAGGTATTTACTAATAATCACAAAAATAAACGGATAACTGGGTAAATACCTCATTAAGCACTAAATATTCTTTTGATAAGCATCTATTAAACATCTACCATACTAATGTACATTATTTGAGAAACTACCATGAATGAAACATGGTTCTCTTTCTCAATGTGTAGTCTAGACAGAAACTCAGAAATACCAACCAATACATACAATACTAAGAAGAAGGTGCTGCCATAGACATGTATTTTGGGTCTAATGGGCACATATAAACATCCAGACTGGGCAACATAGTGAGACCCTGTCTCTACCAAAAAAAAACCTTAAAATTAGCTGAGTGTGGTGGCATGCACTGTGGTCCCAGGTACTCAGGAGGCTGAGGTGGGAGGATCTGGCCTGAACCGAGCCCAGGTTGAGGCTGCAGTAAGCTGTGATCACACCACTGCACTCCAGCCTGGGCGACAGAGCAAGATCGTGTCTCAAAGAAAAGTAAAAAATAAAAAATTTGCAAGTGATATCATACTAAGTGATGAAAAACTAGATGCTTTCTCCCTAAATTCAAGAACAAAACAAGATATTTCCTTTTACCACTTCTACTCAACCTTATCCTAAAGATTCTAGCCAGGGCAATAAAGTTAGAAAAAGAAATAAAAGGCATCCAGATTCAAAAGTAACAAGTCAAACTGTCTTTATTGGGAAACAACATGACTATGTGCATAGAAAAGCCCATGGAATCTATGAAAAGCTACTAGAACTAATAATTGGGTTTTGTAAGATTACAGGATACAGAATCAATATACAAAGATCAATTGTTCATTGTTGAGGGGAATGTAAATTAGTATAGCCATTATGAAAAATGGCATAAAGGTTCCTCAAAAAACTAAAAATAGAACTATCATATGACCAAGAATACCACTTCTGGGTATATATCGAAAGGAACTAAAATCAGTATGTCCAAGGGATATCTGCACTCCCATGTTCACTGTAGCACTATTCACACAATAGCCAAGATATGGAATCAACCCAGGTGTCCATCAGTGGATAAATGGATAAAGAAAATGTGAGCCTGGGGGCTGTGGCTCATGCCTGTAATCCCAGTACTTTGGGAGGCCTAGGTGAGCAGATCGCTTGAGGCCAGGAGTTCGAGACCAGCCTGACCAAGATAGCAAAACCTTGTCTCTACTAAAACTATAAAAATCAGCTGGGCATGGTGGTACGTGCCTGTGATCCCAGCCACTCATGAGGCTGAGGCACAAGAATCACTTAATTCCAGGAGGTGGAGGTTGTGGTGAACCAAGATGGCACCACTACACTCCAGCCTGAGTGACAGAGCTAGCCTCTGTCCCCCAAAAAAAGAAAATGTGGTATATATATATATACACAATTGAATACTATTTAGCCTTAAAAACAAAGGAAATCCTGCCATTTGTGACAGCTTTTGGATGAATCTGGAGAACATTATGCTAAGTGAAATAAGCCAGGCATAGAAAGATAAACATTGCATGATCTCACTTACATGTGAAATCTAATAAAGTTGAACTCCTACAAGTCGAAAGTAGAGCAATGGTTACCAGAGGCTGGGGATGGGGATGGGGGTGGGGAAGGAGGGAATGGAGAGATGTTGATCAAAGGATACAAAATTTCAAATAGACAAAAGAATAAGTTTTGAGATCTGTTGTACAGCAAAGTGACTATAGTCAATAATAATTTATTGTATATTTCAAAACAACTAACAGTAAATTCCCAATGTCTTACTATGAAAAATGATAGGTAAGTGAGGTGAAGGATATGTTAATTAGTTTGATTTAATCCTGCCACATTGTACACATATATCAAAACATTGTACCCCATAAATGTGTACAATTATGATTTGTCAATCAAAAACAATAAAAAGATATGTTTTAAAAGATCAATTACAACTTTGTGCAATGGCAGTATCATAGCCAGTGGGATTTATCCAAAGCACAATTATTGCTAGATGAAAAGATCATTGTATTTCTACATACTAGCAATGAACAAATGTTTTTTAAAACTCTTCTTAAACATTAGTTTATATTAAGTGTGAGCCAAGGTAATAGGACAAGTGATTAATAATTAAAATGACAAACCAGGCATGGTGGCTCACATCTATATCCCAGCACTTTTTAGGAGGCTGAGGCAGGAGGATAGCTTGAGCCCAAGAATTTGAGACCAACCTGGGCAACACTGCAAAACCTTGTCTTTACTAAAACTACAAAAAATTAGCCTGGCATGGTGGCAGCATGCGCCTGTAGTCCCAGCTACTCAGGAGGCTGAGGTGGGAGAATCACCTGAGCCTGGGAAGCAAGGCTGCAGTGAGCCGATCTTGTGCCACTGCATTCCAGCCTGGGTGATGAGAGTGAGATTCTCCCTTAAAAAAAAAAAAAAAAAAAGTTTTAAAAATTCATGATAGTGGTTACCTCAGTTAGGGGAATAAGATCAGAGAGGTGTATGCAGAAGATCTCAGCTCTACTAAAATGTTTTATTCCTTTTTTAAAAAGTCAGAGTAAAATAGAATAATGTTAAGGTTTAAATGAATTGCGTGCATACAAAATTTTTTATTGTATTATTCTCTATTCTCACGTGAAGATCTAAATATAGCAAAAAATAAGGAGAATCTATCAAGCCGACTCAGTGGGAAGATATATTCTAAAAATAAAAGTATGTGCAAAAACGCAAAGTCAGGAACTAGCTTGGCTCCTCAGGGGAGACGCGTAACATTGGATTTGAGGGGCTTACAAGAAGCAGCCTGAAAAGATGGGGAGGGGCTGGTGTTGCAGGAGTGAGAGATGGGGAGTAATTTCTCATACTAACAAAGTTCAGCTTTAATCAGGAGGCATTCACTGGAAGTTATTGGAGGGTTTTAAGCAGATGACTTTTGATCAGATCACTCTGGCCAAGGTGTGGAGAATGGCTGAAGTGAGTGAAGAAGAGAAGGTGGGAGACTAGAATTTACAGGTAGTCCTGAGATAACAGCTAAGGAATACTTTTAAATTGACAAGAATTTTGCTAAGGATTCATACTTCTCCACAGTAACTACAAACTGCTCACCTACAAAATGTAATAATAAAGACAAAAAGTAACTATGCATGTATGTATTGTTCAGGAAAAAAATCAGCTGTTATTAAAAGAATTCCATTTCAGAGGTGAGAGGGTTTGTCATGATTACTGTTTCTTCCATGTAGTCCTTTGGGTGTTTATTATAAATAAATGGTTATAGTTGGTTTTTTGTTTTGTTTTGTTTTTAATAATCCAATATGGCTGTAAACCGATGCTGCCTTTATAGACATGGGAGACCATGTAATGACAATGGAGTGTCTGCCACTCTCCAGTGGCCCTATTACCATATTCCAGCACCTGGATCCCCTGTCCCAGAATTCATGCCAGTGCAGCTAAGAAGGAGAAGATAATGTCTAGAAAATATAACTTTTCATGGAGAGAGTACTGGTAGAATAATATATGGAGATATGTAAGTGAATAATAAAAAGGCACAGAAATGTGTGTAAGAAATATTGCCTCATAAACCTAGAAACAGTAAACTAACTTATATCAAAGTTATTACAATACTCCCTTAATGTTACTAACCATAGAAAGCAGATGCAATGAGACAAGTCAGACATTTTTTAACACCTCTACAATCACCTTAACAGAAACTAAACAGCTCCCTTAAAGGCTAAAGAAGAAACTCAATCACTATTAATTCTAACACAATTTCTTTCATGTTGATACTTTAAGCAATTTCAAGTTGGTTCTTTGCTCTGCCTCTAAATTTCCTAACTGTAACAAAATACTTACTTTCTAGCACCTTCTATGTGTGGAGCTTGACAAAACAACAGAGAAGGAAAGCTGTCTTTTGGCCTCTCTACCTAAGACACACCCTGATATGGTTTGGCTGTGCCCCCACCCAAATCTCATCTTGAATTGTAACTCCCACAATTCCCACGTGTTGTGGGAGGACCTGGGAGGCAATTGAATCATGGGGGCGGGTCTTTCCCATGCTATTCTTGTGACAGTGAATATGTCTCTTGAGATATGATGTAAAAGGGCATTCTCCCTGCACAAGCTCTGTTCTCCTGTCTGCCACCATGTGCGATGTGCCTTTTGCCTTTCACCTTCCACTGTGATTGTGAGGCCTCCCCAGCCACATGGAACTGTTAAGTCCAATAAATCACTTTCTTTTGTAAATTGTCCAGTCTCTGGTATGTCTTTATCAGCAGCATAAAAATGGACTAATACACACCTTCATGCAACCAGAACTCTGTTCAAATTCCCACACCATGAAAACCAGCTTTCATCCCCAGTCCTACAGATTAACCAACTCTCATAATGGAGAGAGAAAAGGTAGGCATTTACTTACAGTGGTAGGCATTTACATATCTCACAAAAAATTGTTAGTATAATTAGTGATTACATAAATAATATAACTGTAACTTTTCCCTGAGGGATTTACATTTTAGTAAGTAGTGTTAAACTTCCAGAACTGTTTCCAGATCCAAAAGAATGAGTTTTTAATGGAGAGACTTTGGGTATTTAGGTAACTGAGGGGGGTATTTAGGTAACTGAGGGGGGTATTTAGGTAATTGAGGTAGGTATTTTAGCAAAATAGCTTTGTCAATTGCCATGGCAACTGAAGTCTTCCATTTGGATGGATCAGACATTGAGTTGCTAGTCCGGTGACACAAGTTCCAGGGCCCACCTTCCTGTAAGACTTTGACCTACAGGTTAGTCCACTAGATCTGTTTCAAACTCAGTGCACATAAATGCTCAGCATTTGATAGTTTAAATACCTCCGATGGCACATCTGCCCTGCCCTGCTCATGCTGGCCTGGTAGGCGAGCTTCTAAAACCAAGAAAATAGACCTGATTCTCAGCTGAAAGAGATATTGAGGAGCTGCCTAAGCCAGAGATAACCTGTTAGTTACACCTATTCCTTGGGTGACACTCTCACCCAAGTCATTATTACCTCCCATGCTGCTTGGGATTGGGGCAGATCCAGGTTTTGGTGGGCTAACTTACACAATTTGGTAGAATCTCTGTAAGGAAAAAAAAAAAAAAAACCTCAATATGAGAAATACAAAATTAGGTATAAAAGTGCATATTTAAAATGAGAAAAGAAATCGCAACATGTTACAAATTTATAAATATTGAAAAATTGACAAATTTCATAAATACTATCTGGAACTGCCAGACTTCATCAAGAAAAGATGGACCAGTAACCAAAGATGTCTGGTAGGCCAAGGTTGGCGAATCACTTGAGGTCAGGAGTTTGAGAGCAGCCTGGCCAACATGGTGAAACCCCATCTGCACTGAAAAAAAAAATTACCCCAGCATGGTGACGGGTGCCTGTAGTCCCAGCTACTCTGAAGGCTGAGGCATGAGAATCACTTGAACCCGGGAAGCGGAGGTTGCAGTGAGCCAAGATTGCGCCACTGCACTCCAGCTTGGGTGACAGAGTGAGACCCTGTCTCAAAAAAAGAAAAAAGAAAAAGAAACCAAAGAACCAAAGATGTCATCAAATATACATATAAAATAGGTAACTTTACACACCCGATGAACTCCTTATTATTTATTTGAAGAACAAATAACTAGAAGTTTCTGAATTTGAAAGGATCTATAAATCTACAGATTCTAAAAAGCTCAGCGAACTTCAAGCAGGATAAACACAAACATTTTTAAAATTTGGCCTCCCTGGAGGCGGCACCACTTTCTAATTCTCATAACATCTAGTGATGGCCTTGCCCTTCCCTTCGTCTGGTTTTCTGCCTACTGTTCTGTTTGTATTTTCTCAGTCTACTTATTGATAATAATTACTACAGTAGCCAGCATTTGGTCCCCTGCTGCATCCATTCTGGTCCTTTCCGATCCATTTTGCAAGCAGTGATATGGTGGATCTTTTCAAAATGCAAATACAATCATGTCGTCTCCTGTTCAACCTCTTCAAAGAGTTCACATTGAGCCGGCACAGTGGGTCATGCCTGAAATCTCCGCACTTTGGGAGGCTGGGGCAGGCAAATCACCTGAGGTCAGGAGTTTGAGACCAGCCTGGCCAATACGGTGAAACCCCGTCTCTACTAAAAATACAAAAATTAGCCAGGCATGGCGGCTGGTGCCTGTAATCCCAGCTACCCAGGAGGCTGAGGCAGGAGAATCACCTGAGCCTGGAAGGCAGAGTTTGCAGTGAGCAGAGAACTGGCCCTGCCTTCCTCTCCAGCTGTATCTTATGCCACTCTACCCTTTGTGCTCCATCCACCTGGGCCTTCTTCAGGCTTGTTTCCGTCTTTCCAATGTGCCATGCCACTTGCACTTACGGGGCATTTGCAGGTGCTAGCTCCTCACCCTACCTCCACCCCTTTATCTAATTGACTCCTAATGTTTGACACCCCACCCCCCACCCCTTCCTGATTTGGATTGAGTTTTTTCATTTAAATGTGCTCATACTTCTGGATTTTTTTTACCTTTACAGCATTTATCCAAGTTGGTAGTTAGCCTTATCAGTGTTATTATCTAACGAAACTCTGGCTTCTCCTCCACTGTTAGTCTGTAAATTCCACGTGAGCAACTTTCTAGTGCAGTCTCAATGCCTGCCACATGTTGTTTGAAAAATTAACAGTTATTAAAATAATAAATGAATCCATAAGTATTTACAAAAAAAATTTATATTATGCTATTTATTAGCTTTACATTCTTTGGCAAGTCGGTTAATATTAGCCTGTCTGTCTGTAATACCAGAGGAATGATAGCCACTCATGAAACTATTATAAGAATTAAGTAAAAATACATGTGTGTCCCTTAAAAAATAAGCAGTTCTTTCTCTAAGCAAAAACAATGCTTTCAAGACAAAATACAAATGAGAAATTGAGAGTATATTTGTAACACATATCACAGATAAAGAGCAAATATTCCTAATATACAAAGATCTTTCAAATTGAAGGTAAAAATAGACCAAAAATTACGTAGAAAAATGAGCAAAAGATATGAATAGATAATTCAGGAAAATCATACAAAAAATGGCCCTTCGACATACGAAAGGTGTGCAACATCACTCATTATAATAGAAGTGTAAAGTAAGCCCCACTGAGATACAACTTCTAACCCATCAAATTGGCAAAATTCAAAAGCTTGACAATATAAGCTTGAAAAGGCTGTGAAACATAGGCCTCCTCATACCTTGCTGGTAGGAATGAAAAATGACATAAGCCCTGAGGAGAGGATTATGGCAACAGCTAAGAAAACTACATACGCATTTACTTTTTGACCCACCAAACACTTGATCCCACTTCTAGGAATTTATCCTAAAGCTACACCTCCAAAAATATGAAAATGTACATGCACAAAGTTATTAATTGCAGCATTATTTGTAACCACAAAATATTGTAAGCTACATAACTATCCAAACATAGGAGAGTATTTCAACACACTGTGCTACATATATGTAATGTACTACTGTGTAGCTGTTTAAAAAAAAAAAGGAAGATCTCTGTGACATAACGTGGAGTGATTTCCATAGATACTGTTAAGTGGAAAGAGCTAAGTGTAGAAGAATATATGAAGAATGCCACTTTTGTGTAAGAAAGAAGGGGAAGCTGGGCGCAGTGGCTCACACCTGTAATCCTAGCACTTTAGGAGGCTTAGGAGGGAGGATCGCTTGAGCCCAGGAATTAAAGGCTGCAGTGAGCCATAATTGTGCCACTGCACTCCAATCTGGGTGAGAGAGAGAGACTTATGTCTCAAAAAAAGAAAAGGAAGGAGGTGGCTGACAAGATGGCCAAATAGGAGCAGCTCCGGTCTGTAGCTCTCAGCGATATCAACGCAAAAGGTGGGTGATTTCTGCATTTCCAACTGAGGTACCTGGCTCATCTCACTGGGACTGGTTAGATAGTGAGTGCATCCCATGGAGGGTGAGCCGAACGAAGCAGGGCGGGGCATTGCCTCACCCTGGAAGGACAAGGGGTCAGGGAACTCCTGCCCCTAGCCAAGGGAACCCGTGAGGGACTGTGTTGTGAGGAATGGTGCACTCTGGCCCAGATACTACACTTTTCCCACGGTCTTCTTAACCCACAGACTAAGAGATTCCCTCAGATGCCTACACCACCAGGGCCCTGGGTTTCAAGCACAAAACTGGGCGGCCATTTGAGCAGACACCAAGCTAGCTGCAGGAGTTTCTTTTTTATACCCCAGTGGCACCAGAAACACCAGTGAGAGAGAACCGTTCACTCCCCTGGAAAGGGAGCTGAAGCCAGGGAGACAAGTGGTCTAGCTCAGTGGATCCCACCCCAGTGGAGCCCAGCAAGCTAAGCTCCACTGGCCTGAAATTCTCGCTGCCAGCACAACAGTCTGAGGTCAAACTGGGACCCTCGAGCTTGGTGCGGGGAGGAGCATCCACCATTACTGGGGCTTCAGTAGATGGTTTTCCCCTCACAGTGTAAACAAAGCCAACGGGAACTTTGAACTGGGCAGAGCCCACCACAGCTCAGCAAAGCCGTTGTAGCCAGAATGCCTCTCTGGACTCCTCCTCTCTGGGCAGGGGATCTCTGAAAAAAAAGGCAGCAGCCCCAGTCAGGAGCTTATAGATAAAACCGCCATCTCCCTGGGACAGAGCACCTGGGGGAAGGCGCAGCTGTGGGCACACCTTCAGAGGACTTCAACATCCCTGCTTGCCAGCTCTGAAGAAAGCAGTGAATCTCCCAGCACAGCACTCGAGCTCTAAGGGACAGACTGCCTCCTCAAGTGGGTCCCTGATCCCTGTGCCTCCTGACTGGGAGACACCTCCCAGCAGGGGTCAACAGACACCTCATACAGGAGAGCTCCGGCTGGCATCTGGCGGGTGCCATTCTAGGATGAAGCTTCCAGAGGAAGGAACAGGCAGCAAGCTTTGCTTTTCTGAAGCCTCTGCTGGTGATACCTAGGCAAACATGGTCTGGAGTGTACCTCCAGCAAACTCCAACAGACCTGCAGCTGAGGGGCCTGTTAGAAGGAAAACTAACAAACAGAAAGGAATAGCATCAGCATGAACAAAAAAGATATCCACTCACAGACCCCATCTGAAGGTCACCAACATCAAAGACCAAAGATAGACAAATCCACGGAGATGAGGAAAAAACAGCCCAAAAAGCCTGAAAATTCCAAAAGCCAGAACGCCTCTTCTCTTCCGAAGGATCACAGCTCCTCACCAGCAAAGGAACAAAACTGGATGGAGAATGAGTTTGACGAATTCACAGAAGTAGGCTTCAGAAGGTGGGTAATAACAAACTCCTCCCGAGCTAAAGGAACGTGTTATAACCTATTGCAAGGAAGCTAAGAACCTTGAAAAAGTTTAGAGGGATTGCTAACTAGAAAAAACAGTTTAGAGAAGATCATAAATGACCTGATGGAGCTAAAAAAAGGCAGAACAATAACTTCGTGAAGCATACACAAGTATCAATAGCCAGAACGATCAATCAGAAAAAAGGATGCCAGAGATTGAAGATCAACTTAATGAAATAAAGCATGAAGACAAGATTAGAGAAAAAAGAATGAAAAGGAATGAACAAAGCCTCCAAAAAAATATGGGACTATGTGAAAAGACCAAACCTACATTTGATTGGTGTACCTGAAAGTGAGGGGAGAAAAGAACCAAGCTGGAAAATACTCTACAGGATGTTATCCAGGAGAACTTCCCCACTGTAGCAACAAAGACCAACATTCAAATTCAGGAAATATGGAGCACACCACAAAGACACTCCTCAAGAAGAGCAACCCCAAGATATATAATCGTCAGATTCAGCAAGGTTGAAATGAAGGAAAAAATATTAAGGGCAACCAGAGAGAGGTCGGGTTACACACAAAGGGAAGCCCATCAGACTAACAGTGGATCTGTCTTCAGAATCCCTACAAGACAGAAGAGAGTGGGGCCCAATTTTCAACATTCTTAAAGAATTTTCAACCCAGAAATTCACGTCTGCCAAACTAAGCTTCATAAGTGAAGGAGAAATAAAATCCTTTACAGACAAACAAATGTTGAGAGAGTTTACCACTACCAGGCCTGCCTTACAAGAGCTCCTGAACAAAGCACTAAACAAGGAAAGGAAAAACCAGTACCAGCAACTGCAAAAACATATCAAATTGTAAAGACCATCGACACCATAAAGATACTGCATAAACTAATGGACAAAACAACCAGCTAGCATCATAATGACAGGAGCAAATTCACACATAACAATATCAACCTTAAATGTAAATGGGCTAAATGCTCCAATTAAAAGACACAGACTGGCAAATTGGATAAAGAGTCTAGACCCATTGGTGTGCTGTATTCAGAAGACCCATCTCACCAGCAAAGACACAATAGGCTCAAAATAAAGGGATGGAGGAATATTTACCAAGGAAATGGAAAGCAAAAAAAGAAGCAGGGGTTGCAATCATAGTCTCTGATAAAACAGACTTTAAATCAACAAACATCAAAGGAGACAAAGAAGGCCATTACATAATGGTAAAGGGATCAATGCAACAAGAAGAGGTAGGTATCCTAAATATATATGCACCCAATAGAGAAGCACCAAGATTCATAAAGCAAGTTCTTAGAGACCTACGAAGAGACTTAGACTCCCCACAATGACAGTGGGAGACTTTAACACCCCACTGTCAATATTAGACATATCAATGAGACAGAAAATTAAGAAGGATAACCAGGACTTGAAATCAGCTTTGGACCAAGCAGACCTAATAGACATCTACAGAACTCTCCACCCCAAATCAACAGAATATACATTCTTCTCAGCACCACATCACACATATTCTAAAATTGACCACATAATTGGAAGTAAAACACTCCTCAGCAAATGCAAAAGAAAGGAAATCATAACAGTCTGTCAGACCACACTGCCATCAAATTAGAACTCAGCATTAAGAAACTCACTCAAAACTGCACAACTACATGGAAACTGAAAAACCTGCTCCTGAATGACTACTGGCTAAATAACGAAATTAAGGCACAAATAAATAAGTTATTTGAAACCAATGAGAACAAAGACACAATGTACCAGAATCTCTGGGACACAGCTAAAGCAGTGTGTAGAGGGAAACTTATAGCACTAAATGCCTACAAGAGAAAGCAGGAAAGATGCAAAACTGGCACCCTAACATCACAATTAAAAGAACTACAGAACCAAGAGCAAACAAATTCAAAGGCTAGCAGAAGACAAGAAATAACTAAGATCAGAGCAGAACTGAAGGAGATAGAGACATGAAAAACCCTTCAAAAAAATTAATGAATCCAGCAATTGGTTTTTTGAAAAGATCAACAAAATAGGTAGACTGCTAGCCAGACTAATAAAGAAGAAAAGAGAGAAGAATCAAATAGACACAATAAGAAATGATAAAGGGGATATCACCACTGATTCCCAAAGAAATACAAACTACCATCAGAGAATACTATAAACACCTCTATGCAAATATACTAGAAAATCTAAAAGAAATGGATAAATTCCTGGACACATACACCCTCCCAAGACTAAACCAGGAAGAAGTCGAATCCCTGAATAGACCAATAACAAGTTCTGAAATTGAGGCAGTAATTAATAGCCTACCAACCAAAAAAAGTCCAGGACCAGATGCATTCACAGCTGAATTCCACCAGAGGTACAAGAGGAGCTGGTACTATTCCTACTGAAACTATTCCAAACAACAGAAAAAGACGGACTCCTCCCTAACTCATTTTATGAGGGCAGCATCATCCTGATAACAAAACCTGGCAGAGACACAACAAAAAAAGAAAGTTGCAGGCCAATATCCCTGATGAACATCAATGCGAAAATCCTCAATAAAATACTGGCAGATCAAATCCAGCAACATATCAAAAAGTTTACCCACCACGATCAAGTCAGCTTCATCCCTGGGATGCAAGGCTGGTTCAACATACACAAATCAATAAATGTAATCCATCACATAAACAGAACAAATGACAAAAAACAACATAATTATCTCAATAAATGCAGAAAAGGCCTTCAATAAAATTCAACAGCTCTTCATGCTAAAAACTCTCAATAAACTAGGTATTGATGGAATGTATCTCAAAATAATAAGAGCTATTTATGACAAACCCACAGCCAATATCATACTGAATGGGCAAAAGCTGGAAGCATTCCCTTTGAAAACCAGCACAAGACAAGGATGCCCTTTCTCACGACTCCTATTCAGCACAGTATTGGAAGTTCTGGCCAGGGCAATCAGGCAAGAGAAAGAAATAAAGGGTATTCAATAAGAAAAAGAGGAAGTCAAATTGTCTCTGTTTGCAGATGACATGATTGTCTATTTAGAAAACCCCACCGTCTCAGCCCAAAATCTCCTTAAGCTGATAAGTAACTTCAGCAAAGTCTCAGGATACAAAATCAATGTGCAAAAATCACAAGCATCCCTATACACCAATATTAGAGAGCCAAATTATGAGCAAACTCCCATTCAAAATTGCTGCAAAGAGAATAAAATACCTAGGAATACAATTTACATGGGATAGGAAGGACCTCTTCAAGGAGAACTACAAACCACTGCTCAATGAAATCAGAGAGGACACAAACAAATGGAAAAACATTCCATGCTCATGGATAGGAAGAATCAATATCATGAAAACGGCCATACTGCCCAAAGTAATTTATAGATTCAATGCTATCCCCATCAAGCTACCATTGACTTTCTTCACAGAATTGGAAAAACTACTTTAAATTTCATATGGAAACAAAAAAGAGCCCACATAGCCAAGACAATCCTAAGCCAAAAGAAACAAAGCTGGAGGCATCATGCTACCTGACTTCAAACTATAGAAGGCTACAGTAACCAAAACAGCATGGTACTGGTACCAAAACAGATATATAGACCAATGGAACACAACAGAGGCCTCAGAAATAACACCACACATCTACAACCATCTGATCTTTGACAAATCTGATAAAAAGAAGCAACGGGGAAAGGATTCCCTATTAAATAAATGGTGTTGGGAAAACTGGCTAGACAAATGCAGAAAACTGAAACTGGATGCCTTCGTTACACCTTACACAAAAACTAACTCAAGATGGATTAAAGACTTAAACGTAAAACCTAAAACCATAAAAACCCTAGAAGAAAACCTGAGCAATATCATTCAAGACATTGGCATGGGCAAAGACTTCATGACTAAAACACCAAAAGCAATGGCAACAAAAGCCAAAATTGAGGGGACTTCAAGATGGCCGAATAGGAACAGCTGCAGTCTACAGCTCCCAGCAAGATCGACGCAGAGGACGGGTGATTTCTGCATTTCCAACTGAGGTACCTGGTTCATCACATTGAGACTGGTTAGACAGTGGGTACAGCCCACGGAGGAAGAGCAGAAGCAGGGCAGGGCATCACCTCACCCAGGAGGTGCGAGGGGTTGGAGATTTCCCTTTCCTACCCAAGGGAAGCCGTGAGAGAGGGACGAATGCTACACTCCTGCCCAAATACTGCACTTTGCCCACGGTCTTCGCAACCGGCAGACCACAAGATTCTCTCAGGTGCCTGGCTCAGCAGGTCCCACACCCACAGAACCCAGCAAGCTAAGATCCATTGGTTTGAAATTCTCGCTGCTAGCGCAGAAGTCTGAGATCGAACTGGGACGCTGGAGCTTGGCGGGGAGAAGGATGTCTGCCACTGCTGGAGCTTCAGTAGGCGGTTTTATGCCCACAGTGTAAACGAAGTTGCCAGGAAGCTCAAACTGGGCGAAGCCCACCACAGCTCAGCAAGGCTGACTGTCTCTCTAGATTCTATCTCTGTGGGCAGGGCATATCTGAACAAAAGGCAGCAGCCCCAGTCAGGGACTTATAGACAAAATCTTCATCTCCCTGGGACAGAGTACCTGGGGAAAGGTGCAGCTGCCAGCACAGCTTCAGCAAACTTAAACAACCCTGCCTGACAGATCTAAAGAGAGCAGTGGATCTCCCAGCACTGCGTTTGAGCACTGATAGCGGACAGACTGCCTCCTCAAGTGGGTCGACCCCCATGTACCCTAACTGGGAGTCACCTCCCAGTAGGGGCCGACAGACACCTCATACAGGAGAACTCTGGCTGGCATGTGGCGGGTGCCCCTCTGGGACAAAGCTTCTGGAGGAAGGAAAAGGCAGCAATATTAGCTGCTCTGTAGCCTCCACTGGTGATACCCAGGCAAACACAGTCTGGAGTAGACCTCCAGCAAACTCCAACAGACCTCCAGCTGAGGAGCCTGACTGTTAGAAGTAAAACTAACAAACAGAAAGGAATAGCATCAACATCAACAAAAAGGACATCCACACCAAAACCCCATCCGCAGGTCACCAACATCAAAGACCAAAGATGGGGAGAAACCAGAGCCTCAAGACTGAAAATTCTAAAAACTAGAACACTTCTTCTCCTCCAAGGGATCACAACTCCTAACCAGCAAGGGAACAAAACTGGACGGAGAATGAGTTTGATGAGTTGACAGAAGTAGGTTTCAGAAGGTGGCTAATAACAAACTTCTCCAAGCTAAAGGAGCATGTTCTAACCCATCACAAGAAAGCTAAAAACCCTGAGAAAAGGGCAGAGGAACAGCTAACTAGAATAACCAGTGTAGAGAAGAAAATAAATAACCTGATGGAGCTGAAAAACACAGCACAAGAATGTCATGAAGCATACACAAGCTTCAATAGCCGAATCAATCAAGCGGAAGAAAGGATATCAGTGACTGAGTTCAAATTAATGAAATAAAGCGAGAAGACAAGATTAGAGAAAAAAAGAATGAAAAGAAACAAACAAAGCCTCCAAGAAATGTGGGACTAGTGAAAAAACCAAATCTGTGTTTGAATGGTGTACCTAAAAGTGATGGGGAGAATTAAACCAAGTTAGAAAACACTCTTCAGGATATTATCCAGGAGAACTTCCCCAACTTAGCAAGGCAGGCCAACATTCAAATTCAGGAAATACAGAGAACACCACAAATATTCCTCGAGAAGTATAACTCCAAGACACATAATCATCAGATTCACCAAGGTTGAAATGAAGGAAAAAATGTTAAAGGCAACCAGAGAGAAAGGTTGGGTTACCCACAAATGGAAGCCCATCAGACTAATAGCGGATCTCTTGGCAGAAACCATACAAGCCAGAAGAGAGTGGGGGCCAATATTCAACATTCTTAAAAAATGTTTCAACCCAGAATTTCATATCCAGCCAAACTAAGCTTCGTAAGTGAAGGAGAAATAAAATCCTTTACAGACAAGCAAAGGCTGAGGTATTTTGTCACCACAAGGCCTGCCTTACAAGAGCTCCTGAACAAAGAACTAAACATGGAAAGGAACAACCAGTACCAGTCACTGCAAAAACATGCCAAATTGTAAAGACCATTGACGCTATGAAGAAACTGCATAAACTAACAGGCAAAACAACCAGCTAGCATCATAATGACAGGAGCAAATTCACACATAACAATATTAACCTTAAATGTAAATAGGCTAAATGCCCCAATTATAAGACACAGGCAAATTGGATAGAGTAAAGACCCATCAGTGTGCTGTATTCAGGAGACCCATCTCACGTGCAAAGACACACATAGGCTCAAAATAAAGGGATAGAGGAAGATCTTCCAAGCAAATGGAGAGCAAAAAAAAGCAGGGGTTGCAATCCTAGTCTCTGATAAAAACAGACTTTAAACCAACAAAGAACAAAAGAGACAAAGAAGGCCATTATATAATGGTAAAGGGATCAATTCAACAAGAAGAGCTAACTATCCTAAATATATATGCACCCAATACAGGAGCAGTGAGATTCATAAAGCAAGTTCTTAGAGACCTAGAAAGAGACTTAGAGTCCCACACAATAATAATGGGAGATTTTAACACTCCACTGTCAATATTAGACATATCAATGAGACAGAAAATTAACAAGGATAGCCAGGACTTGAACTCAACTCTGGACCAAGCAGACCTAATAGACATCTACAGAACTCTCCACCTCAAATCAATAGAATATACATTCTTCTCAGCACCACATCACACATATTCTAAAACTGACCACATAATTGGAAGTAAAACACTCCTCAACAAATATGAAAAAACAGAAATCATTACAAACTTTCTCAGACCACAGTGCACTCAAATTAGAACTCAGGATTAAGAAACTCACTCAAAACTGCACAACTACATGGAAACTGAACAACCTGCTCCTGAATGACTACTGGCTAAATAACAAAATAAAGGCACAAATAAATAAGTTCTTTGAAACCAATGAGAACAAAGACAGAACATACCAGAATCTCTGGGACATATTTAAGCAGTGTGTAGAGGGAAATTTATAGCACTAAATGCCCACAAGAGAAAGGAGGAAAGATCTAAAATCGACCCCCTAACATCACAATTAAAAGAACTAGAGAAGCAAGAGCAAACAAATTGAAAAGCTAGAAGGCAAGAAGTAACTAAGATCAGAGCAGAACTGAAGGAGATAGAGGTACGAAAAACCCCTCAAAAAAAAAAAAATCAATGAATCCAGGAGCTGGTTTTTTGAAAAGATCAACAAAATAAATACACTGCTAGCCAGACTAATAAAGAAAAGAGAGAAGAATCAAATAGATGCAATAAAAAGGGATAAAGGGGATATAACCATCGATCCCACAGAAATACAAACTACCATCAGAGAATACTATAAACACCTCTATGCAAAAAAATTGGAAAATCTACGAAAAATGGATAAATTCCTGGATGCATATACCTGCCCAAGACTACCAGGAAGAAGTTGAATCTCTGAATGGACCAATAACAGTTTCTGAAATTGAGGTAGTAATTAATAGCCTACCAACCAAAAACAGTCCAGGACCAGACAGATTCACGGCCGAATTCTACCAGAGGTACAAAGAGGAGCTGGTACCATTCCTTCTGAAACTATTCCAAACAATAGAAAATGGCCATACTGCCCAAAGTAATTTATAGATTCAATGCTATCCCCATCAAGCTACCACTGACTTTCTTCACAGAATTAGAAAAAACTACTTTGGTGGGGGTGGAGCCAAGACGGCTGAATAGGAACAGCTCCAGTCTACAGCTCCCAGCATGAGCGACACAGAAGACGGGGATTTCTGCATTTCCAACTGAGGTACCAGGTTCATCTCACTGGGGAGTGTCAGACAGTGGGTACAGGATAGTGGGTGCAGCGCACTGAGCGTTAGCAGAAGCAGGGCGAGGCATCGCCTCACCTGGGAAGTGCATGAGGTCGGGGAACTCCCGGACAGATGGCACCTGGAAAATCAGGTCTCTCCCACCCAAATACTGCGCTTTTCCAATGGTCTTAGCAAACAGCACACCAGAAGATTATATCCCATGCCTGGCACAGAGGGTCCTGCGCCCACGGAGCCTCGGTCATTGCTAGCACAGCAATCTGAGATCAAACTGCAAGGTGGCAGCGAGGCAGTGGGAGGGGCGCCCGCCATTGCTGAGGCTTGAGTAGGTAAACAAAGCAGCCAGGAAGCTCGAAGTGGATGGAGCCCACCACAGCTCAAGGAGGCCTGCCTTCCTCTATAGACTTCACCTCTCGGGGCAGGGCATAGCCAAACAAAAGGCAGCAGAAACCTCTGTAGACTTAAATGTCCCTGTCTGACAGCTTTGAAGAGAGTAGTGGTTCTCCCAGCACGTAGTTGGAGATCTGAGAACAGACAGACTGCCTCCTCAAGTGGGTCCCTGACTCCCGAGTAGCCTAACTGGGAGGCACCCCCAAGTAGGGGCAGACTGACACCTCAAACGGCCAGGTACTCCTCTGAGACAAAACTTCCAGAGGAATGATCAGGCAGCAACATTTGCTGTTCACCAATATCCGCTGTTGTGCAGCCTCCACTGCTGATACCTAGGCAAACAGGGTCTGGAGTGGACCTCCAGCAAACTCCAACAGACCTGCAGCTGAGGGTCTTGACTGTTAGAAGGAAAACTAACAAACAGAAAGGACATCCACACCAAAACCCCATCTGTACGTCACCATCGTCAAAGACCAAAGGTAGATAAAACCACAAAGATGAGGAAAAACAGAGCAGAAAAACTGGAAACTCTAAAAATCAGAGCGCCTCTCCTCCTTCAAAGGAACACAGCTCCTCACCAGCAACGGAACAAAGCTGGATGGAGAATGACTTTGACGAGCTGAGAGAAGAAGGCTTCAGACGATCAAACTACTCCAAGCTAAAGGAGGAAGTTTGAACCCATGGCAAAGAAGTTAAAAACCTTGAAAAAAAATTAGACGAATGGCTAACTAGAATAACCAATGCAGAGAAGTCCTTAAAGGACCTGATGGAGGTGAAAACCAAGGCACGAGAACGACGTGACGAATGCACAAGCCTCAGTAGCCGATTTGATCAACTGGAAGAAAGTGTATCAGTGATGGAAGATCAAATGAATGAAATGAAGCGAGAAGAGAAGTTTAGAGAAAAAAGAATTAAAAGAAATGAACAAAGCCTCCAAGAAATATGGGACTATGTGTGAAGACCAAATCTACGTCTGATTGGTGTACCTGAAAGAGAAGGGGAGAATGGAACCAAGTTGGAAAACACTCTGCAGGATATTATCCAGGAGAACTTCCCCAATCCAGCAAGGCAGACCAACATTCAAATTCAGGAAATACAGAGAACGCCACTAAGATACTCCTCGAGAAGAGCAACTCTAAGACACATAATTGTCAGAGTCACGAGTCACCAAAGTTGAAATGAACGAAAAAATGTTAAGGGCAGCCAGAGAGAAAGGTCGGGTTACCCACAAAGTGAAGCCCATCAGACTAACAGCTGATCTCTTGGCAGAAACTCTACAAGCCAGAAGAGAGTGGGGGCCTACATTCAACATTCTTAAAGAAAAGAATTTTCAACAAAGATCAAGAGAGACAAAGAAGGCCATTACGTAATGGTCAAGGGATCAATTCAACAAGAAGAGCTAACTATCCTCAATATATATGCACCCAATACAGGAGCACCCAGATTCATAAAGCAAGTCCTTAGAGACCTACAAAGAGACTTAGATTCCCACACCATAATAATGGGAGACTTTAACACCCCACTGTCAACATTAGATCAACGAGACAGAAAGTTAACAAGGATATCCAGGAACTGAACTCAGCTCTGCACCAAGTGGACCTAATAGACATCTACAGAACTCTCCATCCCAAATCAACAGAATATACATTCTTTTCAGCACCACACCACACCTATTCCAAAATTGACCACATAGTTGGAAGTAAAGCACTCCTCAGCAAATATAAAAGAACAGAAATTATAATAAACTGTCTCTCAGACCACAGTGCAATCAAACTAGAACTCAGGATTAAGAAACTCACTCAAAACCGCTCAACTACATGGAAACTGAACAACCCGCTCTTGAATGACTACTGGGTACATAAAGAAATGAAGGCAGAAATAAAGATGTTCTTTGAAACCAACGAGAACAAAGATACAATATACCAGAATCTCTGGGACACAGTAAAAGCAGTATTTAGAGGGAAATTCATAGCACTAAATGCCCACAAGAGAAAGCAGGAAAGATCTAAAATTGACACCCTAACATCAAAATTAAAAGAACTAGAAAAGCAAGAGCAAATACATTCAAAAGCTAGCAGAAGGCAAGAAATAACTAAGATCAGAGCAGAACTGAAGGAAATAGAGACACAAAAAACCCTTCAAAATAATCAATGAATCCAGGAGCTGGTTTTTTGAAAAGATCAACAAAATTGATAGACCGATAGCAAGACTAATAAAGAAGAAAAGAGAGAAGAATCAAATAGATGCAATAAAAAATGATAAAGGGGATATCACCACCAATCCCACAGAAATACAAACTACCATCAGAGAATACTATAAACACCTCTGCGCAAATAAACTAGAAAATCTAGAAGAAATGCATAAATTCCTCGACACATACACCCTCCCAAGACTAAACCAGGAAGAAGTTGAATCTCTGAATAGACCAATAACAGGCTCTGAAATTGATGCAATAATTAATAGCTTACCAACCAAAAAAAGTCCAGGACCAGATGGATTCACAGCCGAATTCTACCAGGGGTACAAGGAGGAGCTGCTACCATTCCTTCTGAAACTATTCCAATCAATAGAAAAAGAGGGAATCCTCCCTAAATCATTTTATGAGGCCAGCATCATCCTGATACCAAAACCTGGCAGAGACACAACAAAGAAGGAGAATTTTAGACCAATATCCCTGATGAACATCGATGCAAAAATCCTCAATAAAATACTGGCAAACCGAATCCAGCAGCACATCAAAAATCTTATCCACCATGATCAAGTGGGCTTCATCTCTGGGATGCAAGGCTGCTTCAACATACACAAATCAATAAACGTAATCCAGCATATAAACAGAGCCAACAACAAAAACCACATGATTATCTCAATACCTGCAGAAAAGACCTTTGACAAAATTCAACAACCCTTCATGCTAAAAACTCTCAATAAATTAGGTACTGATGGGACGTATCTCAAAATAAGAGCTATCTATGACAGACCCACAGCCAATATCATACTGAATGGGCAAAAACTGGAAGCATTCCCCTTGAAAACTGGCACAAGACAGGGATGCCCTCTCTCACCACTCCTATTCAACATAGTGTTGGAAGTTCTGGCCAGGGCAATCAGGCAGGAGAAGGAAATAAAGGGTATTCAATTAGGAAAAGAGGAAGTCAAATTGTCCCTGTTTGCAGATGACATGATTGTATATCTAGAAAACCCCATCGTCTCAGCCCAAAATCTCCTTAAGCTGATAGGCAACTTCAGCAAAGTCTCAGGACACAAAATCAATGTGCAAAAAATCACAAGCATTCTTATACGCCAATAACAGACAAACAGAGAGCCAAATCATGCGTGAACTCCCATTCACAATTGCTTCAAAGAGAATAAAATACCTAGGAATCCAACTTACAAGGGATGTGAAGGACCTCTTCAAGGAGAACTACAAACCACTGCTCAATGAAATAAAAGAGGACACAAACAAATGGAAGAACATTCCATGCTCATGGGTAGGAAGAATCAATATCGTGAAAATGGCCACACTGCCCAAGGTCATTTACAGATTCAATGCCATCCCCATCAAGCTACCAATGACTTTCTTCACAGAATTGGAAAAAACTACTTTAAAATTCATATGGAACCAAAAAAGAGCCCGCATTGCCAAGTCAATCCTGAGCCAAAAGAACAAAGCTGGAGGCATCATGCTACCTGACTTCAAACTATACTACACAGTAACCAAAACAGCAAGGTACTGGTACCAAAACAGAGATATAGACCAATAGAACAGATCAGAGCCCTCAGAAATAACGCCGCATATCTACAACTATCTGATCTTTGACAAACCTGACAAAAACAAGATATGGGGAAAGGATTCCCTATTTAATAAATGGTGCTGGGAAAACTGGCTAGCCATATGTAGAAAGCTGAAACTGGATCCCTTCCTTACACCTTGTACTAAAATTAATTCAAGATGGATTAAAGACTTACATGTTAGACCTAAAACCATAAACACCCTAGAAGCAAACCTAGGCAATACCGTTCAGGACATAGGCATGGGCAAGGACTTCATGTCTAAAGCACCAAAAGCAATGGCAACAAAAGCCAAAATTGACAAATGGGATCTAATTAAACTAAAGAGCTTCTGCACAGCAAAAGAAACAATCATCAGAGTCAACAGGCAACCAAAAGAACGGGAGAAAATTTTTACCATCTACCCATCTGACAAAGGGCTAATATCCACAATCTACAAAGGACTTAAACAAATTTACAAGAAAAAAACAACCCCATCAAAAAGTGGGCAAAGGATATGAACAGACACTTCTCAAAAGAAGACATTTACACAGCCAACAGACATATGAAAAAATGCTCATCATCACTAGTCATTAGAGAAATGCAAATCAAAACCACAATGAGATACCATCTCATGCTAGTTAGAATGGTGATCATTAAAAAGTCAGGAAACAACAGATGCTGGAGAGGATGTGGAGAAACAGGAAAGCTTTTATGCTGTTGGTGGGAGTGTAAATTAGTTCAACCATTGTGGAAGACAGTGTAGTGATTCCTTAAGGATCTAGAATTAGAATTACCATTTGACCCAGCAATCCCATTACTAGGTATATACCCCAAGGATTATAAATCATTCTACTCTAAAGACACATACACATGTATGTTTATTGCAGCACTATTCACAATAGCAAAGACATGGAACCAACCCAAATGCCCATCAATGATAGACCGGATAAAGTAAATGTGGCACATATACACCATAGAATACTATGCAACCATAAAAAAGGGTGAGTTCATGTCCTTTGCAGGGACATGGATGAAGCTGGAAACTGTCATTCTCAGCAGACTAACACAAGAACAGGAAACCCAACACCTCATGTTCTCACTCATAGGTGGGAGTTGAACAATGAGAACACCTGGACACAGGGAGGGGAACATCACACACTGGGGCCTGTCGGAGGTGGGGGGCTAGGGGAGGGATAACATTAGGAGAAATTCCTAATGTAGATGACGGGTTGATGGGTGCAGCAAACCACCCTGGCACTTGTATAGCTATGTAACAAACCTGCACATTCTGCACGTGTATCCCAGAACTTAAAGCATAATAAAAGAAGGAAGGCAAGGAAGGAAGGAAGGAAAGGAAGGAAGGAAGGAAAGGAAGGAAGGCAGGCAGGCAGCCAAGAACATGTAAACAAATATCTGTGGCTTTACAAAAACACAGGAAGAATAGATGAGAAATCATGACATTGTTTACTCACACAGGATTGGCTAGAATGTGTGGAACAAAGGAGGGAAGAAAATTCCCTGAGTATACGTTTTCAGATCTTTTTAATATTCTTTAATTTTTTCTTTTATCCGCTTTTAAGTTCTGGAGTACATGTCCAGGATGTGCAGATTTATTACACAGGTAAACGTGTGTCATGGTGGTTTGCTGCACAGGTCAACCCCATCACCTAGGTATTAAGGTCTAGCATCCACTAGCTGTTCTTCCTGATACTCTCCCTAATATTCTAATACCAAATAAATGTAATTAAGCCAGCAAGGATGGGAAGGGGGTAGGGGGTGGGGAAGACTCATATTAAAAGCAAACTCATCTCTAAACCAGAAATAATAGCAATATCTATACAAGTAAATACATGTACTCAGAACAGTGCCTACTACATGTAAACACTGAACAGGTGTTAGCAACATTGCCATTATTGTGTTAGTATATTAGGTACCTGGTGCTACCGGCAAAACCAGTTTATCATCCAACTGTCTCCAGTGTTGCTACTCAAAGTTTGGTCCTCCAGTAGCCTATCAGGATCACCCAGGGGCCTGTTAGAAAGGCACATCTCAGACCCCACCCCAGACCTACTGAATCAGAATCTGCGTTTTTAACGGGATCCGCAGGTGATTCCTATGCACATTAAAGTGTAAGAAGTACTGGGCTACAGACAGGTATGTGACAAAATAATTTCATAGGATGGCAAAGGCCAAGTGGCAAATGAAGGACACCAGAAATGCACGTCCCAGGAGCCCAACTCCTCCTTAGTAAATTACCCTATTAAGATTTGTTTAGAGATGTTCAAAAGCGTGGAGAAAAGCAAATTTGGTTTCCTCAGCTAGGGACGCGGAGAGTGGTCTGGTGCCCTTGAAGAGATCGCCCTCGTGTGGAGTAGGGAGGGAATCTCTAGCCTTTCCTCTCGGATGAAGAACAGCACCAGCGCTCCCAGCCAAAGGCCTGGCCCAGGTTCTGGAGGTGGGGTCTCCTTGGCAGAAGCCTCTGGTGTCTGCAGGCGTGCATTTACAGCTTTAAGACCAAACAGCTAGTCCGCCACGTGTCACTACAGTGTGCACGCGCAGAAATGCACAAAGCAAAAAAAAAAAAAAAGATGCTCTTAATGAACCAACTATAATCCTTGCTAAGGCATAAAGCCAGAGGGAAGTATGTATCTGAAATCATTTTCTACCCCTCACCCTCTTGGAGCCCGGCACTCTGGCTGCGGTGCTCTCTTGTATCCCAGTTGCTAGATGCAAAACAAGCTATTTCCTATCTAATTTTTTTTTTTAAGAGACGGAGTCTCGCTTTGTTGCCCAGGCTGGTCTCAAACTCCTGGACTCAAGCAATTCTCCCAGCTTGGGGTAACGTGTTACATTATTCTACTTAATAAAAAGCAAAAGTTGTTTTATAAATTCTAACTTAAATGCCCAGAAAATAACTTATCATGCATTGCCTTGTCGTGCAATAGTCAATATTTGCAAACCAAGTGTTAACCAAAGGCAGTTCATCAAAGATTTTTGAAAATTAAAAAAAAAAAAAAACTCATACTCACATTGTCCTCAGGATTTCCTGTTTTCGAAATGTTCCTGTACGAATCGGAGTCTCTATAATGATTGTAATTGAAAAGATAAGTCAGGTTTTTTGTGTTTTTTTTTCATTTTAAAATCATAATACGCAATGTTTTCCACTTGAACGCTATACCTTGTGTATTGTGCTTGCTTCAGCCTCGAGCCTCTACTGATGTTCCACCTCAAGGCGACAGGAATGCCACCTGGAGAAACTCCTGGGCGGTATGGGAAGAAAGCCGGTCTCATCAGAGTATATTTGCGGGGATCGACGACCAAGGTGTTAAATTCCAAGCACGCTTTGGAAAGTTCTAGGTGCTTGGGAAGAGATCCGTAGGCGGCAGGGATGCCCGCGCCCCGGCGTCCCAGCGCGGAGGGTGGCGGCGGGGCCTGGCCCTAGCGGGGCGGGGCGGGCTCGGGTTACCGGGAGTCGCGGGGCGCGGCCGGCACTGCCCGCGGCGCCTCCTCCTAGAGCCGCACCTGGAGGCAGCGCGCGCGTCGAAGAGGCAGCGGCTGTGGAGCGCGGCGGGGCGGCTCCGCCCAGGGCAGCCCGGGCTGGTGAGTGCGCGCGGGCGGCCGCGGGGCCGGGGGTCGCGGTCCCTCGGGAGGGGACTGAGCTGAGGCCCGCGGGCCCACCCGAGCAGGGGCCCTCGCTGTCACCGCCTCTGCCCCTGTCTCCCAGGCCCCATGTCGCGCTTTTTCCCTAAACGAACCGGTGACAGGGCTGACCTGCCCGCACTCTGCTGGTCCCTACGCCGGGAAGGAGAAAGTCTCACGAAGCTCTTTCCTTTGCAACCCCTGTCCCCTTGCCCTCTGCAGCTCCACACAGCATTTTTACTTCCCGTTTGCCTCCTCGAATCCCTTCGGTGCTAATCCAGCCCTTCGCCGTTTCCAGTTTGGGTCTGGCCTGTTTGTATCCAAATCGAATTACACAAAACCAGGCCCTCAGTTCTGCCTCTGGCCCTCTTTCCGGAGACGGGCCCTGCCTCCTCCTGTGCCGGGCTGGGCTTGCCCGGCATTGGCCGCCCGGAGCTCCCAGGGAGCAAGGCTGTGGTCCCGAAACTGGGCCCTCCGCTCAGCGCCGGGCAAGGCTCAAACCCCGGGTCTCTGACTTATCCGGTCACGAAGGGACTGCTCAGAGCCTAACAGCCCTAAAATTTGGTATTGGCCCCCTCCCGGGAAATCCTTCTCCCTACCAATCAGGCATCGCGGCAGGTGCTCTGCCATCATAGAGGCTCTGACACGCTGAACTCTCGAAGCTCGCGGCAGTGTTTATTTTTAGGAGAGATTTAGTTGATCGGGAACCAATTGACTTGGTTGACTGCCTCATCTAGTGCGCACCTGGGCCGGGCCCCGCCGGGAAGGCGTGCTGGACGTTCTCAGTGAGCTCCGAGACCTACAGAAGAAACAGCTGCAAGGATCCGATCAGCTAGCTGTGAAGAAAGCCTCAGATACGCTGTGGGGTGGGCAAAATTCTTTTCCTAGCTTCGATGAGTACTGTGGATTCTAGAATTTAAACAACATTCATGGAGACTCTTAAAACAACAAAAAATATCAACTTTTTGCGGGCACAGACTGAGATTTAGCTTTTTCCTATCTGAAAACTGAACAATGTGCACTAGATATAAATGTATTATCTAAAGTTTAGGAATTTACAGCATAGAAATGCAGGGGAATTCGGAGTATGCAATACGAAGTATCAACCTTTTTGAAAATGAAATTTAAAATGTATTTTTGTCAGGCATTCCTTCTAATTACGGTAGTATTGCTTTGTATCAGAAGACTTTCAGGCAAAGGACAGGAGGGAAGAGAGAGAAATTCAAACTAATTTGCATTAGAAAGAAACTTAGGGTGAAGAATTGCCTAGGTAAGGTTGCTATAGCTCATATCTTAAGTGCACTCTTGGAAAGCTTTCTAGTCTATTAGGTAACACCTGAAGCCCCAATTCTCTTATGTAGCATTTCTTTTTTTCTCTCTTTAACTACTCTGAAACTATACAGAGTTACACGTTCCTCATTAATTTATGAGTGAAACCAAAAGAATTGACTCAATCCAACAAGTATTTGAGTGCTTTTCGCATAGAGGCGCTTTGCTAAGAACAGAAGAATGGAAGACTGAGGAAGTTTCTAACAATCAATGGATTGCCTTGTGAGGTGTAGATGCAGGTGTGCACTGCCTATTTAATTGACGATCAAAGTCAGTTGAGTTTTCATCTCATTCTAAATATCATGTGTTGCCCCCTGGTATCTTAATTTTTCTACCGTTGCAGGTAGTCTGCATTTTAGTAACCCAAGTGAAACAGTTTTCTAGGGAAATCATGATAAATAGGAAGCACGTCCGTATTCCCAGGTGTTCTCATTATCATTAAGTTAATAAAGTTAAGAAAAATAAGATGATGATTTTCCTTTCTTTTGGTTTCAAACTAGTGAAATCTTGCACAAAAGACACAGCATGGATAAATTTAATCATTTTGTGACTCAGAGTACATTTTATGTAAGTCCATTCTGTTGGAGGATAGATCCAATTTCATGAACTCTTTTAATCCTTCTTTTGAAGACTAGTTCCAGGACCAACTTCATAAAATGTTTTATTGTAGGTACCAACAACTATCAACATCATTATCTTCTCCCCACCTTCACCCTTGAAAACAATTGTATTCTAGAGGATTATGAAGGAGGGGACAGGACTCTTTCAAAATCTGGAGGACACTAGGGACTTACCCCAGAAAAAAAATAAAAAAGCTCACCCATTCAAAATCTTGTACACCTTTCAGAGGATTCCTGGTGCCCAGGTTATGAAAGCTCACTTCAGAACGGGTCAGCGAATTAGTCAGAGGATAGGTAGATGGAGGGAAAGGGAAATGAAGCAATGTGGGTAAATTCACAAACTGAGTGGATATGACTTAATTTACTTTCAAATAGAATAAATACATGGCCCCTTGAGTAAGTATTCTGTGAATGGGAAGGAATAATTGTATTCTTTGTAAAAGACTGAAGACAGATTAGCCTAATTAAGTTTTTAATTGATCAAGATCAACTCTTATCTTGAACATTATGAGTCTCTCATTTTTCTACTTTTCTTGCTCTTTTCAAGGCAACTGCTCTAAGAGGATTTGCTCCCACTACTGATGATGCCCCATTCTGGACACAATTTCTCATATGCAAACTTGTATTCATGAATTGCTACATATGGGAATGGCTGAGTTCAAAAATTGAACTATATCTTTCTCACATCCTAGCAGTTCACCCTTAGGAAGAAGATATAATTATATATAATTAGTCTATCGCATGTAAGCCACTGTGATAGCAGTAGCTGTGCCTTGGAAGGGAGTGGGTTGGTATTAGGAATGAAAGGAGAGCGTTAAGAAATATTTTGGACATAGCTTCTTTCAAAAAACAAACCAACAACTGCTGAATTAACTTCCTTTTCTTCTTCTATACATAGGGCCAAGGAGCGAGCTCTCCCTTCTCCTGCTCTCAGCCTCAGTGATCAAGGCTTCAGTGAACTGCACTGGAGCTCCCAGCGGGGGATCTTGTCCCCTGTCCCGACTTTTGTGCTGCACATTGGATCTGGGTAAGTAGACGGCCCCCTGGAACTAGTAAATAGGAGAGTGGGTCAGAGGTAGTAATGGATTTTATCCAGATCAAAGGATTCCTCAAAATTTCCAGAGGTCTAAATCACACACCACTATTTGGAAGAAAAGTATAAGACAGAATGCCAGAACCATCACACCTTACACTTACCTTTTAACTTGGATCAGGATCAGCCTAAGATATCCTTAGCTATCAACCAGCTTTGACTTACAGTATTCTTGAGTGGCAACTAGGTGGTGGGCCAACAACCCTAGAATGTACTTAATAGATGCTTACTGGATTTGTAAATTAATGGAGATCATGGTTTTAAGCCAAGCTCTGCCACTAACCAGGCATATGATCTTGGGCAAGTCACAGGTTAGTTAAATTCTTTGGACCTTAATTTTTCTACGTATAAAATGAGGGTGTTTTATGGGACCAATGGTTCTCAGCAACCAATGTATAATTCCATTGCATTTGCATTGCCTGGGAGTTTATTTAGAAAAAACCCAACAGAGATTCTGATTAATTATTAATCAGATTTATTCTGAGGATAAAGTCCTTAGTGTTCCCTAGATTTTGAAAAAGACCTGTCCCCTCCCTCATGGCCCTCCAGAATACAATCGTTTTCAATAGTGAAAGTGTGGGCCAGGCTCAGTGGCTCACACCTGTAATCCCAGCACTTTGGGAGACCGAGGAGGGTGTACCATTTGAGGCCAGGAGTTCGAGACCAGCTTGGCCAACATAGCAAAACCCTGTCTCTACTAAAAATATAAAAATTAGCCAGGCGTGGTGGCACATGCCTGTAATCCCAACTACTCGGGAGGCTGAAACAGAAGAATCAAACCCAGGAGGTGGAGGTTGCAGTGAGCCGAGATTGCGCCACTATACTCCAGCCTGGGCAACAAGAGCGAGACTCAGTCTCAAAGAAAATTAAAAAAAAAAGAGTGATGAAGGTGGGGAGGAGACAATGGACTGGCATAGGCCCAGGCATCTTTATTTTTTAAAAGTAACCCCAGCAAATACTAATGTCCAGTCAGGATTGAGAATCACTGGGTTAAGTGATTGCTAAGAACTGATTCTAAGATTGTGTCATCTTAGGATGGAAAGCAGGCCCACAGAGTCCCTGTTAAACATAGCCTGGCCCAGCATTGCGCCTCCTCTGTGGTAACCAAACCTAAACATGCCTTTCTCAGAAGCAGTCCAGATGAAGCCATTTCAGGTTATTCGGGGGGAGCTGCTGTGCCTGCTCACCTTTTTGATATTCCCACAATGCTTTGCTGACTTTGCAGCACCCAGTAGTTTTTGATGGACTGAATTAGGTGTAATTCTGCCTATCCAGGATGATCAGCTGTTCCTAAAGGTCCCCAGAGACGATAACATCTCTGCTCTGAGTATCCATGCCAGTGTTTAATAGCCTCTTGAAATTTTCTCCTTGAAGTGATCTGTGACTTGTTGAGGTGGGGAAGAAGGTGTCAGCAGGGGATAAGCATGATCAACTTGATCGTAGCTGAAATGTGAACTTTAGTGGCCAAACTGAGATAAAAAATGATCCTCACACCTTCTCAAGTAGTTGAAGACTATTGAGTTACCAGAACTGGGAGAGGAGAAAAAGAGCACATTGTTTACCTTAATTATTTCTTGGGACCTAATCATGTTGCCATTACATTGTAAATTCTGTAGATTTTCACACTTGGAAAATTCTTCTTAAATTTAGAGTTAGGACTTACTAAATTGTAATCCATGAAAGGTATTTGTTTACCCTACTCTTCTTTTAATCTCCTACTACCTTTCATTTCCCAAAATACCTAGAAGACAAAAAACAGTGTATATATGTGACTGTCAAATCGGTAAGAGAGACAGACATGAGTTGAGCAAAAATGGAAAGGCATTAAGGAAGAAAAACTGACAAGGGTAAGAGGCACGTCGGTTACCAGGAGCTGCACTTAATTTCTCTCTTTTCTTTCTCGATTAGTCTTATCTCTGCTATAAGCCTATTCTCAAGCTTGCTAAAATGCAGGCAGATCACCATATCCCACCTGCTCCATGTTGACAAATGTGGGCTTATGGCCCTTGATTCCCTCATGTTCCCTGCAGCCTTCCATACACAGTGCATGCAGTGCTGTCTCCAGGGGTGAACTGGCAGCCTGGACACACTTGGTCTAATCCAGCATTGGCCAATCCCAGGGCCTGACTTAATTCTAAATCACAGCTTAGGTTGAAGCATATTTTTTCCTAGAGTGGAAAGCTACTGGCAGTAAAGTTCTTTACCTCTGTATCTCAGAGGAGTAGGCTTTACCTGATGTCAAAAATCCAATGCAGACCTACAAAACTAGCTCAGCCCCCACCTCTCCAGCCACCTAGAGCTGGTTGTACTCATTGCCAGTAAACAAACAAAACAAAATTCTAGGATTGGAGTCATTTTATATGTTTATTGCTGATCGTTGTTCCCAAAGATTTAGTAGTATTGGGCACTTGCTGTTTTGTTATTTCATAATTTATTCCTGACCTACTTCTTAAAATGAATTAAAGTAGGAAGAAGTGTACCAGGAAAAGATAGATTTGTCATAATTTCAACTCTAATGGAAACTTAATTATTACTAAACTCAATGGCCCATTTATGTGTTTATAAATAAAAATGTATCCTTCCATACATCTAGTTTCTTAAGATAATAAGAATAGTGTTGTGCTAGTCCTTAGGATTATTATTAGTTTGCTTTTTAAATCTTTACTTCCAAAAAGCATTACAATTTTGCAAAATAATTAGAAATGGTAAAAATTTCTTAGCCAGTGCCTGTTTATTGAACACTTTTAACAACAATCTCAAAGGTAACAAGGGTTTTCATTGCTTCCTTTCTTGCTTTATTATTTCCTTCCTTTCTTCCTAGAGTCACTCATTATCCAACAAATATCTAATGAGTTCCCCCTATGCCCCTGACTTCATGTAGCTTACATTCTTATGAAGAGGGGAAGAGAGACAGAAAATAAAGAAGTAAACCATCATGTAGGTTAGATAGTGTTAAGTGCTATGGATAAAAATATATCTAGAAAGAAGATGGTAGAGGTGTTGGCTGTGAAATTTTTGAAAGAAGGTGGTCAGAAAAAGCTTCCCCTGAGAAAGTGATATTGAGCATAGACCGGAAGGTGGTGAAGGAGGAAGTTACGAGTCTATCTGGGAGTAGAGCATCCTGGCCAGTGCAAAGGCCCTGAGGCAGACAAGTGCTTGGCATGTTCATAAAACAGCAAGGAGGCCAACTGCGGTGGCTCACGTCTATCATCCAAGCACTTTTGGGAGGCCAAAGCGGGCAGATCGCTTGAGGCCAGGAGTCCGAGACCAGCCTGACCAACATGGTGAAATCCCATTTCTACTAAAAACACAAAAATTAGGTGGGCATGGTTGCGCATGCCTGTAATCCCAGCTGCTCGGTAGGCTGAGGTGCCAGAATCACTTGAACCTGGGAAGCAGATGTTGCAGCGAGCTGTGATCGCACCACTGCACTCCAGCCTGGGCAACAGAGTGAGACTCTGTCTCAAAACAAACAAACAAACAAACAACAACAACAGACAGCAAGGAAGTCCATGTGACTGGAGCAGAGTGACAAGGTGGGAAGGTAAAGAAAATGACCACAGCAAGGAAAGGAGCAGTGGACAAGAGTTTGAGAGGGTGCTAAAGATCACACAGGGCCCCTTTTCAGTGGGATACTTGTAAGGTGATGTGAAGATGGAGTTTCTTACTGTTTAGTTGAAACAGCAGCAGCCTGTGTTCTCTTTCTTCCTTGTTATACCTCCTGGATAGTCCCCCCAGTTTTCCTTTCCTCTCCAAATTAGCCTCTTCCCATTCCTCCCCTTGTGCTTCCTTTCCCCCAAGGCTGGCTGCAGAGAGGGCTTCGGTTTCCCTTTCTCCTTGTTGCCCTGAAGATAAGTCTGCCCCTCCTGTTCTAAGAAATGTGCTGCTAGTTGCTAAAGAATAAAAACTGTCAGGTAGCACCCAAACCAATAGTCATGAAATAAATCATAATAAACTTATGCAAAATGTATTCTTAGTTTATACTGCAGACCAGACACAAAGTGGTTGTGTTGCTGTTGAGCATAGTTGAACCTATGTGTTTTGTTGGGTCTGCACATTGTTTCATGAAAATGTGGATTGGTTTCCAACATTTAAAAATTGAGAAATTTTTTATTAAAATGTATTTTCAAGTTTTCCTTCCAAATTCATGTTCCTGATGAAGTTCTAGAATAGGCAAAACTGATCTATGGTGATAGAAATCAGAACTATAGTTGCCGACACATCAGAGATTGACTGGGTAGGGACAGAAGGGAAATTTCTAGATAATGAAAGATTCTATTTCTAGTAGTCTGAAATGCACAGTAAACTCATTAAACCATATACTGATCTGTATAGTTCACTATGTGTACATGAAATCTCAATATAGCTGGGCACGGTGGCTCACACTTGTAATCCCAGCACTTTGGGAGGCTGAGGTGGGTGGATCGCTTGAAGTCAGGAGTTCAAGACCAGCCAGGCCAACATGGTGAAACCCTGTCTCTACTAAAATTATGAAAATTAGCTGGGTGTGGTGGCACATGCCTGTAATCCCAGCTACTTGGGAGGCTGAGGGAGGAGAATTGCTTGAACCTGGGAGGCAGAGGTTGCAGTGAGTCGAGAGCGAGACTCCATCTCAAAAAAAAAAAAAGAAAAGAAATCTCAATATAAAGAAATTTTTTTAAAATTATGACGAATATTTTAACTGATAAATTATAATTTTATATATTTATGGGTACAATGTGATGTTTTGATATATGTATACAATGGAGAATTATTAAATCAAGCTAACATATCCACTAACCTGCTTACTTACCTGGTTTTTATAATTTGAAATTTACTCTTAGTTTTTTTTAAAATATACAGTTGACCCTTTGTATCCACAGGTTCTGCAGATAGAGAGGGCCAACTAGGGACTTGAACATCTGTGGATTTTGATATCCTTGTGGCGTCCTGGCACCACTCTCCTATGGATATAGAGGGCTGAAGTCACAGTTATGATTTCCATCACCATAGATTAGTTTTGCCTATTCTAGAACTTCATATAGAACATGAGTTTGGAAGGAGAACTTGAAACTACATTTTAATAAAAACTTTCTCAATTTTTAAATGTTGGAAACCAATGCAAATTTTCATGAAGCAATGTGCAGACCCAACAAAACACACAGTCCTCCTGCTGTGCAATCGCTCTCAAAACCTATTCTTGTCTATCTTAAACTTTGTACCCTTCAGTCAACAATTCCCCATTCCTTCCCTCCCACCCATGACCTAGCCTCTGGTCAACACCATTCTACTCTCTATTTCTGTGAGTTTTTTAGATTCCACATGTAAGTGAGATGATGTGGTATTTGTCTTTCTGTACCTGGCTTTTTTCACATAGCATCATATCCTCCAGATTCATCCATATTATCACAAATAACATGATTTCTTTCTTTTTTAAGGCTGAATCATATTTCACTGTGTCTATGTACCACATTTTCTTTATTCATTCATCCATCAATGAACACTTAAATTGGTTCCATGTCTTAGCTATTGTGAATAATGCTGTAATAAACATGGGAATGCAGATATCCCTTTGACGTATTGATTTCAACTCCTTTGGATATATACCCAGAAGTGGGATTGTTGGATCATATGGTAGTTCTATTTTCAGTTTTCTGAGGAACTGTCATAGCATTTTCCATAATGGTTGTACTAATATACACTCCCACCAACAATGTGTAAGAGTTCTGTTTTCTCTGCATGCTCACCAACACTTGTTATCATTCATCTTTTTGATGAAGGCCATTCTAACAGGTGACATTATGTATCATTGTGTTTTTAAAGTGCATTTCCCTAAATATTGGTAATGCTGGACATTTTTTCATGTACCTCTTGGCCACTTCTGCGTCTTTTGAGAAATATCTATTCTGGTCCTTTGCCCATTTTTTAATTGTGTTATTTGTTTTCTTGCTATCAGGTTGTTTGAGTTCCTTATATATTTTAGATATTAAGCACTTGTCAGATGTGTGGTTTGCAAATACTTACTCCCATTCTGTGGGTTGTCTCCTCATTTTGTTGTTTCCTTTGCTGTGCAGAGCCTTAGTTTGATGCCATTCCATTTGTCTGTTTTTGCTTTTGTTGTCTGTGACTTTGGAGCCATATCCAGAAAATCATTGCCTAGACCAGCATCATGGAGCTTTCCCCCATTTTCTTTTAGTAGATTTACAGTTTTAGGTCTCAACTTTTAAGTCTTTAATCCATTTTGAGTTGGTTTTTGCATATAGTATGAGAAAAGGATCCAATTTCACTCTTCTGCATGTGGATAGCCAGTTTTCCCAGCACCATTTATTGAAGAGACTGTCTAAAGAAAAGTTTTAAATGGAAGCCCTACCCAACATTCAGCAATACCTGGATAGCAGCTGACCACTTTGGGCTTGGCACATGCTTTCTAGATTGGCTTAGACACCTTGTCCACTTCTGTCATTTTCATTAACTACCTGGCTCCTTGTATTGGTATTGGTGGTATTGGTTTATGACTCCTTCAGTAGATGCTTAGCAGTTTGGGTTTCAACTATCAGTGGGGAGCAAATCTGAAGGGGCCTGATACGTTTAATTGGTAGTTTAGAAAATAGTACCTGCCTCTTAGGGTTGTATGTGAAGCATGTAACAAAATCATAAGCCTGATTTTGTTAAATCAGTCCAGAAACTCGCCTATTCCCCTTTCACTTAATGCTGGTCTCAAATCTCAGGATTCTCAGGGGTCTCTGGACCTAACTTGCGCTTTCGTCTCAAATGCCAAGGGTCTCCTGAATTTTCAGACTTCTTTCCTGAGACGATAACAGAAAATATCTTAACTATTACTCCTATTATCAACACTTAACACTTAGGCTTATAATGTGTGTTGCTAAAATAATAGTGCCTACTATGGAAATTTTAGAAAATACAGATAAGCAAAAAAAATAAAATTACTCATAATTCTACCATCAAACATAACCTCTGTTTACCATGTTATGGTAAATACTTTCAAAACTTTCTCCATACACCTATATATTTTATATTAAAATGTGTTTTATAAATTTTAGCGTACAAATGCCCAGTTTACAAAATGGTCAATAATAACAAGTCAAATGTTAAAGATGACAGGCCAAGCATAAGTACTTGCTTACTCTCTATCCTAAAACTCCATTAAAATGACCGTAAAAGATACAAAGGGGGAAGAACTCTGAAGATAATGGGATATGAAAATGCTTGGAAGCAAATTACTGATTAAACAGAACCAAGAATTTGTACAAAAAGGACCACCCTCGGAGTGCAAGTGATCCCCTAGAAAGAACCCCCTGTATGGAGTTAGCAGCAATGGGGAGCATGCATGAGCAACGAGATTAATGGAAAGTCTTCATGGACTAGTTATAGTGAAGTAGGGCTTCTCTAGAGTATTGGCACCATAGAGTAAATCTTTTCTCTTTCTGGCATTTAGAAAGAGGGTGGGCCCTGGCTAAAAGGCTAGCTCTTGCCTCTTCACCCAAAGTATAACTAGCTATCAACAAAGCCCACTCCGGTACACAAAGGCTGTTAATGTTCATTTCGTTCAGGGAAGAGTCCTATCCTGGAGACACTTATATACATGACAGTGGAAGAAAGTGGCACAAATCAACCAGAAAAACAAACGAAATCCTTAATTTATAAAGAAATTATATAACCAAGAATAACCTGACATATGAAGAAGCATGAAAAAGAAACATCAAGATAAACAATTACTATTGCCAGAGGAGAGATCATTCAGGGAAAAGAAAATCGCCTTTTTTAAAAATCTGAGCACTCTTAGCATGATTAGAGTTGTTGTTTCCACACAACAAAAGCGTGATGTTATTCAGAAAGAGCAATCAGAAAATAAAAAAGATGTTGAACATTTTTTTAAATAACTAAAATAAAAATAATTTACTAGAAGGCTAATAATGGAAATTCTTCCTGGTCCAAGTCCAGTGGTGTTTACAACTAATTGATCACAACCAGTTACTGATTTCTTTGTTCCTTCATTTCCACTGCTTCACTTGACTAGCCTAAATAATAATATTAATAACAATAATGATTTTTAAATCTCCTGTAATGGGCCAGGTGCAGTGGCTCACGCCTGTAATCCCATCACTTTGGGAGGCTGAGGTGGGCAGATCACGAGGTCAGGAGTTCGAGACCAGCCTGGCCAAAACGGTGAAACCCCGTCTTTACTAAAAATACAAAAATTGGCTGGGCGTGGTGGCGCACTCCTGTACTCCCAGCTACTCAGAAGGCTGAGGCAGGAGAATCACTTGAACCCAGGAGGCAGAGGTTTCAGTGAGCTGAGGTCGCGCCACTGCACTCCAGCCTGGGCAATAGAGTGAGACTTTGTCTCAATAAATAAATAAATAAATAAATAAAAATAATCTCTTGGAATGCACAACCAAATTTTGAAGAAAGAAAGAATATGCTAGAAAAGAGGAGAGACAGAAGCAATCCAGTAAGAAAATCTTTGTTTTCTGAGATAGAAAACAAAGAAAATAAAAGGTAAGAAATTGACAATTAAATGCTAGGAAAAAAAGTTCCTGTAGTTGAGGAAAAGTGTGAGGTTAAAAGGCCCATCAAGTGAATGAAAAAACATGCAGAGATACAATTGTTACAAAATTTCCAAGTCAAGAATACACAGAGATTCCTAAAACTTTCTGAAAGGAAAAATAAAGTCGTTTAAGATTAACATAAGGCTTCTCATGAGGAAACTGGATTTTAATAGAGCAATGGCTTTAAATTTGTAAGGAAAAATGATTTTGAACTTAGAATCATATTGTCAGTAACTTATCAAGCGTGAGGGTGAAATGAAGACATTTTCAGACATTCAAAGACTCAGGCCGTTTACTTCTGAGTACCTTTTCTAAAGCAGTTGCCTAAGGATGCACTCCAGCAAAATGAGGGTATAAAGCAAGGAGGAGGAAGCTGTGGAATTAGAAAGAGTGGAGCTAATCCACAATTGCAATGAAATAAACTGTAGGTTGACAGATGTTCACCAGGCTTAGAAAAAATTAATACAGGCCAGGCGCAGTGGCTCACGCCTGTAATCCCAGCACTTTGGGAGGCTGAGATGGGCAGATCACGAGGTCAGGAGATCAAGACCATCCTGGCTAACACGGTGAAACCCTGTCTCTACTAAAAATACAAAAATTAGCCGGGTGTGGTGGCGGGCACCTGTAGTCCCAGCTACTCAGGAGACTGAGGCAGGAGAATGGCATGAACCCGGGAGATGGAGCTTGCAGTGAGCCCAGATCGCATCACTGCACACCAGCCTGGGCGACAGAGTGAGACTCTGTCTCAAAAAAAAAAAAAAAAAGAAAGAAAAAAAAATTAATACAAATTAGGGCAGATAGTGAGCTCAAGAAGAATGACTTTAAGAAGAATTAAATGCATTTCCTTTTATAGGTAGAAGTAGCAGTGAACAATATTCACATAGTTATAGAAATAATGGAAATTCTTCCTGGTCCAAGTGCAGTGGTATTTACAACTGATTTATACAACCAGTTACTGATTTCTTTGTTCCTTCTACATTCCCACTGCTTCACTTGACTAGCCTAAAAAAATGATGATGCTGATGATGATGGCACTTCTAGCAACACAGAGGGCGAAGCTGACTCATTCAGATCTCCCTCCAGGACAAACACACAAAAATGAAGGATAAAACATAACAAATGTTCAAATAACCTTGAAATAAAGACTGTCAGAAGAATGCAGAGAAAAATGTTTAAAAAAGAACAATAATAATAAGAAATCCTACATGCAGCCCAAGCCATAGGAATTTTTCTGTGGAATATAGACCCTAGAGTGTTGAATGATGAAGTTGTATCATTCAAACCTGGAAAGAAAATTTGGCTTCAGGCCCACAGGAGACCAGGACCATGGAATTGAAACACTGGATAAGCCTGGAGCTCTAAAGACCTGTCTAGTCCATTAATAGAGTATTAGGCAAACTCTAACCACTACTTAGGGAAACAAGGAAGTCTTGTAGGCCTTGAGTGAAAGTTAAAAAAAGAAAGTCACCCTTGAACAAACAAAACCCTGGGCCTGTGCCTCATTCAGAAATTAGGTTCAAAATTATACTTCCTCTGTGGTTCAGAAGCCTCAAACCATATTAAACAAACACCAACAGTAGTGAAAATGTCCAGGACCCACTAAAACCACCATAACCCTAGCAGAGTAGACATGAAAGTGTCTAAAAACACATCACGACTTAAGTGTACATGGAACATCCACAGAACCACTCCTCCCCTTCCACAATTAAATATGACTCAGAATTTTAAAAACCTACAAATCACTGCAAGGGAGTGTCAGCAAACAGAACAAGCAGAAGAATCAGATCCCCAAGAATTTAAAACAATGGAAATAGATGAACAAGATCAGAAGTGTGTTAAAAATTATTGAAAGAATAAAGAGAATTGAAAACAAAAGGGAAAATGCAACACTATGAAATTAGAACAAGTTGATTTCAAAAAGTATAGAAATGAAAAATATAGGCTTTAAATATTTTTAAAAAATTAATGTCCTACTTAATGTATTAGAGCCAAAAGTAGATTATTAAACTGGAAGTTAAATCTGAGAAGACTATCTGTAATCAACCCAATGAGATAAAAAGCTGTAAAATGTAAGAGGTTAAAGCACACAATGACAGGAGAAGCTCCAACAAATGTCAAATAGAAATTCCAGAAGGAAAGAGAAAAGGGAGAATAAATCAGTATATATTGGTTTTATAGGTAAAGAAATTAAAAATAGTAATATAATTTAGCAAAAATAGAAGTGAGTAAGGAGACTTAAATGTTAATATTTCGGCTGAGTGTAGTGGCTCATGCCTGTAATCCCAGCACTTTGGAAGGCCAAAGTGGGTGGATCACTTGAGCTCAGGAGTTTGAGACCAGCCTAGGCAACATGGTGATACCCCGTTTCTACAAAAAATACAAAAATTAGGTGAGTGTGGTGGCATGCACCTGTAGTGTTAGCTACTCAAGAGGTTGAGACACAACAATCTATTGAACCCAGGAAGTGGAAGTTGCAGTGAACCGAGCTCATGCCACTGCACTCCAGCCTGGGTGACAGAGCCAGACCCTGTCTCAAAAAAGTTAATTTTTCATGGTAAGCATTCGTGAATAATGTCTAAACTTGATAAGTAAAAAAAAAAAGCCATATAATTTTATTACTTAGAGCAGTAGTTCTCGATTCCAGGAAAGATTGGGAAGTGTATCCTGTGGATGGAGAATGCTACTAGCATTTAATGTCAAGAAGAGAGATGCTAAATGCACAGAACTATCTCATACAAATCCCACCTGAAATACCAGTTTCTCTTTCTGAGAATTGCTGATTTAGAGTTAATAATAAACTCACCAGAAGAATTAATATTAAAAATGATTTTAAGAAAATGGTGGCTGGCTACAGTGGCTCACACCTGTAATCCCAGCACTTTGGGAAGCCAAGGTGGGAGGATCACTTGAGCCCATGAGTTCAAGATCGGCCTGGGCACCATAATGAGACCCTTTCTCTATGAAGAAAAATTTAAAAATTAGCCAGCTGTGGTGGCACATGCCTGTGATCCCAGTTACTCAAGAGGCTGAGGCAAGAGAACAGCTCGAGTGCAGGAGGTTGAGGCTGCAGTGAGCCATGATCACACCACTGCACTCCAGCCTGGGTGACAGAGTGACACCTGTCTCAGAAAGGAAAAAAAAAAAGAAAGAAAGAAAATGGCTGCTTCAGGAAATAGAACTAAAGTTGGGGAGAATGGGATGGAAAAGTATTGCTTTTCATTATTAGTTATTTCATAATACTTGCAATTTTATCATGTGTATATTATGTTGGAAAAAGAAATGACTAGTCAACCAGTAGCTTCTTCTTTCATTTTTGCTTAGAGAACTCTTTTCTATTGAAGTATCTGTCATTCAAACCTAAGCACCACTTTGAATTACTGAGCTTTTTACCTCAAAGAAAATTCTAAAGGCATATCTTATGAGCGTTAAAGATCTTTCAAGTGTTTCTGGCTGGAAAATAAATCTTGCTATTTATTAATTTAGGGAGTCACAGCAAATTAGTGCTGGAAGGGATTCAACTTATTTAGTGGTATGGAATAATTTATCCGTGGTAGAGTGATTTTGAGCAGTAGCTCTGTATAGGACAAAGGAGGACTGGGGTATGGTCAAATAACAAGAGCCCATGGCTGCAAATTGGAACCTGCATCCTGCCTTTCATGGACTTAAAAGATCTGATCCTACTTGACCTCTCCAGTTTTATTTCCTGTAACCACCCAAAGCACGATTTCTACCAGTACCTTTGGTATTCCATGAACATGTCTTATTAGCGTTTACCTTTTCACATCTCTATGCAAAATCACGTGCCTGCCTTTTTGCCTTCTATCCATTATTTGAGAGCCACTTCAAATCCAGTATCCTCTCCAAAGCCATCCTCTCTGGAACAGCAGGCAGAAGCCAGGACCTTGGTCACCCTACTTAGATCAAGTAACTCACCAGATGTCCCACCATGGTGGCAGAACCAGGACTTGAATTGAGGTCTATGTCATTCCATAGCCTGTACTCCCAGCTGCCATTTACAGATAAGGAAATTAGGGTACAGAAAGCTTGTATATCTTGCAAAAAAACATGAAGCTCTAAAGTGCCAGTTCTGGCTGGGCGCGTTGGCTCACGCCTGTAATCCCAGCACTTTGGGAGGCCGAGGCGGGCGGCTCACCTGAGGTCAGGAGTTTGAGACCAGCCTGGCCAGCATAGTAAAACTCCATCTCTACTAAAAATAAAAAAATTAGCCAGGTATGGTGGCATGTGCCTGTAGTTCCAGCTACTTGGGAGGCTGAGGCAGGAGAATCGCTTGAACCCAGGAGGCAGAGGTTGCAGTGAGCCGAGATCACACCATCGCACTTTAGGGTGGGTTACAAGAGTGAAACTCTATTTCAAAAAAAAAAAAAAAAAAAGTGCCATTTCCAGCCTTCAAACACAGTCCTGAACCCTAGGCTCTGCATGTGGTATTGCCTCTACGGATATTAACGTGTAAGAGTCCTTTGGCAGAGGAATTTAAGGGGAGTGGATAAGTATTGTTTTTGCCTCTGAAAGTAATGGCAAAAACCACAATCACTTTTGCACCAACCTAATATAAAAGAAGAGGGAAAGGATGGGCACAGCACAAGACTACATGCTATGGCAACCTTGGCCCCTGCCACTCACTCAAGATCATTCAGCCAACAAATGTCTGCTAGCCAGCTGCATGCCAGGCTGTGCACTTGATGCTCAGAAATAACAGTCCTGCCCTCATCGAGCTTGCAGTCTACATTCAAAACCAGCTTGCATAGGTCTTAGGGCCTTTTGCTCTTTCTACATATTGAGCCACTATAATTAATCAATGATAGTTAATAAGGGAAAACAGATAGATAATATATTCTGGTTATTGCTAACAGTCCAAAAAGTAGTAAGAATAGAAAACAGCTTTTCAAATTCCTTTTAGGAAAGGCTGATAAAGCCATAAGTGAAAATATGTTTTTTCTGGGTTCTAATTCATGAGACTTTTGCTATTTGCTGTGTACATTATAGAAAAGTTCACATCCTGTTGCTCAGGGCAATGTTGAAAAAATTCATAGTAAAATTTATTTTTGTTGTTTATATTGAGGCCCATAGAGAAGTCATGTGAAAGACGTAGTAAGCTTGGGCATGTGCTTGCATATTTGAGATTAAAAGGTTAATATATGCATTATTAAAGTTATAAATGTGTAAATTATTTTGAGTAGATGGATGAATGCCCTTACTCACTCTTTTCTGATACCTCCGGTTCACAGAGAAAAATACAATTTCAAAACTTAAAGAAAAGCATTACTTTACTGATGATGGCTCTTAGTTTCAGACAACTGAATCCATTCTAGCTAGTTTAAGCACCAAGAGATTTAATTGGCATTTTGAAACTTGCCAGATACTGTTCCCAGAATGTTGTCACTGGAAACATTTAAAGATAAGGAAACATAGAAGCAGAGAATAGTAATTTCCAGGGACTGGGAGGAGAGAAAAATGGGGAGAAATTAATCAAAGGAAACCAAGTGAAAATTATGCAAGATGGAGAAATCCTAGAGATCTACAGTACAGCATAGTACCTGCAGTTAACCACCCACTGCTGTACACTTAAAAATGCACTAACAGGCCAGGCACAGGGGTTTACACCTGTAATCCCAGTACTTTGGGAGACCAAGGCAGATGGATCACTTGAGGTCAAGAGTTCAAGACCAGCCTTGCCAACATGGTGAAACCCCATCTCTAGTAAAAATATTATACAAAAATTAGCCAGGCGTAGTGGCACACACCTGTAGTCCCAGCTACTGAGGAGACTGAGGCAGGAGAATCGCTTGAACCTGGGAGGTGGAGGTTGCAGTGAGCCAAGATGGTGCCACTGCACTACAGCCTGGGCAACAAGAGCAGGTGTCTGTTTCAAAAAAAAAAAAAAAAAAAAAGTACTGGCAGGGTAGACCTTGTGTTCTTATCACAAAATAATAATAAATTAAGAGAAAAAGCAAACTTTTGGAGGTGATGGATATATTTATGGCATAGATTCCTCCAAACTTATCAACTTGTATACACTAAGTATATACAGCTTTTTGTATGTCAGTCATATCTCAATAAAGTGGTTTAAAAGTTAATAAAGATGAGGAAACTAAGACTCAGGCAAATTATTTTTATATGTTCATTCAGCAAGCATTTTTTAGCCCTAAGTACCAATCACTGTACAGAAATTAGTATTGCGTTTCTCCTTTCATGAGGCTCACAATCTATTTTCCCAATAGGTTGTGCATCAGTCTCACTCCATGAGCTTTAAAAAAATACAGATTCTAGAATTATTAAATTAGAATCTCTAGACGGGGCCAGGCATAGTGGCTTATGCCTGTAATCCCAGCACTTTGGGAGGCTAAGGTGGGCAGATCACCTGAGGTCAAGAGTTGGAGACCAGCCTGGCCAATATGGTGAAACCCCATCTCTACTAAAAATACAGAAATTACCTGGCCATGGTGGTGGGTGCCTGTAATCCCAGCTACTTGGGAAGCTGAGGCAGGAGAATCGCTTGAACCCAGGAGGCATAGGTTGCAGTGAGCCAAGATCGCACCACTGCACTCCAGCCTGGGCGACAGAGTGAGACTCCATCTCAAAAGAAAAAAAAAAAAAAGAATCTCTAGAAGGCCTGGAAATTGTGGTTTTAATCTCCCCAGGTGATTGTGACATGCCAGCAAGGCATAGAAAACCCTGGTGTAGTTGACCCTGCCATAACAACGTAGAACAACTGAGACACTTAAGGTACAGAACCAGGGCTCTACACTGATCATGACCTCCAATTCAGAGCATCTACCACAAAACCACAGTGAATCTTCATTATTGGCATGCAGCTGACTTTGGCTCTTAGTCTGAAGTTTAAAATGTTGTTACCATTTTGTTATTTTTTTATTTATAAATATTTATCATGGCAATATTTTATAAGTATCAGAGATGCCGTTTAAAGACTACTTTGAATAGGAGACAGGGTTTGTGTTTTGCAAATATTTTTGGATAAGCCTCTTACCCCCAAGTGAGTGTAGATGGATCCATTTTCTCATCTACAAAGTGAGGGAGTTACGATAAATTTAGATTTTAAAATCTATGATGAGGCCAGGCACAGTGGTTCACACCCATAATTCCAGCACTTTGGGAGGCCAAGGTGGGCAAATCACCTGAGGGTCAAGAGTTTGAGAACAGCCTGGCCAACAAGGGGAAACCTCAATCTCTACCAAAAAAATACAAAAAGTAGTTGGGCGTGGTGGCGCACACCTGTAATCCCAGCTACTCGGGAGGCTGAGGCAGGAAAATCGCTTGAACCCAGGAGGCAGAGGTTGCAGTGAGCCAAGATCACGCCACTGCACTCCAGCCTAGGCAACAGAGTGAGAATGTGTCTCAAAAAAAAAAAAAAAATCTATGATGAAAAATGTTCTAAGTTACCTTCAAATTCCTCCCTTCCTGCCTGTGGCGAAATGGACCTTGAAGCTCTAGGTCAATTTGCTTTGCTGTCATTAGTATTTTGTGTTTGAGGACCTGCCAGAAGATGTGTCCCTTTAGGTGATCTTAGTAAGTGACTTTTCTCATGTAAGGATTTGTGTACTTTTACAATTTGGTGATTTATAATTTCAATCAGCACACTGGAAGCTCATTATCTGTCATATAAGAGTCTGGTTATTTGATCTCCTAGTGTTGGTTCCTTGGTTACTTTGCCTCTCTGCCTCTGATAAGATGGTTATTGATAGCCTTCGAGGCTTTAATTATTTAATCATTGTTGATGCAAATAAAAAGTCCCCCGAAAGGACAGCCTTTCATTACAACATCTTCTCCTTTCCTTTCCCAGTTGAAATGTCCTTGAACTACCAACCAGCTATCTCAAAAAGGACATAGATTATAGCCAGGGTGCCAGTATCTCAAAAATATTTGAGAATCGTCTCCTCTCTGTGTCTCTTCCTAACCTACAGAGAGTTAAGGTTGCCAGATTTAGCAAAGAAAAATACAAGATACCCAGTTAAAGTTGAGACAAAGAATACTTTTTAATATAATTATATCCCATGCAATATTTGAGACATACTAAAAGATTATTTCTTGATTAATATGCAAATTTAACTGAGCCTTCTATATTTTCTCTGGCAACCCTACAGATAGTGCATATCTTAATGCTTTAGAAAATCCATCTTATGTTTTGAGATCTAAATTTGTTTGAGATTTGCTCCTAATTGAAACCCACAATGAAATGGTTGTGACAGTTAAGACTGCATTTGCCTGAAGTATAGTGGATGTTGCACTGCCCACCTCCGCACAACTCTCTTTTGTTGTGAGAATATAAGCATAGAAACAAGACTTTGCTTGAGAAACCTAAGCTAAATAGTACTCTTTTGTAATTTGTATTAAATATTTTGCAGACACACATAAGTAAAGATAGTGCTATAATGCATTGCACAGAATTTATTTACACCCTATTTAGTTTTTTTCTTTTTGTTTGGGTGCTGGGTACATGGATGGGTGGGTGAGGGTGTTTGTTTTGCCATCTCCTATGTCAGTGGTTTTGAGCCTTTGCTATACAATAGAATCACCTGAGAGCTTCTTAAGCTCTCAATCCCTGTCTGCTTTGCAGACCAATTAAATCAGAATCACTGGAAATAGACTCGGGCATCAGTATTTAAAGCTGCCCAGGTGACTCCAATGTGCAGCCATGGCTGAGAACCAATGCCCTAAATGAAAATGGCAAATTTGAAAAAGCTCTTTTAACTACTAAATTATGACCTTATATTTTAATCCTCTTCAAAACTGATTTCATGTACTTTTCAGTAAGCATCTTATGGCAATTACATTTATTATTTTGTATTATATATTCTATATATGATGTATAATATAAAGTTTACTTTAAAAAATGATCTTATGAGGCTTTAATCTTGTCACTGATTCAGTATTAATTTCTTCAACATCTATAATTGGTTTTCATTTTCAAATATTTCTTTGTGATTTTTCTTATGTATTTTTCATATGTATTTCTCTCTCTCTCAGATTCTAAGCCAGTGCTTCTCAACTTGAACTGCTCGTTAAAATCATCTTAGGATGCTATAAAGAAATGCCCAAGCCTGCCTCCTGGAGGCTGTGCTCTAGTTGGTCAGGTGTGGATCCTAAGCATTAGTGTTTTATAAAAGTACCTAAGGAAGTTCTAGGTTTAGCCAGAGTTGAAAGCCAGTGTTTTCAATATGTCAAGTACCTATCTAGCTGATCAACTGCATGTCCTGGGGAACTTTTAATACATAAATATAATTGCTCTGCTTAATGAAATAGAAGGAATTTTGAGGTTCTGGGAGAAGGAGAAATAAGGGAGTGGTAAGTGACCACCCTCTTGTGTTTATACTCTCAGATTCACGGGTGTCACGAGGAATTCCTGATGTTGGGGATAGCCGAAGGACTCTTAAGACTAAAGATAAAGATACCTAGTGTTTTAAGTGTTTTCTCTGCTATGCTACAGTGTAAACCATTCTGTTGCCCTGAAATCTCCAGAGAAGGTTGCCACATACATGGGTAAGAGACACACGCTTACATCCACAAGTAGTGAATACCCATTGTTTAGGCCTCACCCAGTGGAAATCCTAACTGGGTAGGTTCAGGTTAAGGCCCTGAACCCAGTAATTCAAGCCCTCCCCAGACCATTGTGGTGATTGGCCACATTTTGTCACCACTGCCTTGTAGGTGATAAAACATCCCTAGACTTGATCATCATAATTCACCTGATTGACAGCTGAGCAAACTCCTGTGGGGTAACAGGAAAATCAATGGTAAAACTGAGTTTCTGCAACAGGAGAAAAACTAGAGTCTGATTCTTATTAGACCTTCCTCAGGTCTACCTGTTCCTTTTCTCTTCAAGGGGCCATATGTAGGAAGAAATTACCTTTCTGAACTAGGACAAAAGACTAAGAAGATGATGTCTACAAAAAATAATAAAAGTTCAAAGCAGACATAATCTATAAGATGAAAGAGAGGAAGCATGGCATGCATTATCAATAATCATAACATACCCATTCAAAGATTTCATTCACCTCCCAGTTACTGAGCACCTGCTAAGATACAAGTACTGAGCTAGGTCCTGGGAATTCAGAGTATGATATTGTCTCAAAGAATTTACAGTCTAGAAGAGGAGATCAATGATTCTATTAGAATAGAAGAATGGAAGCGTATACCAAGTAACATGCATAGGCCCATTTCATAAAGGATTATAAGTGAGGGGAGACCTCACAGAAAAGCAGAAGACAGAACAAGGGTTTGGAAGATACAATGATTAGGCTGTGGGGAAAATGGAAGGAGTGAAGGGAAAGCAACAACATCTCTTATTAGAATGAATTGAAACTCTGGATGGGCACAGAGGCTTAAAGCAGCATGGTATGTTGCCTGGATTACAAATGGTTTTATAATGCTGTCATGTAATGATCTGGAGGAGTTAGGGTAGGTGGAAGCCAGTGGTAGGGTTTGTGATGTGTCAAACTCCACTCATACATCAGCCCAGTCATTCTTGTATTTTGATGAGTTCCTAGAGTGGCCCTAAAGAGCTAGATGAGAGGTGGCCAACCCACCTTACTAGTCTGAAACAAAAAACATATCATCTTTATTTCTCAGGTTCTGCTGCAAAATTCTTCCTCCAGATTTACCATTTCTTAGTTCATATGAGCTGCTATAACAAAATACCACAGACAGAAATTTATAAACAATAGAAATTTATTTCTCACAGTTCTGGAGGCTGGGAGGTCCAAGAACAATGCACCAGCTGGTAAGGGCCAGGTGTCTCTGCTTCCAAGATGGTGTCTTATTGCATCATCCTCTAGAGAGGAGGAACACTGTATCCTCACATGGCGGAAGGGACAGAAGGGATGAAAGGGGGTGAACTCCCTGTGCTAAGTCTTTTTATAACTTAATCCCATTCGTGAGTGCTCCAGAGCCCACATGATCAATCACTTCCTAAGGACCACACCTCGTAATACTCTTGTATTGGGGGTTAAGTTTCAACTTGAATTTTGAAAGAGACAAAAACAGTCAAACCATAACATTTTAATATCATCCTTGGTGGTACTTGGTTGCATTTGCTGCCAGAATTTCTTTTTATTATAGGCTCTTGAATTTTCAACCTCTTTGGACATAGGTATTTATTTTGCACAATATTTTGTGGTAGATCATACACAACCCTGATTTCAATTTGTTTTGTTGCCTTTGAGACGGAGTTTCACTCTTGTCGCCCAGGCTGGAGTACAATGGCGCGATCTCAGCTCACTGCAACCTCTGCCTCCCGGGTTCAAGTGATTTTCCTGTCTCAGCCTCCCAAGTATCTGGGATTACACGTGTGCATCACCACTCCCAGCTAATTTTTTTTTTTTTTTTTTTTTTTAGTAGAGGCAGGTTTTCTCCATGTTGGCCAGGTTGGTTTCGAACTCCTGACCTCAGGTGATCCACCCACCTTAGCCTCCCAAAGTGCTGGGATTACAGGTGTGAGCCTCCATGCCTGGCCTTGATTTCAATTTGAATGTGATTTCATTTTGATGAAAACCTGAGTTTTCACTGTGAAGGAGTTGTATTGACCAACATTAGTAGCCCTCACAATTCCACAGTCACCACACAAGCACTTAACCATGCATTCATGTTAACCTCTGCCTGCTCTGCCATTAACTTCCTTCATTTGGGAATACTGGCTTTAGTTGTTGTGCATTTAATATTTTATTATGAGGTATATAGTTCAAATGTACAGACAAGTACAATCATGTAACAAGCACCAGTTTACTTACTAAGCAGCATAATCAGATCTTCACATTTTGCTGTCTTTGTGCCAGTTCTTTTTTTTACAAACTAAAACATTGCAGATACAGTTAGTAGAAGCCCTCTACTATCCCTTCTTAGTCTCATTTCCCTCTCTCTAGAGGTAACACCATCCTGATCTCAGTATTTATTGTTGTCATGAGTGGTTTTATACTTTTACTACAAATATATGTAATAACATATACTATTGTTTTATGTTTTTAAACTTTAAATAATTGAATCCTCTCAGTATTCAACTGTGCCTTACATTTTTGTTGAAAATTGCCTCTGAGATGTATTGATGATGACACAGAAATTTAGTGCATTTCTTTTAATTACTACATAGAATTAAATTTATGAATATACCAAAATGTATTTTTTACTGCATACAAGTACTTTTCACTGTTATAAGGCTGCAGAAAACATTCTTGTACACAACTCCATATGCACAAATATGTTGTATTTTTATTCTTTAATCATTGTTTTACTCATATAAGTGGTATCACTGTGTAGCAATGAAAAAAACTATCAGTCATTCTAATAATCAAAAACATGACAATGTAATCAACTTCAAAACAATATTAGAATAGTGTGCTGATGTTCTTAACTTACTGCCTTTCACAAAGGTCACCAGCAACTTGCCTCAAACAGACATGTAAGCCTAAACTCTGAACCATAGAATAATTTAAAGAGTAATCAACCATAAATATAGAATTGGAAATGAGGCTAATATAGCTTTAAGAAACATTGAGTCAATTTAAGGACTGATCGTACTCTTTTTTTCTGTTTCCTTGACATATAGCTGGTCAAAATTGACCTAATTTGCAATTCCTCTTATGTGGACCTAGAGGGAACTGACTAGTATTTAGCCATTGCACTTAATATGAGCTTTTGTTAAAAGTACACACATTAACCATTTATTACTCTGGGAGGGAATAAGTCACGTTTTTTTAATTGATTTTGATTTCATTAATTACTGCCTCCTATATACAGATCAATACATTAGGTCCTCTGGGGCGTCCAAAGAAAGCCTCAGAAGAACTTGGAACACCACAAAGAAGAGATGCTTAGGAAAAGTCATCAGTAGGATTTTGGCAAGTAAAATGGAGTTTTTCTTTTTTCCCCTAGTGACACTCAGGAAATGCTTGTCTCCGGCTGTTAAGGAATAATTTCAGAGTACTATGGATCATGCTGAAGAAAATGAAATCCTTGCAGCAACCCAGAGGTACTATGTGGAAAGGCCTATCTTTAGTCATCCGGTCCTCCAGGAAAGACTACACACAAAGGACAAGGTTCCTGATTCCATTGCGGATAAGCTGAAACAGGCATTCACGTACGTTGCCTTTTAACCTGTTTCTGTTATTGTATCATTCAGTTATGAGAGGCGCAAGGTCAAATGTGTAAAGAAAATCTGTTTGGTGAAGTGGAGAGAAAAATGAATGCTGAGCCATCATGGTTTGCAAAGCTGTTCACGAGGTTCAGTCAGCGTTAGATATTTGCACACAGGCTTCATCATGAATTTCACCATATTTATTGAATTCCTACTATGCCTTTTTTCTGTGTAAATGTTAACATAACCAACATGCTTTCTAATTCTCCACCCACCTTGAAAATATCTTTTGTCTCCCAGGAATATTCCACCCACTCTCTTTTTTTCCCTATCCCTGACTCCTACCCTGTTTGGCAACATCTTGAATCACCAATTGGAAATTTTTCCAGATTGCTCCTGGGAATAAGGAAGGGAAAATGCTTTGGTTTGAATTCTACAGAGATGTTTCTCATTTATAACTTTATCTCTGTCTGTCTTTGTCCTTTCAGATGTACTCCTAAAAAAATAAGAAATATCATTTATATGTTCCTACCCATAACTAAATGGCTGCCAGCATACAAATTCAAGGAATATGTGTTGGGTGACTTGGTCTCAGGCATAAGCACAGGGGTGCTTCAGCTTCCTCAAGGTCAGTAGATCTTTCTTTCTTTCCCCCCTTGCTGTCCTCAAACAATTGCTTGACCTTCTGTTTATTTCATCATGATTGCAAATTCATAATTTTTATCATATCTTTCTAGTAACCTTTACCTATCTAAAGGTATTCTTCAGAAACATGTAATCCTTAAACCTGTAATCTCAGCACTTTGGAAGGCCAAGGTGGGAGGATCACTTGAGACTGGGAGTTGGAGACCAGCCTGGGCAACAAAGTGAGACACTGTCTCTACCAAAACAAAAACAAACAAAAACAAAAAACATAGCTGGGCATGCCTGTAGTCTCAGCTACTCAAGAGGCTGACATAGGAGGATCATTTGAGCCCCAAAGTTCAAGGCTGTAATGAGCTATGATCATACTACTTCACTCCGGCCTGGGAGACAGAGTGAGTCCCTGTCTCAAAAAAAAAAAAAAAAAAAAAAAAGCTCCAGGGATATTAATAGTAGAAAATGGTGTTACTACTTTGCAGATCAGTACACTGCTTGGGCATTATCTTACCACTTGCTAAGTCAGTCACTCAAGAAACATTTTGTTGTTATGGTTGTTGTTAAGGTTTGTGGCTTCTGAGTCCATATTCTAATTACAAGGGACCATGATATGCTAAATTCCTGTAGTATATTGCAGCAACTCTGTGGTTTTATATGTGATATAAGAACTTAATATTCATTAACTTATTCATTAATTTATTCATGTATTCTAAACAGTACATGTCTATTAGGCACCTATCTGGCTCACTGTCCTCATGGAGCTCACTAACCATCCAATCAAGGCATGAGATTGCTAAGCAGAAAAAAGCACATATAAAAATTTTAATTATAATGATAAGCAAAATGGAGGAAAATATAAGGTATTGTGAAATAAAAATAGTGGATCTAGGGCCGGCTGTGGTGGCTTACGCCTGTAATCCCAGCACTTTGGAAGGCTGAGGTGGGTGGATCACCTGAGGTCAGGAGTTCGAGATCAGCCTGGCCAACATGGTGAAACCCCATATCTACAAAAAATATAAAAATTAGCCAGGCATGGTGGCATGTGCCTGTAGTCTCAGATACTCAGGAGGCTGAAGCAGGATAATCACTTGAACCTGGGAGGTGGAGGTTGCGGTGAGCTGAGATCGTGCCACTGGACTCCAGCCTGGGCAACAGAGCAAGACTCTATTGGAAAAAAAAAAAAATAGTGGATCCAGGAAATGAGGTTTGAGCTGAGACCTGACTCAGGTCAAGAATGAGAGAAAATGCATTTCAGGCAGAAGGAATAGCATGTGTGAAGGCACTGAGCAGGAAAAGAATTGGGTATGGTACAAAGAATGAATGGAAAAGCAGTGTTCCAGCAGTGTGAGGGAGCAGGGGGCAGTGGCAGGCGAGGTGGGCAGAAGTAGGCCTGCAGAGTCTTCTTAGGCCATTTTTGGGTTTCATTCTGAGTACAGTGAAAAGCTATCAGCATTACTTTTTATTTAGGTTTTCTTTGTGCATAAGTCTTCTCACAGTGCTAACAAAGACATACCTGAGACTTGGTAATTTATAAAGAAAAAGAGGTTTAATAGACTCACAGTTCCATGTGGCTGGGGAGGCCTCACAATCATGGCAGAAGGCAAACGAGCAAAGTCACATCTTACATGGTGGCAGGCAAGAGAGAGCTTGTGTGGGGAACTGCCCCTCGTAAAATCATCAGATCTCGTGAGACATATTCACTATCATGAGGACAGCATGGGAAAGACCCGCCCCCATGATTCAATTACCTCCTATCCGGTCCCTCTCACAACACATGGGAATTATGGGAGCTACAATTCAAGATGAGATTTGCGTAGGGACACAGCCAAACCATATCACTTTGTAAGAGGTCACTGAAGACTGCTGTGGGGGGAATGGATTTGGGTAGTGGGAGAGGCACCAGAATGGATGTGAGGAGACCAGGTAGAGGTGACAGCAGCTCATGGTAGGCAAAGGTGATAATGGCTTGAACAGCTGTAGGTCAGCTGGCCAAAAATCAATTCCCTTCTAGCCAGTTTCCAAAAAAATAACTTGTCAAAAACAAATCACTTCCCCTAATGATCAATTAGCTGAGTTTTTTATTTTCCAAGTGACTGATTTACCATATTTATTAAATCTATTATACAAAATCTTAAAGCAGATTTGGGACAGATTCCCACAATCATTTTGGTGCCATCACCCCAAGAACAGAGAAAGGGACAGATTCAAAGGCAGGGGCAAGGGCAGGGTGAGGAGCGGATAAGGGCCCAGTATCTGAAACAGGAAGCAGAAGTCAAACTGACATTCAGTCAAGCTGGACTGACGGAGCTGCAGGAATGACTGCTGACAACCACGCAAGCTCACACTCAAAGAACTCCTCAGGATTCTGCCTAGTTGAATTCTCACAGTCATTCTGCAAACTTATTTTCAACCAGCTGACTTTCTTCCATCTTGAACTAGAATGGTGGCTGTAAGAATGGAAAGACTTTGGAAAGACATATGATACATTTTGTAGGTGAGATCAGCAAAACTGGCTGTTGGATTAATTTAGAAAGAAGGAGGAGGGTGTGTCAACAACAACTTTAAGGCTGATGGGTTGGATGTGTGGGGATGGTGAAGAGGAGGGATGGTCAAGAATGACTTCCAGGTTGCTGTTTCAACCACCTGAGGGATGGAGGTGCCAATTGCAGACATAATAAAGATGACAGGGCTGGGTGTGGTGGCTCACACCTGTAATCCCAACACTGGAAGGCCAAGGTGGGTGGATAACCTGAGGTCAGGGGTTCAAGACTGACCAACATGGTGAAACCCATATCTACTAAAAATACAAAATAAGCCAGGCATAGTGGCACATGCCTGTAGTCCCAGCTACTCGGGAGGCTGAGGCAGGAGAATCGCTTGAACCTGGGAGACAGAGGTTGCAGTGAGCTGAGATCATGCCATTGCACTCCAGCCTGGGTGACAAGAGCAAAACTCCATCTCAAAAAATAAAAATAATAAGATGACAGGAATAGGATTGAAGAGTAAGTTTGATTATGTTAAATTTGAGATGCTTGTGAGATAGACAAGTAGATATTTCATGTTTGTATTTAATATATGGTGAGCCCAAAAGAGAGGTAGGGGCTAGAGATATCAACTGTGGAATCAGACCTATAGAAAGCATTTAAACCATGGCAATAGACCACGGCACCTAGGGAAAGAATGTGGAATGAAAAAAGAAGGGAGCTAAGATCAAGCTGTGTCCAACATTAAAGGCCAAATACAGAAGGAGGAACCAGCAGAAGAGATAGAAAAGTATCTGGAAAGGAAAACTAGGAGTGTATATTATTACAGAAACAATAAATTATTTCTATTTTTTTTTCTTTTTTTTTTTTTTTTTGAGACAGAGTCTCGCTCTATTGGCAAGCTGGAGTGCAGTGGCGTGATCTCGGCTCACTGCAACCTCCGCCTCCCGGATTCAAGCAATTCTCCTGCCTCAGCCTCCTGAGTAGCTGGGACTACAGGTGCGTGCCACCACGCCCAGCTAATTTTTGTATTTTCAGTAGAGACAGGGTTTCACCATGTTGGCCAGGATGGTCTCGATCTCTTGACCTTGTGATCCACCCGCCTCGGCCTCCCAAAGTGCTGGGATTACAGGGGTGAGCCACTGTGCCCAGCCTAGGAAGAAATTATTTCAAATCAGGGAATAATTCAGTAGGTGGAACACTGCTGAGAGGCACAGATCATCCCACCATCAAATTTGCATTGGAAAGGTATTTTTCTGCTCATTATTAATGAAGATAGATAAATATGAAAAACAAAATGTAGCAAAGATAGAGATCTAAGAGAAAGTAAATACATTTGTTGTGATTGGTAAATAATTTAAATTACCAAAAAGATTTTGTGTTAAGCATGTCAGAGTGAAAGTATGCTCTTATCTCTAATTGTCTTAAAAATCCCTCTAAAATGACAATAAAAGAGGGGGAAATGGTATAAACTAGCAAGGAGGAAGAAAATGAGAGAGGAGACACGTGGAACAGGAAAAATATATATATGGCAAGCAGATGGACAAGGGGCAGCTGAAATATTAGAGTAGAGGAAGCTGAAATGTAGGTACGTACACTACAAAACACTGGGAAATTGGAGGCTCCAAGTATTGTGAAAGCTGGAAGTCAGGCAAAAGGCTAAAAGCAAGGGAACTGGTTCAAAGTCTTTGCAATCAGTAGCATCAATACACTCAGGCTCCCACATTTACACGATGCAGTGGATGGTAGGATAAAAATACCAAGAGATGTCAAGAAGGTTAACTAAAAGTCTGCACACTGAACTGTGAGCCAGCAAAGGCTGTTCCCTTCTCTACTTTGTTTACTTCAAAGTGCCTGCAAAAAAACTTATAGCCCAAAGCAGATGGTGACCTATAAAAGACCTATAGTGACAAGTGGGGGTCCCCCAGTGAAGATGCTGGCTGGCCACCCAGTTGTCCCACAATAAGGCCCATCAGTAAACGAAGAGCCAATACACATGAAGCTTCAAGAAAGAGACCAAATCACACAAAAAAGAATTCATAAGGAACAGAAATAACAGGGCAAAATAAAAAACTTTAAAACTATAGTATCCTAAAAGAGATACAAAAACACATTGAATCTATGAAACAAAAACAGGATGCTATTTTGAAAAGAGCATTCAGAGAACAAGAAAGAGCTCATAGAAATTAAAAATGTGATAGCTGGAATAAATATTTAGTCAGGGTTGGAAGATAAAGTAGAGGAAATCTCCTGGAAGTAGAAGAAAAAGACAGTAAGAGAGAAAACATAAGAACACCAGAGGATCAAGCCTGATGTCCCATCATACATCTAATAGGACTTCCAGAAAGAAAGAAGAGAGTAAACAGAAGGAAGAAATGATCAAAGAGTAATCCCCAGGAATGAAATACATGTGTTTTCAGACTGAGAGAAATCATTAAATACCCAGCAGAATAAATGAAAAATAAAACAAGGCACACCATAGTAAAATAGAATACCAGGGATAAATAGAGGATCTCAGACTAGAAAGAAAAAAAGTCACATAATGAAAAGCTGAAAGGTAAACACAATGGAAAATTAAGTTTGCATCTAAAATTGATAAACTGAGAAATCATGATACAAACATATTTAGAACGAGTTTTCTCAACCTGATGCCATTTACTCTGTTGTTGGGGGCCTGTCTTGTGCAGTGAAGGGCACTTAGCAGCACCCCTGGCCTTCACCCACTAGATGCCAGTAATACTCCCACCCGGTACCCACATCATGATAATCAAAAATGTCTCCAGACATCCCCAAATGTCTCCTGCCAGAAGTGGGGGTGGGGGAGCGCTCTCCTTTGAGAATGATGATTTAGGAAAATGGAGGTAAATAGAGAAAAACAGCTAAACGAGTTGGAAGTGATTGGCTCCGAGGAGCAAAACCTGGAGGAAGAGGGGTGAGCAGAAAAGAGCTGGCTCTTCCAGAGAGCCTTTGCTGCTTGGCTTTTTAAATCGTATGCATACATTTCTTTGCTAGAAATAAATTTTTTTAACAACATTCGAGTGACCATGTTATTATACATGAAGTTAGGATGCTTTCCCAACTCTTCTTTTGCTAAAGCTGTTTTCTCCACAGCATAACAGTGCATTAAATGAGTTTTCTAATTGTCCCAGAAATTTGGCTGAGCCCCCAAAGCTGAGAATAAAAAGGGCTTATTGCCTACACATTCTGAAGAGGGATGCCAGTCAATCTATCCCAAGCTATGAATGAATGACCCAGGCCCTCTTGAGTGTGTCACTTTAACAGAATATATGAGGGAACGAGGAGACTGATTTGGAATGAGAATTTTCCAGGGAGAGGTTAAAACCCTATCCATTTCCCCTCCACCTGTAGTCAAGTAAGAAAGGACTACAAGAAAGCTGCTCAGCGTGCTGAACAGTACCCCCTGGAGTTTGTGAAGACTGCTGCCTAATTCTTGCATGAAAAAGTCCAGCTGCTCTAAAAACTAGTTTTTAAAAAACTTTCAAGTGAACCTGCACATGGATGTTTATAGCAGCTTTATTCATAATTGCCAAACCTTGGAAGCAATCAAGATGGCCTTCAGTAGATGAATGGATAAACTGTGGTACATCCAAACAATGAAATATTCAATATTAAAAAGGAATGAGCTATCAAGCCATGAAAAGACATGAAGGAACCTTAAATGCTTATTACTTAGTGAAAGAAGTCAGCCTGGTGTAGCTTAATACTGTATGATCCCAACTGAATGACATTCTAAAAAAGGCCAAACTGGCCAGGCACAGTGACTTATGCCTGTAATCCCAGCACTTTGGGAGGCTGAGGTGGGCAGATCGCCTGAGCCTAGGAGTTCAAGACCAGCCTGGGAAACATGGGGAAACTCTGTCTCTACAAAAATTAGCCAGGTGTGATGGTACACACCTGTAGTCCCAACTACTAGGGAGGCTGAGGTGGGAGGATTGCTTGAGCCCGGGAGGTTGTGGCTGCATTGAGCCATGAACATGCCCCTGTACTCCAGCCTGGGTGACAGAGCAAGACCCTGTCTTAAAAAAAAAAAAAGGGGGGGGCAAAACTTCAAAGACAGTAAAAATATCATTAGTGTCCAGGGGATGGGGGGAGGGAAGTATGAATAGAGCACAGAGAATTTCTGAGCAGTGAAACTACTTTATATCACACTATCATGATGGCTACCTGTCATTGTACATTTGCATAGACTGTACCACACCAAGAGTAAACCTCATGTAAACTATGGACTTTGGGTGATAGTGATAGGTCAATGTAGGTTCATCACTTGTAACAGATGTGCCACTCTGGTGGGGGATGTTGATAGTGGGGGATGTTGATAGTGGGGGAGGCTGTGCATACATAAGGGCAGGGAATGTATGGAAAACCTCTGTATCTTTTGCTCAATTTGCTGTGAACCTAAACTGCTCTAAAAATTCTATTTAAAAAAAAATGTCTAAAGGATGATGTGAACTGCCTAGGACCGCAGAGTGAGGGAAAGAGTCCCCTAGAGGGTGTGACCTGCACTTCCAAAGTTTCTTGGGAGTAAAATGTCAAGCTTTCCCATTGAGTAACTGGAAGGTAATGAGACTTGGCCCATTTGATAGGTACCTGCCTAAGAAGACTGCCTACAGGATGAGCATACACCAGCCAAAAGAACGTGGAAGGCTGTACCTTCTGATAAGAGTCGGAGGAGGGATATCTAAGAGTCAGGAGGAGGGAGCATTACATAGGTTAGGGCATAGTAACTGAGAGTCCCTTATTGCAAAGGGGTCTCCAGAGAACCCACAAAAACACCCCATTGGAGAACGAGCTCGCATTTGTGAGTCAACACCAAATTACAATGACAACCACTAAGATAAGACTTTTTTCTGCTTTTATCTAATTTGTGAAAGAATAAAGCAGAAAAAAAAATCACCCACTGGCAAAAAGGAGATGACAATGCAAAGTTTCTCAGCTTGGACTCTATCAGCACCAAGGTAAGATGATGTGCAGGACTGGGGTAGGGCAGGTTGCAGCTTAAATTAAGATGGGCTTCACTCGTTCATCAGAAATAAAGAACCAAGAGAAAAACACATGTAACACCTCTGTCTTCTAATGATCCCCCATTTCTGTTTGGTTTTTAATCCCACAGGCTTAGCCTTTGCAATGCTGGCAGCTGTGCCTCCAATATTTGGCCTGTACTCTTCATTTTACCCTGTTATCATGTATTGTTTTCTTGGAACCTCCAGACACATATCCATAGGTAAAAGCTTACATTTGATATTCTATTACCTTTCCTTGTGTATTTCCAACCTTGCAATGTGCCAAAGAAATAGCATGGTCATTATTAAAAATTGTCTTAATAACAACTTTTGTTACTGCATACACAATAGGTGCTTTAAAAACCTACACTCGGCCAGGTGCGGTGGCTCATCCCTGTAATCCCAGCACTCTGGGAGGCCGAGGCGGGCAGATCGTCTGAGGTCAGTAGTTCGAGACCAGCCAGACCAACATAGTGAAACCCCATCTCTTTGTAAAAATACAAAAATTTGCCAGGCTTGGTGAGGGGTGACTGTAATCCCAGCTACTCAGGAGGCTGAGGCAGGAGAATCGCTTCAACCTGGGAGGCAGAGATTGCAGTGAGCTGAGATCACACCACTGCACTCCAACCTGGGCAACAGAACGAGACTCTGTCTCAAAAAAAAAAAAAACAAAAAAAAAACTACACTCCTCCCAAGATTTCTAGAACTTACAATTTTCTTATAATCTTGGGATAATAAAAAAGACAATTTTCTTGTGTAAAAGGGCAATTGTTGAAATCTGTGAAATGAGATAAATGCTTGATTTCATAATGTAATTTGCCAGCTTCTGGTTTTTATTTTTATACTAATGGTAGTACTTCAAGTTCCTAATCGCTATGCATGTATTTCATTTTTGTCATATTTTGGGCTCTGAATTGTACATATTTTCAGTTTATCAGGGGCATATGGATTTCATAATAGTTCTGGTGCTGCATAAGGCTACTACCTAACACACACATACTTTCCAGATATCTACTGTTTGGTAACAAATACCCCCAAAATGTAGCAGCTTTACAACAACAATCATGTTTGTATCTTCCATAGTGCCTGCAGTTCAGGACTTGGGAAGGGCTGGTCTGGGTAATTCTTCCTCTCTCCCTTTTTCCTCCCTCCCTTCCCTCTTCCCTGCCTTCCTTTCTCCATGCAGTCCCAGGAATTCTCCACTTGGCCTAGTTGGAGCTTTCTTACACATGGTGACTTAGGGCTTCAGCAGAAGGTGGAAACTGCAGCCCTTTTATTACCTAGCCTGAGAAGTCACACAACGTCACTTCTGCTGCATTCTTTTGATTACTAACAAGTCAAAGCCAAGCCAGATTCAAGGAGAGAGAAATTAGACTCCACCTCTTGATGGGGAAATGTCAAGAAGACTCTGTGGATGGAAGATATTGCTATGTCTATTTTTGGAAAATACAGTCTGCATGCGCACACACGCACACACACGGTTGCTCATACACCAGGGGCAGGACACTAAAGAAGGGAGCGTAGCCTTCCTTCAAGCATGATTTCTTGACCTCACCTTTGTCTCTTGGTGTACTGGCAAAAACCATATCAGATACTCTGAACCCTGAACAGGGATCTTCATGCTTCATTATTTCAGGTCCTTTTGCTGTTATTAGCCTGATGATTGGTGGTGTAGCTGTTCGATTAGTACCAGATGATATAGTCATTCCAGGAGGAGTAAATGCAACCAATGGCACAGAGGCCAGAGATGCCTTGAGAGTGAAAGTCGCCATGTCTGTGACCTTACTTTCAGGAATCATTCAGGTAAGGCTCAAAGATGGGGAAATGGACTGTCTCGTTTGTTAACCTAACAAGTATCTACTGAGTGCTCTTGGCTGGTCTTACTACACGGTGGATGGGGTCAGCCAGAAAAACCCCAGAGCTCTGGGAGTAACTGCAGACCAACTGCATGCCATATTCACAACTATGAGTGACGAGCAAGCAAGCTTCAGGTGGGTGTTTTAAAGATCCCAAAAGCAAGACAAGTTTGACACGGCAGGATTGGTTAGTGCTGGGAGAGGACATTCCTCTCTGCTTGGAAGAAACAGCCAGTGATCATGATCATGCACTTTAGTCTACATGATGAAGCATGCCCCCAGCTCAATGAGAGACAGGGAAGGCATTAGTGTGGTCAGCGCACTGTGGGGCACCAAGCCACTCCAGACCTTCCATTGTTTTCTGTATAACCAGTGGTTGATTTTCTAGCTACTTACCCACTTGAGGTACAAGTTTGCAGTGTTAGAAAATGGTCCAGAGGCTGGGCGCGGTGGCTCACACCTTTAATCCCAGCACTTTGGGAGGCTGAGGCAGGCGAATCACAAGGTCAGGAGTTCGAGACCACCCTGGGCAACATAGTGAAACCCCGTGTCTACTAAAAATACAAAAATTAGCCGGACATGGTGGCACACACCTTTAGTCCCAGCTACTCAGGAGGCTGAGGCAGGAGAATCGCTTGAACCCGGGAGGCAGAGGTTGCAGTGAGCTGAGACTGTGCCACTGCCTGGGTGACAGAGCAAGACTCCATCTCAAAAAAAAAAGAAAATGGTCAAGAAAGAACTTGTATATTTGCTGTGGGTCATAACTTCCTGACCTATCATGTGATTCATTTGTTTCTTTGTCATTAAAAAAAAATAGTTTTGCCTAGGTGTCTGTAGGTTTGGATTTGTGGCCATATATCTCACAGAGCCTCTGGTCCGTGGGTTTACCACCGCAGCAGCTGTGCATGTCTTCACCTCCATGTTAAAATATCTGTTTGGAGTTAAAACAAAGCGGTACAGTGGAATCTTTTCCGTGGTGTATGTAAGTAAGAAACTACCTGACGTTCTGGTACTTTTCTCTTTATTCCCCCCAACCTTCTCTTCTGTATCTCTTTTTACTTTCAAGACTCATTTTTCTTTTTCTCCAGTAATTTCCATAAAAAGGGAAAAATTCATTTATTCTAAGGTTTTCTGAAAAGAGTGTTACAAAGAGAACTAAACCTTAAAATCTCTGTTATTAATATGTGATACTGCCTACTTCACAAGGAATTTTTTGCTAGGTCTTTATTTGGTGACTGCACCATCACTCTAGGTAAAGAGAGAGCTTTTTCTTACAACTAAATCATGATCTTTTTGGAAACTAACAAATAATTTAAAGGCATGAAGGTAGAACATTTCTCTCTCAAAAACTGCTAATTAAGGCCGGGCGTGGTGGCTTATGCCTGTAATCCCAGCACTTTGAAAGGGCTAGATGGGCGGATCACGAGGTCAGGAGATCGAGACTATCCTGGCTAACAAGTGAAACCCCGTCTCTACTAAAAATAGAAAAAAATTAGCCAGGTGTGGTGGCGGGCACCTGTGATCCCAGCTACTCAGGAGGCTGAGACAGGAGAATGGCGTGAACCCGGGAGGTGGAGCTTGTAGTGACCCGAGATCCCATCACTGCACTCCAGCCTGAGCGACAGAGCAAGACTCTGTCTCAAAAAAAAAACAAAACCTGCTAGTTCAAACTGGCAAAAAATAAGTAAGGCTATAAAAGATTTAACTAACATGAATCTTTTAATTATATAGACCCCTTACCAAACACAGAGAAAATATAAATTATTTGCAAGCACTTAAGGAACAATGGTAATAACTGATCATGTTGAAATCGATCATGTGAAACTGATCACAAATTCTAAAAATTCAATGTTTTTTCACACAGTGCAATATAATAAAAAAATCAAAAACTAAACATAGCTTTAAAACTCCCATATATTTAGAAACCAAAAAACATTTCTAAATGACCCATGAATAAAGAGGGAATTAGGAAATAATTAGAATTAATTGACAGTAGAAGTACTACATATCAAAACCTCTGAGATGCTGTTAAAGCTATCCTTGAAAAGAGAGGCCTGTTGCCTTTGTAGGTATTTATGTGCCAGACACTGCTAGGTGCCAAGATGCAGCTGTGAGCTAAGAAGATACAGGCCTTGCCCTCTGGAGCTTTCAGTACAGTGGGAAGATTGTAAACCATTAATCGCATACATGTGTAGTCAATTACAATTTGTGTTGAGTGCTATGAAGAAGAAGTACCAGCTGCTCTGAAAGTTAAATAGGGAGACCTTTAGATTAGGGGTCTAGGAAAGGCACTTTGACATTTAAGTTGAGTCCCTGACTGATAAAAATGGAATCAGGCTTTAGGAATATTCTCTAAATAACAAAATTCTTAGTTTCCCATAATAGCTATTATCATACTTCTTACTCTGAGACTTGTCGAAATGCCTTGTCACAAAGGAAATAAAACATACTGAGTACTCTAGGCATCGATAGGAAAGGGTGCATGTTGTGGGCTGAGTGGGAAGTCTACTTTATTGGGTTTCAAATGAGAACTGACTATATTTGAGGTGCCCAGTTGGTAACCCTAGGATATAATTAAGTGGATTTGTTCTCTAGTTCTCCTAGGTTCCTTTCCCAAACATCAGCACTCTTGACTTCAAAGTCCTGCTAACAATAATTTCTCTCTCTTTGAGCTCCTAAAAGCTTTTCAATGTATTTACCTTTGGAGTACTTTGCTATCAACCCTTAATTCTTTCCAATTGCTCAGGACTCAGCTTCAGGGTTCCTTTTCTGGATTTTATAATATTACATTGAGACATCAGCATATGATAAGAATAATTGTTTGATAAGAATAACTATAAGGCTGGGCACAGTGGCTCACACCTGTAATCCCAGAACTTTGGGAGGCCGAGGCAGGCAGATGACTTGAGGTCAGGAGTTCGAGACCAGCCTGACCAACATGGTGAAACTCCGTGTCTACTAAAAATACAAAAATTAGCTGGGTGTGGCGGCAGGCACCTGTAATCCCAGCTACTCAGGAGGCTGAGGCAGGAGAATTGCTTGAACCTGGGAGGCAGAGGTTGCAGTGAGCCAAGATCATGCCACTGCACTGCAGCCTGGGCAACAGAGCAAGACTGTGTCTCAAAAATAAATAAATAAATAAATAACAACTATAAAAAGAAAAGAGTAACAACTATAAAGTTGTAGACTGGGTAAAAATGCCTCCTAATTGGTAGAAGCTACAAAGAGAGATTTCAGCCTTGGAACTTTCCACTAGAAATATCCAATAACGGAATGGCTGGTGTGAATTAGTGCGCTAGAGTGTCTCTGTCTCTCTCAGGGGCGATTTCTTGATGTAAACATCCAGCATTCACTGTGTTACAGAGTACAGTTGCTGTGTTGCAGAATGTTAAAAACCTCAACGTGTGTTCCCTAGGCGTCGGGCTGATGGTTTTTGGTTTGCTGTTGGGTGGCAAGGAGTTTAATGAGAGATTTAAAGAGAAATTGCCGGCGCCTATTCCTTTAGAGTTCTTTGCGGTAAGTCACCTTCGGTCAGTGACCTACTCGGCTTCTACAACTGCATTTACTTATTTCTGTGAGGGATTTTGAAGTGGATGAAAGGAATTTTTTGCTCTCAATTCTGCCAAAAGAAGGTTACAATTTGTCAAATTTGACAAATTCATTGACAAGAAAGTAAAAAGAAAAAGCCTTAAAACATAGACACAGATGATTTTTTAAATTATATGTAAGACTCTGCATGAAAATTTTAACATTAATTACAAGTGATGGGATTATGGAGGATTTTCTCCTCAAATTTTTATTGGCTAATTGTTTTGTAATGAGTACATATTACTTTAATAACCTAAAAAAGAAATCCATTTCCATTTTGACAAAGCAAAGGTTCCCAAACTTTCTCCATCCCTTGACACTCCTGAGCCAAAAGAAATACCTCACAGTTCCACTTATTAAGTAGTTAGGTCCACTTTAATAATATTTATGTTTAACAACTTCGTAGTTGTTTATAAAAATATGCACATAAATTGGAATAAAAATATTTTATTATGTTCTTAAGTAACCACAATTATGTAATCATGGAATGCATATGCCTGATGGGAACTGCTTAGATCCTCAAACCTCTGAATCAAAAAGGACAATGCTACCTTCATTTCCTGTTCACATGAATATGTATGTGGTTCCTGCTTTTTCATCACAGCAACCACTGAACACCCAGCTTTGCAAAGATATGGCATTATTGAAAGGAACACAGTGTTCAAACTGTGAACTATTGCCAACTAGAAGTTTGCACAGTGCCCAATAGATGTCACTGTTTCACTGGGGACCTTTTAATATCCAAAGTGTCCCACAGAGTGCCCTTAGCACCCTGGGGCTTGTTTGCACGTGTGTGGGAGCGGCAAGGATAAGAAATGAAGAGTCGTCTAGGTGTGGTGACTCCACATCTGTAATCCTAGCACTTTGGGAGGCCAAGGCGGGCAGATCACTTGAGGCCAGGAGTTCGAGGCCAGCCTGGCTAACATGGTGAAACCCCGTCTCTACTAAAAATACAAAAAATTAGATGTGGTGAAATGCACCTGTAATCCCAGCTACTTGGGAGACTGAGGCATGAGAATTGCTTGAACCTGGGAGGCAGAGGTTGCAGTGAGCCAAGATCACACCTCTGCACTCCAGCCTGGGTGACAAAGCAAGATTTTGTCTCAAAAGAAATGAAGAGTACATTTGGGGGTAAAGGGCTGGCAAGATGGCCGAATAGGAACAGCTCTGGTCTGCAGCTCCCTTCGAGATCAACACAGAAGGTGGGTGATTTCTGCATTTCCACCTGAGGAATCCGGCTCACCTCATTGGGCATGGTTAGACAATGGATGCAGCCCACAGAGGGCAAGCTGAACCAGGGTGGGGCATCACTTCACCCAGGAAGCGCAAGGGGTCAGGGAATTCCCTCCCTTAGCCAAGGGAAGCTGTGAGGTACTGTGCTGTGAGGAACAGTGCATTCTGGCCCAGACACTATGCTTTTCTCATGGTCTTCACAACCCACAGACTAGGAGACTCCCCTGGGTGCCTACACCACCAAGATTCCCTTGGATTTCAAGCACAAAACTGGGCAGCTATTTGGGCAGACACTGAGCTAGCTGCAGGAGTTTTTTTCATACCCCAGTGGTGCCTGGAACACCAGTGAGACAGAGCCATTCACTCCCTTGGAAAGGGGGCTAAAGGCAGGGAGCCAAGTGGTCTAGCTCAGCGGATCCCACCCCTGCAGAGCCCAGAAAGCTAAGCTCCATTGGCTTGAAATTCTCACTGCCACCACAGCAGTCTGAAGTCAACCTGGGACGCTTGAGCTTGGTGGGGGGAGGGGCATCTGCCATTACTGAGGCTTCAGTAGGCGGTTTTCCCCTCACAGTGTAAACAAAGCCACCTGGAAGGTCCAACTGGGTGGATTCCACCGCAGCTCAGCAAAGCTGCTGTAGCCAGACTGCTTCTCTAGATTCCTCCTCTCTGGGCAGGGCATCTCTGAAAGAAAGGCAGCAGCCACAATCAGGGGCTTATAGATAAAACTCCCATCTCCCTGGGACAGAGAACCTGGGGGAAGGGGCAGCTGTGGGCGCAGCTTCAGCAAACTTAAACATTCCGGTCTGCCAGCTCTGAAGAGAGCACCAGATCTCCTAGCACAGCATTCGAGCTCTGCTAAGGGTCAGACTGCCTTCTCAAGTGGGACCCCCGTAACTCCTGACTGGGAGACACCTCCCAGTAGGGGCCAAAGACACCTCATCCAGGGGATCTCTGGCTGGCATATGGCGGGTGCCCCTCTGGGACAAAGCTTCTGGAGGAAGGAACAGGTAGCAATCATTGCTGTTCTGCAGCCTTCGCTGGTGATACCCAGGCAAACAGGGTCTGGAATGGACGTCAGCAAACTCCAGCACACCTGTAGCAGAGGGGCCTGACTGTTAGAAGGAAAACTAACAAACAGAAAGGAATAGCATCAACATCAACAGAAAGGACGTCAACATAAAAACCCCATCCGAAGGTCACCAAGAGCAAAGACCAAAGGTAGATAAATCCATGAAGATGAGGAAAAACCAATGCAAAAAGCTGAAAATTCCAAAAGCCAGAACACCTCTTCTCCTTCAAAGGATCACAACTCTTCACCAGCAAGGGAACAAAAGTGGATGGAGAATGAGTTTGACGAATGGACAGAAGTAAGCTTCAGAAGGTGGGTAATAACAAACTCCTCCGAGCTAAAGGAACATATTCTAACCCAATGCAAGGAAGCTAAGAACCTTGAAAAAAGGTTAGAGGAATTGCTAACTAGAATAACCAGTTTAGAGAAGAACATAAATGACTTGATGGAGCTGAAAAACACAGCACAAGAATTTCATGAAGCATACACAAGTATAAATAGTCAAATCAAACAGAAGAAAGGGTATCAGAGATTGAAGATCAACTTAATGAAATATAGTGTAAAGACAAGATTAGAGGAAAAAAAAAGAATGAAAAGGAATGAACAAAGCCTCCAGGAAATATGGGACTGTGTGAAAAGACCAAACCTACGTTTGACTGGTGTACCTGAAAGTGACGGGGAGAATGGAACCAAGTTGGAAAACACTCTTCAGGACATTATCCAGGAGAACTTCCACAACCTAGCAAGACAGGCCAACAGTCAAATTCAGGAAATACAGAGAACACCACAAAGATACTCCTCAAGAAGAGCAACCCCAAGACACATAATCATCAGATTCACCAAGGTTGAAATGAAGGAAAAAATGTTAAGGGCAGCCAGAGAGAAAGGTCGGGTTACCCACAAAGGGAACCCCATCAGACTAATAGCGGATCTATCTGCAGACACCCTACAAGCCAGAAGACAGTGGGAGCCAATATTCAACATTCTTAAAGAAAATTTTCAAACCAGAATTTCACATCCAGCCAAACTAAGCTTCATAAGCAAAGGATAAATGAAATCCTTTACAGACAAGCAAATGCTGAGAGATTTTGTCACCACCAGGCCTGCCTTACAAGAGCTCCTGAGAAAGCACTAAATGTGGAAAGGAAAACCCGGTACCAGCCACTGCAAAAACAAATGAAAATGTAAAAAGCATCGATACTGTGAAGAAACTGCATCAACTAATGGGCAAAATAACCAGCTAGCATCATAATGACAGGATCAAATTCACACATAACAATATTTTTTTTTTTTGAGACAAAGTCTTGCTCTTGTCCCCCAGGCTGGAGTGCAATGGTGCGATCTCGGTTCACTGCAACTTCCGCTTCCCGGGTTCAAGCAATTCTCCTGCTTCAGCCTCCTGAGTAGCTGGGATTACAGGTGCCTGCCACCACGCCCAGCTAGTTTTTGTATTTTTAGCAGAGACTGGGTTTCACCATGTTGGCCAGGCTGGTCTCGAACTCCTGACCTCAGGTGATCTGCCTGCCTTAGCCTCCCAAAGTGCTGGGATTACAGGCGTGAGCCACCGCACCTGGCCCACGCATAACAATATTAACCTTAAATGTAAGAGGGCTAAATGCCCCAACTGAAAGACACAGATTGGCAAATTAGATAAAGAGTCAAAACCCATCAGTGTGCTGTATTCGGGAGACTCATCTCATATACAAAGACACACATAGTCTCAAAATAAAGGGATGGAGGAAGATATACCAAGCAAATGAAAAGCAAAAAAAAAAAAAAAAGCAGGGGATTGCAGTTCTAGTCTCTGATAAAACAGACTTTAAACCAACAAAGATCAAAAAAGACAAGGGCATTACATAATGATAAAGAGATCAATGCAGCAAGAAGAGGTAACTACCCTAAATATATATGCACCCAATACAGGAGCACCCAGATTCATAAACCAAGTCCTTAGAGACCTACAAAGAGACTTAGACTCCCACACAATAATAGTGGGAGACTTTAACACCCCACTGTCAATATGAGACAGGTCAATGACACAGAAAATTAGCAAGCATATTCAGGACTTGAACTCAGCTCTGGACCAAGCAAACCTAATAGACATCTACAGAACTCTTCACCCCAAATCAACAGAATATTCATTCTTCTCAGCACCACATCACTCTGATTCTAAAATTGACCTCATAATTGGAAGTAAAACACTTAGCAAATACAAAAGAATGGAAATCATAACAAACAGTCTGTCAGACCACAGTGCAGTCAAATTAGAACTCACGATCAAGAAACTCACTCAAAACTGCATAACTACATGGAAACTGAAAAACCTGCTCCTGAATGACTACTGGGTAAATAACAATATTAAGGCAGAAATAAATAAGTTATTTGAAACCAATGAGAACAAAGACACAACGACCAGAATCTCTGGGACACAGCTAAAACAGTGTTTAGAGGGAAATTTATAGCACTAAATGCCCACAGGAGAAAGTGGGAAAATCTAAAATCAACACCCTAACATCACAATTAAAATAACTTGAGAAGGAAGAGCAAACAAATCCAAAAGCTGGCAGAAGACAAGAAATAACTAAGATCAGAGCAGAACTGAAGGAGATAGAGACAAGAAAAACCCTTCAAAAAAATCAATGAATCCAGGAGCTGGTTTTCTGAAAAGATTAACAAAATAGATAGACTATTAGCCAGACTAATAAGAAGAATCAAATAGGCACAGTAAAAAATGAGAAAGGGGATATCACCACTGCTCCCACAGAAATACAAACTACTGGCTGGGCACGGTGGCTCACGCCTGTAATCCGAGCACTTTGGGAGGCCGAGGCAGGCAAATCAGAAAGTCAAGAGATCAAGACCATATTGGCCAACATGGTGAAATCCCCTCTCTATTAAAAATAAAAAAAATTAGCCAGACATGGTGGCACATGCCTGTAGTCCCAGCTACTTGGGAGGTTGAGGCAGGAGAATCACTTGAATCTGGGAGGCAGAGGTTGCAGTGAGCCAAGATCACACTAGTGCACTCCAGCCTGGGCAACAGAGCGAGAATGAGACTCTGTCTCAAAAAAAAAAAAAAAAAAGAGCAATACGTACAAACTACCATCAGAGAATACTATAAACACCTCTATGCAAATTAACTAGAAAATCTAGAAGAAATGGATAAATTCCTGGACACATACACCCTCCCAAGACTAAACCAGGGGGAACTTGAATCCCTGAATAGACCAATAACAGGCTCTGAAATTGAGGCAGCAATTAATAGCCTACCACCAAAAAAAAGTCCAGGACCAAATGGATTCACAGCCGAATTCTACCAGAGGTACAAAGAGAAGCTGGTACCATTCCTTCTGAAACTATTCCAAACAATAGAAAAAGAGGGAATCCTCCCTAACTGATTTTATGATGCCAGCATCATCCTGCTACCAAAACCTGGCAGAGACACAACAACAAAAAAAAGAAAATTTCAGGCCAGCATCCCTGATGAATATCGATGCGAAAATCCTCAATAAAATACTGGCAAACTGAATCCAGCAGCACATTAAAAAGCTTGTCCACCATGATCAAGTCAGCTTCATCCCTGGGATGCAAGGCTGGTTCAACATACACAAATCAATAAACATAGTCCATCACATAAACAGAACCAATGACAAAAACCACTTGATTATCTCAATAGATGCAGAAAAGGCCTTCAAGGAAATTCAACAGCCCTTCAAGCTAAAAACTCTCAAATGAGGTATTGATGGAACATATCAAAATAATAAGAGCTATTTATGACAAACCCACAGCCAATATCATACTGAATAGGCAAAAACTGGAAGCATTCCCTTTGAAAACCAGCACAAGAAAAGGATGCCCTCTCTCACCACTCCTATTCAACATAGTATTGGAAGTTCTGGCCAGGACAATCAGGCAAGAGAAAGAAATAAAGGGTATTCAAATAGGAAGAGAGGAAGTCAAATTGTCTGTTTGCAGGTGACATTATTTTATATTTAGAAAAACCCTTCGTATCAGCCCCAAATCTCCTTAAGCTGATAAGCAACTTCAGCAAAGTATCGGGATACAAAATCAATGTGCAAAAATCACAAGCATTCCTATACATCAAAAATAGAGAGCCAAATCATGAGCAAACTCCCATTCACAATTGCTCCAAAGAGAAGAAAATGTCTATGAATACAACTTATAAGGGATGTGAAGGACCTCTTCAAGGAGAACTACAAACCACTGCTCAAGGAAATCAGAGAGGACACAAACAAATGGAAAAACATTCCATGCTCATGGATAGGAAGAATCAAAATCGTGAAAATGGTCATACTGCCCAAAGTAATTTATAGAATTTATAGATTCAATGCTATCCCCATCAAGCTACCACTGACTTTCTTCACAGAATTAGAAAAAACTACTTTAAATTTCACATGGGACCAAAAAAGGGCCCGCATAGCCAAGACAATCCTAAGCAAAAAGAACAAAGCTGGATGCAACACGTTACCTGACTTCAAACTATACTACAAGGCTACAGTAACCAAAACAGCATGGTACTGGTACCAAAACAGATATATAGACCTGTGGAACAGAACAGAGGCCTCAGAAATAACACCACACATCTACAACCATCTGATCTTTGACAAACTTGGCAAAAACAAGCATGGGGAAAGGATTCCCTATTTAATAAATGGTGTTGGGAAAACTGGCTAGCCATATGTGGAAAACTGCACCCCTTTCTTACACCTTATACAAAAATTAACTCAAGATGGATTAAAGACTTAAATGTTAAGGCCTAAAACCGTAAAAACCCTGGAAGAAAACCTAGGCAGTACCATTCAGGACATAGGCATGGGCAAAGACTTCATGACTAAAACACCAAAAGCAATGGCAACAAAAGCCAAATTGACAAATGGGATCTAATTAAACTAAAGAGCTTCTGCACAGCAAAAGAAACTACCGTCAGAGTGAACAGGCAACCTACAGAATGGGAGAAAATTTTTGCAATCTGTCCATCTGACAAAGGGCTAATATCCAGAATCTACAAGGAACTTAAACAAATTTACAAGAAAAAAACAACCCTATGAAAAAGTGGGCAAAGGCTATGAACAGACACTTTTCAAAAGAAGACGTTTATGCAGCCAACAAACATATGGAAAAAAGCTCATCATCACTGGCCATTAGAGAAATGCAAATCAAAACCACAACGGGATACCATCTCATGCCAGTTAGACTGGTGATCATTTAAAAATCAGGAAACAACAGATGCTGGAGAGGGTGTGGAGAAATAGGAATGCTTTTACACTGTTGGTGGGAGTGTAAATTAGTTCAACCATTGTGGAAGACAGTGTGGTGATTCCTCAAGGATTTAGAACTAGAAATACCATTTGACCCAGCAATCCCGTTACTGGGTATATACCCAAAGGATTATAAATCATGCCACTATAAAGACACATCCACACATGTGTTTATTGCAGCACTATTCACAATAGCAAAGACTTGGAACCAACCCAAATGCCCATCAATGATAGACTGGATAAAGAAAATGTGGCACATATACACCATGGAATACTATGCAGCCATAAAAAAGGATGAGTTCATGTCCTTTGCAGGGACATGGATGAAGCTGGAAACCATCATTCTCAGCAAACTAACACAGGAACAGAAAACCAAACACCACATGTTCTCACTTGCAAGTGGGAGTTGAACAATGAGAACACATGGACACAGGCAGGGGAACATCACACACTGGGGCCTGTCCATGGGTCAGGGGCTGAGGAGGGATAGCATTAGGAGAAATACCTAATGTAGATGATGGTTGATGGGTGCAGCAAACCACCATGGCACTTGTGTATGTATGTAACCTGCACATTCTGCACATGTATCCCAGAACTTAAAGTATAATAAATTTAAAAATTTAAAAAAGAAGTGAAGAGTATAGGTGTCTGATCCAAATTATAACAACAAGTTCTAGCTGTGGAAACAACTGGCTGGCGTAGCTCACAAGGAAGCAATACCTTCAAACCTTTTCTTTTCCTCAGTCTTGTCTACATGGCATTAGAACCTTTTAACAGGCAAAACAAAACGAAATGTATCTCTAACAGTTTCAAAACCTCTTCTCTCACTGGGGCTAGGCACAGAGTTCCCATTTTGACTTGGAGTACAGCAAGAGGTTCTGAGCACCTTTGCGTGGGAAAGAAGTCAGGCAAGCCCCAATTATGAAGTAAATGACCAGCTTGCCTCTCCTGCTTTGGGTTACTAATTCTGTTTCCCAGATTCCCTTTAAAGACTCTTCCATGTTTCCCAGGGGAATGGTTTCCCAGAATTCTAGAAAGTTTAGGGACAGCATCTTTATGACTCCCTTTAAGTGTCAAATTTATTTTTTATTATAAAAATATTTTTTGAGTTTTGCATTCAATTTTATAATACATCTGTTTGTCTTGATAAGAAAACAATGGTTTAAATTACTTAACCACTGTATAAAATTATAGCTCCAGGAGCTTGAGCCATATATATTCTGTGGATTTGAATACTCTAGGCACTCCCCTAGTTAGAGATGCACAAAAAATGCAATTAAGGGTGATGAAAATAATTGTCATCAACAGAAAAGGATCCTCCCATCAAAAGAGCCAGAATCACCCATGCCCCTGGTCTCCCAGGCTGCTGTTTCTGATAATAAGTTTATTATTTGTTTCCTGCAGTGGCCCTCCTCAGGAGGGGCTGGCTTCCTTCCCTGGCCAGCTCTAATTTCTTCTCTGTTGGGTAACTCACTCAGAAAGCTCTATAGGCAATAGTTCCTGGGCGTGGAGCAAATTGCTATCTCACCTTTTGTTTTGTTTCTCTTGCAACTCATTAGGGATTGTACTTTACACCCCAAGTAAATCTATGCCCTGCCAATCCAGGATGGGCGTATGTAAAGTGACCCTCTGTTTGATGTACCCTTCTACCCTGACTTTGTAGCTGAAATGAGAGGAGACAGCTATGGGTTGCTGCTGGGGCCCTATCACCACACTTAGGGCTGCTGTCCCAGAAACAGGATCACCAGGAGGATTCTAAATCCAGATGTACATTTTGTAATCATACAGTGTCATTGTACCACCCTCGAAGTACAGAGTTAAATATCCTTTATTCATAACATTGTGGCCAGAGACTCATTTCACCACCCTAAAGGTAAGGTCAACGTTTGAAAGGCTTTATGGCCTTTTTCTGTAGCAGTCAACTAGCCAGACGCCTTAGTATAGAAAAGGACAAAGCATGAAGAAAATGCCAGGTCATAAACTCTGTAGAGTTCATTTTAATTATGTGGGGTAGGGTCATTAAGAGAAGTTAGAATTGTTGAAGCTAATGGTAAATCTTCTTTTTAAATCTGAATGTTAAAAGTGAGAATAGATTTGACTTGACTAACATATTATTTGAAGCTGATTTTTGCAGTATTTGAACATTCATCTCTAAAGGTGCATTTGGATTTGTGTCTTTTTAGGTCGTAATGGGAACTGGCATTTCAGCTGGGTTTAACTTGAAAGAATCATACAATGTGGATGTCGTTGGAACACTTCCTCTAGGGTAGGAAAGTGGTTTTAAGTAACTGTGTGACTGAAATAATCAATGGATCTATTGCCTCTAACTCTTACATTAGTTCTCTTGCAATGAAAAATAATCTTTTTTCTATACATCAAATAGCTGAGGGCTTTAGGGGGATTGGGTGCATTTTATTTTTATTTTTATTGTAGTAAAAAACACATAACAAATTTTTGTCTTAACCTTTTTTTTTTTTTTTTGAGACGAAGTCTCACTCTGTCGCCTGGGCTGGAGTGCAGTGGCGCCTTCTCTGCTCACTGCAACCTCCGTCTCCCAGGTTGAAGCGATTCTGCTGCCTCAGCCTCCCAAGTAGCTGGGATTACAGGCGTATGCTACCACACCTGGCTAATTTTTTTTTTTTTTTTTTTTTTTTTTTGAGATGGAGTCTTGCTCTGTCCCCCAGGCTGGAGTGCAGTGGCATGATCTCGGCTCACTGCAAGCTCCGCCTCCTGGGTTCATGCCATTCTCCTCCCTCAGCCTCCCGAGCAGCTGGGACTACAGGCACCCGCCACCACGCCCGGCTGATTTTTTGTATTTTTAATAGAGACGGGGTTTCACCATGTTAGCCAGGATGGTCTCAATTTCCTGACCTCGTGATCCACCCGCCTTGGCCTTCCAAAGTGCTGGGATTACAGGCATGAGCCACCACACCCGGCTAATTTTTATATTTTTAGTAGAGACAGGGTTTCTCCATGTTGGCCAGGCTGGTCTCAAACTCCTGACCTCAGGTGATCCGCCCGCCTCAGCTTCCCAAAGTGCTGGAGTGCTGGGATTACAGGTGTGAGCCACTGTGCTTGGCTTTTTTTTTTTTTCTTTTTTTTTGAGACCGAGTCTCACTCTGTTGCCCAGGCTGGAGTGCAATGGCACAATCTCGGCTCACTGCAACCTCTGCCTCTGAGGTTCAAGTGATTCTCCTGCCTGAGCCTCCTGAGTAGCTGGGATTACAGGTGTGTGCCACCACATCCAACTAATTTTTATATTTTTAGTAGAGACAGGGTTTCACTATGTTGGCCAGGCTGGTCTCGAACTCCTGACCTCATGTGATCCGCCCGCCTCAGCTTCCCAAAGTGCTGGGATTATAGGCATGAGCCACCACGCCCAGCAAATCTTAATCATTTTTAAGTGTACAGTTCAGTAGTGTTAAATATATCCCCATTATTGTAAAGCGTATCTCCAGGACTTTTTCACCTTGCAAATCTGTAACTCTCCACCCCTTAAGCAAGAGCTTCCTCTTTTCTTCTTCCCCCAGCCCCCAGTAACCACCGTTCATCTTTCTGTTTTTATGAATTTGACTTCTCTAGATGCCTCATGTAAGTGGAATCATACAGCATTTGTCTTTTCGTGACTGGCGTATTTCACTTAGCATAATGTCTTCAGAGTTTGTCTATATTGTAGCATATGACAGTATTTTCTTCCCTTCTTAAGGCCGAATAATATTCCATTGTGGATATACACTGTATTTTATTTCTCCATGCATCCACTGATGAGCACGTGGGTTGCCTTTACCTCTTGGCTATTGTGAATAGTGCAGCTGTGGATATGGGTGTGCAAATATGTCTTTGAGACCTTTCTTTCAGTTCTTTTGGGTATATACCTGTAAGTGGGATTGCTGGATCTGTTTTTACTTTTTTGAGAGCCTTTCATACTGTTTCCCATAGTAGTTATGCCATTTTACAGTCCCACCCATAGTGGCAAGTGGTTTTCTGTTTTCTTTTGTTTTCCTAAATTTAATAGTTTTAAAAATCTCTCCTTGAATGACATGGGATTTAAGAGCAAAACAACCTAAATCCTAGCCTGCCACGTACTAGCTGTGTGATCTTAAGCAGGCCACTTATCCTCTCAAAGCCTCCATTTCCTTACCTGCCAGGTGGCCATGGTAATTAATACTTATCTCAAGGGCAGTTGTGAGAGCTACAGGAGATAATGCATGGAAGGCAATGAGTGAACACCTGAAGACACAGTAAGCATTCAAGTCGTGTTAACTACTTATTAGTAATGGGTTCTAAGGCTGTTATTTCAGTGAGTTTTTAGTTTCTAACCATGTTACTTCTTTGCTTCATCTATATTATCTAACTGTACATTTTTAAAACATATTATTGGCCGGGCACGGTGGCAGACTCCTGTAATCCCAGCACTTTAGGAGGCTGAGGCTGGTGGATCACAAGGTCAGGAGTTCCAGACCAGCCTGGCAAACATGGTGAAACCCCATCTCTAGTAAAAATACAAAAATTAGCCGGGCATGGTGGCGGGTGCCTGTAATCCCACTATTGGAAGGCCAAGCAGGAGAATCGCTTGAAACCAGAAGGCGGAGGTTGCAGTGAGTCAAGATCACGCCATGGCATTCTAGCCTGGGCAACAAGAGCGAAACACCATCTCAAAAAAAAAAAAAAAAATTTATATATATATATATATATACATACATATATATGCGTATATATATATGTATATATATATATAAATCTACTTGTCACTATAATTTCTACTTAATATCTTCCTTTCCCTATTGCATTGTACTCAAACATACTGCTTCCCTTCTGTATGTGACAGCTTAACTAAAAAAAAAAAAAAAAAAAGACCTTACGTTTCTGGAAACAGGCTATCCAGAGGAGACCTTATCTTTCTGGAACATTGCCCAAAACCAAGTAGGTAACAAATACCTACCTACCTATCTACATACAATCATACCATTTCAGTTCCCTGTGAGTCTTATTGCTCCACTGATAACAGGCTAACCCAAAACAGTGACTTAAAACAGCCACCATTAATTTGCTCATAATTCTTTAGTGTAGGTTAGGCTCAGTTGGGTGGTTCTTTGGCAGGTCTCACTTGGGGTTTGTTATGCATCTGCAGATGTCTGCAGGTGTGACTAGTGTTGGAGGATCCAAGAGGGCTTCACTCACGTGTCTGACACTTCATCTGGAGTCACTGGAACAGGTGAGGGCTAGCAGGCATCTTCTCTACATGTGGTATCTCCAGCAGCATTGCCAGACCTCTTTACATGGTGGCTCAGAGCAACAGGAAAGAAAAGCAGAGAATTTACCAGGCCTCTTAAGGCACTCATACAGCATCACTTCCACCACATTCTGTTGCTCGAAGCACATCACGAGGCCAGCCCAAATATAGCTGGAGGGGAAACAGATTCCCCATCTAGATTTGGGGAGTGACATGCACATACAAGTATGGGAGGAATGACTGGTGGCCTATTTGGAGGCAAACTACCATGCTTCTATATACACGTACCTACACATATAAATGCATCTGCTGTAGACAAGCAGGTTCTTCATGGTTTTGTACTTGGTAAATGAGCAGTGCATTTTGCGGTGCCCAGAAAGTGACAGTTGACTATTAAAGATCCCAATCATAGCACTATATCCTGTTTTCTTGTTTGTTTGTTTACTTTCCTTAACTTGTTCCAAAATATGTCCTTTTCTTATATTCTTATTCCCTTAGGCCCAAACCTGCTGCTAGGCCTTCCCTCTTAGTTCATGCCTGTGCAGCAAAGAGAAGGGAAGGACAACAGGTTTTATAGCCAGACCCCCCAGGTTTGACTCCCTGCTACAGTTTAGGAAAATCACTTAACATCTGTCAAAATCCATTTTTTCACCTACAAATTGGGATAATAGTAGAACCTATGTAATGGGAGTGCTGTGAGGGAAAATGAGACGACTTATGTAAAGCATGTAGCAGGTAAACTCACCTTAACAGGCATTAGGTTCCTTTCCCTTTCTTCCTCTGTTTCCTTACTTCACGATGTGAAACATCCCTTCCGTCACTGTGCTATGACATAGTAAGAGAAATAGCTGTGGCCAAGCAGGTTCTTTATGGTTTTGTTGTACTTGGTAGATGAGCTGCTTGTCCTTGGACAAGTTGCTGAACCTTGCTATACCTCATTTTCTTCATCTGTAAAATGGGAATTACAGTGGTGCCTAGTTCACAGGGCCATTGAAAACAATTAAATGAGCATAGAACCTGGCACAGAGAAAGCATATAATAAATGCTTGTTATTGTAATAATTATAATTATTAGTATCAGTTAAGTTATTGTTATTATTGTTTAGCCCAATGCCTTGAATTGGAGGAGAATGTCTGCAAATCCCTATTGCCCCTTCCCCCATAACATTCTAGGGAATCCCTATTCTGTTTCTTTAGGATAAGGATCCCAGACTACAAGTATGTACCACAAAAGCTGGGTTCTCCATTGTGGGATTCCAGGAGTCACACTTTTATCTCCTCCAGATTCACAAGATTCCCAGGTGACACCCAAGGAGTATAGTCTTCTGCTGCTCCTTTCCCATGTTACAACCTCAGCTAATGGGATAAAACACACACACACACACACACACACACACAGGAAGAGGTAGCACACTCAGAGTCCTTACATCAGATGACAAGGGGGAGAAGTATGGGGTGCCTAGCATTGCTAGGACATTAATTCTCCTCTAAGGTAGCCCTTAGACTACTCTCCTCCCCACCCCAAGACTTGGGTTCAGATGCCTGGTGGCATCTGAGCACTTTGCTGACCCTCGCTTCTTCCTGGTTTCTGTGTCTTACTTACACTTGCCATCAGGGTGCCATGAGGTATGAGGTTACTCCTTTTATAAATAAAACGGCATCTGATCTCTTCTGATAACCCATCCAGGTAGAAAGCTGCACTTTGCAGTTTGAGCCTGAAAAGAATTTCTCTGCGTCAAGGAGGGCCCTCCTTTTTGCCAACCAGAGCAAATAAGTATCCAAGCATTGATTACTTCATTTGCAGATAATGCCCCCCTAAAATGCTTCCCTGCAGTCGCAAGGTTTTTTTTCTTTTCCCTTGTGGTCACAACACAAGTTAAAGGCAGCTTGACTTTTCAGGCTGCTACCTCCAGCCAATCCGGACACCAGCCTCTTCCACCTTGTGTACGTAGATGCCATTGCCATAGCCATCGTTGGATTTTCAGTGACCATCTCCATGGCCAAGACCTTAGCAAATAAACATGGCTACCAGGTTGACGGCAATCAGGTAAAGATAATCAGTTTCCTGCACATGTTTCATAGCAGTACAATCACCAATGTCTGGCTCACGCCTGTAATCCCAGCACTTCGGGAGGCCAAGGCAGGCGGATCATGAGGTCAGGAGATTGAGACCATCCTGGCTAACATGGTGAAACCCCATCTCTACTGAAAATACAAAAAATTAGCCGGGCATGGTGGCAGGCCCCTGTAGTCCCAGCTACTCGGGAGGCTGAGGCAGGAGAATGGCATGAACCCAGGAGGCGGAGCTTGCAGTGAGCCGAGGTCGCGCCGCTGCACTCCAGCCTGGGCGACAGAGCGAGACTCTGCCTCAGAAAAAAAATAAATAAATAACCAAGGTCGGTTATGGAAGGCACAAGAACTAATCTATCTTGGTAGAAAAACTTTTTGTACTGGTGATTGATGTATCTGAAGCATGTACTTATTCAGTCTGCAATGTTACTCCTGTTTTTAAAGCTCACAGCTTAGGATTAAATGTTTTTCCAGGGCGTTTTTGCTCCCTAGGAAGGTTTATCTTTGTTCATTAAATATTGGGTATCTGATTCATCACTAACTCCACAATATTCTCTTTGTCACCTACTTTTATAACGCAGCCACAGATAAGGTATTTAATCCAAACACTGTGACCTATAATGTTGACATAACAATGTCTATTTCAATCCTTATGTATTCTAAGGAGAAACTAGATGCTCCACATTCATCTGAGATGCAGTTGTCAAACTAGAAATATGCAAAGTAAACCTAAGAGCAGGACTCACTTGCCCCAGGAAGACACTGGCATGTACTCATTTGTGAGCAATAGCCCAGGCATTAAAAAGATGCCAAGAGTCCTATACAACAATAACTTTCTCTTCAGCAGTAAAAATAGTTGATCCCTTTTAGTGCAGTTTTCTTCTTAAGCGTTATTTATGTAGAGGGTGTGTTTGGAAAGGAGGCTGAGCAGGGAGCCCAGCGTTTATCTCTGACAAAATAAAAATTCAAAATGTTCCCCCCTCTCACTATAAAATATGCCATAATTCCTATTTTGAACTCATGCTGAACAAATTCTTACATCTGAAAGGAAAATGAAGAGATAGGCTGTAGTGCTGACAATGTGTATTAAATGGGCTATTATGCTTTTTTTTCCTGAAGAATGACCTATCTCTTTTGTGTTTTGTTTCTACATGGGAAAGGAGCTCATTGCCCTGGGACTGTGCAATTCCATTGGCTCACTCTTCCAGACCTTTTCAATTTCATGCTCCTTGTCTCGAAGCCTTGTTCAGGAGGGAACCGGTGGGAAGACACAGGTATGTACATAACAGGCCTCTAAGACCTGATGATATGGGTGGTAATTAAATTTTAATCTTTTGATTATATTCTGAACCCAAACAAAGCTACTCTGGCCTGCAGATCCATGCTCCAGTGAGCTGTGTAGGGAATCAGAGAAAGGCATGATTGGTTGAAGTGAATCACAAGGAACTGAATCTATAGGAAAGAGGTATATTCTCCAGTTACATTGGAAAGTTATGCAACACTCGGCTACCAGTAAACTTCAAAGTTCAGACATAGAATATTGTTATGAAAGCCTGAGACTGAGTATGGGCAGTATGCCATCACCATCCAGTAGAACTTTCCGCAATGATGGAAATGTTCAATATCTGCACTGTCCAATATGGCAGCCACTAGCAACATGTGGCTCTTGAGCACTTGAAATGTGGTTAGTTCGACCAAGACCTGACTTTTAATTTTTACAAATGTAAATGGCCGGCCAAGTGCGGTAGCTCATGCCTGTAATCGCAGCACTCTGGGAGGCCAAGGCGGGCAGATCATGAGGTCAAGAGATCGAGACCATCCTGTCCAACCTGGTGAACCCTGTCTCTACTAAAAATACAAAAATTAGCTGGGCATGGTGGCGGATGCCTGTAGTCCCAGCTACTTGGGAGGCTGAGGCGGGAGAATCGCTTGAACCCAGGAGGCAGAGGTTGCAGTGAGCCAGGGTCGCGCCACTGCACTCCATCCTGGCGACAGAGTGAGAGTCTGTCTCAAAAAAAAAAAAAAAAAAAGTAAATGGCCACATGTGGCTACTGGCTCCCATATTGGACAGCAGACACTTATCTGAACTCTTCTGGTGGCCCTTGTAGGTCTCAGGTTGGCACCAGACATCTTTCCTCCACCTCTGGAAAGGGCATTTTAATTAGGATATTACAACATTTCAGCTTCCATTTAAAAGCCATAAGAAGAACCAAAACTTCAGAGAGGGAGTGTGATGGAGCTATAGGTTATGTAGTGGTTTAGTTGACTTATTTGAATCCATATTTTCTTGATCTTCCCATAGTAATTATCAAAAGAATAAAACCAACTTATGCCCTGCCTCTTATTCAAGTCTCCTAAAAGCCCCTTCCATGTGTCTTCTCTCATTCAGCTTGCAGGTTGTTTGGCCTCATTAATGATTCTGCTGGTCATATTAGCAACTGGATTCCTCTTTGAATCATTGCCCCAGGTGTGTGTAATGTGGACTTGGGTGAAGTTTTTTTCATGTGTAGAGATTTTGCTATTTTATTTGTTTATGTTCTTATGGCTATATTAGGGTTATTTACTGTAACCCTCACAGGATGGTATGAGAAAGGGCCAAGGCTAGGACCAAGATCCTGCTCTATAACCTACTGACAGCTGCCTGCAGGACCTGGGGAAAGCCATCTTAACTCCTCTGAGTCTCGGTTTCCTTATCTGCAAAGTCGGGGTTTGGACTGGCTGATCTTGAACATCCCTTCTCTCTTTGACCTTCTATGACCTTGTACTTTCATAAAAAACCTGAGATGGTCTACATTCATAAGACATTTACATGATGGTATATTTAATCTAGTAGAGATCAGGAACCATATAGAGTAGAGAAGATCATAATGTAGAAAGACCATAGGTGAAATAATTCCTTGAGTACCAAGTTTAATTCTGAACCTCTTGGCCACCATGCAGGTTTGCTATTAGGATATAAGAATGATTTCCAGCCGGGTGTGGTGGCTCACACCTGTAATTGGCACTTTGGGAGGCTGAGGCGGGCAGATAACCTGTGGTTAGGAGTTCGAGACCAGCCTGGGCAACATGGTGAAATCCCGTCTCTACTAGAAATACAAAAATTAACTGAGTGTGGTAGCACCCACCTGTAGTCTCAGCTATTCTAGTGGGAAGGTTGAGGCAGGAGAATTGCTTGAACCTGGGAGGCAGAGGTTGCAGTTAGCCAAGATTACGCTACTGCACTCCAGCCTGGGCGACAGAGCAAGACTTCATCTCAAAAAAAGAAAAAAGAAAGACTGATTTTCCAAGGCCCCTTTTAGCTAACCAGGTCCTGAAAATCCAGGTGTTCATGGCTTCAAAGCTACCATCGGTGCCATATAGGAAGTGAGTAGGGAGAAGGCATGGGGAGGACAGCAGGAGGACAGTGAGGAACCAGCAAAGGACACTCTGTGGACACAAGAGGAGAGGCATGGGGGATGTGCTCTGTTTCAGGCTGTGCTGTCGGCCATTGTGATTGTCAACCTGAAGGGAATGTTTATGCAGTTCTCAGATCTCCCCTTTTTCTGGAGAACCAGCAAAATAGAGCTGGTAAGTAACAAAGGTGATGGCTCTGTTAATATGTCATAGAGCAGATATGATTAGTGCTAAGAAAAATGTGAGAAAGATAAATTAATGCAGTTGTTATGTGCAGTATCCAGTTAGACAAGGTAAAAGTAGCATGTGTGTGTGTGCACACTTGTGTGTTTAACTCTTGTGGGATGTTTAACATGGTTCTCCATCAAGTTTTCTGTCTTTTGCTTAGACCATCTGGCTTACCACTTTTGTGTCCTCCTTGTTCCTGGGATTGGACTATGGTTTGATCACTGCTGTGATCATTGCTCTGCTGACTGTGATTTACAGAACACAGAGGTGAGTGCCCAGATTGGAATGGGTGTGAATGTCCCGGCAGAGATGACAATGTTGACTTTAGGTGTAGACCAAAGTTTAAGTTGGTAGAAGTGGAGCCCTTTGATGATTTCTAGTTAGCGTGAGAGGGAGCTATAACACTCATGTAGCCTGTTGACTAGATGAACAAAATGCCAATTTAAAAATTCCATATAATTTTGCCAAATGCTCTTCTATGTCACAATTTATGCTCCCATCAATGGTTATGTTAAAAGAGCCTAATTTCCATCATTGTTTCTGCCATTCCTGGTCTAGTGCTATGCTGGTTTATTTATCCTCTTGTGATTTGTTTTGGCACCAAGTACTGACATGAGTTTCAATGACATGAAGCAAACTCTGACACCAAGTTATCGTATGCATTCCTTCCACTGTCATTTCCTCCACCCTGAACCACTTTCCCTTGTTATCTCTTCTCCCTAGTAGGAAGCTGAGCCCACTAGGGAAAGTATAAAATAAATTAAAAAAATATATGGTTGGGTGCAGTGGCTCACGCCTGTAATCCCAGCACTTTCAGAGGCCAAGGCAGGCGGAACACTTGAGGTCAGGAGTTTGAAACCAGCCTGGCCAACATGGTGAAACCCCATCTCCGCTAAAAATACAAAAAAAAATTAGCCAGGCTTGGTGGCACACACCTGTAATCCCAGCTACTTGGGAGGCTAAGGCAGGAGAATTGCTTGAACTCAGGAGGTGGAGGTTGCAGTAAGCCAAGATCACACCACTACGCTCCAGCCTGGGCAACAGAGCAAGACTCCATCTCAAAAAAAAAAAAAAAAAAAAACTTTATGGGCTGGGCACAGTAGCTAACACCTATAATCCCAATTCCAGCCCTTTGGAAGGCTGAGGTGGGAGGATCACTTGAGGCCAAGACCAGCCTGGGCAACATAGCAAAACTCCATCCCTAACAAAAAACAAACAAACAAAAAAACACCTTTTTGTGATAAATCACCATAAAGATGAAAAGGAAACATTGTCATAGAAATAGCCTGGACTGGCCAGGCACAGTGACTCTTGTCTGGAATCCCAGCACTTTGGGAGGCCAAGGCAGGTGGATCACAAAGTCAGGAGTTCAAGAGCAGCCTGGCCAACATGGTGAAACCCTGTCTTTACTAAAAATACAAAAAAATTAGCTGGGCATGGTGGCGTGCACCTGTAATCCCAGCTACTTAGGAGGCTGAGGCAGGAGAATCGCTTGAACCTGGGAGGCAGAGGTTGCAGTGAGCCGAGGTCGTGCCATTGCACTCCAGCTTGGGCAACAAGAGCAAAACTCCATCTCAAAAAATTTTTTAAAATAAAATAAAGAAATAGCCTGGACTTTAGTCAGGTCCTGGCGGCACCTTCTGTAAGCTCTGTGATTTTGCATGCCTCTCAGAGCCTGTTTCTGCATCTATAAAATGAGACTAATACTTCCTACCTCATATAGTTACAATAAGGCTTAAATGACAAGGCCTGCAAACAGCCAGCACAGTGCCTGACAAGTGCTACCCACTCTACCAATGCCAGTGCCCTTCCCGCTCTAACACAGAGGGAAATGAAAATGAAGCTAGTGTGGTTTTGCCTATGGTTGCAAATCACATGAAACCTTAAAGTTGTGACTGTGATGTGTTGAAAGGGCACTTTATGAGGATGTTGACCCCTTATCTGCAGGAGGTCAGGATGCTCCCCACCCTCAAGGGTGGGAAATGAGCATTTTCATCATCACAAATGACATAACAGAAAAATGTTAAGAATATGTGGGATTCTAAACTCAGGATAAGAATTTAACTACCTTTAATAACAAGTTCCAACACTGTTGCCCGTATTTATCTAAAAGAAGTGTTTCCCATTTTTATAAAGAACTTTATTAGCATATGTAAGAGTTCTTTATCTCAGAACTTTGGTGAACATTATGGTTTTAAAATATCTATAACTTTTGGCCAGGTGTGGTGTCTCACACCTGTAATGCCAGGAATTGGAAGACTGAGGCAGGCAGATCACTTGAGGTCAGGAGTTCAAGACCAGCCTGGGCAACATGGCAAACCCTCATCTCTACTAAAATTACAAAAGCGAGCCAGGTGTGGTGGCGAGTGCCTGTAATCCCAGCTACTCAGGAGGGTGAGGCAGAAAATTGCTGGAACCCAGGAGGTGGAGGTTGCAGTGAGCTGAGATTGAGCCATTGCACTCCAGCCTGGGCGACAGAGTGACACACGTCTCAAAAAAAAGAAAAAGAAAAAAAAATCTATAACTTTTAACAAGCTACAGTATAGAATTTGAGAATTTTTTTGCTGGTGGTGGTGTTTTTTGTTTTTTTTACTGAATAGGATTTTATGGTATCTTATCATAAATTTTATTTATTTTTATTTACTTAGTCTTTATTTTTCTAACACTAGAGAACTCACTTGAGTTATAAAATTTTTTTGTTTGTTTTCTTTTGAGACAGAGTCTTGCTCTGTCACCCAGGCTGGAGTGCAGTGGCATGATCTCGGCTCACTGCAACCTCCACCTCCTGGGTTCAAGTCTTCTGCCTCAGCCTCCTGAGTAGCTGAGACTACAGGCGCGTGCCACCACGCCCGGCCAATTTTTTTTATTTTTAGTAAAGACAGAGTTTCATCGTGTCAGCCAGGATGGTGTCGACCTCCTGACCTCGCAATCTGCCCACCTCGGACTCCCAAAGTGCTGGGATTACAGGCATGAGCCATCGTGCCCGGCCGGTTATCATAAATTTTAAAGTCCAGCAAGTTTTTTTTTTTTAATGCTCCAGTTTGTGCTGGGTGCAGTGGCTCACTCCTGTAATCCAAGCACTTTGGGAGACTGAGGCAAGCGGATCATTTGAGGTCAGGTGTTCAAGACTAGCCTGACCAACATGGTAAAACCCTGTCTCTACTAAAAATACAAAAAAAAATAGCTGGGTGTGGTGGTGCACACCTGTAATCCCAGCTACTGAGGAGGCTGAGGCAGGAGAATCGCTTAAACCTGATAGACTGAGGTTGCAGTGAGCCAAGATCACACCACTACACTCCAGCCTGGGTGAAAGAGTGAGAGCCTATCTCAAAAAAAAAAGAAAGAAAGAAAAAAGCTCCCGTTTGGGCAACCTGGTAAAACCCCATCCATACCAGAAATACAAAATATTAACTGGGCATGGTGGTGCACACCTGTGGTCCCAGCTACTTGGAAGGCTGAGGTGGGAGGATCACTTGAGCCTAGGAGGCAGAGGTTCAAGTGAGCTGAGATGGCACTCCTGCGCTCCAGCCTGGGTGACAGAGTGAGACCCTGTCTCAAAAAAAAAAAAAAAAGAAAAGAAAAGAAAAAAATAAAAGCTCTACTTCTCTTTCTTCCTCAAATAATAGTTAACTGAAGTTGATATTTTTTATGTTCTATCCTTTGTTGGTGATTTTGCTGGGTCTTTGTATGTTAGAGTTTAGGAGATCAGCACTCAGGGTATGTGTTTATTTTCAGCTGGCTTCTTCTGTAATTAGGGCACACTTCTGGAGAGGGGTAGAGGTGCACTGGGTTTGGCCGTTTGTTTGAAACACTCATTTTCCCTCAGAGCAGGCATAGTTAAGAGACAATCATGGCCCGGCCAGCTGTAAACCCAGCACTTTGGGAGGCCAAAGCAGGTGGATCACGAGGTCAGGAGATCGAGACCATCCTGGCTCGATCAAAAAATTAGCCAGGCGTGGTGGCGGGCGCCTGTAGTTCCAGCTACTGGGGAGGCTGAGGCAGGAGAATGGTGTGAACCCGGGGAGGCGGAGCTTGTAGTGAGCCGAGATCACGCCACTGCACTCCAGCCCAGGCGACAGAGCGAGACTCTGTCTCAACAACAACAACAACAACAACAAAGAGACAATCACATCATTCTGCAGATAATTCCTGAATTCAGGCACTTGCATGTGTTATAAATATGACAGAGGTTCAGCTTCTGCCCCCCAAAGCTCACAATTTGGTTAGCATTATAAAATTTTAAAAATTATAATTTCTCTAAATAGGTATTTGTTGAGGGCCTATTATATTTCCAGGGAGATGCTAGACTCTAGGGACAGTGCAGTATATAAGACATGGTCCTTCCCCTCAAAGGTTGCGTTGTCCTAAGGATGACAGACACGTAATCATGATGATGATGTTAATAAGGACAATGAAGTAATGATGGCACAAATTATTATAATTACTTATGTGCCTGGCTCTGTGCAAAGATCAATGCTCTATGCCATTTCATATAACCTTATAAACCTATGACAATCAGCAACCCCATTTCACAGATGTGGAAGCTGAAGCCTAGAATGATTGGGTAACTTGCACAAGATCACAGTAAGTGGTGAGGCAATGACTCAGATGTGAGTTTTTGCAAATCCAGAAGCTGACAAATCAGCACTTTTTTTTTTAAGACAGAGTCATGCTCTGTCGCCCAGGCTGGAGTGCAGTGGCATGATCTCAGCTCACTGCAACCTCCACCTCCTGGGTTCAAGCAGTTCTCTGCCTCTGCCTCATCCTCTTGAGTAGCTGGGATTACAGGTGCCCGCCACCACACCCAGCTAATTTTTTGTATTTTTTGTAGAGATGGGGTTTCACCATCTTGGCCAGGCTGGTCTTGAACTCCTCACCTCGTGATCCACCTGCCTCAGCCTCCCAAAGTGCTGGGATTAGAGGCATGAGCCACCGCGCCCAGCCTCAATCAGCATTTTATAATCCATCTTCAAAAAATTAGAATATAGGCCAAACACAGTGTCTCATCTCATGCCCATAATCCCAGCAATTTAGGAGGCCAAGGCAGGAGGATTGCTGAGGCGAGGAGTTTGAGACCAGCCTGGACAACATAATAAGACCATGCCTCTACCAAAAAAAAAATTTTTTTTATTTTATTGTTTTTAGAGACAGAGTTTTACTTTGCCACATGGGCTGCAGTGCACTTGTACGGTCACAGCTCACTGCCACCTTGAATTCCTGGGCTCAAAGGATCCTCCCACCTCAGCCTCCCATGATGGGCACACACCATCACACCTGGCTAATTTTTAAATTTTTTGTAGAGATGGGGTCTCGCCATCATGCTCTGGCTGGTCTTGAACTCCTGGGCTCAAGTGTTCCTCCCACCTCAGCCTCCCAAAGTGCTGGGATTACAGTTGTGAGACATTGCATTGTGAGACCTACAAAATTTTTTAGTTGGCAAGGTGTAGTGGTGCACCCCTATAGTCCCAGCTACTCAGGAAGCTGAGGCACAAGGATCACTAGAGCCTAGGAGTTCAAGGCTACAGTGAGCCATGATCAGGCCACTGCACTCCAGCGTGGGCCACAGAATAAGATCCCATCTCTAAAAAAATAAATAAGTAAATAATAAAACAAAAATAAATTTTTAAAGACTTAGAATACACAGTTATAAGTGCCTCAACAGGTGTAAGCAAGGTACAGTGTGAGAAGCATAAGAGATGCCAAATAAAACTGCATGGGATTTCATTAAAAGAGACTTTCTTGCTCTTGGTGTCATTAGGGAAGTAGTAAGGACTTGGCCTTCACTGGGAGCAATAGTATTTAGACTTGCAGAAATGGTGTGCCAGGGCACTGCAGGTCGTCAGGAAGGCCTGTTCATCATCTGCATTTGAAATCCTCATCCTTTGAGGCCCAGCTCACCCAGTCAGGGACCTCAACTTCCCCTGTGTACCCACAACAATGCTCTAATCCTTCCCTAGCACCTTGCGTGTGTCCATCTCAGCTACTCCTGTACTTGTGATCCATGTGCCCATCCCTTACTCTGCCTCCCCTGTGGCACTGGATTGCAACACATGGACAGCACTTTGAGTCTCTTAGAGGTTTTCTCATAATTGCAAACTCAGCTGAGAGCCTTAGCCCCTTATCTACAATCAGTCCTCAGAGCCATATTTGTCCACAGATATCACTAGATTGTGAGCATCTTGTTGGCAGAAGTGATGTTCCTGGAGTCTAGTACCAGGCACATCATTTGTGTTCTCTGAATGCTTATGGAGGAAATTTACCCAGCAAAACAGCTAACACTTGTGTAGTATATTCTAATTTACAAAGTCCTTTGACATTCATGCTAAGAAGCACCAGGACATAGTAGCAAAACTGTGGAATGTCAAATCAAAGACCTTGAGCCATATTCTGCCTCTGGCAAGCTGTCTGACATTGAACAACTTACCTAACCCCACTGAGCCTCAATTTCTCATCTACGTGATGGCAGGATTGTTAATAATGTTAACTATTATTATAATATTATTAATGTGCCCAGCAGCATTGTTCAAAGGATATAATAACAGGTGTTCAAGAAGTAGTATCTGTCATTATTACAGTATCTAATTTGAGCCAGATGGTCCTTTACAAAGAGTTAGGAATTAGGGGCAGGCACAGTGGCTCATGCCTGTCTGTAATCCTGGCACTTTGGGAGGCCGAGGTGGGTAGATGACTTGAGGTCAGGAGTTTGAGACCAGCCTGGCCAACATGGTGAAACCCTGTCTCTATTAAAAATACAAAAATTAGCTGGGCATGGTGGCGCACAACTGTAATCCCAGCTGCTTGGGAGGCTGAGGCAGGAGAATTGCTTGAACCCGGGAGGCGGAGGTTGCAATGAGCCAAGATTGCACCATTGCACTCCAGCCTGGGCAACAGGATAAGACTCCGCCTCAAAAAAAAAAAAAAAAAAAAAGGAAATAGGGCTCTCAAAAAATAATGTTTAAAATCTATTCAGACTAAATTAAGTTAACATCTATGCTAATTTGAGATTTTCATTTTCTCCCCACGCCCTCAATTGACTACTCCCCTACTATGAGTCAGTGATTCTTGCTAACAACAAACAAAAATTCCCTCTCCTACTTTAGAGTTAGAGCAGAAAGACAGTTCTGTCTACTGAGTGGCTTGAGGAGAACTTGTGTTACATATATCCCTGGCATAACTTGAACTCTGCGAAATTCAGCGTTGCCTCCACCTCTAAATGCCTGAACCTTTTCTCCTGACCAGATCGTGTTTGTGGTATGGTGTTGGGGGGAGGGGAGGTATAGGGTGTGTGATGTGCATCGTGAATGTGGTGTGAGGTATACGTGATGTGTGTGTGTGTGTGTGATGTGAAGTGTGAGGTGTATGTGATGTATGTATATGTGTGTGATGTGTATGTATGTGTATTATGTGTGTGTTGTGTGTGTGGTGTATATGCATGTGTGTGTTGTGTGTATTGTGTCTTGGATGAAGGTTGTATATGCATGTGTATATGTATATGGGTGTGTGTGTGTGTGTGGTATGAGGGGTATGTGGTGTGTGTATTGTGTATGGTATTGTGTGTGGCATGTAGTGGGGGTATGTATGCATGTGTCTGCACGTATGTGTATTATGTGTGTAGTGTGTGCATATATGTGGTATGTACGCATGTGTGGTGTGTGTATTGTATATTGCATGTGTGGTGTGTATGCATGTGTGTGTGTATATGTATGTAGGGGTGTGTGTGGTGTGAGGTATATGGTATGTGTGTATTGTGTATGGTATTGTGTGTGGCATGTAGTGTGTGTGCTGTGTATGCATGTGTGGGTGTGTATGCATGGTATGTGGTGTGATTGTGTATATTGTGTATGTGTGGTGTGTGTGTATTGTTTGTGTTTGTGTGTAGTGTGTATGCATTGTGTGTATGTATGTGATATGTGGGGTGATGTGTGTGTATATTGTGTTTATATGTGTGTGTGGTGTACATGCATTATGTGTAGATGTGTGTATTGTGTATGTGTGTGTGGTATGTGGGTGTGTATACATTGTATGTGTGTGTATTGCGTATGTGTGTGGGAGTGTGTATATGTGTGGTATGAGGTGTATATGGTATGTGTGTATTGCATATGTGTGGTATGTATGTGCATGGTGTGTATGCATGTGAGGGGTGTGCATTGCATAGTATATATGCAGTGTGTATGATGTGTATATGTGTGGTATGTAGTGTAGTGTGTGTATATTGTGTGTGATATGAGGTATGTATGTATGGTGTGTGTGCATTGTGTGTGTATGCATGTGTGTGGGGGTATGTATTGTGCATTATACATGTGGTATGTATGCATGTGTGTATGTATATGTGTGGTATATCGTATAATGTGTGTGTATTCTGTATGTGTGGTGTGTATGCATTGTGTGTAGGTATGTATATTGTGTATGTGTGTGGTGTGTGAGGTAGGTATTGGGATGTGTATGTGTAGTATGAGGTGTACATGGTGTGTGCGTATCATGTGTGGTATGTATGTGTGTGTGTGGCATGTGATGTGTATGTGGCATGAGGTGTGTGGGGTGTATTAGGCTTGGAATGGCACTGGGAACGTGATATGTGTGGAGCCCTTCTGCAAAGGCACCATGTAAGGATCAAGCATTCCCAAATGCACCAGCAAACCCCAACCTGACATAAACATACACAACCTCCTGTTGAAATCACACGCTGTGCCTCAACACAATGGTATTTAACACTCTTTATCTTCAGTCCAAGCTACAAAGTCCTTGGAAAGCTTCCTGAAACTGATGTGTATATTGATATAGACGCATATGAGGAGGTAGGACCTTTTTCTATCACTTAAAAAGGTTGTAAGCATGTGATGTGCTTGGCTAAGTACTGTTTTTACCCAGGATAAAAAGTAGGGGTAAGATGGGAGGTATAGTGGTCAAAGTGAAAAGTCTGAGCTTTGATCTACTATATGGATTCAATTTTATAATTTATACTATGCATTAACTACTCAATTTCCAATATTTATTTTTCCTCATTTTTAATGGGGATAAATATATATTGTTGAAATTAAAGTATACATTTATACAGTATTGAAACTGAAAGGATGGTTTGTGTGTGCATGGTTTTTTTCTGATGAATGTATAATGGTAAAATAATTTTAACCATGTAAAATGTAGATGGTGGGGCTGTGGAATTCTCCCACTTCATTTGAATGGTTAAAATTACAGCTTCAGATTTCCTTGATTTTGAGTGTTCTTTTCTTCTGTGGAATATCGAAGATTTTTACAAAATCTTTTAAAACTAGTTTTGTCTGTCGGTCTTGTCTTATGCTTGGGAAGAAATTCTCAGACTCACTTTAAGGTATTAGGATATGAGGAAACAAAATTCACTCTAAGGTAAAGGTGTTAGAATTGCTATATTTTTCCTCGATCCAAAGAAGTATATGCAACATTGCTTGTTTCCAGCCTGCCTCCTAGAGTTCCACAAGGGTTCTTGATAAAATATTCACTCAGTTTCACTTGTGTCCATTTAAGCTCCTTCCTGCTTCTGTGAATCAAACCAGTGTAAACTTCTGTTCACTTTATTTGCCTGCCTCTCACAGTCTGGGCAGCAGCCTTCCATCTCCTGTCCATTTTCTTTTCTGTTTTTGAGTATTTTTCAGTTTCTTCTTTGTGTTTAATGGTAAAAATAAAACGAAGACTGACTTTTAAAACAAATGGAAAGATGTGCATGTTAAAAAGGTCTCTGTCAGTTCTCTTCCATTCAGAGCATGAGTAGATAAGAGTGACTTTTTTTTTCTTTTCTTATCTTTTTTTTTTTTTTTGGTCTGTGTGTGACATCATTTTAGCTAAGCCCTGAAAAGGGGACCTTAGCAACTTCTGCATTCATTTTCTATTTGGGGTGGGGAAGCTATGCAGTTTTGATTCTGAAATATTTCCATGTGTTAAATTCAGCAATATTTTACTCTTCAGGTGAAAGAAATTCCTGGAATAAAAATATTTCAAATAAATGCACCAATTTACTATGCAAATAGCGACTTGTATAGCAATGCATTAAAACGAAAGGTGAGTCATGAGAAATTGATTATTTCTGAGGATGGGATTTGTGGGTTGACAGGGATATGAGGATCACTAGTATACCTTTGTATATACTATTTCATTCTCGCTTTGTTTCTCTCTCTTTTATTGTAGTAAAATATACATAACATAAAATATACTATTTTAAGCATTTTCAAAGTATACAGTCCAGTGGGTCGCATTAAGTACATAAACATTGTGCAGCCATCACCATTGTTCATTCTCTCTTATCGTATATATAATATTACTTTTCAAACAAAATTTTAAGAAAACATGAGAAAATAATTTTAGGTTTCTTATTCTTGGGATCATGTAGATTCCTTTGGTCATGTTTAGAACTCAACCCTACACCACGCTGTATATAGGAAAAGCTCCCTGTCAACCCACAGAGTCTCTTAAATATAACAACCTGACAGATCTGAACTTGAAAAAGACTGCTCTAAAAATTGTCTTTAATATTTTAGCTTCTGGTTGTCTTGAATAAAGACTGAGAATAAGAAAGGCTACTAATGTAAGGGAGTAACCAGTTCAGGGCCTCTGAGGGAAAGGCAGTGCAAGGGTTGGGGTGATAATCTGACCCAGAAAGCAGTTAAATGGGGAGATTTGAAGGGGAGTGGCATTGGGGTGGGTCCCTGAGAGCCATGAAGTGATTTTGCATATGGTGCTCTTCTGTAAAGACTGGAGTGAACCCAGCAGTCATCATGGGAGCAAGGAGAAAGGCCATGCGGAAGTACGCTAAGGAAGTCGGAAATGCAAATATGGCCAACGCAACTGTTGTCAAAGCAGTGAGTGGTCTTTTCATTGAAATAATCCGTTCTGTCTTGTTCTGCAATGCCCTCCATCTTTACTCATGACTGAAGTTTAAACACAGCACGAAGTTACTAAAAGAGGAAAGTTTAGAAACCACCTTAGTATCCTCTATATTTTACAAGCACCTGATAAGGTCAGTTATGAGGCTGTTTCTGAAAAAAGTAAGGAAAACATCATTTTAAAAAATAAAAATTACACAATACCTTAACAGATTTTACCATTAGCACTTTGTCATAGATTTATTCAGCTGATAGTTTAAAAAGCTCAAAGGTGGCTTTTGCTGTTCAGGCATGCTAATGTGTGACCCATCATACTAAAGTTAATGGAACTATTTTAGACTTTAGCAGAAAATGGATAGGATAACTGAGGAGAGTGGATTTTGTTGGACAAGAAAAAAAAGGAGGAGAAGGAAAAAGAGAGAAGTTGACTTAAAATGGAATGTTATACATACATCCTTTTTTTGTTCAGTTACAAGGCTAGAATATGACAAATATTTTACAAGGGGTCTGGTAGAGTCAGTAGCTTAAGAACACAAGAGCAGATTTTCCATTATAAATCTTTCTCACAACCAGAAATGTGAGTTGTTCATAAAATTCTGGTTTGGTTTAATTTTTGACACAGGATGCAGAAGTAGATGGAGAGGATGCTACCAAGCCTGAAGAAGAGGATGGTGAAGTAAAATATCCCCCAATAGTGATCAAAAGCACATTTCCTGAGGAAATGCAAAGATTTATGCCCCCAGGGGATAACGTCCACACTGTCATTTTGGATTTCACTCAAGTCAATTTTATTGATTCTGTTGGAGTGAAAACTCTGGCAGGGGTAAGCATCCTCTTGAACGAGTCATTTAATACCTCTATGCCTGGTGTCGTACTATCAGCATAATCAGGGAGGTGGGCTAGGCTCTCTTTTCAACAAAAGATTTATCCCCTTTTGATTATGGAAAATTTCAAAAATATATAGAAGTAAAGATTTTAGTATATTGAACCCCCGTGAACTATCACTCAGCTTCAACAATGATCAATTTATGGTCAATCTGGTTTCCTTTATAGCTGACATTCACTTTCTCTTGTTTTATTTTGAAACACATCCCAGTCATAACATCATCTGTAAATATTTTAATGTGTATTGCTACAAGAAGATTCGTTTTAGAAAACATTACTGTAATATGCTAGGCTACTCAGGAGGCTGAAGCAGGAGGATTGCTGAGCTCAGGAGTTCAAGACCAGCATGAGTAAACTAGTGAGATGCTGTCTCTAAAAAAAATCGTTTTTTATTTTGAAATTATAATATCCTTTAAGTTAATATAATAGTTTTATTGTACTTAAGTAAGATTTAACAGTATTTTTGCTACCCCTAATTATCACTGTCCACATAAAAAGCAAAAGAGATACAAAATTATTTTTAACTGATTAGCTCAAAAATACATCATTATTGAAGCAAAGTAGCTCAAGTGAATGAATTAGAGTGTCTTCTATCACGAAAAACATTGGTAAAAAGAGACTTTCATCTGGCACAGAGTAAAGAGAAACTAAATTTTATTTCAACATTATTACAGATTGTAAAAGAATATGGAGACGTCGGTATATATGTATACTTAGCAGGATGCAGTGGTGAGTATACCTCTAAGATGGGGTGAAGCTTAATATTTTAGTTTTGTTTCTCTTATTTAAATAATTGCACTTGGAAATGTCCTTAATTTTAATTATTTTATAAAAATGAAAATTGTTCTTCTGAAAAATCACTCTAAAGCCAGCTTTGAAATTAGCCACATGGAGGCATTCATATTACAAGTTACTTGTGACAACCCTCCTGAACTGGAGTTGGAGGAAAGGAGCCAATAAGCCATCATTTATTATAATATTAATGGCTGCTATAAATATAGTAATTATAATATATACATGACCACAGTAGCAATTATCTAATGGCTGCCATAAACAGTTACATATAATCATTCAGGTTGCTTGTTTCTCTATCCAATCATTTGGGAATACTTTGCCTGCTATTTTTGTTTTATATTACATTTTGGTTAAAACAGTGCTTGAGGCCGGGTGTTGTGACTCACACCTGTAATCCCAGCACTTCGGGAGGCCAAGGCAGATGGATTGCCTGAGCCTAGGAGTTCAAGACCAGCCTGGGCAACATGGCAAAACCCCATCTCTACTAAAAATACAAAAATTAGCCAGACATGGTGGCGCATGCCTGTAATCCCAGCTACTCGGGAGGCTGAGGTGGGAGGATGTCTTGAATCTGGGAGGCAGAAGTTGCAGTGAGCCAACATCACGCCACTACACTCCAGCCTGGGCAACAGAATGAGACCTTGTTTCCAAAAAAAAAAGAAAGAAAATGATTTTTTAGAAAAGGAGCCCGGCGTGGTGGCTCACACCTGTAATCCCAGCACTTTGGGAGGCTGAGGCAGGCGGATCACCTGAGGTCAGAAGATCGAGACCATCTTGGCTAACACGGTGAAACCCCATCTCTACTAAAAATACAAAAAATTAGCCCGGCTTGGTGGCGCATGACTTTAGTCCCAGCTACTCGGAAGGCTGAGGCAGGAGAATCGCTTGAACCCAGGAGGCGGAGGTTGCAGTGAGCCGAGATTGCACCACTGCTCTCCAGGCTGGGTGACAGAGTAAGACTCCGTCTCAAAAAAGAAAAGGAAAAAAAAAAAGTAAAACAGTGCCTGAGGCTGGGTGTGGTGGCTCACACCTATAATCCCAACACTTTGGGAGGCCAAGGTAGGAGGATCGCTTGAGCCTAAGAGTTCAAGACCAGCCTAAGCAACATAGTGAGATCCCATCTTTATTTAAAAGAAAAAATAATAATAATTTTAAAAAGTGCTTGAAAATGAAATCTTCATAAAGATGCTACTTTTCACCTGTAAGATTGCCAAAAATCAAAAATAAATGACACCATGCTCCATAGGCATATGATGGGAAAACAGGCTCTCTCAGACATTACTGACGGGAGCACAAAATGCAACAGCCCCTATGGAGGGCAGACTAACATTAGCTTTCAAAATTATAAGTGCATTTACCTTTCAACACAGAAAATCCAGCAATATGCTGCATATGTTCAAAATGACACTTGTATGTCGTTGATCATCACAGCATTGTTATAAAACAAAAAACTCAAGTACCAAACAAAAGGGACTAGTTAAATAAACTAGGGACATCTATACAATAGAATACGATGTAGTGGTAAAAAAATTAAGCAAAAAGGGTTCAGAATTATCTATATATAGTTTATATATATATATAACATTAATCTATATATTTCCCACTTTTCTTATCCCCAAAACAGCATTTTATATATATATGTATATATATGTGTGTGTATATATATATTTATATATGTGTGTATATATGTGTGTGTGTGTGTGTGTTTGTGTATATATTTTTTCCCCACTTTTCTTATCCCCAAATATATAAAATATGCTGTTTTGGGGATAAGAAAAGTGGGAAATAAGAATACATACTTATATTTATTTATATTTACATAGAGAAATCCTGGAAGAACACACAAGAAAGTAGTTTCCTGGGATTGAGGTTATGAAGGGTGGAGACATGAATTGGAGTGAAACTTTTACTATAGCATTTTAATATTTAAACTATATGTGCTTGAACGCAGGAGTTGGAGGTTGCAGTGAGCTGAGATCACACCACTACTCTCCAGCCTGGGTGACAGAGTGAGACTCTGTCTCAAAAAAAAAAAAGAAACAAAAAACAATAACAAAAAAAAAAACACTATATGGAAGTGTTACTTTTTTTTAATTGTTGAAGACTGATATCCAGAGTGTGGACTAATTTTCTTTTCTTCTTTTAATAGCACAAGTTGTGAATGACCTCACTCGGAATAGATTTTTTGAAAATCCTGCCCTATGGGAGCTGCTGTTCCACAGCATTCATGATGCAGTTTTAGGCAGCCAACTTAGAGAGGCACTTGCTGAACAGGAAGCCTCGGCTCCCCCTTCCCAGGAGGACTTGGAGCCCAATGCCACTCCTGCCACTCCTGAGGCATAGATGAGGACCTCACCCTAGGATGGGGTTATAAGCCTCTCATGAAGTTCATAATTTACACGTTTTAAATACTAGACGCTAGATTTTTTTTTCTAAGGGTGAATACTAGTAGTCCAGGCTTGATTTGGAGGGTGAATGACGCCTAGCAAGATGTATTGTACTTGTGTTTTTTTAATTGAATACTTCAAAGATAAATTGGCCTGTTGCCTGCATTTATTATGGAGAGACATTTCTGCTACATTCTAGTATTATCTTTGTAAGCTAAGCATCGAAAAATTTATTTCAGTCAAGTATTTTACCCACAAATAAGATATTACATAGTGGTTCTTTGTTTTTGTACTTGTTGATCTACAGATAAGTAGTGGTTCTTTGTTTTTGTACTTGTTGGTCTACAGACTGTCTATAATCAGTTATCTAACAGAAGACAGGAACTGCAATTTTCTAGAAGTTCTTGTTTTAAAATAACCTTTTATTTATTATAGAAGCAGTATAAATGCATTGAGGACATTTTAAAAAAGTAGACAAGCAAAAATAAGAACATAAAACATATTTCCACCACTCAGAGATTACCACTGTTAATATCCTTCCAGATCTTTTTCCATACATATACATTTACATTTTTAACCAAAGTAAGACCACATCTATAGTGTTTTATAACCGATTTTTCTTTAATCAACAATCTCCACTTTCTCATTCCAGCACATTTTTGATCTTAGACCATATTTAAATTTCCCCAATTGTCCCCAGATTTGCAGTTGGTTTGTGCAAACTGATATTCATTCTATGACCTTACATTGCAACTGGTCATGTCCTTTAAAGTCCCTTACATCTATTTTAATCTAGCACAGTTCCTTTTTTATGACATTGACTTGTTAAAGAGACTGGGGCAGCGGTCCTGTAGAATCCTGTCTTGTGAATTTGCCTAGTTTCTTTTTCATGGTGTTGTTTAACTTGTTTTTATATTGCCTGTACTACCTGCAATCTGGAAGTTATATCTAAAGCCTTTATAGGTTCAAGTTAAAACATTTTGTGCTAGATTATATCATAGATAAGATACATGCTTCATATCGCATCACTTCAGAAAACGTAATATCTAGTTGATCTACCATTAACTAATCTATTGATCTAAGTTTGATTACTGGATCAGCATGACAGTCTGATCATCCAGTTAGATTTTTCCCCTTTGTGACTACAGACTTATCTGTGTGGTATTCCTTTGGCATTGAATGAATTACCATTTACCCAGGAGTTTTAACATTAGGTGGTAATTCTTGCCTAAATCATTAACTTTGTTAAAGTTTGTGAGTTGGTTGTCTAGTTCTTTCATTTCTTCTCCGTTTGTTAGTTGGTTATTCTATGTGAACTAAGCTTTCCCTTCTCCACTTGAGCTATTTGGTCATCCTTACCTACAGTTCTACCAGAAGGGCAGGTTGAATGCTTTATTATTTTCATTTAATTATCAACTTCAAAGTAAATAACTGGTTTATTAGATGGTGACAAATTAGTGTTTTTTTTTTTTTTTAGATTTCCCTTTTCTGGTGTGATGGTGGTCTTGTGAATTTTTATAGTTTTAATGGGTTTCAATCCATTATGTTCTTTTCGATGCTCAAATTGTCACAACTGTGGCCAGTATAAGTCCTTAGAAACTTTGCTATTGTTGCTAATCATGAAGTAGCATTAAAGACCATGTTTTTAAGAAAACTAACCCCCACATATAACTTAAATCTTCCTTAGAAGTTCATAACAGCTATCAGTTCATTATACATCAAACTCAGTGTTCAGCCTAGGAGTAAGCATAATGCTCATCTTACTCATTCCACAGAAACATGGAATGTCAAAGGTTGGAGGAGGATACCTTTAAACCAATTTGTCACTTTCAGTTGTTTGTAATTACCAGCTCACTACAAATCAAAGCACAGGCATTAGCCAACCTGTCTAAAGCCTCCTCTGCTAAGAGTTCCTGCTGATAGTGAGTTTGTCTTTTCTTTAATATGCTGTCTTATTGACATCTTGTTATAGCTTTCATGAATAAGATACTGCCAGGAGAAAGTAGTCAGATCCCAGTAGAATTGTTAGCATGGCCTACTTGCAACCAAAGCCTGTGGTGTATGTGTTGATGTTAACTCCTATCAGATTTCTCACTCTCTTTACTAATTTAATTCAAAATAAACTCCTCCTTTTAATCAAAACTTTAACTAATTCTAGAGTGAAATTTAGATTGGCTTAGTTATTTCCTTTGCAATCATCACGAGATCAGATACATCTGCATTCTGATACGGACTGCCTTCTGAAAGAGCATGTAGTTGCAGAACCTCAGCTTACACTAGAAACTTTTGTAAACGAGCTAATATCATTTCAGCCATTTAAGTAGAATTTAAGGATTTTAAACTATGTTATAAAATACTTCGGCCAGGTGCGGTGGCTCACGCCTGTAATCCCAGTACTTTGGGAGGCCAAGGCGGGCAGATCACAAGGTCAGGAATTCAAGACCAGCCTGGCCATCATGGTGAAACCCTGTCTCTATTTAAAAATACAAAAGTGAGCTGGGCATGGTGGCGCGCACCTGTAGTCCCAGCTACTCGGGAGGCTGAGGCAGGAGAATGGAATGAACCCAGGAGGCGGAGGTTGCAGTGAGCCGAGACCACGCCATTGCACTCCAGCCTGGGTGTCAGAGCAAGACTCCATCTCAAAAAAAAAAAAAAAAAATTATTGCACATTCTTTAGCACCAGCCTTCCACTTAGCAGATACTATGGTTGATAGATTGACAGTAGTGTACAGGCCAGGCGCAGTGGCTCACGCCTGTAATCCAGTACTTTGGGAGGCCGAGGCAGGCAGATCACGAGGTCAGGAGATTGAGATCATCCTGGCTAACATGGTGAAACCCCGTCTCTGCTAAAAATACAAAAAAATTAGCCGGGCGTAGTGGCGGGCGCCTGTAGTCCCAGCTACTCGGGAGGCTGAGGCAGGAGAATGGCGTGAACCCGGGAGGCGGAGCTTGCAGTGAGCCGAGATCGCGCCACTGCACTCCAGCCTGGGCGACAGAGCGAGACTCCGTCTCAAAAAAAAAAAAAAAAGTAGTGTATAAAAAAAGGTATTTGTCTTATACATTTGTATTTAACTTTTCTGTTGAACTTTTAAACTGTTTTGAATAGAATTGTTATGTATATTAAAAGCACAAGTCTTAAGGTGGGAAAATATATTTTTGTTTTATCACTTTGCTTAGCATCTGAGAACGAGTGCATTTCAAAATACATTTCATCCATATGTAAATACGTCAGAATGTTTTACTCAATTATTTCATACAGCAAAAATTTCCTGACTTTTTTGTCTTACAGTCTCGTCTCTGGCTTTCAAGGAAATAATATATAAGCCCACCTGTTCTTTCTGGGCCTTAATAGCTGCTACTGTATCTTCTATGTTTTTCCACCCTGATTCAAATTCAGGTTCATATTGTCCTATCAAAATGGGCATAATCTACATAATCTAAGCACTAGCCTTATTTTATGGCAATATATGGGAAAGCACTGTTTTGAAGAAGGTCCCATAAAGAAAAGTCCTTTGACCTTCTGAAATCTCGTGCAGTATGACAGTGGTTGATCTATGTCTCATGAATCGTTGGAATATGTTTGAAAACATTTGTGAACCAGGGCCCAGGAAACTCCAATCTATGTCTTAGACACTGACTCTGTATTAGTATATGGCAGCTGATAATGGGATCCCAATTGCCAATCTCATCTGCAGTGGAACCCCAAGAAACTGTTAAGGGTATGGATCCTCTTCAAGCCCTGGAATAGCTCATTTTGTAGTTGCAGGAAACATCTAAAACATCCACTCTGTGTGGTTTGATCCTGTGTCCTTACCTGTTTAGCAGAGAAAGACAGTACCAGCCTCTGAGTGTACACTTTGAGAAAATGAGTCTGCTCTCTTGCGTGGATGAAGAAAAGAGAGGGTAGCAAACCTAGTGAATCTGTCCTGGGGTGGGTGGGTGTGTTTTTGTGTGTGTGTTGGGGGGGTGGGGGTGTGCCCTTGTGTGGGGATGAGGGAGGGAAGAGCAGGTGGTGGGGAAGGCTCTTTTATGTCTGCCCCTTTAAAGATAGTAAATCAATTTAAATTCTAAAATGAAACCGAACTTCCTTGGTGTGAGCCTGTATGCTTTACTGAGTGCAAAAAAATGCTATTGGTCCTTTTTAGTGCACCTTACCTTTCAGGAGTGCCTTTAGGATTCACGATGTTTAGATTCTTACTGTTTTGAATGCTCATAAAAGTTTGAGAACTATAAAAGTATTACTGAATTCTTCAAACATACAGCTAACCAAAATGCATGCAATGGTTTTGAAACCCCTCCAATCCCAGCAACACAACGGTAAAAGTTAGCACCACACCAGGTAACGTGCCTGCTTAGTGACTTAGATTTTATCAAGTTTGAGCATCTTAAAACTCCACCTGGCCTTTGAGAAAGCTGTACCAGGCTTTTCATTATACTGGTGTATTGCATTTCACTTTACGTAACAGATAAACCTCAGAAGCATCATGAAAACGGAGTTTTTTAATACACCTAATCACATTTTTAACACTAAGAAGTTTTTAAACAGGATTCTACGGTATATTTTTCTAAAGTCATAAATCCTTTGTATTCTAACTTATCAGCACCCTGACACATGTATATATATATATGTGCATCTACACACATGTATATAGACACATCTATTTTAGGTGGAGGAAGTTACTGGTAAATGTCTGTTTCATCTCTTTGAGTACAAACATGCTGACCTAGGCAATGTTGATGCTACCTGCATAAATATGCCTTGACAGAAAAACCCAAATTTTTAAAGTAGTTGATTTTACATTTGATGTGTGGCCGATTAGATTTTCCTTATGGACCTAAATTATCACGATAGTCACTCTGTATCGTTAGAACAGAGTGTGCTCAACATTATCTAATTCGAGTTGTCTTTAATTGGTATATATGAGCACGTGGCCATGACAAAGTGGAAAGACTTCAGAGTGTGTTCTAAATGTGTACATTTATTTAATCAAAACATTCAAAAACATACATCTTCAGTCATTTTCTTAAGTATATTTTATTGTAAGCATAACCTGAAAATAGTTTGCTCTATTTAATTCCTCAAGAAAAATTAGGGCAGGGTTAAAAAAGATGAATTTTTCTGATCAAGTTCATAAAAATGAAAAATCAAGAATGTTGGTTGGATTTTATAAAAGGCTTTAATTTCTTTACTTGAAAACTTTCATAATTTTAAGTATTTCAGTGCAAAGCAGCATTTTCTATGTTGTCAACTTTTTCTATTGTGAATTAAAAATATATCCAACTCTTATTTTGCAACTTATTTATGAATATCGAACTTCAATAAAAATATTCATTATTGTGCTTTGGTCTTGGCATTGGGGGAAGGGGTAATTGTGGTAGAAGATAGGATTTGGTGGTGGTTACACAGGAGGTAATTTTAAAGAGATGTTGAGGATTCTAATATAACCTTTATTTTTAAAATACCTCACTGTAGACCAGAAGCCTAACAGAAACTTTACCAAAATTTTAAAGTAATTTGTAAAATGAAAGTAATCACTTTTCTGTATGAAGCCAATTCTGGACTTTCTAAATTAGATCATATGTACAAATATTTTTTTTTCTTTTTTTACTAGTCTTTCACTTCTGGCTGAACATTTTTCTTTCTGCTTTATTGCACCACTTTACTGCTCATTAAAATCACTAATTCTTCCTGATTAATTTGAAATCAAATGGCAATGCAAAACATATACATCCAATGTTTCTCCTACTTTAAAAAAGCTTTGGCCAAAGCTTTTATTATTCAATATGGTGGTGGGAAACTATCATAATGCATGTGGTCATACGCCTAAGTGAGCTACTTTGTTGCGGGACAGAAGCGGATAATAGGAGCATAGGTAATGGAGCCAACAAACTTGTACTTGAAAGCCAGCTTTGCCACTACAAGTAAGTAGGAAAGTTTATGCATCCATTGGATGAAGATCCATTTGATAATCTTCCTCAGTGGACAGATGGGAGGATACAATGAGAATTTATATGTAGAGCACCCGGCCAGCATATGCCTAGGATAGAAGCCATCTAAGCAAGCGCTTTGTATGATGTGAAATCCTTAAACGGGTGTGGGTCAAAAAAATAGTCAAAATATATTCTAACAAGCTTTTCTGCCTAATAACATTAGAAATCACCTTTTATTATATTACAAGAAGAGATATGGAAAAAAGCATACAATTTTGAAGCCATTTATTTGTTTATGAATTGGTTATTAACAAGTCTATATAAGGTTAGGATTCCAATTTAAAGTTTTCACTTGAAAGCCTTCAGGGTTCAGTTGTATGTCATGTAACGAGGAGTAGCACTGAATTTGGCATAAGACTTAATGACCTTATTTACAGCTTCCAAGAAATCCTTCTCGGTAGCAATTTTTCGCCGTGCTCTGATGGCAAACATACCAGCCTCTGTGCAGACGCTTCTAATCTCAGCACCTTTCAAACAAAAAGAAAATAAACGGGCTTAATTAAAGCAGCCTGAGCAGACAGACCAGCAAATATAAGCAAGAACTTTCTACTTACCAGTGCTATTTGGACACAGTCGTGCTAACAGTTCAAATCTGATATCTCTTTCAACACTCATTGAACGAGCGTGAATCTTAAATATGTGGGTCCGACCCTAAAAATGAGAAAATTGACAAATATTAAAATGGAAAAAAATCACAGGAAGAAAAAACTTCAAAAATCCCTTTCCTAAAATGAAATGGTTTTCTTACCTCTAGATCGGGCAAGCTAAATTCAATTTTTCTATCCAATCTCCCTGGCCTCATCAGTGCTGGATCCAAAGTATCAGGTCTGTTAGTGGCCATCAGCACTTTAATATTGCCTCTAGGATCAAAACCATCAAGCTGATTGATCAGTTCCAACATTGTTCTCTGCACTTCATTGTCACCTCCAGCACCATCATCAAAACGAGCCCCTGAGAAGACAAAAGGAAAGATAAGCTCTTCAAGTCCACTCAAGAGTAGCACTATGCATGACCTGAAAGTACCAAAAATCTCAGCTCAAATCATGTCCTCAGGCACAAGTGACATCCCACTTTGAAGCAAATCCTGTAAGAACAGCTTGCTTTATATAAAACTAATTAGAAAGTGAATCTTTGCTTTCAAAAGTATTCATCACAGATTTACTTAACGTTTTTTAAACTGCCTATGGGGCAGTTTAGTGTTTTCAAAGTCTACCACATTTATTACTTAATTTGGACCTCTCAAAAACTCATGAAGTACACAAGACAACAATTATTCCCTTTATAAGATGAGCAAACTGAGGCTCAGAGATTAGTTAAAATAACTTGTCCTCAGGAGTTCGAGACCAGCCTGGCCAACATGGTGAAACCACGTCTCTACTAAAAATACAAAAATTAGCCAGGCATGGTGGTAGGCATCTGTAATTGCAGCTACTCAGGAGGCTGAGACATGAGAATTGCTTGAACCCAGGAGGCAGAGGTTGCAGTGAGCCAAGATCATGCCACTGAACTCCAACCTGAGCAACAGAGTGAGACTGTTTCTTAAAACAAAAAAAAAAGTCTAGATTTCATGGCTAATACTGTATTTCATCAAATCTGTGAAGCCAACAAGAACATTATTTTATGTGCACTAAGAAAAACCACCATCAATTAAATTATGCCCCAGTGCTTTCTTATGACATTAGATGATACTTCTCAATTTACGAGTTGTTTAAAGTATGGAAATAGGTGTTGTATGAATGAAATCAGATATAGACTGAGCATCCCAAATTTGCAAATGCAAAATCCAAAATGCTTCAAAATTTGAAAGTTTGAGCACCAACATGACAAAAGCAATACTCATTGGAGCACTTTAGATTTCAGGTTTTCAGATTTGGGATACTCAATCAGTATAATGCAAGTACTTCAAAAGCCAAAATCCAAAATATGTGAATTCCAAAACACTTCTCAAACATTTCGGCTAAGGGATATTCAACCCATAGCACAAAAATAAAGGCTTTGAAAAAATGACAATGGTATATAATGTGTCTTCTTGCCTTTATAGTTTAGCACTACTACTTATTAGATCTGTGGCGCCACTGTTTCAGAGCTCATAGAAGAGTTGGAGTTAAAATTCTGTACAAGATTAACATATCACGACATATCACTTTACAGCTTTCATGAAACTGAATCCTAAAGCAGTTCTCTAACGTATCATTCTCACCTCCAATAGCATCAATTTCATCAAAGAAGATAAGGCAGGCTTTTTTTGTTCTGGCCATTTCAAAGAGTTCACGAACCATTCGAGCCCCCTAATGAGAAAAATGATTTATTAATTCAAAATTGGTTTCAAAATATTTTAAAATAAGTAAAAAGTTATGCTTCAAACTTTTCAATATTTATTCCTAACAGTATTCTCACCCATTATTACCTAAACGTTTTTTATTTTTTTATTTTTTTGAGATGGAGTCTTCCTCTGTCGCCCAGGCTGGAGTGCAGTGGTGCGAGCTCGGCTCACTGCAACCTCTGCCGCCTGGGTTCAAGCGATTCCCCTACCTCAGCCTCCCGGGTAGCTGGGATTACAGGCATGTGTCACCACACCCCGCTAATTTTTGTATTTTTAGTAGAGACGGGGTTTCAGCATCTTGGCCAGGCTGGCATTGAACTCCTGACCTCATGTTCCACCCGTCTCAGCCTCCCAAAGTGCTGGGATTACAGACGTGAGCCACTGCGCGCAGCTATTTTAATTTTATTTTTTGAGACAGAGTTTCACTCTTGTTGCCCAGGCTGGTGTGCAATGGCACGATCTTGGCTCAGTGCAACCTTCGCCTTCTGGGTTCAAGCGATTCTCATGCCTCGGCCTCCCGAGGAGCTGGGATTACAGACATGCGCCACCACACCCGGCTTTTTCTATTTTCAATGGAGACGGGGTTTCTCCATGTTGGTCAGGCTGGTTTCCAACTCCTGACCTTAGGTGATCCGCCTGCCTCTGCCTCCCAAAGTGCTAGGATTACAGGCATGAGCCACCGTGCCTGGCCTATCTAAACTTTTTTTAAAAAAGACTGAAGTTTGCTCCCCAGTCCACCAAATTAATCTTGCCAGCCTTAAAATATTAAGTCATTTTCATGATTCTGTATCTATTAAATAGCAATAGGTTTCAGATCTGAAGAGGTCAAATTAATAGTTAAATAAAGGAACCATTCTAATTAGTAAAACTTGAGTAAATAAAAGCATCTGATCTATCACTTGGAATTCCTGATCATTGAATTTGACTTGCAAGTTTTAGTTAGGGAATAAAAGGATACCTCAACTCACGCAGCTCCGTAGCTAATTCTTATTGTAAATATACGAATCATCAACAGGTTTCAGATACAATACATATAGCCCTAGACTTATTCTCTAAATATATATATATATATATATATATATGTATGTCTACAAACATAAAAACAACCTATGTTCTCACTTTCTCATTAGGACTGAAAACACTGCCCCTGAAGTAAAAGTATACTTTTTAATTAATTTACCAGGCATTTCCGTAGAAAAGCCACATCTGTAGAAAATGTCACCCTTTTGAGGAGGGGGCATACTGGTTAAAATTTTAAGTGGTTGCCTATCTCCAAATGACCACAAAGGCAGCTTCTAAACTACTAATTACAATCAAGAAATTTCAGGTCTCAGGCCGGGCGTGGTGGTTCTTGCCTATACTACCAGCACTCTGGGAGGCCAAAGCAGATGGATCACTTGAGCCCAGGAGTTTGAGACCAGCTGGGCCACATGGTAAAACCCCTCTCTACAAAAAATAGAAAAATTAGCTGGGTGTGGTGGCATGTAGCCATGGTCTCAGCTACCTGAGAGGCTGAGATGGGAGGATCGCCTAAGCCCAGAGAGGTAGAGACTGCAGTGAGCTGAGATCATGTCACTGCACTCCAGCCTGGGCAACACAATGAGACTCTGTCTCAACAAAAGAAAAAAGAAATTTCAGGTCTGGATCCCTCAATGCAGAAGTGCCATTTTTAATTTCATTCATACTGTAAAATCTTTCACAAGGCTATATATTCTTTGATAAATTTACTTTACCTCACCGACGTATTTCTGTACAAGCTCAGATCCAATAACTCGAATGAAGCACGCATCAGTCCGATTAGCAACTGCCCGCGCACAGAGTGTCTTGCCTGTACCGGGTGGACCAAAGAGCAGCACGCCCTTGGGAGGCTCAATGCCAAGGTTCACAAACCTCTCTGGCTGTGATAGAGACACAATTTTCACACTTACCACTTCTGTATAACAAAAATCAGACTACTTCTAAATCAACAAAGTGCTTTTATGTTTAGTATTTTATCCTGAAAACCATACTTTAATATTTAAATCAAAATTATTAAGTCCACAATATACATACTTGAACTAAATAAGAAATTTTACTTATTCTAAGACATAAGTTCTAAACTGGACTTCTATCAATACATAAGACTAAATGGCTTTTAAAAAGCACTTCCATTATCCAGTCTTAAAATATTTTCCTAATTTAAAAAAAATTATGGTGTTTAAGGAACAAAATTATCTGGTATTCAGTATCCTAGTTTTCCATTATCCTCCCAAGTTTAACCTGCTTCAATTTAAGCCCCTTTCTTCTCGATGTCTTTTGAAGAACCAGTTTCTTCTATAATAGCCTGTAACATATTTAACATATTGCTAAAGGTTACACTGTGCCTCCTCTGTCACTGTAAACAGCAGATCTTTCTTTTTTAAATATACCTGACCACTCAATCCTTTTTGCTTGCTCTCCCCTAGAACTTACCAACTCTCCACACCTCCTCTCTCCACCCTCTCAAAAAACTCTCATTAGGGAAAATATTAAAAGCCATCTAATATACAAGCAATTTTAGTGCTCAATACACAAAAGACATCTTTATACAAAGAAATTTAAATACAACACTCAGCTACTTACATGAAGTAATGGGGTTTCAACTACTTCTCGCAGTTTCTCAATCTGTTCCTTACAGCCACCAACATCACTGTATGTGACATCAGGTTTCTCTTCCACCTAAGAGAGGGACAGAAATGTACAACATACAGTCACAGGCTTTTTGGATACTGTCCAAATTCAATAGAATAGACCTAATACCTTAAAAGAAAAACTCACAAGTGAGAATTTTAATAAAAATTGAATACATTGCCCAGTGCCCTGGAACTACTTGCTGTATTAACTTGTTATGACACTAATGAATGAAAAACAAACTAGTAAAATAAAGACAGGCTGAGACTCTGTCTCAAAAAATATATATATAAAATACTGCCGGGCTCAGTGGCTCACGCCTGGAATCCCAGCACTTTGGGAGGCTGAGGCAGGCCAAACACTTGAGGTCATGAGTTCGAAACCAGTCTGGCCAACATGGTGAAACACCGTCTCTACTAAAAATACAAAAATTAGCTGGGCGTGGTGGCGGGTGCCTGTAATCCCAGCTACTCGGGAGGCTGAGGCAGGAGAATTGCTTGAACCCGGGAGGCAGAGGTTGCAGTGAGCCAAGATCACACCATTCTACTCCAGCCTGGACAAGAGTGAAACTCCGCCTCAAAAAAAAAAAAAAAAAAAGACATAGCCTTCCTTTTCCCTCCCATAGTTTCTTACCTGCATCATGGTAACTGTTGGGTCAATCTTAGGAGGCAATGGAATGTGAATTTGATATTTATTTCTATCCACGCTAAGGAAGTAAAAAAGATAGTCATTAATACATTCTTTAAGCTTTCAAAGTGCTTTTATGTTTAGTCCTTTATCCCCAAAACCATACTTTAAGAAAACAAGAGAGAGACAGAGTCCCTAATTATATAAAGAGAAATAAAGAGAGCATGAAATCTGAGGATACTAAACTACATGTCTAATGTCGCAAACAACCTATCCAACAGCAATCAAACCTTTGAGGAGGGAGGGGAGATTTTTTTTTAATTTACTAAGTGAGTTGTTATGTATTCTATAGACATTAACACACTTAGCATCACAACTATCCTAAAGCAAGTACTCCCCCAACCTATACCATGTTACCTTAAATGGACTGGTAACCTCAACTCTGAAATTTGAAGCCATTCATAATAAACAACAGTGGGAGTAGGGGAGTCAGCGAAGCCGATGGGAAGTTAGGAAGCAGATGCAGAAGACAGAATTTTCAACTATAGTACATTACTAGATCATCCTTTGGTATTCCAAGGAACTCAGTCCATTTATTCACTACAAAGCCAAGGATATGAATGTGAGACAGTATCCTTAGTGAAAGAAAAGTATTTATTGTAAATAGAAATCTTACCCCACTCTCATCCCTTCTTCAATGTCAGTAGGTGCCACCTGATCACTAAGGTCCACCACAAACTTGGCAAACTGCTTTACGTTGATAATGTATTTTGGGTCCTCCGAATCAGCATTGATTATCTTTGTACACCTAACACAGCAAAAAGCTTGATTAGAATAAGGAACCTAAGCCACTAATAATGAATTCAACTAACTAGATTATATCCTGAGTGTGCAATATACAGGTATAAACTAGAACTACAGAAACTGGGACACTGTTAAAGATCCTTTTCTATACCCAACTCCAAAGGTCCATTCGACTTTAGCCAAGTCATAAAATTTTCAAATACATTCTCCTGGAAAATTAAACCCAAATATCTCATCATTAAGAAGTTCTCTGATTTCTTGATTTCCATAGTTTGTATTCCTTTATTATTAGTGATGCTCCTGTATATCTTAAGTTGCTCTCGTTTTTATTTTCCCTACAAAAAGATGGTCATCTTGTCTTACACCAAATTCAGTAATAAATGGGTTTTCATTCTTTTCCTGAGTTTATACTTTAAATCCGTTTTTCTTTTTTTTTTTTTTTTTTTTTTTGAGATGGAGTTTCACTCTTGTTGCCCAGGCTGAAACACAATGGTGTGATCTTGGCTCACTGCAACCTCCACCTCTTGGGTTCATGCAATTCTCCTGCCTCAGCCTCCCGAGTAGCTGGGATTACAGGCATGCACCACCATGCCTAGCTAATTTTGTATTTTTTTTTTTTTTTTTAGTAGAGAGGGGGTTTCTCTTGAACTCCCAACCTCAGGCTAGTCAGGCTGGTCTCGAAATCCCAACCTCAGGTGATCCGCCCGCCTCAGCTTCCCAAAGTGCTGGGATTACAGGCGTGAGCCACCACACCCGGACTTTAAATCCATTTTTATTGTTTTTGCTACTTTTTTCTTTTTTTAACTGAGGCAGTAGAAGCTTGTTTTTTTTTCTTTTTCTTTTTTTTGAGACAGAGTCTTGCTCTGGAGCCCAGACTGGAGTGCAGTGGTGCGATCTCGGCTCATTACAATCTCCGCCTCCTGGGTTCAAGCAGTTCTCCTGCCTCAGCCTCCCAAGTAGCTGGCATTACAGGAATGCGCCAGCACGCCCGGCTAATTGTTTTGTATTTTTAATATATACGGGGTTTCACCATGTTGGCCAGGCTGGTTTCAAACTCCCGACCTCAAGTGATCCACCTGCTTCGGCCTCCCAAAGTGCTGGGATTACAGGCGTGAGCCATTGCACCCGGCCAGTAGAAGCTATTTTTAACTTAATTATATTCATTTCCATATGGCCTGGTAAAAATGAATTTATAATGCCATGCACATCACAGTATAAAATAGTCAACCGCCTTTCCCCTTCTATAGTATCTATCTACTAAAGAAAAACAAAAACAAAAAACAGAACTCACATTAGAAAGCTGCTACATAAGCCACAGCAAGAATTACAGAGAAATACAAAAATAGCCTGTGGAGTGCGCACATAGGTAGAGCTAAAAGTAAGGTACAGAATGCTTTGGCTTAGCCAGGTGTGGTGGGATGCACCTGTAGTCCCAGCTACTGAGGAGGCTGAGGCTGGAGGATCACTTGAGCCCAGGAGGTCAAGGCTAAAAAAGAATGCTTTGTCCTGATAGCATAATTGTGTGAAGGACTCTGTTTTCTGTTACCAACCATGTTTGCTAGGGAAGAAGAATTATACCCATTCTCTACCAAAAAAAAAGAGGCTGACCAAAAAACCTGAAAGGAAAAACAAGAACAACAAACAGCAATAATACCAAACCCTGGGGAAAGGAAGAATTTGATTTCCAGAGGTGACACATTACATTATTTTAAATGTCTAGTTATCACCAAAAAGTTATGAGATGCAAAACATTATGAAATGCATTTTCCCTTATGTATGACATTATGGCTCATACATAAGGGGAAAAAAATCAGTCAATAGAAATTGTCCCTTAAGAAGCCTAGATGTTGGTGTTATTAAACAAAACTTTTTTTTTTTTTTTGAGACGGAATCTCACTGCTGCCCAGGCTGGAGTGCAGTGGCGCGATCTTGACTCACTGCAACTTCCGCCTCCCACGTTCGAGCAATTCTCCTGCGTCAGCCTCCTAAGTGTCTGGGATTACAGGCGCCTGCCACCACGCCCAGCTAATATTTTTATATTTTTAGTAGAGACAGGTTTCACCATGTTGGCCAGGCTGATCTCAAACTCCCAACCTCAAGTGATCCACCTGCCTCAGCCTCCCAAAGTGCTGGGATTACAGGCATGAGCCACTGCGCCCAGTCAAACAAAAACCTTAAATCAGTACAAGAAATATTTTCAAAAAGCTAAAGGAAACCATATCTAAAGAGTTTATAGGAATGATGAGAAGAATGTCTCACCAATAGTGAATACAGATAGAGAAATTAGACTGGAATATTATTTGGCCATAAAAAGTTCCATCTATTTTAGAATACGGATGAACCTTGAAATATGCTAAGTGAAGGAAGCCATGTACTATATGATTCCATTTAGATGATATGTCCAGGATAGACAAATTCATAGAAACAGAAAGTAGATAAATGGTTGCCAGGGGCTGGAAAGAGACGGGAATGAAGACTGCTAATGGGTATTGGGTTTGTTTTTGGGGTGACAAAAATATTCTATTCTGGAATTAGATAGTGATGATCAATGCACAATTTTCTAGATATTCTAAAAATCACTAAATTGTATACTTTAAAAGAGTGAACCTCATGATATCTGAATTTTATATCAGTAAGATTGTTATTAAAAAAATTCATAAGCTGGCTGGGCACGGTGGCTCACACCTGTAATCCCAGAACTTTGGGAGGCCAAGGTGGGCAGATGGCTTGAGCCTAGGAGTTCAAGAGCAGCCCAGGCAACATGGCAAGACCCTGTCTCTACTAAAAATTAAAAAAAAAAAAAAAAAAAAAAAAAAAAAAAAGCCAGACATGGGGTGGTATGCACCTGTGGTCCCAGCCACTTGGGAGGCTGAGGTGGGAGCCCAGGAAGCAGAGGCTGCAGCGAGCTGAGATCATGTTACTGCACTCCAGCCTTGGTAACAAAGTGAGACCTTGTCTCAAAAAAAAAAAAAAATTCACAAGCTAAAAATTACACATACACAAATTTTATCAAGAGTTTTAAGCAAAGAGTATGAGACTAAAATCAATGGAAACTTTTTCAAAATAATCTTTGCTTTCTTTAAGGCCTGGGATCTTGTAGGGGTATAGGGCTCTTTAGCTAGTCTGTCTGTTATGAAAAATCTATATGAAAAGTTTCCCTCTAACTGCTTTACAGAAAAAAGAAAATTCCCCTCATACGGCCTAGAAAAATGTACCTAGATTTTTTAATTTACCATAGAGAGATAAGAACATATTACAACCATGATATAAGAGCAGAACATTCAACACACACACAAAAATGAAAGAATAAAGATAAGAGCCTTGAAATAAAAAACCTGAGTTTTTTTACCTGAGAAATTAAAAACCTACGAGAAGAAAAATGGGAGGAAAAAAACATCAACAGAAAAATTCAAAGATAAAGAAAAGCTCATAGAAAGTAAAGTAAAAAGGCAAAAAGAAGAAAAACAGGAAGGAAAGATTAGCAAATTAGAGGAGCAATCCTGGAGGCCCCATATCCAAATAAGAGAATTCAGGAATAAGGGTCCAAGAAAACGGAAGGAAAGAAATTAACAAATAGTTTCAAGAAGATTTGCCTTACTAAAGGACAAGAGAGCCCAGGACAATGGATGAAAACAGACCAACACCAAGGCACATCACCATGAAATTTCAAAATAGAACAAGAGAAGACTCTACAATTTTCAGAGAAAAATTAGGCCACATATACAGGACTGAGGATCAGAATGGCTTCAGAGTAACACTGGGAGGCAAAGGACAACAGAACGACGCCTTCAAAATTTTGAAGGGAAAAGAACTGTATACTCAGCTAAGACACTTTCAGACATATGCAGTCTCAAAATATTACCTCCCAACTGACCCTTTTCCAAGAAGCTACCAGAGGATGTATTAGACCAAGCAACAGGAGAGAGGTAAAGGGCAATCTCCAGGGTAGAGAAGTCAGACAACAATTGTCATTAAACAGGCATAAAGGACAACTGGTCCAAACCAAAGCAGGTCAGAAGGTGCTGGGAAAAACTTAAGGAAAATGAAACCGAGAGAACACCAGATGCAACTAAGGTATAACTGAGAGAAAACGAACAGATCTAATGCATCTGAAGAGCAGTTTAGACAATCAAGAGAAAGTGGGAGGTTGAGTTCATAATATATGCACAGAAAACCAGGCAAATGAAAAAACAAGACGTTATAACAACCACCACTAAAAGAAGTGGTACAAGAAAGGAAAAGCAATCACAGCTTACCACTTGGCTCTTTGTGAATAGTGTTTACATAGCCATAATCATATAAACACTGAATACTGATCTAACCAAAATTATAACAGAATTACATAGGAAGGATGAGGGGATAGGAAAGGTGTGCCTTCAAGGTGAAGGCAGAGGAAACAAAACAAAATCCTCATCTTCCATGATGGAAAGCCAAAAGATAATACCTAAAACTAAAAAATCAAGAAGTAGGAATCTATAATACACAAGATATAGCAATATCCATTAGAACCATGAAGACGAAAACCAAAATAATCAGCTAAAAAAGGTGAAAATGAGTGTCATTAGGGAAGAGAAATTGGGAAATACAGTTGTTATTATTTAACTGTTTAACTCTTTTCTTTTTTTTTTTTTTTTGAGACAGAGTATCACTCTGTCACCCCAGGCTGAAGTGCAGTGGCACAATCTCAGCTTACTGCAACCTCTGCCTCCCAGGTTCAAGCGATTCTCCTGCCTCAGCCTCTCCAGTAGCTGGGATTACAAGCGCCCGCCACCACACCCAGTTAATTTTTGTATTTTTAGTAGAGACGGGGTTTCACTATGTTGACCAGGCTGGTCTTGAACTCCTGACCTCAAGTCATCTGCCTGCCTGGGCCTCCCAAAGTGCTGGGATTACAGGCGTGAGCTGCCGTGCCCAGCCTGAACTATTTAACCCTTCAAAAACCATGATAAAACTAAAAAGTGAGTGAATAAATAAAAGTGAGAAAAGATGGAAATTGTGAAGTAGGGAGGGTGAGTAGATGGGAAATAAAAATAATCTTTAGCTTTTAGGAACTAAAAATAAAAACAAAATTTTTAAAAGGATTATAAACAGAGGAGAATATGTTTATAGCCTTGAATTGGGCTAGGTTTTTCTAAGCAACATTAACACCCAAAAGGTATAATGGAAATATTGGTATATTTTATCTCCTAAAAATGTAAAACATTAGTACAACAAAAGGTACCAAGAAGTTAAAAGTGACTAGGGAAAAATACTTGTAGCATACTTAAGAAAAGACAATATGTACAATATATGAACTGTTTCTAAAATTAACAAGAAACAACCCAAGAACAAAACATGAGTAGTCAAAGAAATACAGATGTTTAGTAAACAAAAGAAGTAGCTATCATACTAGTAATCAACACAGTACAAATTAAAATTATTTTCCCTCAAATGGCAAAAGTGTAAAAATTGAAAACTGCGTATCTTACATTGATCAGACAAATGGACATTTGCCTCAAAGCCTCTTGGTAAAAGTATAAACTGGCCAAAGTAATTTTCACAGGATTTTAAAACTATAATATCTTTGACCCCTAGAATTCCACTTGTAGTAAGCTAGCCTACAGAAATGTATGCACATACACTGAGAAACATTTAACACGAATATTCACTACAGCACTGTGTATAGTAACAGAAATTGTTACAGCCTAACATCTACACATTATGCAATTTTTGCAATTTTTTAAAAACACAAGAAAAAAGAAATAAGTATACCTATATTAAAGACAAAGATTCCCAAAACATGTAGTTATATCTAAAAAAAAAAAAATCAGGATATGTTTCTTTGCATGCAAATACAGGAAGATACACAGAGGATTACGAGGGCCAAACTATTTCAGTAGTTACGTTTGAGGAAAGGGCAACGGGAAAGCAAGTATGAGAAGGGAGTTTTTCATTTCTTGCTCTACATCTTTTTATATCATTTAAATCTTTTAAATGATTATGCCTTCATATATTTTTGAAGAATTGTTTAAGGCATAAAATTTTAACCCCAGTTTTGTAGAAAGCTTTATTTACTTGGAATTTGGAATCAAAATTATTTATGAACTATTGCATTATCCCTGAGACTCTAACATTAAGTGCTTGAAAATACAGACAAAGGTAAGTTGCCACAGAGCACCCGTGCATACCTGGCAACCTGTAAAGGCTGTTCACTCTGGAGTGTCTGCTTATCTGCAGCCAAATCCCAGAGTGCTGGTGGGGCCAGGCCAGTGTCAGATTCTTTAATACCTACATAGAGAAAGATGACAAAATTTACTAAAATGTAATGCATCACCCTATAATAAGCTTTCTAAACCTCAGCACTACTGATATTTTGCACTGAATCATTCATTGTGAGGACTATCATGTGCATTATAGACTGTTTAGTAGCATCCCTGGCCTCTCACCACTAGACGCCAGCAGCACCACCCTCTCTCAAAGTCATGACAATCAAGGATGTCTCCAGACATTGCCCAGTGTCCTCTGGGAGGGGTTGGGAGGGTGGGGCAAAATCACCCCAGCTGAAAACTACACCCTGCCCTAAAGTAATTGTCAAGCCAAAAATATAATGCCACATTTGACATTTTTGTGTAGGTCAAATATTATAAAACTTCATCATTCAAGTTCCCCCCAAAAAGTTCCAGGAAAGAGCCCAATTACTTGAAGCAAAACTATGTTGTGAGATCTTATTTTTATCCAAAAAAGTTTTTTGACTTGTTAACTGAAGTTTACTGAACTGGGTTTTGACCAACAGAAATATTACTGGCTTAGAAGATGGTACTATTTCTTATTTCTTAACTGCATAAGCATTAAACCTGGTTGTAAAAAGCAGTGAAAGATATGGTTAAATGAGATCTAATTTCTTAACAGAAAGGAAGAATAATGATTTTTTTTAAATCTGTAATCATGAAGGAGTAAAATCTGTATTTAAACTCTTGATATTATTCACACATTACATTTAAAGGAAGGAAATGGGAATTTAAAAATACATACCAGTGAGCTCATTAATTTTCTTGAGAAGTTGCTGAATGTCATCTTCAACTTGCTTGATCTGCCTAGAGTAAGTGCTCTGACCCTAGGTGATGAAGGTCAGTTTAGTTAGAATATCAGGATATCAACCATTTATTAAAACTACAGGTAAAAATTATTTTTAAGTTACAATTTCAATAGCTATCATTATCCCAAAGCTTGTGAAGTAGAGAGGTATTCCTGACCCAATATTTCCCCCTAAATACACAATCCACTATTATGCAAGATAACAAATGAAAATCATGGCCAGGCATGGTGGCTCATGCCTATAATCCCTGCACTTTAGGGGGCGGAGGCGGGTGGATCACCTGAGGTCAATAATTCAAGACCAGCCTGGCCAACATGATGAAACCCTGTCTCTACCAAAAATACAAAAAATTAGCCAGACGTGGTGGTGGGCGCTCATAATCCCAGCTACTCAGGAGGCTGAGGCAGGAGAATCGCTTGAACCCAGGAGGCGGAGGTTGCAGTGAACCAAGATCGCGCCATTGCACTCCAGCCTGGGTGACAAGAGCAACACTCCGTTTCAAAAAAAAAAAAAAAAAAAATCGTGTGTGAAATTATGCAAAACTATCGATTTCTATGCATTAAAACTTCATTTCAGAACTAATTCAGTAATACTTGTTAAATATAGTAAACTTGTGTAAATGATTTCAAATATCTTTCAATATAGCATCACATTTTAATCACGAATAGTATTAAAATAATACATAAACTGAGACATGCCAAATACTTTGATCTATTCTATAAACTTTAGGTAGGTAACTTCATTTAGTGAAGATTACTAGAAGCTGCCAGACATTCTTTTCTAATTGTTTCTTTTTATTTTATTTTTTGTTTGGTTTTTTAATTTTTGGTTTCTTAACTTCTTCTAATTATTTTGGAAGGACAATACCAAAACAGTTTTTATTTCAACATAAAACATCTATAGTTTGTAGACACTGAAAGGACTTACATAAGTTTTCAACAAGGCAATATCCCCCTCATCCAGAGCTGAAAGAAGAGAGACAATACGTGAGATTCAAAAAGAAACTAGAATTAAAATTTTTAAAAAAGAAACTAGAGCTTTTTTTCTGTTCGATTCAAATTGTTTTAAGTGAGTGTCAAAAATCAAGCAAGATTATGATGATACATATTCAATCAAATAGTTCCTGGACTCAAGGAATTTTTATCTAACTGGGAGGAAAATAGGTTTTTAAAAGTACATAATATACGTGATGACCTATTTTATATAGTACATACATAAAACACATCCATTAAGGATCTTGGTTAAATTATACCATAGTCATACAATGAAATACAATGCAGGCCCCGTGCGGTGGCTCCTGCCTATAATCCCAGTACTTTGGGAGGCCCAGGCAGGCAGATCACCTGAGGTCAGGAGTTTGAGACCAGCCTAGCCAACCTGGCGAAACCCCGTCTCTACCAAAAATACAAAAATTGGCCTGGCATGGTGGCGCATGTCTGTAGTCCCAGCTACTCAGGAGGCTGAAGCTGGAGAATTGCTTGAACCCAGGAGGCGGAGGTTGCAGTGAGCCCAAATCACATCACCGCACTCCAGCCTGGGTGACCGAGAGAGACTCCATCTCAAAAAGAAAAAGAAAAGGAAATACAATGCAGCAATTTAAAATGATAACAGAACATAGACATAGAAAGCAATCCAACAAATGCTATTCAGTGAATCAGGTAGGTTTAAAAAAAAGGATATAATGTGCATATATTTTGTTTTTATATAAAAATCACTTAAAACACATGTGGAGAGTAACCTGAAATGGTGTTCTACGGTGGTTATCTGGGATTTCAAGTGATTTACAGTTAATCTTTTCTATTCACAAATTCTGCATTTCTGAATTTGCTTAGCTGCTCAAATTTATTTGTAATCCCCAAATCAATACTCATGTGCTTTCATGGTCATTTGCAAATAGACAGAGTGGTAAAAAATTTAAGTTCACAACTAAGAACAAGTCACTCTACCCTCTTGTTTCAGCTTTCATACAGAGATGACCAGAAGATGGAGACCGTAGGGGAAATGCCGTGTAATCCAAGCAGTTCAGGCTTTGGGGCCAGGTGGACAGGGTTTGAATGCCAGCTCTGGAATCTGTTAGTGGGGTGACCTCAGCCAAGTCACTTAACACTTCTGAACTTTGTTTTCTCTTTTGTGAAATAAAGAAAAAATGAATCTACCAGGATGAGTTGTTTTTAGGATTTAAGATTATAATCAGCCGGATGCTGTGGCTCACACTTGTAATCCCAGGCCGAGACAGGCGGATTGCTTGAGTCCAGGCGTTCAAGAGCAGCCTGGACCACATGGCGAAACCATGTCTCTACAAAAAATGCAAAAATTAGCATGGTGGTATGCACTTGTAGTCCCAGCTACTTGGGGGGCTGAGGCAGGAGGATCGCTTGAGCCCAGGAAGTGACAGCCACAGCAAGCTGAGATTGTGCCACTGCACTTCCACCTAGGTAACAAAGTGAGACCCTGTCTCAAAAAAAAAAAAAAAAAAAAGATTATAATCTATGTGAGATGTATATATATATTTCTCCTAGGATCAAATGTTCAGTACTTCCCAACTGACCATTCACAGCAACTTTATAGAATATATCTATCATGAAAAACAAGAACCAATCATACAATCGTACATATTTTAAGGAAAAAAACGGCAGGTCTTTTTTTTTTTTTTTTTTTTTTTTTTTTTTTAACTAAGTATGAGTAGAGGTAGGAAAAAGCATGCTTAGGTAACAGCAGCTAGACCAGGTAAGCTGAAACATAGTATACACATTAGGCGGTAATAGGAAATTAAGTAGATGGAGGTTTGGGGCTCTAGTGAAGTAGACCATAAATTCTAGAATGAGGTAATCAGGGCCACTACAGTTGACATTATAGGAACTGTGCCTTAGGAAGAATTAGCTCGCTGAGATATGAAGAACAAATTGGAGTGAGGCCACTCGGAAGTCATAAGAACCTAAATAAAAATGGTAGCAATGAAAAGAGAAAGGAAGAGTTGGATTAAAAAAAAACCCTCAGAGGAAGAATCTACAGCACATGGCAAATGACTAAATGTGAGAAGCTGACGGGAGAGGATCAAACATGATGCCCAGGCTTTGGACCTAGGTACCACACAACAGAAGTCACAATAGAAAGTGGTTAGCAGAGGGAGATACGAAGTTCAGTTTAAATTTTATTAAGTTTGTGGTACTGTTATCTGCACAGAAGAGTTAACTGCTATCCTTTGAAAGGCCTGCTTATAAGGTTGGTTCTTGGCTCTTGTCTGAGAACAATTTCAGAGGGTTCCTACCATTCCCAGAACTGAAAAAGGTGGTTCACTGTGCTTAAAATGTTTATACAAACTACAGGGTTTATGCAGAACACTTATCTTCCTTCAGGGAGTCTAGAATTTTGGTATGTTCTAGGCAGAGATGCCTACATTACCAACCCATAATAAAAACCCTGGGTGCCAAATCTCTAACGAGCTACTCTGGTTAGCAACATTTTACACATATTGTCACTACCTGTTGCTGGGGGAATTAAGTACATCCTGTGTGACTCCACTGGAAGAGGACCCTTGGAAGCTTGTGCCTGGTTTCTCCTGGACTTGGCCCCATGTGTCTTTTCTCTTTGCTGATTTTGCTTTGTATCCTTTCACTAAAATACATCATAGCCATGAGTATGACTACATGCTGAGTCTTATGAATGCTCTTAGCAAATTACTGAGCCTGAGGGTAGGCATGAAGACTATCCAACACACCGGCATATCCTGATGCAGCATTCTAAAAGGCGGAGATAAATCTGGCTCTAGAGGTCAGATGCTAGCTTGAGGTTAAAAAGGTTGACTAGGGAAGCACATACAGTCCAAGACCAGAATGGATGAAATTAATAGAAACAAAACTTTAGAGAAGCCATGTGAGGACACAATGAAGGAAAGAAAAGAAGCAGGCGGATAAACGGGAAGGTTCAGCAAGAGAAACCAAGGGAAGCTCAAAGGCTCAACAATGTCAAAAACACAAGGATTAGGATTGAGAAATACTAAAGATCTGGGAATTAAGAAACTACTGCTCAGTTTCAACTGATTTATATAGATAGAAACTAAAGTGCAAGAAGTTTAAAAATAAAATAAGAGCCTGGCATGGTAGCTCACCCCTGAAATGCCAGTACTTTGGGTGGCCAAGGTGGGAGGATCACTTGAGCCCAGGAATTTGAAACCAGTCTAGGCAACATAACAAGACCCTGTCTCTACAAAAAAAAAAAATAAGTTTTAAATGAGCATGGCATGGTGGTGCACGCCTGTTGTCCTAACTACTAGGGAGGCTGAGGCAGGAGAATGGTTTTAGCCCAGGAGTTCCCAGCCTGCAGTGACTATGATCATGCCACTGCACTCCAGCTTGAGCGACAGTGCAAGACTGTCTCTAAAAATAAATATATAAATAGTAAAGAAATGTACTGTGGGAGAATAGTAATAGCTGCTATAAATTGAGATGATCACTGTATGAGACACCGTGATTAGAGATACATATTGATATTATCTAATTCTATATAAACCTGTGAAGTAAATACAATTATTTCTACATTACAGATAGGAAAAACAGTTTCACAGAATTTATTAGACAAAACTCAAAGCCAAGATTCAAACCTAGGTCTTCCTAACTCCTAAGCCTGTCCTTTCTGCCACTTTCAGGCCGTGAAAGAAAAAAAAGAAAATGACTTGTAACTTAGGAGAGCAGGAAGATTTTCTCAACTATGTTTTTAAGATAAAATGGATATTAGCATGCTTATAAGAACAAAAGGGAAAAATTCCATAGGACAACAAATAGAAGAGGTAGTGACTGAAGAAACAAAGTCCAGAGGAGGAAGGCATAAGGTCAAAAACAGAAATGGGGAAGGTTGCACATAACAAAAATTGATACCACTTCCTCTAAGGCAGGATTAAAACAGAAAATGGAAAATGTCAGAGAAGTTAAGAGAACTCTTAAGTGGATTCTCAATCGTCTCAGGAGAGAAAAAAGTCATCAGTCATGAAGAAAGAGACTGAACTGAGGACCTGAAAAACATGTAAAAGGCTTGAAATAACCACTCAAACAAAGTGAGTCAATAGGAGATTCACAAAAAGTTAACTGCAATTAGGACCAAGTTGAGATCGGAAAGCTTAAATTGAAAGTAACTTAATCAGGCTAGACGCGGTGGCTCACGCCTGTAATCCCAGCATTTTGGGAGGCCAAGGTGGGCGGATCACCTGAGGTCAGGAGTTCAAGACCAGCCTGGCCAACATTGTGAAACCCGGTCTCTGCTAAAAATGCAAAAATTAGTTGGGTGTGGTGGGGGGGTGCCTGTAATCCCAGCTACTTGGGAGGTTGAGGCAGGAGAATCCCTTGAACCCAGGAGGCAGCGATTGCAGTGAGCTGAGATCACATCTCTGCACTCCAGCCTGGGTGACAAGAGCAAGACTCCATCTCAAAAAAAAAAAGGGTATGTATGAATAAACGCATAAGATCCTATATACATGTTAGTCATAACTGTATCCAAGGAATAAATGTATTAATATTTTTACAGAAGAACAAACCCAGAGAAACACACAGATCACTGTGCACAGATCAAATGATAAATCTCTGTGTCTAAGTTTTCCAATAAATACTGAGTATATCTGACATTTTCAGTGTCCTAAAATATTTTTAAAAGAAACAGCAGAATGAGATGAAGGTAGAAAGGAAATGCTTTCTTTTGGGGGACAGTGTAAATGGAGAAGGGTGCTAGGAAAAGTTGAAGTTGTTAAGAAAGGGAAAAGTAAGAAGAAACATAAGAAATACCAAAAGAACATTTAAAAATAGCTTAAGGAACAAAAGGAGAAACGGCATAAAGATGAGACTACAAACGGGACTACTGGGAAGAAGTTATATCCAAAACTGGTGTGCATATCTCATGCACTGTAAGTTAAAGTGTCAACTGGTACAATCTCCATGGAGTGTAGTTTGGCACTTACAAAATCAGAACTCCACTTCTAGAATTTATCCTACAATTTGTACTTGTGCACTTGGTAAAAGTTACATAAACAAGATTATTCATTTTTTTAAATGTTTATTTTATGTACAAAGAACTATCATGGTTTTCCATTGGGTAGATGCCTTGGATAATCCTTTGAAGGAAGATCACTTAGTCCAACTTAATGAAACCAATATCCTTCCCATACTGACAAAAACACTGGCGGCACATATTGAGGCCATATTTCCGGATCAGACCGTGCCGGTTTGAACAGACGCGACAAGAGCGAGAACCCTGGCCGAATTTTCGCGGGTGGCTCCAGCATAGCTTCTGGTGACCCATCTTGGTCTCAGAGTGCAACGAGGTAAAAGGTACTCATTGTTTTATAACAGCAACAAATTGGAAAAATCTACACGTCCATCAATAATAAATACATTACTGTATACGCATAATACAGGATACTATGCAGATGCAGAGGAAGTGACTACATGATAGGAAAGTATCTCTAATATATATTAATTTTTTAAAAATCAAGATGTTGAAGTATGTACAGCATGCTACATTTGTGTTAAAAAAAAGGAATAGATAAGCACACTTGCTTGTATATGTATAGAATATGTCTAAAAAGATATGCAAAATAGCAACATTAGTTGCCTCTGTGGAGAAGTTGGTGGCTGGGGCCAAGGATGCGAGGCTTTTCAAAGATATCTTTTCTGCCTCTTGAATTGTGAACCCTGTGAATGTATTATCTGGTCAAATAATTTTTTTAAGAAAATTATGTCTCAGAATTGTGGCTACACAGTGACAGCTCCCGGCTGTCACAGGGGGAAGGAGGAGGAGAGGAAAGAGGATCAGGTGACCGAGCACCGCCAGGCAGAACTTTTCAAGGCCTATTAGGCCAAGCAGGGTGCGTGACTTCTTCAAGACCCGAGAGCTGAGAATGAATAAAAATTTCCATCAGCAGATAATACAGAACTTGTAGTGGATGAGGGAGACTGAGAAGGCAGGCAAGTTAATCCGGCCGGTGTCCAGACTAAATTACTAGGGGCACAAAAGGGCCAGAGCACAGAGCCAGGAGCGGGAATCCAGCTCCTCTCCAGTGCCAAGGCAGCTCCGCTCCAGTCCCGCCCCAGCTCCGAGCTCCGGCCCATGTCAACTGACCTCGGATGGGCTTGTCGTCCTTCTCATCCTCTTTGGTCTTCCGCTGATCGGCACCGAGGTAATCCGGCATTTTAGCAGCTCCAAAAGCCTCCGCTCCTTAATGATTACACAGCACCTTCCTTGCTTCCGGTGGTGTCTTCCCTTTCCCTTCCCCACCGGAAGTAAATTGGGCTCAGACAGACCCCTTTATGCAGTGCTTCAGAGTCCGGACAGAGCCCTGGGGAAACGCTTTGGCACGCTGGTTTTTGGACTGATTACCTGTGAGAAGGAAACTTTACAGTGTTTGTAAAACGCCTGGCATATTAGACACAATAAGTAGTGGCCACATCTACAAATATAGTGAAGGTAATCTATTTCTGGTAAAGAGTTAATATCCAGAATATATAAAGAACTCCTACCACACAAGAAAACAACCTGATTTTTTAAGTGGGCAAATAACCTGAATAAACATTGCTCCAAAGAAGATATACAAATGGACAACATCACTGTTAGGAAATGCAAATCAAAACCACAGTTGGATGCCACCACATACCTATTAAGATAGCTATTATTAAAAAACAAGCAAAAACAAAACAGAAAATAAGTGTTGGAAAGGATGACCCTTGGGTCCAGCCAACCCTTGCATGTGCTGCTGGATAAAATGGAATCCTGGTGCACTGTTGATGTAAATGTAAAATGATAAAATGGTGCAACTGCTGTGGGAAACAGTATGATTGATTCCTCAGGAAATTAAAAATAATTACCATGCCACCTAGCAATTCGATTTCTGGATGTGTATCCAAAAGAACTGAAAACAGGATCTCAAAGAGATATTTGTACATCCATGTCCATAAGCAGCATTAGTCATGATACCCATAAGGTGGAAGCAACCCAAGTGTCCATCTACATATGAATGGATAAACAAAATGTGATACACGCATGCGCGCTCACACACACACACACACACACACACACACACACACATTATTCAGCCTTAAAAAGGAATGAAATTCTAGTATAAGCTACAACACAGATGAACCTTGAAGACATTATGCTAAGTGAATAAGTCAGTCACAAAAAAGACAAATACTATATGATTCCACAAATATGAAGTACCTAGAGGTGTCAAATTCCTAAAGACAAAGTAGAAGGATGGTTTCCAGTGGACAGTTTTTTCCACTGGCATAGTTTCAGTTTTGTAAGAGATTAAATGGGTATAGAGTTTCAGTTTTGTAAGATAAAAATAGTTTTGTAGGGTGGTTACACAATAATGTGAATGTACTTAACATTACTGTAAACTTAAAAACGGTGAAGATCGTAAATTTCATGTTATGTGTGTTTTAGCACAATTTTTTTAAAAAACAAAACCCCCGACCGGGCACCGTGGCTCACCCCTGTAATTCCAGCACTTTGGGAGGCTGAAGCAGGCAGATCATGAGGTCAGGAGTTGGAGACCAGCCTGGCCAACATGGCTAAACCCCGTCTCTACTACAAATACAGAAATTAGCTGGGCGTGGTGGCACGCACCTGTAATCCCAGCTACTCGGGAGGCTGAGGCAGGAGAATCGCTTGAACCTGGGAGGCAGAGATTGCAGTGAGCCGAAATCAGGCCACTGCACTCCAGCCTGGGCGACAGAGCAAGCCTCTGTCTCAGAAAAGAAAACAACAAAAAAACAAAAACCCATGTTAGAGTTAATGGTAAAATTGAATGGGAGGAGGTGTGAGGAAAAAAATATATTAATATGAAGAAAGTGGAGTCAGGTTACTTTGCACCTTGGAGCATGTTTTAACAGTGGTTGCATTAGTAGGGATCAGGAAGAGGTTTTGGGGCAGAAGATTAGTTCAATTTTTTTTTTTTTAAAGACGGGGTCTCACTGTTACCCAGGCTGGAGCGCAATGGTGTGATCTCAGCTCACTGCAACCTCCACCTCCCGGCCTCAACGATCTTCCCACCTCAGCCTCCCTTAGTTCAATTTTTGAAAAGTCAGTTTTGAAGTGACAATTTTATCATGCAGCAGATATACAGACCAATTAAATGTATTTAATTGGCCTGGCACAGTGACTCACGCCTCTAATCCCAGAGTTTTGGGAGACTGAGGCAGGAGGATCCCTTGAGGCCAGGAGTTCAAGACCACCTTGGGCAACATAGTGAGACCCTGTCTCTACAAAAAAAAATATACATATATATATATATAATATATTTAAAAACTTTAATTGTGAAAATATAATGAAATTAGTAAGTTATTTTCTAATTTACTAATTTCTGGTGGTCCTTGCTAAAGAGTGGCATATCAAGTTTATTTTATTGAACCTGTTTCAGATACTGCTGTTGGGGGTGAGCCTTTACCCACTGTTTGTTTTTGCTAGTTTTTGCTTTTGACTGCAGTCTTAGAAGGAAGCATATAGTAGGAATACAATTGATTTTATTATACATTAAAAAATTAAGTCCCAGAGTCCTATAATTGGGAATATCTTGAATAAAAACTTCATTAGAACAAGGTAAAAATATTGCTGGCCTTGGAATACAATCTAACACACTAGAGAGAGGTTTCTTCTCCAAGCGAGTATTAAAAGATATAATGCAGGTAAATTAGTAATAGCACGACAAATATTAGCTGCTATTATCATCATCAAGTTAAACACAAATGTATCACAAATACACGTACGTAATTCTCCGCAAATGTATATACTAGTCGTCGATACTGGTTCATACAGGTATTTTCATTTTTTACTTAAAAGTATAGCGCTCCTGGGAAAATCACTGATTAGGTTCAGATTAATACATAAAGCAGTAAGAACTTAAAGATAATATAAAAAGAACTGCTTTTAAAGGTTATGTTCTATGTATTGCACTGGGACGTGGAATATAATCCTTTTTACAGGAAAACTGATGCGCCTAGGAACCATTCTCTCGTGCGACTTGGTCTCCAGCCGGATCTCAGTCAGTATAGAACTAGGTTACCGCACACGTTGGCGGGGGTGGGAGGGTGTGAGACTGGCCTCCACACCACGAAAGATCCATCCCGGAAGTGCTTACTGGTCGTCTCCATGCGCCGGTTCCTGGGCGTCTTAGAGCCAAGGCGCGAGGCTCGGAGTGAGAGGTAGAGCTGGAGGGGACCCTAAGCGCCCTCCGCCCGGGACGTGAGCCGCTGCGCCCACCGGGCTAGACCCGGCGCCATCATGCTGCTTCTGCCAAGCGCCGCGGACGGCCGGGGCACCGCCATCACCCACGCTCTGACCTCTGGTAAGTGCCCACCCAACCTCGGTTCCTTCTCACCTCAGCTGCCCCTGCCTCAGTCCTCCGCCTCGGCAACCCTGGGCTCTCTCTACCCTTGACCCTGGCGACTAGCCCCGGGGCCGTATGGGGCCGTGACGAGTGCCTTTTTGCTCCGTGTTTTAAAGTAATCCTACCCTAGATTAGAAGGAAGGAGGGTGAGGGGTGCCTTCCTTTTGCTCCTACCGTTGCTTCCTCCTCTCGCCGCTGCTGACTCATGGATTGGGCTGAGCATTTCGGGACGGAACCCCCCAGCACCCCAGAAAGGTTCTCATAAGCATCTCCTTGCCTACGGTGGAAAGACTACGCGCAGCGAGCACCCCACGTGCCTGGGGTCGTACAAAGCTTTGCTACTGGCGCTCTCTTAAACAACTTTCTCCCTCTCTACGTTTGCTCCGGCCTTGTTTTTTAAATGTCACAACTCAGACACCGCTCCTCATACTCGGTGTTCAAAGACTGTGCTGCTGAAAAGATCCGCGTAGACTTTGAAAGGCAGTTATTACAAGTGAAACTTGTCCTGCTGCTGTAGGTTTTAGTTTTATGGCCCAGGACAGTCATGAGTATTGTAAACTTAAGAGTCTTCAGGTCCAGTGATCTACAGTAATTCCCATAGCCAGTCACATAGGCGCTTGTTGAATGTGATTTTGAACATAACCCATGGCACGTGTTGCATTTATGTGTCTCCGTGTGCCTCTTACAACTAGAGCAAAAGGCTTAAAAGGCAGTGTTCTTAAAAGCCACACACCCATACTACACAGGTAGTACCTTTTTGACAGTGTTTTAATCCTCTCCTGTGTAAGGTGGAGGAAATCTTAAAATAAGTTGTTCAGGGATTTTCCTTTTTTGAATTGCTAGTATACACATGTACAGTGATTTACCCCCACTTCCCAGGAATAGATGATACCTTTACTACAAGTTTGTAATTTCAGAGAGTTTCTGTGGTCTCATTCAAGCTTCCTAGGAACTGAATGAGATAAATAGGTATTGTTCCCATTTTACAGGTGAAGACATCCTGATTCATTTCAGGTCACATAGCCACTGTCAGACCTAGTCTAAAACCCAGAGTGTCTGGTTTCAGATTGAGAGCTTGTTCCACTACAGCTTAGCTGCATTAGTAAATTCCCATTTGCTGCTTGGAAAATTGCTTTCAGGACAAATTCTTGTTAGTGAATTCTTAAAATTTTTAAGAGCTATATTCAAGATTTTAATAATTAAGACAGTTTGAGTTGTCTGGGTGCGGTGGCTCACGTCTATAATCCCAGCACTTTGGGAGGCCGAGGCAGGTGGATCACCTGAGGTCAGCAGTTCGAGACCAGCCTGGCTAACAGGGTGAAACCCTGTCTCTACTAAAAATACAAAAAAGTAGCTGGGCGTGGTGGCGGGCGCCTATAATCCCAGCAACTTGGGAGGCTGAGGCAGAAGAATCGTTTGAACCCGGGAGGCGGAGGTTGCAGTGAGCCGAGATTGCGCTATTGCACTACAGCCTGGACAACAAGAGCAAAACTCCGTCTCAAAAAATAAAAAGATAGTTTGAGTTGTTTTTAGATTTTTTATTTTTGGTGAGGCTAGCTCTTCGTGACAATTTATCACTATTTATTACTTTATTAAAATTATTTGTCTAGGCCGGGCGCGGTGGCTCACGCCTGTAATCCCAGCATTTTGGCAGGCCGAGGTGGGTGGATCACGAGGTCAGGAGATCAAGACCATCCTGGCTAATATGGTGAAACCCCGTCTTTACTAAAAATGCAAAAAATTAGCCGGGGGTGGTGGCGGGTGCCTGTAGTCCCAGCTACTCGGGAGGCTGAGGCAGGAGAATCGCTTGAACCCGGGAGGCGGAGCTTTCAGTGAGCCAAGATCGCGCCATTGCACTCCAGCCTGGGTGACAGAGCAAGACTCCGTCCCAAAAAAAAAAAAAAAATTGTCCAGGTGGGTGCAGTGGCTCACGCCTGTAATGCCAACACTTTGGGAGGCCGAGGCAGGCAGATCACCTGAGGTCGGGAGTTCGAGACCAGGCTGACCAACATGGAGAAACCCCATCTCTACTAAAAATACAAAATTAGCTGGGCATGGTGGCGCATGCCTGTAATCCCAGCTGCTTGGAAGGCTGAGGCACAAGAATCACTTGAACCCGGGAGGTGGAGACGGCATTGAGCCGAGATCTCGCCATTGCATTCCAGCCTGGGCAGTAAGAGCAAAACTTCATCTCAAAAAAAAAAAAAAGTAAAAAAATAAATAATTTGTCTAAAAGTAAAGTAGTTTGCAACATTTCTTCCTGTTCCTCACCTTACTCATATCCCCAAAAAAGTACTGATTTATCATTGACATTACTGAGTTTTTTTTGTTTTGTCAGATAACTGGAAGAGGTTGATTAAATACTCTTTAATACTAGGAAAGGATAATTTCTTGCTAACCCTCATGTAAACTGGATGACTGCAATTATTTTCGTAGTCGGTGGTTTTAAAAGTATATGCTGGTATCACTGTTTTGATTTTATTTCCTGAAAAAATTAATTGCCTTGAAACATATTTATTCCATGCGATACACTGAAGCCTCTCTTAACACTTTCAATCACAGCCTCTACACTCTGTCAAGTTGAACCTGTGGGAAGATGGTTTGAAGCTTTTGTTAAGAGGAGAAACAGAAATGCTTCTGCCTCTTTTCAGGAACTGGAGGATAAGAAAGAGTTATCCGAGGAATCAGAAGATGAAGAATTGCAGTTGGAAGAGTTTCCCATGCTGAAAACACTTGATCCCAAAGACTGGAAGGTATTTAATATCTGAATATTTTGTTCAGTCAGATGCTTTGTTAGACATAGACAATTTTCTTATGAGTTTTCCATTAATAAACATGTTTTAAGATGATTCAGCAAGATAACTATGATTTAGCATCTGTTTATTACTAAGTCTTGAGAGCATTAGCACTAGCCATGAGATACTGTCTCTGCTGGAGAAATCCAGGAAGAGTTCACAGAAAAGATAATGTTTGCACCGGTCTTAAAAGGACAGGCAGCAATTAGTGAAGCAGAGAAGTGAGAAAAGTATTCTGGGCAGAAGGAGTAAGATATACAAAGACACAAAGGAGTAAAAGAATATGTAGTGCCTCTTGAGGAATTGATAAGTCGTATAGGGTACATGCGGTATGGTGATGAGAAATCTAGTGTCTTTAAAAGGACACTAGACCAAACTCTGTTGTGTCCTTTTTATACCATGCTAAAGAAGGAATTAAAATTTATTTTTGGGACAGTAAGATACCATCAAAAGTTTCTTAGCTAATTTTAGAAAAGTAATTCCCTTGGCAGTACAGGAAATTGCTTGAAAGGGGGCAAGGGACTGGAGGGGAAGTGAATAGTTTACTGTTATAGGGCTAGTGCACTAAGGCAGACCTGTGACTGAATCCTTGAACTTACTATGTGGCTGGGTTTTGAGGAAGAGGGGTCAGATTTGCCTTTTTTGGAGGTAGCATTAACAGGCTTTGGTGACCCTGGCTGTGTGGCACAAGACAAAGAGAAGTATTCAGAGGTCCTTCCCAGCATTAGCGCTTGAGTGACCTGCTAGAGTGTGTGGTCAGTAACCAATGCTGGGATGAGGATAAGAATGTTTGTGGGAGGTGCTGTTTGTGTCCAAGTTTGACTATGTGAAGACTGAGGTTTTGGTACCATAGTGGTGAAGCTGTCTAGTAGATGGTTAGAAATTGGTCTATGACTCCAAAAAGAGGTTACAGCCAAAGACTTTTTGAAGTCATTGGCACATAGTGGTGGTTGCTGTGAGGAATTGAATGACAACAGCAAGGGACAAAAGTATAAACAAATAGATAATGCTTTAGTAGGTACTTGTATAATAGTTAAATGCGTATGCTGTGGAATTGGAGTGCCTGAATTCAAATCTGGTTCTGCCATTTGGTGCACTTCGACCTTGGGAAAGTTCCCAGATATGTGTGTACCTCATTTCCCTTGTTGCTACAGTGAGATTGTTAACAGCTCAAAGGTTTACCTTGAGGATTAATAAAAGGATGCTTATAAAGCACTTAAGTTAGTACTTGCTGCATGATAAATGCCAAACAAATAATGGATAATAAGAGTTCCTATGTCATTGGTTGTTTAGAGGACTAAATAAGCTAAAGCATATGTATAAAACATTTAGAAAAGTAAGCACTCAGAAAGTGTTAGCTGATTCTCCCACCACCTCATCCATTTTAAAAGAAAAAGACAACATTGGGGAGCATGGATATTTAAGGGGTAGGAAGAGGAGGAAAAACAGCAGAAGATACTAAGAAGGGTGACAGAAGTAGAAAGAAAACAAAGAAAAAGACACTTTGTTATTTGAAGAAATACTTCCTAAACATCAGGCAGCGTATTCTTCCAGAAACTAAGGGAGGAGCAAGAGGGAAAAAGAGGCAGGGTGCAGTGGCTCATGCCTGTAATCCCAGCACTTTGGGAGGCTGAGGCGGGCAGATCACCCGAGGTCAGGAGTTCGAGACCAGCCTGACCAACATGGTGAAACCCCATCTCTACTAAAAATACAAAATTAGCCAGGCGTGGTGGCACATGCCTGTAATCGCAGCTACTTGGGAGGCTGAGGCAGGAGAATCACTTCAACTCAGGAGGTGGAGGTTGCTGTGAGCCGAGATCATACAATTGCACTCCAGCCTGGGCAACAAGAGCAAAACTCTATCTCAAAAAAAGGGGCGTGGGAAGAGTCACCTGTGTCACTGCTTCAGAAAGAGGTCAATCACATAACATGAAAAATTATTTTAAAAAACACTGGACCGGGCATGGTGGCACATGCTTATAATCCCAGCTACTCAGGAGGCTGAAACAGGAGAATCGCTTGAACCTGGGAGGTGGAGATTGCGGTAAGCTGAGATCGTGCCACTGCACTCCAGCCTGGGCAACAAGAGTGAAACTCCATCTCAAAAAAAAAAAAAACCATTGGATTTGGCAAACTAAAAGTTTCGGTGTCCTCATTGAAAGCAGTTTGAGTAAAATGATCGGGAAGGCAAGAGATTACAGTGAATGAAGAGTGATTAGGAAGTGATGAAGTAGGATCAAAGTGTAAAGTACTCTTTCAAAGCTGGGTAGTAAAGAAAATGAGAGAAGATAGTAACTTCAGGAGAAGGCAGAGTCGGGAAAAGACAGAACTGGGGAGTGTTGAGATCTATAAGAGGGAGAAGGTCTTTGGTATAGAAAGAAGTAGATTGTATCAGAGTAAGGTAGCAGAGTTCATTCACTTGTTCAGTTTATTTTCATTCATCAAATATGGATCAAACACCATGTCAGATACTGTTCTAGGTGTCAAGGATACTGTACTGAACAAGACAGTATTACTGCTTACACACAGCTTATATTCCAGTGACATAATAAGTAAACAAGAACATGTAGCCATAAGTTCCATAGGATGGCCATAAGCTATCAACAGGTGCTAAGAGAAAAAAGGGGTCTTTGGTCAAGTAAGTTTGGAAAATGCTAGGTTTTACAGGTTTCTGTTTGTTTATTTTTTAAATCTAATTACAGGACTTCTCAGAGCCTTTCTTAGGCCTTTGTGCATACAAATCATCAAGGAGGCTGTATAATAGTCCACATTTACCTCTTTTTTAAATTTATTTTTTATTTTATTTTATTTTGAGACGGAGTCTCACTCTGTTGCCCAGGCTGGAGTGCAGTGGCGCAGTCTTGGCCCACTGCAACCTCCGCCTCCCAGGTTCAAGCAATTATCTTGCCTCAGCCTCCCGAGTAGCTGGGATTACAGGTGGGCGCCACCACGCCCGGCTAATTTTTGTATTTTTAGTAGAGACAGGGTTTCACCATGTTAGCCAGGCTGGTCTCAAACTCCTGACCTCATGATCCACCCACCTCAGCCTCCCAAAGCACTGGGATTACAGGCGTAAGCTGGCATGCCCAGCCTGTCTCTTCTTTTTTTTAAAGACAGGGTCTTGGCCGGGTGCAGTGGCTCACACCTGTAATCCCTTGGCCCTTTGGGAGGCCAAGGCAGGTATATCACCTGAGGTCAGGAGTTCGAGACCAGCCTGACCAACAAGGTGAAACCCTGTCTCTACTAAAAATACACAAATTAGCCAGGCGTGGTGGTGTGCACCTGTAATCCCAGCAACTTGGAAGGCTGAGGCAGGAGAATTGCTTGAACCCGGGAGGCGGAGGTTGCAGTGAGCCAAGATGGCACCACTGCACTCCAGCCTGGGCAACAGAGCAAGACTCCGTCTCAAAAAAATAAAATAAAATCTTAAAATCATTAAAAAAAAAAAAAAAAAGACAGGGTCTTGCTCTGTCGCCTATCCTGGAGTGCAGTGGCATGATCACAGCTCACTGCAGCCTCTACTTACTAGACTCAAGTAATCCTGCTACTTCTGCCTCCTGAGTAGCTGGAACTACAGGTGCACACCACCACACCCAGCTAATTTTTAAAAATTTTTTTGTAGAGACAGAGATCTTACTTTGTTGCCCAGGCTGGCCTCATATTCCTGGGCTCAAGCAATCCTCCACCTGGGCCTCCCAAAGTGCTAGGATTACAGGCATGAACCATGGCACCCAGCCTAATCCACATTTCTCAACCTTACCTGACCATAGACCCTGGTTTATACAGAACCTCTTACTGGACTCCTGATGAAATGTCACTTTGGGAAATGCTTATTAAGGTACCAGAACACAAGGGATGGAATATATTGGCTTCATTTCAAATTTGACTCCCTTTTGTGTTTTTTTTCCAGAACCAAGATCATTATGCAGTTCTTGGACTTGGCCATGTGAGATACAAGGCTACACAGAGACAGATCAAAGCAGCTCGTAAGTACTTAGTTATTTTGAAATAATCAAATATCTTGTATAGGAACAGGCTGGCTATGCTTTTTAAAAGATATACAGTATCATAGTCTGCAGCCATAACTACATTTAACAGCATGTGTTATATTGTCATAACAAGCAAAAAACCACGGTCTCCCCTGCCTTCAGAATCAGAAGAAAGCAATCCATTTTACATATAGACTTTCCCATTAGGGATAAGAAATTAGGATGGGTGTGTGTGTGTGGATACAAAATACTCCTCCAATGGCAAGCTTTTAAAAAATAATACTTCACCTCTCTTTAGAAGTATAGCAGCTGCACTTAGTGGATACTGCCTTTTTATTGTTTTTTGGTTTTTGGTTTTTTTTTTACGTTATTTTGTAATCTTAGGTCACACCTTTGTAGATATCACCCTGTCTTCTGTCCAAGAAAAGTTGTCTGATGTTTTATTGTTGTTTTCATTGACAAGGTTATAATTTGGCATGGGAGAGGGTAATGTTGGGACCCCAGTCTTCATATGCCTTATAAAACACCATCCCTTAATGCTCCTAAATGTCCTATGCTTTGCAATCCTGTGGACATAATTTCTTATACACGTGATCAGTTCAACTGATTAATAAAGTTTAGTGAAAGAGGTAAGAGGTGAAGGTGATCAGTTTTCTATCTTAGGAGAATGTTCTGCCCTCCACTCTAGAGAATGGATATTGAGGTCAGAGAGGGTAAGATTGTGGCCACATGGAAAAGGAGCAGGGAGTCAGGGCCTGTCAAGAAGAGGAAGTATTATATGTGGAGGAAGATGACTGAATAAGAATGCCTGTGGTAAAAATTATTAGTCAATACTTAGCATAGTAGATGAACTCAAAATCGTCCCCATTACTGCTTACATTTAGGAAAATCACAGGAAATATTTTTTAACAAAGTGAAGGAATTTATCAGATTATTTTAAACTGGATTTGTTTAAAGGCTGGCATGAGTCTAGACAAAGCATATGGTAATGCATGTGAATAGTTATTCCAGTATAAATAAATGCCAGAAAAGTCCATTTGCCACGTACAAGTGTTTGCAAAGTTTTACTATACGAAAGAATAGCATTGGCCGGGCGTGGTGGCTCACGCCTATAATCCCAACACTTTGGGAGGCCGAGACGGGTTGATCACCTGAGGTGAGGAATATGAGACCAGCCTGGCCAACGTGGAGAAACACCGTCTCTACTAAAAATACAAAAAAATTAGCTGGGTGTGGTGGTGGGCACCTGTATTCCCAGCTACTTGGGAGGCTGAGGCAGGAGAATTGCTTGAACCCAGGAGGCAGAGGTTGCAGTGAGCCGAGGTCGCACCATTGCGCTCCAGCCTGGGCAACAAGAGCGACACTCTGTTTCCGAAAAAATAGAATAGCATACAAATACCAAATATGTCTTAGTACAGATAAATTTGTTAATTAGAATTGATAATAGAACTGTGAGAATAGTTTGTGTTTTAAGGTGAAAGAATTCTTTCTCAGAAGATTAAAAATGTGCAATAAATTGTAAAAGAAGCATTCATATGCTTCTGTTAAATCCACTGTCTTTTTTTGAGACAGAATTTCGTACTTGTTGCGCAGGCTGGAGTGCAATGGCACCATCTTGGCTCACCACAACCTCCGCCTCCCAGGTTCAAGCGATTCTCCTGCCTCAGCCTCTTGAGTAGCTGGGATTAGAGGCATGTGCCACCACGCCCGGCTAATTTTGTATTTTTCATAGAGACGGGATTTCACCATGTTGGTCAGGCTGGTCTCGAACTCCCGACCTCAGGTGATCCACCCACATCGGCCTCCCAGAATGCTGGGATTACAGGCGTGAGCCACCGCACCCAGCCTAAATCCACTCTTTTTATTGGCCTTGTAGAAATTGATTTTTAGCCAGGCACAGTGGGTCACACCTGTAATCCCAACACTTTGGAAGACCAAGGCAGGCAGATTACTTGAGGCTGGAGTTCAATACTAGCCCGGCCAATGTGGTGAAACCCCATCTCTACTAAAAATACAAAAATTAGCCAGGTGCGGTGGCGCATGCCTGTAAGCCCAACTACTTGGGAGGCTGAGGCATGAGAATCGCTTGAACCTGGGAGGCGGAAGTTGCAGTGAGCGAAGATTGTACCACTGCAGTCCAACCTGAGCAACAGAGTGAGAGAGTGAGACTCTGTCTCATTAAAAAAAAAAAAAAGAAAGAAAGAAAGAAAAGAAATTCAGCTTTTGAATATGTATTCTCTAGCCAAAAATTTTGCAGCACCAGTGTAGAGATTGTTAACAATAAGGGTAATTCTAACTTACTCTCTACCACCCTTGTGGAATATTCCGTCAGTCTTTATTTAGAAAGAAACTGTCATTCTCTCACCTCTGTCACTGTAAAACACAGTTGCTACTCATTGCTTTCTGAAAATCTATCTAAAAGTTAAAATGCAAAGTTACTGTTTGCAAATCTATAATTATTAGCACAAACCTAATAAAAATGTAAATCTGGTACCATTTGATGTCCTTTGAATGCTTGCTTCATATTACAAGCAAAGTTTTATTTTTGTTGAGTATATTTTGAATGTCAGTAATGAAAATTAATTAAGTGTGAAGTAGGAGCCGGGTGCGGTGGCTCACACTTGTAATCCTAGCACTTTGGGAGGCTGGGGCAGGTGGATCACCTGAGGTCAGGAGTTCGAGACCAGCCTGGCCAACATGGCGAAACCCCGTCTCTACTAAAAATATAAAAATTAGGCGGGCATGGAGACGCATGCCTGTAATCCCAGCTACTTGGGCGGCTGCGGCACGAGAACCGCTTGAAACTGGGAGGCAGAGGTTGCAGCCAGCCGAGATTGCACCATTGCACTCCAGCCTGGGTGACAGAGGGAAACTGCCTCAAAAAATGCCCAAAAAAATACCAAAAATATTTGTCACTGTTTCTGAACCCTTGCAGTATATGTTGAAATAAATAATTTTATTATGCTCATGAAAAGATTTCTATAGGCCAAGCATGGTGGCTCATCCCTGTTAATCCTAGCACTGTGGGAGACTAAGGCTGGAGGATCACTTGAGCTCAGGAGTTCAAGACCAACCTGGACAACATAGCAAGACCTTGTCTCTCTTTTTTTTTTTTAATTAAAAAAATTTTTTTTCAAGATTTCTTTTCTTTTTTTTTTTAAGACGGAGTCTAACTGTTATCCAGGGTGGAGTGCAGTCGCGTGATCTTGGCTCACTGCAACCTCCATCTCCAGGGTTCAAGTGGTTCTCCTGCCTCATTCTTCTGCCTCAGCCTCCTAAGTAGCTGGGATTACAGGCACCTGCCAACATGTCTGACTAATTTTCGTATTTTTTAGTAGAGACTGGGTTTCACCACGTTGACCAGGCTGGTCTCGAACTCCTGAGTTCAAGTGATCCACCTGCCTCAGTCTCCCAAAGTGCTGGGATTACAGGCATGAGCCACCGTGCCCAGCCAAAAGATTTCTGCAAAAACGTTCACAACAGGCCGGGCACAGTGGCTCACACCTGTAATCCCAGCACTTTGGGAGGCCAAGGCAGGCGGATCACGAGGTCAGGAGATCGAGACCATCCTGGCTAACACGGTGAAACCCCATCTCTACTAAAAATACAAAAATATCAGCTGGGCGTGGTGGCGGGTACCTGTAGTCGCAGCTACTCGCGTGGCTGAGGCAGCAGAATGGCGTGAACCCGGGAGGTGGAGCTTGCAGTGAGCTGAGATCACGCCACTGCACTCCAGCCTGGGCAACAGAGCGAGACTCCGTCTCAAAAAAAAAAAAAAAAATGTTCACAACAGCCTATTCACAATGTCCAGAAACTGGAAATCACCCAAATATTTAATAACATGGAAATAGATAAGCAAACTGCTATATATTTTGGTGCAGTGGAATACTAATCAGCAATTTTTAAAAGAACAAATTGCCAATACACAGAAAAACATGGATGAATCTCAAACCATGAGTAAAAGAAGCCAGACATAGGCATACTGTAAGTTACATCTACTTGAAGCTCAAGAACATGCAAAAGTGGTGACAGGCATCAGAAAACGGTTGCCTCAGCTGGTAGAGGATGGGAGCCCAGTGGAAAAGGGTACAAGGGAACTTTTTGGATGATGGAAACGGCCTATATTTTCCTTTGGATAGTAGTTACATAAGTGTATATGATTGTCAGAACTCACTGAACTTAATGAATGCTTAAAATCTGGGCATTTATTTTATCTACGTTTTATCTCCGCTGAATCAGACAGATATGATTAAACAAACCAAAAATACCAGTCACTTGGAAATTAAATATATTCTTTTGAGCCTAGACAGAAATAAAAATTATGCTAATAGACTTTTTTTCCACAAAAGTAAGATTACTGCTTTATCAAAACTTAAGGACTGGCAGCTAAATCTGTACCTTAAGTAAATTCATTGCCTTAACCTATTCTGTTACTTTTTTCAAAAGAGGGAAAAGATAAGGTGGAAATTCAATTCAGAGGTTTAAAAGAATAGCACAAAGGAAGATGTAGGAAGAAAATAAATAAGACAGTATCCCAAACTGGGTTTTATAAGAAGAATAAACAAATACAAGTTGAGCATCCCTAATCCAAAACTCCAAAGTCCAAAATGCTCCAAATTCTGAGTGCCAGCATGACACTTCAAAGGAAATGTTCACTGGAGGATTTTGGCTTTTCAGATTTGGAATGGATGCTCACCCAGTAAGTATAATGCAGATATTCCAAAATCTAAAAAAATTTGAAATCCCGAACACTTTTGGTCCCAAGCATTTCAGATACAGGATACTCAAAACGTAGTGAAATACAGAAAGAGCTAATCATGGTGGCTCATGCCTTTGATCCCAGCACTTTAGAAGGCTGAGGTGGGTGGATTGTTTGAGCTCTGTAGTTCAAGACTAGCCTGGGCAACATGGCAGAACCCCATTTCTACAAAAAATACAAAAATTAGCTGGGCATAGTGGTGCGTGCCTGTGGTCCCAGCTGCTCAGAAGGCTGAGATAGTGCTTGAGCCCAGGAGGTCAAGGCTGCAGTGAGCCGTGATCACACCACTGCACTCCACCCTGAGCAATAGTAAGACCCTGTCCCCATCCCCTCCCCCGCAAAAAAAAAAGGATGAAAAACATTAAAGTTACCAAAGAATTTACTCCTAAAAACAATTTTTAGGCCCAGATAATTTTTCAGGTGAATTGTTTCAAGTGTTAAAGAATTAAAAATTCTAATGCTGAATATAAACTTGGTGTTTTATTTTGTAATTGGAGAATCGGTTAATCATAAACTGTTTTGGAATAATTCATTTTGTTAAGTTGTAAAGTTTAATGTAATCTGAGTATGCAAAACCTAGCAAAGAGAGCCCAAAAAATCCTACAAACAATTCCTATTAATATAATGAAAAAGAAAAACCAGTTAAAATGTTAAAAATAATAGCAAATTCGCTGGGTGCAGTGGCTCACGCCTATAATCCGAGCACTTTGGGAGGCCAAGGCGGGCGGATCATGAGGTCAGGAGATCGAGACCATCCTGGCTAACACGGTGAAACCCCGTCTCTACTAAAAATACAAAAAAATTAGGCAGGCGTGGTGGCGGGTGCCTGTAGTCCCAGCTACTCGGGAGGCTGAGGCAGGAGAATGGCATGAACCCGAGAGGCAGAGCATGCAGTGAGCCAAGACTGCACCACTGCACTCCAACCTGGGTGACAGAGCAAGACTCCGCCTCAAAAAAAAAAAAAAATAGCAAATTTAAGAAAAGGGAATTTTTATACACTGTTGGTAGGAATCTAAATTAGCATAGCCACTGTGCAAATTAGTATGGAGATTTCTCAAAAAATTAAAAATAGAATTAACATATAGCCCAGCGTTCCCACTACTGGATATTTATCCAAAGGAAAAGAAAACAGTATGTCAAAGGGGTACCTGCACTCCCATGTTTTTATTGTGGCTCTGTTTATAATAACAAAGATAAGGAATCAACCTAAGTGTCCATCAGCAGACTAGTTGATAAAGAAAAGTATATGTATACAATGGGATACCACTCAGCCATAAAAAAGAATGAAACGTCTGCAGAAATATAGATGGAACTGGAGGTCATTATGTTGAGTGAAATAAGCTAGGCACAGAAAGGCAAATATTGCATGTTCTCACTCTTGAGAACAGTGGGAGCTTAAAAAGTTGATCTCGTGGAGGTAGTAGATAGAATGATAGATACCAGAGGCTGAGAAGGGTATTGGGAGGAGAGGGATAAAGAGAGGTTGGTCAATGGATACAAACATACAATTAGAAGGAATAAGTCCCAGTGTTCTGTAGCAGAGTAGGGTGATGATAGTTAACAATGATGTATTGTATATTTCAAAATAGCTAGAAGACAGAACTTGAAATGTTCACAATACATAGAAATAATAAACACTCAAGTTGATAGATACCCAAATACCCTGACTTGATCATTACGTGGTTTATGCATGTATCATGAATTATGCACAAAATGAGCCAGGCACAGTGGCTCACGCCTGTAATCCCAGCGCTTTGGGAGGCCGAGGCAGGCGGATCACTTGAGGTCAGGAGTTCAAGACCAAGCCTGGCCAACATGGCAAAACCCTGTCTCTACTAAAAATACAAAAATTAGCTGAGCGTGGTGGCAGGTGCCTGTAATCCCAGATACTCCAGAGGCTGACAGGAGAATCGCTGGAACCCAGGAGGTGGAGGTTGCAGTGAGCCAAGATTGTGCCATTGCATGCCAGCCTGGCCAACAGAGTGAGACTCCATCTCAAAAAAAAAAAATGGATTTTGTTCATGTATTATGAACAAAATAATCACATGCACCCCATAAGTGTGTACAGATACTTGTATCATGAAAAAATAGTGGTCAGGCGTGGTGGCGCAGGCCTGTAATTCTAGCACTTTGGGAGGCCAGGGTGGGAGGATCGCTTGAGCCCAGGAGTTCAAGACCAGCCTGGCCAACATGACGAAACCCCTCCCCTACAAAAAAAAAAAAGAGCTGGGTGTGATAGCTCACACCTGTAATCCCAGCACTTTGGGAGGCTGAGGTGGGCAGATCACGAGGTCAGGAGTTCGAGACCAGCCTGGCCAACATGGTGAAACCCTGTCTCTACTAAAAATATAAAAATTAGCCGGGCGTAGTGGCACATGGCTGTAATCCCAGCTACTCAGGAGGCTGAGGCAGGAAATCTCTTGAACCCAGGAGGCGGAGGTTTCAGTGAGCTGAGACTGTGCCACTGCACTCCAGCCTGGGCAACAAGAGCAAAACTCCATCTCAATAAATAAATAAAGTTAGCAAGGCATGGTGGAGAGCACCTGTAATCCCAGCCACTTGGGAGGCTGAGGTGGGAGGATCACCTGAGCCGGGGAGGTTAAGACTACAGTGAGCTGAGATTGGGTGCCACTGTGCTCCAGCCTGAGCAACAGAGTGAGACCCTGTCTCAAAAAAAAAAATAAAATAACAAATGCAATTTAATAGTACACTAAAAGAATAATAGTGTTCATGAACACATAGAGTTTCTCTCAGGAATCCAACTTAGGAAGTATATTAATATAGCAAAATTATAGCTCAGATAATATTAAATCCATGTGATTTCCTGAGTAGGTAGTGAAAGCACATAGAATACAGTTTAACACCCATTCCGTTTTGATAAGAATTTTGAAAAGAAATGTAGTTAATTCCCTACTTTGATAACTGTTTCAGGCCCACAGCTAGCAAACTTTTAGCTATGTGGCATTAATGCTATTACCTAAAATCCAGGGGTGAAGCAGCCTGCTTTTTATTTTTTATGCTATTTTGGGAGTTTGGGTCAGTGAGTTAAGTTATTAAATAAGAGACAACTATTGGAAAGAAGGAAATAAATATATTATTTGTAGATAATATAGGATCTGCCTAGAAAAGCAAAAGAGAGTTAAGTGACTAGATGCAAGACAAATAAGCAAAAATTACACAGTTTTTGGAAGTTACGATCAAATATATTAGAAAGCTGTGGTCAGTTTAAAGATAACCCCAGGGCAAGAATAAGTAACCAAAACAAGCCCTTGTAAAATTTACTATTATAGTGTCACAAATCAGTGGAAAAGGGAAGGATTATTAAATGACAGTAAGATTTTGAAAAATGAGAAGTTTAGATACTTTCTTGACTATATTAAAATTCCAAAAAGATTAAAAAATTTTTTCAGTCTATAGGAAATGTTAATGAAACTAGAACTATTGTAAGTACTAGAAGAAATTACAAAAGAAATGATCAGTCAATGTAAATAAAGATGACTGTTTTTGAAACATAAGTGTTAACAAAACGGGGAAAAATTATTAATAAACATAATGAATTAGGAGAGGCAGCATACAGACGCAGGCTGAGGAGTCAGGCTGTCTGGACTAGAGCCGACTTGGCCGGAAGTTTGAGCAAGTTGCAGTGGTAGTGGCTACATAACGTCTCCTCTGTGCCTCATTTTCCTCATCTATGAAATGGAGACAGCAATAGCACTTTCCTCATAGGATCATGGAGAAGATTAACTGGTAAACAGGCCTGGCACATGTCAACTGCTATGTAGATGTTAACAGCTAGCATTATTAATTGTAAGTGACACACAGAGTCAGAAGAAAAACTGAGACAGCCCCTCCTTTTTCCAGTTAAAGGATGAAAAACAAAAAAATTGTTGACCACCAGCGATAATCACAAATTTTAAATAATTAGACGTACTGTGGCTGAGGCTGTGGTAAAAGGATGTTCACGTAGGAGTATGAAATAGTTTGCCTTTTGGAAAATAACTTGTTCCATTTCCATTCATGAAGTTCACTTCTGTGATTATATCCTAAGAAGAAAGAATCCTAAATAAGGAAAAACACTTACATTTAAAATTATTCAAATTGGCATTATTTATAATAATGCAAAATTGGAAATGGCACAAATGTCCAACAGTAGAGAAATGCCTAAATTATAACAAATCTACTTGAAATACTGTATTAAGCAGTCATTTGAAAGAAAAATTTGAAGAGTTTGCAAGGAAAAAACCATGGAAAATGCAAACGCTATAATGTGAAGCTGAAGAAAGCAGAATATAAATTAGTACATACGATTACATCTGAATTGTTTTTTTCTTCTTCTTCTTTTTGACACAGAGTCTCACTCTGTCACCCAGGCTGGAATGCAGTGGCGCCATCTCAGCTCACTGCAGCCTCCACCTCATGGGTTCAAGCGATTCTTATGTCTGAGCCACCTGAGTAGCTGGGACCACAGGCATGCACCACCACGCCCAGCTAGTTTTTGTATTTTTAGTAGAAACCAGGTTTTGCCATATTGGCCAGGCTAGTCTTGAACTCCTGACCTCAAGTGATCCTCCCAGCTCGGCCTCCCAAAGTGCTGGGATTACAAGCATGAGCCACCATGCCCAGCCTACACCTGAATTTTTTAAAGCATATGCTTAAGAAAACAAAAATGTCTATGCAGAAATACACCAAAATGTTAAGAGTCATTGTCGTTGGTTAGGGGCACTTTGGCTAATTCTTAAAATAATTACTTCAAGCCGGGCTCAGTGGCTCACACCTGTAATCCCAGCACTTTCGGAGGCCGAGGCGGGTGGATCACCTGAGGTCAAGAGTTTGAGACCAGCCTGGCCAACATAGTGAAACCTTGTTTCTACTAAAAATACAAAAAAATAGCTGGGCATGGTGGCGGGCACCTGTAACCCCAGTTACTCCAGAGGCTGAGGCAGGAGAATCGCTTGAACCCGGGAGGCGGAGGTTGCAGTGAGCCGAGATCGTGCCATTACACTCCAGCCTGGGCAACAAGAGCAAAACTCTGTCTCAAAAAATAATAAGAAGAAATAAATCAGTTTCTCTATAATTTTCACATTGAATAAGCATATATTTTACTGTGGGAGAAAAGATTCTAATATTAGCCTTATGATTTTAGAAATGGTCTACATGTAGCTCATCTTTATTTTTGGTGCTTAAAGTGACAAATTATCTCAATCTGACTGGTTTTGTAGATAAAGCAATGGTTTTAAAACATCACCCAGACAAACGGAAAGCAGCTGGTGAACCAATAAAAGAAGGAGATAATGACTACTTCACTTGCATAACTAAAGGTAAGAAAATGCTTTAGAGTCAGGAATTTCTAATAGTAATTGTTATTTATTAATTGCTGGGATTGGGTTTCTTATGCATACTGTAGTTCATTCAACTATCCTTTGACATTTTAAAACATTTTAGTTATATCAAGTTCTTTCTAATCATCACCCCAGAGCCTCACGACACAAAGTGAGGTGTCCCCAGCCAGCAGCATCAGCAACACCTGGCAGCTTATTAGAAATGCAGTCTCAGGCCCTGCCCCAAACCTACTGATTAAAATCTGCATTTTAACAGGATCCCCAGGTGATTCTTATCAGAAGCTCATCCTACAGTTAATTCATGTAAGTGTTCTATTTAATGATGAGAATACTAAGATTTTTTTTTTTTTCGTTTCAGATGCTTTATGGGACTAAACTGTTCCTTAGATGTTTTGCTAGCCTAGTTTAAATCAAGAAGTTGATTATATCCTAGTACAGACCCTACAGTTACTTATTGCTATTTACATACACATCACTAAGCAAATTAATGTAGGTTACCACCATTTCTAAATGTTTCCTTAAATGTGATTTTACACTTTGATGCTAATTTTTGAACAGTTGTATGCACACCGTTCATATTTACTCTTTGCCAGTTCTCTTACACAGTGCTCCAGAAGCCTAAGATCCTTCGATCTTTTACAACCTTGGGATCTAACAATTAACTTACTAGCTATTTCTTTTTCCCCAGAGTCATCTTTTCTCTTGAGGGGTGGGTGATATTTATTGTTTTGTCACTTGTCTACTAGAAAAATAAAGAAGGAGTTAAGTCCAGTTATATCCAGTAGTGCTAAAGCTGTTGTTACCTAAATTAAATCCTCCCCAACCTGCAAACAAAATTTTCAAATATGAAAATTAATGACTTCTATGTTTTAAGGAGGGAAATACTTGTTTTCTTGCAGGAAAAAATAGGTAAAGTTATGGTGATGTGATCTTAACAATTTTTTTCTCAGCTTATGAAATGTTATCTGATCCAGTGAAAAGACGAGCATTTAACAGTGTAGATCCTACTTTTGATAACTCAGTTCCTTCTAAAAGTGAAGCAAAGGATAATTTCTTCGAAGTGTTTACCCCAGTGTTTGAAAGGAATTCCAGGTAAGTTAAGGCATCCCTTTTGATCATAGTGCCCTGTTGGCTTGTTTATTGTAGTCTTCCAGGTTTCTGCTCTTTCCCTCTGATAATAGTTTCATTTATAGATTATTTCCACTGTCTCTTCCTCCTCCTCCTCCTTCTCTGCAATATTCAGCCCTTCTGGTGAACTTACTGTTCTCATTTATATTGCTTTCTAAACAGAAGTTCTACATTTCCATAGTAAAATTTCTGTACAATTTATGGGAAGTTTCTCTTTTAAATTTACTTGGGCTGGGCACAGTGGTTCACACCTGTAATCCCAGCACTTTGGAAGGCCGAGGTGGACGGATCACCTGAGGTCAGGAGTTCAAGACCAGCCTGGCCAACATGGTGAAACCCTGTCTCTACTAAAATACAAAAATTAGCTGGCCGTGGAGGTGCATGCCTGTAATCCCAGCTCCTCGGGAGGCGGAGACGGGAGTTTTGCTTGAACCCAGGAGACAGTGGTTGCAGTGAGCCGAGGTCATGCCACTACACTGAGCAAGACTCCATCTCAAAAAAAAAAAATTTTGCTTTGAGAGAAATAACAGTATCTGACTTTTATAGTGTGATTCTTACACTTAGGTGACAGTAATTTTCCATTCTTTGATTTCCTCTTTATCAATCGGTATACTACTCTCTGACTCATTGTCAGTTGAGAAATCCTTTGTTCTTTATTTGATCATCTGATTATCATAAGGCTTCTTTGACAAAACATTATTTATAGTTACGATTAAAGCATACGTATTTTATTTCATTAAAGTTTGTTTTAAAATAGTTATGTACCAATATTATTTTACATCTTTTTTTTCCATCTGCATTGGCAGGTTCCCTTAAAGCACATCTTGGCTGCACATTGGAATTACCTGGAGAACAGGAAGAACTCCTGATGCCTGAGTTCCACCTGGAAAGATTCTGATTTATTGGTTTGAATTTCTGTGGGGATTTTTAAGGCTCCCAGGTGATTCTTCTGTGCAGCCAAATTTGAGAACCACTTTGATTAGCGGTTTGGCGCCACCTAGTATTTCCGCCATCCTTTCTCCCTTGGATTTCACCTGTTTTTTGGTTTTTTTTTTTTCCTTTTTTATTTTGAGACAGTATCTTGCTCTCTTGCCAAGGCTGGAGTGCAGTGGCACAATCTCGGCTCACCGCAACCTCTGCCTCCCAGGTTCAAGCAATTCTCCTGCCTCAGCCTCCTGAGTAGCTGGGACTACAGGCATCTGCCACCACTAATTTGTGTATTTTTAGTAGAGACGGGGTTTCACCATATTGGCCAGACTGGTCTCAAACTCCTGGCCTCAGGTGATCCGCTGGCCTCGGCCTCCCAAAGTGCTGGGATTACAGGCATGAGCCACCGCGCCTGGCCACGTTTGTTTTATAGCAGTGCTGAGGTGGTAAAAAGTAGTAGTATATTTTTCTGTGTAATGATTTCACAGAGTAGAAAACATGGATCAGTAGCTGCTTCAGGATCCTTTTCACCAGTGATCAATGAAGTGCTGAGCCGAGAAATCTGGCTCTAAGGGGAAGGTGGTGGTGGTGATGAGGTGGAAATTAGTTCCCTCTGTGAATATTAACATTTTTAAAGGGCTAGGCCTACAGGTTGTTGTTGTGCTGACTATTTAGGGACAGGAGCTTGGCAAAAGGGGCTAGCTGCCATTTTTTCTAGCCTGCCTAGCAGCTGCTATGGCATTGTATTTTATAGAACTGAAGATAACCTGTGATTAGAAGTCTGTCCCGTTGTTTCTCTCCTCACCCCAGTCTATCTTTGGCCTCACTTTTCGCACACCTGCATTGTTTCATGCCCCACTGCTGACCTTCCAGCTCCATCTTCGAGTTGTAGAGTTTGTAGGGAAGGGAAATCAGAGGAATTAGTAAAAATTATTGTTTTTAATAAATTAAATTGTTTGTTGAACTGTTGTACATAATTTTTGAAGAATTGTAAGAATATTTCCTTTGATATTTCAGATGGTCAAATAAAAAAAATGTTCCTAAACTTGGTGATATGAATTCATCATTTGAAGATGTAGATATATTTTATTCTTTCTGGTAAGTGAATATACTGTTTGTATGATGCTGTCATTTTTTAAAAGGAAAAGTATTCAATAAGTACTTGATTGTTTATAAATTAATTCAGATGGACAAATTGCAGAACCTTCACTGAACAAAAGCACTCTGTTACCTATGTGATATTTACACTTTTAAGATTTTCTATTAATGAGATTTCTAGATATCAAGCACATGATAGTAGTAAAAAATGAAAATTGGGGAGTCATTTGAATAAAAATAAGTACATTTTTATTTAGTTACTTCCTACTAAAAGTACTTGAGTTCATGAGGAAGGAGACAGTGCTATTTGTCTCTGTAACTAATTCACTAATTTTTAATATGCGCAATAGTTAGTGGCCATTTTATATGTGCTACATTTTCTCATCAAATGTCTAGTAAATACAAAAACATAAAATCACATAGAACAAAAATAACAAGATTTAGTTCTATCAGTTGTAATTGCTTTTACCTTCAGAGGATACAAACTGGAGATGAGATAACCACTACTAGGGTTACCTTCAGACTTGACAGACTAGCGAAATTGAAGGCAAGGAAAACTTAAAAATAGGTCTTGGTCAAGCGAAAAACCTAACAAAGAAGAGATAGCAGGGCGGTGTGGTTTTGATTATGGAGTGATATGTGCATTTTAGATTTTCATACCAAATGCAATGTCCTTAAAAAAGGAGAAAGACTTGACCTTAGTTCAATACTAGAAGGGAAGGAAAGGTATCCATTAAAACAAATTCATTCACTTGCATTAAAAAGAATTTTTTTTCATTTATTCTGTCTTGATCATGTATTATTTCTGTCTATATTAGGTATAATTTTGATTCTTGGAGAGAATTTTCTTATTTAGATGAAGAAGAAAAAGAAAAAGCAGAATGGTATGTATGCAAATCATTAATAATGGAAGGTATTTATTTGGTTCTCTGGTATTTGTGATGATGTAAAAATTGTCACGTAAATTTTCTTTCATATTTTCTCTTTGTACATCTTTTTTAAACAATTTTTTAATATTTTGAAATCCTTTCTCACAAGTTAAACTAGGTGGGCCCAGATCAATAATTGGTTAGGATATGCTTAAGAAATTGCCAAGGAATATAATGTCAGATAGCTCAGTTCAGCAAAATCTTTTTCTTCTGGTTGCTTAACCTAGGTTTTATTAATTTTTTTTTTGTATGTGTGCAGAAATGCTTTTGACATGAATGTGCAAAAAATAACCAAAATTAATATTAAATAGAACCACTGTTTAGGCCGGGCGTGCTGGCTCATTCCTGTAATCCTAGCACTTTGGGAGGCTGAGGCGGGCAGATCACCTGAGGTCAGGAGTGCGAGACCAGCCTGGCCAACATGGCGAAACCCTGTCTCTACTAAAAATAGAAAAAGTAGCCAGGCATGGTGACAGGCACCTGTAATTCCAGCTACTCCGGAGGCTGAGGCAGGAGACTCACTTGAACCTGGGAGGCAGAGGTTGCAATGAGCCAAAATCACGCCATTGCACTCCAGCCTGGGCGACAAGAGCAAAAGTCTGTCTCAAAAAAAAAAAAATCATTGTTTAATGTTAGTAATGACACAGCATTTTAACCTCTAGGATGTTATGTACATATAAATATTTTATAAAATATTGCATTTTCCAGTCATAGCATCTATAAGCAGTAGTTTGTTTCCAATATTTTCTATTTTATAGTCGTGATGAGAGGAGATGGATTGAAAAGCAGAACAGAGCAACAAGAGCACAAAGAAAAAAAGAAGAAATGAACAGAATAAGAACATTAGTTGGTAAGTAGAATTGATTTAAGTCCCCTAAATGTTAGAAATTCAAAATGAGATTAACTTTTTCTTTTGCTAGACAATGCATACAGCTGTGATCCAAGGATAAAAAAGTTCAAGGAAGAAGAAAAAGCCAAGAAAGAAGCAGAAAAGAAAGCAAAAGCAGAAGCTAAACGGAAGGAGCAAGAAGCTAAAGAAAAAGTAAGACAACATTTAATGAAGGTGGACTTTAAATGTTTATGAAATCTTTAATCTTCACTTTAATCTTCACATCTTTTTTTAAAAAAAACTATAATTCGAAAGCAGAGAATTGGGTGCTACTGTGAATGAATCATGACCAGTTGGTATAATTGAGAGATCTTCCTTACCAGCACGTTTTTATTGAGCAAAAAATTGTGTCATAAGTTCCTTTAATATTATGCTTATTTCTAATATGTCAATTTTACATTTTCTAATAAATGTTTATAGATCTTTACCAGCTGTCTTTCCGAGTTCATCCTTCAGTTTTCAATAAGTTTATGTTGCCTTTTTTCCTAATATAATTTATTAAAAGTTTAAATTTTTAAAATTATAAAACATTTAGGAATTTTACTGTACCTATTAAAATGATTTTACTCCCTTTTTTTAAAGCAAAGACAAGCTGAATTAGAAGCTGCTCGGTTAGCTAAGGAGAAAGAAGAGGAGGAAGTCAGACAGCAAGCATTGCTGGCAAAGAAGGAAAAAGATATCCAGAAAAAAGCCATTAAGAAGGAAAGGCAAAAACTTCGAAACTCATGCAAGGTATATCAGACTGAACAAACACTAGGCACAAGTAAATCAAGTTGCTTATTAAGCAAAAATACTTCTTTTTGTTTGTTTGTTTTTTAGATGGGGTCTCGCTCTGTCGCCCAGGCTGGAGTGCAGTGGCGCGATCTCAGTTCACCGCAATTTCCGCCTCCGGGTTCGAGCGATTCTCCTGCCTCAGCCTCCCGAGTAGCTGGGATTACAGGCGTGTGCCACCACGCCTGGCTAATTTTTTGTATTTTTAGTAGAGACAGGGTTTCGCCATGTTGGCAAAGCTGGTCTTGTACTCCTGACCTCAAGTGATCTCCCCGCCTTGGCCTCCCAAAGTGCTGGGACTACAGGCATGAGCCACTGCACCCAGCCAAAATATTTCTTGAAAAAAAAAAATTATTTTTATTTATTTATTTATTTGAGATGGAGTCTCGCACTGTCACCTGGTCTGGAGTGCAATGGCACGATTTTGGCTCACTGCAACCCCCGCCTCCTGGGTTCAAGCAACTCTCCTGCCTCAGCCTCCTGAGTAGATGGGATTACAGGTGCCTGCCACCACGCCTGGCTAATTTTTTGTATTTTTAGTTGAGACAGAGTTTCACTGTGTTGGCCAGGCTGGTCTTGAACTCCTGACCTCATGATCCACCCATCTCAGCCTTCCAAAGTGTTGGGATTACAGGCATGAGCCACCTGTGCCCAGCCAAAAAAACTTTTTCTAATTAAGTTTTTGTTATTGTTGTTGTTGAGGCAGGGTCTCAGTCACTCAGGCTGGAGTGCAGTGGCGCCATCTCGGCTCACTGCAACCTTCACCTCCCAAGTTCAAGCCATTCTCATGCCTTGGCCACCCAAGTAGCTGGGATTACAGGTGCATACCACCACACCCAGCTAATTTTTGTATTTTTAGTAGAGACGGGGTTTCACCATGTTGGCCAGGCTGGTCTCAAACTCCTGGCCTCAAGTGATCCCCCTGCCTTGGACTCCCAAAGTGCTAGGATTATAGGCATGAGCCACTGCACCTGGCCAAGCATAAATGTATTTCTTTTCTTTACTATGCAAATGTAACTAAACAAGACAGAGTCTCCATCTCAAAAAAAAAAAAAAAAAAAAGACATGCTGAGATAACTGAAGATATGAATATAGACACAGTTTCAGAATATATATATATATATATATATGTGTATATATATATATTTTGTGACAGAGTCTTGCTCTGTCGCCCAGGCTGGAGTACAGTGGCGCAATCTCCGCTCACTGCAAGCTCCGCCTCCTGGGTTCACGCCATGCTCCTGCCTCAGCCTCCCGAGTAGCTGGGACCACGCCCGGCTAATTTTTTGGATTTTTAGTAGAGACGGGGTTTCACTGTGTTAGCCAGGATGGTCTCGATCTCCTGACCTCACGATCCGCCTGCCTCGGCCTCCCAAAGTGCTGGGACAGTTTTAGAATATTAACTTGTTTTTTGGTTTGATAATGGTAAGATGATTATGTTTAGAAAAAAACTATCAGGGTTGAAAACTGAAATATGTACACCTGAAATTTAGAAAAAGTTAAAAACAGCCGGGCGCGGTGGCTCACACCTGTAACCAGCACTTTGGGAGGCTGAGGCGGGTGGATCACAAGGTCAGGAGTTCAAGACCAGCCTGGCCAAAATGGTGAAACCCCGTCTCTACTAAATATAGAAAAAATTAGCCAGGTGTGGTGGCAGGCGCCTGTAATTCCAGCTACTCAGGAGACTGAGGCAGAAGAATAGCTTGAACCCGGGAGGTGGAGGTTGCAGTGAGCCGATTTCGTGCCACTGGACTCCAGCCTGGGCGACAGTGAGACTCCGTCTCAAAGAAAAGAAAAAGTTAAAAACATTTACACTGAGATAAAATTATACCTGTTCAGTTGTCATTGTCTGTTTTTTTGAGATGGAGTCTTGCTCTGTTGTCCAGGCTGGAGTGCAGTGGCGTGATCTCAGTTTGCTGCAATTTCCGCCTCCAGGTTCAAGCGATTCTCCTGCCTCAGCCTCCCGAGTAGCTGGGATTACAGCTTTGTAATTATGTTGATGGATGTATTTTTGAGTGTAGATACTATTTTTGTGTTTGTGCTTTTAGACCTGGAATCATTTTTCTGATAATGAGGCAGAGCGGGTTAAAATGATGGAAGAAGTGGAAAAACTTTGTGATCGGCTTGAACTGGCAAGGTATACCTATGGAACTGCTATTGAAGTCTTCACTTGAGCTTAGGATAAAGTTTCATTTCTTCTTTTTTTTTCTTTAGCTTACAGTGCTTGAATGAAACACTCACATCATGCACAAAAGAAGTAGGAAAGGCTGCTTTGGAAAAACAGGTAATAGAGGAACACATCACTCCTACCTATATGTAGCATTTAATTCTGCTTTGACCTGTTTCTTCACCTAATATATAAGTCACCAAGTGCAGGGAGTATCTGATTTCTCTTTATGTTTCCCACTGTTTTGTTGTTGTTGTTTTATGTGTTCGGTTTTTTGGTTTTTTGTTTTGAGACAGAGTCTTGCTCTGTTGCCCAGGCTGGAGTGCAGTGGCACGATCTTGGCTCACTACAACCTCCGCCTCCCGGGTTCAAGTGATTCTCCTGCCTCAGCCTCCTGAGTAACTGGGATTATAGGCGCACAACACCACACCTGGCTAATTTTTGTATTTTTGGTAGAGACAGGGTTTCACCATGTTGGTCAGGCTGGTCTTGAATTCTTGACCTCATGATCTGCCCATGTAGGCTTCTCAAAGTGCTGGGATTATAGGTGTGAACCACCACGCCCAGCCTGTTTTTGTTTTTGTTTTTGAGATGGAGTCTCTCTCTGTCACCCAGGCTGGAGTGCGGGTGGGATTACAGGTGTGTGCCACCATGCCCGGCTGATTTTTGTATTTTTACTAGAGACAGGGTTTCGCTGTGTTGGCCAGGCTGGTCTCAAACTCCTTACCTCAAGTGATCCGTCCGCATTGGCCTCCCAAAGGATTATAGGCATGAGCCACCATGCCCAGTCTGCATTTTGTTTATGTAGTAAGGTGCTGTTGTTGATTTAAGTTGGATTAGATGTTTATGGTTTTTACCATACTTAGTGTTTGATTTGTGGTATCTATCACAAGCATAGCTTTTGCAAAATCATATTAGAAAAAAATAATTGTTTTGATTATTCCTTGAGTATTTTCATAGGGTAATAACAGTTAGAACCAAAAGAGATCTTTGTTCTGTCTAGTCTATACCTTTTATTTTACAGATAAGAAAACAGGCCCAGAAATTCAATTCAATTCAACAAGTATTAGTACCTACTATATATAGCACTATGCCTAGGTTCTTTTGGAGAAATGCCTAATGCTGTTGCACCACAAAGGACATGCTGAGAAGAACCTGAGAAGAACCTTAAGGACCAAAAGATGGAGAGCCCATAGTAAATGAGGTGTAGGATAGGAAGGGCCACAAGTTTTAGTGACCAGGGAAGGCTCAGTGTAGTTTGAACCAGCCTGAAAGGAAGGACAGAGTTAAAATGAAGGTCAGAAGAATACCACAAACTATAAAATAGAAGTAGAAGTATAAAGTATGGTTCAGCCTGGGCAACATAAACAAAATCTCTACCGAAAATACAAAAATTAACTGGCATGGTGTCGTGTACCTGTAGTCCCAACTTCTCAGGAGGCTGAGGTTAGAGGATTACCTGAGCCTGGGAGGTCACAGCTGCAGTGAGCTATGATCATGTCGGTGCACTCCAACCTGGGCAACAGAGCGAGACTTTGTCTCAAAAAAAACAGACAAAAAAAAAATGTTATGGGGAAATGGAGTGGGAAACAAAATCAGTTAGGAAAAGCAGAACCAATGATCAGGTTTTTAATACCTTGTTGACTAGTTTCCATTACTGCAAATCTTTGATTAACAGAAGGTTCAACATTGTACTACTAATCTGACGTTTGTGGATAAGGTGCATCAGATAGATGTAACTAGTTACAAGAATCTTATTTATTTAAGAATCTGCACTATGAGCGTGGTGGCTCATGCCTATAATCCGAGCACTTTGGGAGGCCAAGGCAGACAGATCCCCTGAGGTCAGGAGTTTGAGACTAGCCTGGCCAACATGATGAAACCCCATCTCTGCTAAAAATACAAAAATTAGCTGGGCATGGTGGCAGGCATCTGTAATCCCAGCTACTTGGGAGGCTGAGGCAGGAGAATCACTTCAACCTAGGAGGCGGAGGTTGCAGTAAGCAGAAATCACACCACTGCACTCCAGCCTGGGCGACAGAGTGAGACTCTGCCTCAAAAGTAAGAAAGAAAGAAAAAGAACCTGCACTATGAATGTGATGATGGGAATCAAAAAAATTTTTCAAGGTTAGCATTATTGGGACTTTACTGGTTCTAAGGGATTGAAGGGGAGAAATGAGCCAAAGCTGACTCTTAAGATAGCAGCTGACAGAAGCAACAAGGGCAAATAAAGGTTCTTTTTTTACTTGTGCATGTTTGAAGGTAGTCTAGAAGGAACAATGTAAATGGTAGAGCTTCAAAATAAAAGAGGCCATTTTGCTATGCCTTCACCTTTTGGTAGAGAATAAATGAGATTGTCTGCAGAAAGGGTGAATATGAGTTTGAAGAGAGGTTTGAAATGGCCTTGTGGATGAATAACTCAGTGACCCACAGACTTGTCAATTAGTGTCCAAGGCTAATGGAAGTCACATGACATGAGTACTGGGAAAATCAGGCAGGCTGTGGGCAGTTCTTGGTCCCTCAGGCAGACCTATGCAGACTGGAAGCCAGAGTGAAAAGCTGGTGCTTCTTTTTGGGTTGGCCTGAGAGGAGTATGGGGTCAGAGTGAGAATGACATTGAGAGTTGAGGACCACAAAGCCCTAGCCAGGAAGAGAGTGTAGAATAGCAATACAGTATACTTCTAAGTCCCTGACTTATGATATTTGTGCAGATAGAAGAAATAAATGAGCAAATCAGAAAAGAGAAAGAGGAAGCTGAGGCTCGTATGCGACAAGCATCTAAGAACACAGAGAAATCAACTGGTGGAGGTGGAAATGGAAGTAAAAATTGGTCAGAAGATGATCTACAATTACTAATTAAAGCTGTGAATCTGTTCCCTGCTGGAACAAATTCAAGGTACTGGTTTTAATGAAACTTTTCTTCAACTCACACTGGAGCCTGGAGATAATGTAGACAGACTCCAAATAGCAGCACTTGTTATCACAGAAACTTGCAGAGATAAATTCTGTGCCACAGCAGAAAAGTGTGAAAAGTGAGGTGCATTTTGAAGCTGTCAGTCTTACCCATTGCATCAGTACACATGCACATATACATATGACAGAATACTTGTTTCTCAGGAAATTGAAGATCATGAGACAAGTCTTGATTTATGTTGGCTTACTCTGTCATGGCTTGTTCTAGGGATTAGGTTTTCTGTAGTTTTTCTTTTACAGTCTTGCTCTTTGTTTTTTCCCACCTCAAGCTGGAGCTTGAGTTTAACTGCAAGAAAGCCCTAGAGATCCAGCGTCCCTAATTCTATAGATGAAACCGAGGCTGTTTTCAGAATGATTGATCTTCTGAAGAAATGTATTAAACTGGCAGTATACACAAATAAGTGGTTTTATTTATGTTGATTTGTACACCAAATCTGTAAGATGTATGGACTTAAAACCAAGATTATCGTTGATTTAAACACATGAAAAGCAAAAACCGTAGTCCAGGCAACAGGAATTTATAGTAGCAGCATAATTAGACCACCAATCTGAGCTCATTCTGTACATACTATAACCTTTCTGCAGTAAAAATCTAATGGTTTTTGTCGTTTCATTTTGTTTTTCCTTACTACTATTCATATTATTGTATAATATATCCTATCAGATGGGAAGTTATTGCTAATTACATGAACATACATTCTTCCTCTGGAGTCAAAAGAACTGCCAAAGATGTTATTGGCAAAGCAAAGAGTCTCCAAAAACTTGGTGAGTTTTGAGAAGTCCATTTGTTACTTTAAACACCTATTTTTAAAATAACTTATGCAATTTAATGAAAGATTAAATGATGATCTGTTAAGTATTAAATTTTTTTCATTTCTCAGACCCTCATCAAAAAGATGACATAAATAAAAAGGCATTTGATAAGTTCAAAAAAGAACATGGAGTGGTACCTCAAGCAGACAACGCAACGCCTTCAGAACGATTTGAAGGTAAATTTTGCTTTTCTAAACGTAGAAAATGCTAGCCATGTATCTGTGCTGCTTGGACGTACAAGACTTAGGGTCTATGTTCAGAATGATAGGGAAATAAAATGTTTAGCAGACTGGAAGCTGTAAGCAAACATTTCCAGGGCAAAGATTTACTTCACCTAACCATTAAAAATGGAGAATTGCAGTTGTTCCATTTCAGATGCCATTAGAGAAGGGGGCTGTTTGTTTTGCTTACCAGGTTTTACAAAACAGTGTTAGAGGATATTATTGGGACTAAAGAATAGTGTTATATCGGGATAATTGCTTGATTTTGAGAAATGTACTGTAATTATATAAGAAAATGTCCTTATGTTTAAGGAAAAACACAGAAGTGTTAAGGAATAAAGAGGCATCATGTCTGTAACTTATGGTTCAAAGTATGTCTGTACATATAGGTAAAAATAATTAGCAAATATGAAAATGTTCACATTTGGGGAATGTAGGCAGAGTATACAGGGATTCTTTCTACTCCTCTAAAATTATTTCAAAATAAAATGTTAAAAATTGTTAGGGTTCAAAACCAGGAAACATAGTAAGACTCAAAAAAAAAAAAAATGTTAGGGTTTGATATTATCTTGGGTGTTGTGATTACTCTAGACCAATGCTTTTCATGTTACAAATCATGACCCATCACTGGGTCATGAAGTCAATTTAGTGTGTTGAATAGAAAATGAGTGTTACACCCATTATATGGGTGGGTATACTTGTGAAACTCTTGATCACGTGTGTCTTTGTTTAGGATGTGATATAAATTTTTTTCTTGCTATGACAAGGTTTGAAAGCAGTTTATGTGGAAAAAGTTCTTTCACTTCATGTTTTGTGAGCCACCAATCCTTTCTTAAACTAATCGCAGAAAGATGCTTTTGGATTAATAGACTTGACTATACATAAGCTGTTTCTTTCTTCTAAGAGTCCCAGTTTTACCTATATTCTTTAATCTTGCTTATTATCCCAAAATTTCAACTTAAAGATATGAGACTTACAGTGTTAATATAGGGGAGGAAAATCATTGCAAAAATCAGCAGTGACTTGTTTGGCTGAGTTAGGCATTATTTCGGTTCTTTTAATAAAGGTAAGTAACAAGGCAGGGTTTCAGAACACCTGAAAGACACTTCTTTATAAAGGAGTTTATTCTCCTGCACCTTTATCTCCACAAAATACAACAGGTATTAGCACACTAGTCTCAGCTCTTTCTTAGGGGGACTTGTTTCCATGTTGGAGGGAGGTGGGCCCTGATATTTGTCCAGTCTGCTTTCTGTGAGGAGAGGTGACCCTGTGAAGGCAAGAGTGACTGGCAGTAGTGCTATGTGGGTATGACTCCTTTGCCTCTTTTATGGAAATGGGAAGGCTCCTTCCTCTTCAGTTGTACCATTAAACAGCAAGCTGGCACCATTTTTTGAATAGTGATTTCTCATAGGAGTTTTGCAACAGTACGTTTAATTTATTTTGGTATTGTGAAGTAACTGGAGAACAGCAGGAAATACTGCCATGTCACTTCCATCTTTTTTCCAAGAGAGGAAATAAAATCTATGGTATTTAGGGCTTTAAACCAATACAAGGAAATTCAACAAAAGACTTCCTAGAACTTAAAAGCTACCTTCAAAAAAGCTTCTTAGGCACCTTAGGTACCATCAAATATTATACAAATTCTCTGCTTTGTTTTGAATAGGTGGTGGTTTTGTTTTGTTTTGTTTTGTTTTTCCTTCTTTAATTGGGAAGGAACTTTGGTTTCTAGGCTTAACTTTTAACAGATCTCACAGGCCGCAGTTTCTAGTAGTAGTCAGGCTACTGGTAGTATTAGTCTGTGTTGTCACTGCATAGTCTGAAATAACTAAATTGCCAGAAGTCCATTAACTTAACCAAATCAGCTTTCTACCACTTAACATTCTACTTTTACCTACACAAGTGGACTGTGTAATACTTAACATCCTTAAGAAACATATTTGTTTCTGACACACATCTTAGATGTTTTCTGAAATATACAAGGTTTAGTTGAAGAACCACAATAGCAGTTATTGGAAGTGTTCAGCATCGGCTCCCAAGATTTTAGCAGATGTGACGAAGAGAACACCACACTACAACACAATCTAATCTCAGCTTGCCTCTCCAGCACTGGTACCTTGGGCACTTGGCTTAATTTTGCTAGGTTTGTTTCCTTCAGTGTAAAACAAGAATGATTTCCAGGGTTTCTATCCAGCAAAAGTTTAACTGTGAGGAAGCTCTTTTACCTATTCTGTAAGGAAGTAGATTTATCAGAACTCTTAATGAATTGTGGTTGTGTTTTTGAGTCCAAGAGTCCAACAGTACTATAAATTTAAATATGGCTTTTTACCAGTCTGGTGAGTGTATTACATTGATTTTTAAGAGATAAACAGTACAAGGTAGATCTTTACTATTGTGTTTTAAAAGCCTTTGAGATTTTATTTTCTGGGATGTGAGCTATCTGAAATTTTTTCTCTTATTAACACTCAGAGGGCTATATGTATCTCTCATCTCTACAAGTTTATTTTCAAAATGACACATCCCAGATTGAAATGGGCACTTAGCGAATACTTGTGGACCACAAGACTTGTCTGAGAACATGTTCAAAGACAGTTTTCAAATAAAAATTTTTCTTAATCAGGTCCATATACAGACTTCACCCCTTGGACAACAGAAGAACAGAAGCTTTTGGAACAAGCTTTGAAAACATACCCAGTAAATACACCTGAAAGATGGGAAAAAATAGCAGAAGCGGTGCCTGGCAGGACAAAGAAGGACTGCATGAAACGATACAAGGTTGCAGACTTAAGCGTTTATAGATTGTTGTATTTTAAATTGTAGCTTGGGTGATATAGCTCATATTTTATGTCTATTAAGTGGTTAATAATATAGTGCTTATTTCAAAACCAGTAGTTATGGGGTCAATATTATGAGGAAGAAATGAGCAACCTTAGAAACTTTCTAGGCCCTGGCAGATAATGAAATCAGTATATTTAGTACTATCTATCTTAGTTGCTTGAATTCTTTACACCAAACACTAGATTAAAATGTCTGTTTTTAAATCGCAACTTCTTAAATCACACCTTTCTCCCTTCCTAGGAACTTGTCGAGATGGTAAAAGCAAAGAAAGCTGCTCAAGAACAAGTGCTGAATGCAAGTAGAGCCAAGAAATGACAATCTTTGTTGTGTGTGCATTTTTATAATAAAACTGAAAATACTGTAAACATTTTCATTCTTAAAATTATACTCATGGTAATAATTTGAAAGTATGCTGCTTCCAACATAATTTCTCAGAGAACAAAGACTGACCATTAATACAAAACAACCTTCAGAGGGGTAGTCTTTTTATCCTTTGAAAGTATGATACAGTATTTAATTCAAATTTCCAAATGTATATACATGTTCATTTTTATTTTTCTCTAGCTCTGTTTTATAAATACATGTGTTCAAACAATCTTGATTAGGAGCATTTTAATCACGAAGCCAACACATGTTACTGCGTATCTGTTTAAAATCTGGTAGTTGCTTAATGGGACCTAAGGATTAAAAAGAAGAGTTAATTAAAAGTACTTGGCCAACTTTTTGCATAGAAGAAAAGAAGCCAGGCTTACCAACAGCAGCAATAGCTGGACTCCTATTATAAATGTATTTGGTACATACTTCTCGAATTGTCTCAGCATTCACAGCCTGAAATATGGAAGACACTGTCATTCAGCTGTTTGTAGTAAAAACAAAGTCTATACCTGGAACTTTTTAAAACTAAAGCAAGATGAAAGATACATATTCTCAGCTTTTGTAACAAGGATCTTTTTACACATGACCCAATAGTAACTCAGGACTACTTACATCAATTCTTGCTTCAAGCTCAGGGATGGGAATCCTTCTATTATAGCATAACATTTGCCTACCAATATCTTCACAAATTGGAGTTGAACCTGTTTAAAGAGAAGGAAAAATTAACTATTGGAATACAGATCAACCATATGAAAACAGAACCTATATCTTTATTTTTACCATCAAGCTGCAACAACATGTTTGTTTTCAGAAGATTTCTGGCTCGTGCAACCTCACTTTCTGTGACACTTGTACAGAGTCGCATCCTAAAAAACGTGGAAAAACAGTAGTAGTTGGAAAATGTTGTATTTCATGAGTTAATGACCTAAGAATGATGATGCCATCTTCTACACAAAACATACAGGTGATTACAATTTAATTCCAATGCTAAGCAAAAGCTAAAATGATTATTTTCCCCAGTATTAATTTCTCAAAAATGATACATAAACATGCCTAATTACACATTAGCAGACAAAGGCTTTATACAAATGGGCTGATCACATTTTCAGAAATGCTATAAGCATCTTGAGACTTCATGAGTCCTCATCTGTTGGAGTCTGATATGCTATGGGTTAAGTCAGTGGGTCATTCATTGGTTTCTGAAAACAATGAGTAGAGTCTAACTTAAATCTAATTTTTAACAATAATTACATCCTAGTTGACTAGATTTAGAAAGATGTAAACCAATTAAGAATAGTGGAGGAAAGGAACCAGAGCTAAATGTTTTCCAAGAAGCTGCGAGCCTTTCTGCCCATCTATCGACTCAATATACTTTGTTTTCTTTTAGCAGTGGCAACTTCAGATTTACTTTCCCTTCAACCAGATTACTTTCAGAGATATTTTCCAAACAACTTCTAGTTGGCTTTTAAACTTTTAGGATCATCTTTCTGAATTAACCTGCTTCTGAAAGATTAAAACTTTCAGCCAGGTGTGGTGGCTCACGCCTGTAATCCCAGCACTTTGGGAGGCTGAGAAGGGTGGATCTCCTGAGGTCAGGAGTTCAGGACTAGCCTGGTCAACATGGTGAAACCCCATCTCTACTAAAAAATACAAAAAATTAGCCAGGCATCGTGGGCATGGTGGTGCGCCTGTAATCCCAGCTATTCGGGAGGCTGAGGTGGGAGAATGGCTTGAACCTGGGAGGCGGAGGCTGCAGTGAGCCGAGATGGCACAACTACACTCCAGCCTGGGCAACAGAGCAAGACCTCATCTCAAAAAAAAAAAAAAAAAAAAATTCTATAGTATAAATCAGCTTCACATCTTGAGACTTAGGAAAAACCAACTGCAACCTTTGAAAACATGGCAACTACTGTTTATCTAGGTCTCTTAATTAAAAGGTAAAATTACCATAAATCACCATAAAGTATAAATAAAAAACTAGTTTAAAACGAATTAAAGGCAAAATTTAAATTACTTAAAGCTATTTTTCTCACCATTCTTTTTGAACAACATGTAGCATGTCTGCAACAGTGGATGATTCACAAACCATATACAGTCCCCATAATCCTGTATCTGTGTAGGAAGTGTTGAAAGACTGAAAGCTATGGCAAAGATTGCCATGACAAGTGAGCTGGGCCAGCTTGCTAGATAAATTCTGCAAGGAAAAAAAAATTCCAAGAGAATTTTAATTATACATGTCCAAAATACAGAAAGAAAAATGGAGTGTGTGGAAAATAGTGAATATCCTTAGAGGCTGTTTCCTAGTTTTATTCAACATCTCAGTAGTAGAGTTAAAATTCAGTATGACTAAGAATTGTGTTTATTATCTCACTTACCCAGTGCACCCCCTGGAGAAATTCATGTTATAAAAGCAATGAGTCCTTATAATTAATGTAGTAGCTATACCTACTTCTAAAACTAGATGGCTATTATCAACCCAATTTCTAGGACTCTTGGCTACATACGCTTAAAGATTCAAAGTTATATTGCATATGAAGCTTAAGATTATTTAGATGAAATGTATTTTGGAGAAATCTATGAGTAAAGACAAATCTATACAATGTGTTTTGAAATAATTCCAACTTACAAAAAAGTTGCAAAAACAGTACAGAGAATTTCATTTATCTAGATTCCCTGTTATTTTACCATGTTTGCTTTATTCTCTTTATACAAGTTTTTTCAACTGAGTTTTAGATGTGATGCTTCTTGCCCCAAATACTTTAGTATGTACTTGTGAAAAACAAGGAAATTAATGTTCTTACATCACCTTGGTATAGTTCCTCAGTATCTGTGGAGAATTGGTTCCCAGATCCCTGTGGATACCAAAATCCACAGATGCTAGAGCCCTCATGTAATATGGTATATGTAATATTTGCATATAAGCACATTCTCCTGTATACTTTAAATCATCTCTAGATAAATACCCAATCCATGTAAATGCTATGTAAATAGTTGTTATACTATATTGTTTAGGAAGTGACCAAAAAAAAAGTCCATACATGTTTAGTACAGATGCAACCATCCATTTGTTCCCCAAAATTTTCCACCTATGGTTGGTTGAATCCACGGATATGGAACCCACAGATATAGAGGGCCTACTGACTATTAAAATTAGGATATTAACATTGACATAGTACTTCTAGCTAATTCTGTCCTTATTCAAATTTTGCCACTAATAAACTTTGTGGCAAAGAAAAAAAGAAACTTTTTCTGGCCCACATGCAATCCAGGATCAGTTTATATTTTTAAGTCAGAATTCACAGTACAAGACTCTATTCTGCCACTTTAAAAAAGGATTCTTACAAAGAACTTATATTTAAGAAAACATGATAATCTTCCATCTGTTATGGAAAATTTCTTTTAAAATCACTTACCATTCCTCCCCCAAAAGAGCGATCCCAGTTGCCAATCAGCGTGTTTGCAACCATGAGACAGATTGTATCTGGATGTGCCCAACCAACAGCTTCAACAGCTATTGCAAGGTGCGCCAAAGGCATCTTGTCATCCCTCACACGAATCTAGTTAAGATAAAGCAGGAGGACCTCTAGTTAAGATTAACATTATATAACATGCTTATTAACAAGGAAAAAATCACCAGTCCCATTAACTGCAAAGTTAAAATGCACACCAGGACTCTATTTTGATTTTTTAACTATCAGGCCTCATTACATTGTTGAGTTTAATCTAGAAGAATTAAGACTAAATTAGGGAAAAATTACTTTTCCCAAAGCATTTTACTACAGACAGGCACCACATGGTTTACCTGGTCAAAAGGGTTGCATCATTTCACTGGTAGAAATCAATCCTTTGTGTTTGTCAATCTGAATTTGTCTTTTTCTTTCTTTTTTTTTGAGACAGAGTCTCACTCTGTCGCCCAGCCTGGAGTGCAGTGGCACCATCTCGGCTCACCGCAACCTCGGCCTCCCATGTTCAAGCAATTTTGCCTCAGCCTCCCGAGTAGCTGGGACTACAGGCATGCACCACCACGCCCAGCTAATTTTTGTATTTTTAGTAGAGACGGAGTTTCACCATGTTGGTGAGGCTGGTCTCAAACTCCTAACCTCAAGTGACACACTCGCCTCAGCCTCTCCAAGTGCTGGGATTACAGGCGTAAGCCACCGCACCCGGCCTCAATCTGAACTTTTCTATTGAAATGTCATATTGACGTTACAGGTTTATTTTTGTACTGCCAATGCTACAGTTCTAGGCAGCTGCCAATATCAGGGCATTTTCCAGATACTACTTTGAGCATCATCCTCAACATGGCAAACTAAGCAGCTAGTGGGGCTTAAAGCTAGTTGATAACTAGTAGATCCCCTGCAAGTTCTGGCTCTAACAGTTACTACCCCCTCCCAAAACATACTGTGGGCAAAACTGAGCCAAGAGTAAACCTGAAGTGAAAGTCAAAATACGGGGTTTAAAAGATTACTTCCAGATATTACAATATGTAAATTGGCATAGTGCCAAAGAAAAAGCACAAAAAGACCAAATTATAAACTGCTCTTAAAAACTTTGCTTCCTTTCAGACTAGAATGGAGAAATTTAAAAACAAAACAAAAAAAACCTTGCTTCCTTAGGAAGAAAAATAGGTGGTTAAAGAATACGGAAGAGGAAGGAATGTAAGCAAATGAGTACATCCTCTTCCCTTTTCCTATTATTCCATTCTTTTCCTACTGGAAATATGCACATTTTGTTTACTTATGTGTAAATACAACACAAGGAATCCAAAAGGCTAAATACTAGCTGGAAGGCTTGCCCTACCTCACTTCCTGTGAATTTGCAGGGAGGCAGAGCTGGTATTTCTCCTTTGTGTGTGCATAAAGAGTCACCGAAATGAAACTTTGCTAAGTCAAGCAATTCATCATGGGAAACACCTAAATTGAAAGAAAATATTTTCACATGTATCTAGCAGCAATATAGTTTACAATAAACCCTAGGTGGTATAATGTGATGTACATTACACATGAACTATCTACACTCACTAAAAGCCATTATTTAAGAGTAAGCTCACATAGCACACCTATTTCCTTGGTGTTGCAAAGCTTGAGGTTGCACAGCTTTCTCATTTTGTAGAGCAAATGACAGTTTTCATCAACAGACCAATGGATTCACAGCTAAGAATAAGACAACTTGAAAACTCCACGTTTTACAAAATCATTTTCTATTAAATTATAAAAACCTCTGGGATCCAAACTAGCAAAAAATGCCAATTTTCAAAAAAAAAATTTTTTAGTGGAAAATACAAATATGGGCTCTATCTAATTTTTAAAAAGCTGGAGCTGGGCATGGTGGCTCACGCCTATAATCCCAGTTCTTTAGGAGGCTGAGGTGGGAGGATCATTTGAGTTCAGGAGTTCAAGACCAGCCTGGACAACATAGCAAGACTCTGTCTCAATAAAATAAATTTTAAAAGCCGGGTGCCATGGCTCACACCTGTAATCCCGGCACTTTGGGAAGTCAAGGTGGGCAGGTCACTTGAGATCAGGAGTTCAAGACCAGCCTGGCCAATATGGTAAAACCCTGTCTCTACTAAAAATACAAAAATTAGCTGGGCATGGTAGCAGGCGCCTGTAATAATCCCAGCTATTCAGGAGGCTGAGGCAGGAGAACTGCTTGAATCTAGGAGGTGGAGTTTGCAGTGAGCTGAGATCACACCACTGCACTCCAACTTGGGTGACAGAGCAAGACTCTGTCTCTAAAATAAATAAAATTAAATAAATAAAAGAAAGCTGGATACACAGATAAACTTTATTCTCCATGCTCTGCTATCAGAACTCAGGAACAGGGCCTGGTGTGGTGGCTCACGCCTGTAATCCCAACACTTTCGGAGGCTGAGGCAGGCGGATCACCTGAGGTCAGAGGTAGAGGTAGACCAGCCTGATCAACATGGAGAAACCCCATCCCTACTAAAAATACAAAATTAGTCAGGTGTGATGGCAAATGCCTGTAATCCCAGCTACTCGGGAGGCTAAGGCAAGACAATCAGTTGAATCCGGAAGGCGGAGTTTGCGGTGAGCCAAGATGATGCCATTGTACTCCAGCCTGGGCAATAAGAGCAAAACTCCATCTCAAAAAAAAAAAAAAAAAGAACTCAGGAACAAAATAGTGTCATCTAAATTTCTGAATACATCAATAGGTATCCAAATGCAAAAACTCAGGAATTACTTAGACTCTATATCCCTTACTTGAGACCCAAATTAAGATTCTTTAACTTAATTTACAATTAAAATGTTAAATTATAATTTTATAATAAATGAAGCTAGGATACAAAAAACTATTTGGCAAATAAAAGCTATACATCCTGATGATTAGCCTAGAAGAGATAAATGGTAGCCAAGACATAATTCAGAGGTCAGCAGAAACTTAAAACTGGCCTATTTCATTGAATTTAAGATGCAATCATTTATAAGGCACATCACTTATGTAGTATTTAAAATGAATACTAATTAATCTATAAGCCATTAAACTAAAGATATCTCAATTTTAGCTATGTCAAAATGAACCCATGAACCAAAGTAAAACTCATTTTGTCCACATGCCACCAACAATGGCAGAGAGGTCCCAGAAAGCTTGGTTGTTGAGGACCCATCTAACAAGTCTCTTGTCCCATTTCCAAGGCAGTTTCAAACACTTAAGCCCAAGTCTGCAAGAGCCAATTTAGAAACAATGTTACTCAAGAGAATTTCAGAGTGCACTTCCTGCCATGTACAATGAAGGTAGCTACAATGAATAACATGTTTGATATTTAATGTTTTCATCTTCTCCATTACCCGCCAGGTACTTAGCTCAGAAATCAATCCAGAGCAACTAGAATTTTTAAATTATGATCTCTAAAAAGAGAAAAATTTACAACACGAAAGAACACTTCGCTTTGCTCTAATATTAAAAAATACAAAGAAATGAAAACTGGAGACCAGGTGCGGTGGGTCACGCCTGTAATCCCCAAGTTTTGGGAGGTCAAGGTGGAAGGATAACTTGAGCTCAGGAGATTGAAACCAGCCTGGGCAACATAGTTAAGAATCCATCTCTATTTCTATAAATGTATTTTAAAAAGAAAAAAATAAAAAACTGGAAACCAATTAAAATGTACTGCTGTCTAGATTCAGACTGCCAGGAAATCTGGCAATATCTGTTGTCAATTTTTTTTTTCATTCACTGGCTTCAAACATGACCTCAAGGAAACCTTCTGAAGTCACCTGCATGTTTGGATTCCCATTCAACATTCTTATGGCTCCCTATGTGCTTCTCCTTCCCAAAAATTAGATCTATTAAATGAATGATTGAACAAATCAAAGAATGAACATACCCGTTCCATGCTTGAACAAGGACGAAGTTGGTTCTCAAGAAATAATTTAAAATCTCAAAAAATTCTCAAAGTACAGAACACCATCTTCCGACTCTCTCCCAGTTCACTCCTTTGCCCTTTTCTTGCACGTTCTACTATGTACGCTTATGTATTGAACAGTTCATTAAGTCTTTCTATAAATAAAACCTACTTTTCTTTTTTTTTTTTGAGACAGTCTCACTCTGTCGCCCACGCTGGAGTGCAGTGGTGCAATCTTGGCTCACTGTAACCTCCGCCTCCTGGGTTCAAGCAATTCTCCTACCTCAGCCTCCCGAGTAGCTGGGACTACAGGCGCATGTCACCACGCCCAGCTACTTTGTATTTTTAGTAGACATGGGGTTTCACCATATTAGTCAGGCTGGTCTTGAACTCCTGACCTCGTGATCCGCCCACCTCGGCCTCCCAAAGTGCTGGGATTACAGGTGTGAGTCACCATGCCTGGCCTAAATGAAACCTACTTTAAAAAAAATAGAGGGAAATTCTGATTCCAGTGCTCCACATTCCCCTTACACACTATCAGTTATTTGCTATGTAAATGAAAATTCTTAGGGTATCTCCCAACAGGATCAAACTAATAAGCATACCACTCCAACAACTGTGTTTAAAACATTTGTAGAAATTTAAATTGACTAACCTCCAGCAGCAGCAAGCACTATTCTTGGCCCCTTATAATGTGTGGTTATATAATCCACTAAGTCCTTACGACTTATAGATCTGTAAATGAAGTAAAACAATTTTTAAAGGAAACCAAAAAAAAAACAGATCTTCACATAATATACCTGAAATCAAATTGGACCATAACTGTATCCTAAAATGCAGTCAGAAATAGGATACAGGCAACACATCAAAGAACTTCACCTTTTTTACATCAAAGAAAAAATACACCATTACTGGTTTATTCCCGAAGTACCTATGAACTCACGTGCTTGGGAGCTAGGTGGGACTAAAATGTAGCTAACTACAGTTTCACTTAGATTACCAGGGGGAAAATTACTTTCTGAAACATACTTTTTGAAAATTTGTAAATGTTTATTTTCAACATTCATAAATTCCCTTATACACCAAGAAATTCTGTTATACCTACTTGATATTTTCAGTTGGTCCCAAAATTGTCCGTCCAAGTGCAGTATTTTGATAAGCTGTGGCATGAAGATAATCAAAAACAACTTCTTGTAAATTGGTTTCAACTTCCTGCATCTCTCTAAGGATTACTCCACGCTCACGTTCAATCTCTGCTTCTCCCAATGTGCTGTTTTGTATTATATCAGCAAGAATTTCTACAGCTAATTGAAAATAAAATATAAGAAAACGTGCCAGCAATCTTAACTTTCACTATTAAAATCTATTAAACCAAAATCAGAAATCATGACACTGACCCATCACTCAATACTAAATGATTAGCCTAGGAGAAAAACATCAGATATACTTAACAGGACAAAATTAAAATTTAACATATAAACCCCTATAGTACAAAAGATTTTTTCCTTGGGGAAAAAGTATAAATTTGCCATCACCTTGTAATGACTCTACCTACTTAAAAAATGCTATGGAAATTTGCATATTAATATAGATTGTTCTATATGAAAATTACAAAGTTATATATATTAGTCTGAAAATACCTAGCTAGCAATGTACAGAGGGTTTGTATCACCCAAGTATTTACTATGCAAGTTCCCACAGCAATGACAGTGCTATGTTAAGAAGCAAAGAACTGGTCAGGCACCGTGGCTCACACCTATATAATCCCAGCACTTTGGGAGGCTAATATGGGCTTCAGCCCAGGAGTTCCAGACCAACCTGGGGAACATGCCAAAATCCTGTCTCTACAAAAAATACAAAAATTAGCTTCGTGTGGTGGCATGTGCCCGTAGTCCCTGCTACTCGGGAGGCTGAGATGGGAGGATGGGTGGAGCTCGGGAGGCAAAGATTGCAGTGAGCTGCGATTGCACCACTGCACTCTCGCCTGGGCAACAGAGAAAAGAATCCTTACAATCTAAAATATGCCCCAAATGAATCACAGAATTGTGTGTTCTCAAACCCTAATTTGCAAAAAGCCAAAAGTGAAGTGGAACATGTTATATTAGGCCATTAAGCAATTTTATCAGAAAAAGCGCATACCTCTCCAAAAAAAAAACTGTGCTTCATTCTTGAAGAATTAGTACATAGTTGCAATCATAAATCTAAATTTCATTAATACGATTAATGTTATAAAATAAACTTACAATCTTAAGTTTCTTTTTTTTCCCCTAAGAGACAAGGTCTCATTATGCTGCCCAGACTGGACTCAAAATTCCTGGGCTCAAACAATCCTCCTGCCTCAGCTTCCTCCAAGTAGCCAAGACTAAAGGCATGTACTACCGTGTCTGGTTTAGGTTTCATTTTTTACTCTACTACAAACTGTTGTTGCTTGTTTTAATTAAGTTCACTTTAAGGGGCACTGTCTCAGAACTGATTATGTTCAAATACTAAGAACATGACAGAACAAACTATTATAGTAAGCTGTGGCTGAGATCATGACCAAAAGGAAAAAATTATCTGTAAAACCAAATAAAACCCATCTGTCCAGATAAGAGAACAGAGTCCAGTAAAATGGGTGAGAAAGAGCCCATAGACAAATGGAAGGACAAGAATTCCTGTGTGAAAATCCTCCTTTATGTGGGATTGGTGGTCTACCCTGGTAGTTTCCAAAGGCAGGGAGGGGGGCTCCTATTTCCCAGTCTGTTTTAATCTGAATCTTTTTTTTAAATGTGTATTTAATATATGTTAGTATAGTAGCACATGTATTTAACTTACAAGTATACATACATTAAGGATATATGATCAACTTTCTTACCAATAAGAGTAAGTGATCATCATGCACACGTATGTTTACTGCAGCACTATTCACAATAGCAAAGACTTGGAACCAACCCAAATGTCCATCAATGATAGACTGGATTAAGAAAATGTGGCACATATACACCATGGAATACTATGCATCCATAAAAAAGGATGAGTTCATGTCCTTTGTAGGGACATGGATGAAGCTGGAAACCATCATTCTGAGCAAACTATCACAAGGACAAAAAACCAAACACCGCATGTTCTCACTTATAGGTGGGAATTGAACAATGAGAACACTTGGACACGAGGTGGGAACATCACACACCGGAGCCTGTCGTGGGGTGGTGGGAGCAGGGAGGGATAGCGTTAGGAGATATACCTAATGTAAATGACGAGTTAACGGGTGCAGCACACCAACACGGCACATGAATACATATGTAACAAACCTGCACGTTGTACACATGTACCCTAGAACTTAAAGTATAATAATAAAAAATAAAAATTAAAAAAAAAGAATAAGTGATCATAAAAACCTGGAGACCATTAGTCTAAACATCTAATTATTACTTCATATACCAGGCTTCACACCCAGGGTGAAGGGTGAAAAACCCCAAGTAAATCCCCAAAGTTGGAGCTGCTTCAGAGAGCACTTCCATTTTGCATTCCTCAGGGAAAGCCCCTGTTTTTCCACTCCCACTAGCAGAAGCTCTGTCGTTCCCAGCTAGATGCCAGGAGAAAAGGGGGAAAAAAGTCGTTTAATTTCATCCTTCCTTTTTCTGTTTCTCCTTTTTGCCTTCCCTGTTGTTCTGTGTAAATAAAGGAAGGAACTAGGCTGGAATGAACAACTCTTTAAAGAACCTTGGCCTAGCCATATGTTCTTGGTCCCTAATTAGTCCTGGGACAAAAACTGTCTCTATTGGTTTTGTTATTCAAACCAACATACCCTCCATCGTTGCTGTCATTTTTGTTTTAATGCAAAAGTTAGGGTATCATATTAAGTATTTTAGTTATTTACAAGTGATAGGTTTCTTATTTTATTGTTTTGACAAAGCAAATGAATCTGGTAAGAAGACACGCACTTGAGTCCACAGTAAGCCACCTGATAGCTATGCAATCCTGGGCAAGTCAGAGTCTGAGCTTCAATTTCCACAACTGCAAGGTGGAAACACCTATGCACATCAAATGGATAATATATACACAAAAGTACTTGTGTTAAGTGCCATTTAAACATTATTAATGAAAGTCTATTAGGAATCCAAAATTGCAAAGTAGTAACTACAACTACAGAAGGACCTTAAAGGTTAAAAATTTCACTAATGGCCGTGCACAGTGGCTCACGCCTATAATCCCAGCACTTTGGGAGGCCGAGGCAGGTGGGTCACTTGAGGTCAGGAGTTTAAGTCCAGCCTGGCCAACATGGTAGAACCCATCTCTACTAAAAATATAAAAACTAGCCAGCTATGGTGGCAGGAGCCTATAATCCCAGCTACTCAGGAGGCTGAGGCAGGAGAATCACTTGAACCCAGGAGGCAGAGGTTGCAGCGAGCCGAGATCACACCACTGCACTCCAGCCTAGGTGACAGAGCGAGACTATCTCTCTAAACAAAAATAATGAGTTTACCAATTAGCTCTAAAACTGCTAAATTTTGTTGTTAATTCTTCCACTGGGAAATGTTTTGTGTAATAACTTTTAAGAGAGTCAAAACAGTCTACAAACATGGTAACTAACAAACTGCTGTCCTGACAAAATATTTTATTCCCACCAAATAATCTCTATTTTATTGCTACATATTAAGAAAAACCATCATCCATAATTTACTATTTGTCATATTTAGAAAAAAAATAAGATCAGCTGTACCCTCACCCAGAATTCAGTTTCGCTTTTTCACATTTCTGGAACTTACTCTTTTACAACAGACATAATAAAAATAGTACTAAATAATTCCTGATTCTCATGAAAATTACATTATCTGCTGTATAAATAATAACAGTACCTCTTGGCAAGTCTTTAGAGAATGCTTTGGCATAGTATACAGTCTGCTCTCTGGAGGTATAGGCATTGAGATGAGCACCCATATTTTCAATCTCAAGTTCCAGATCTAACTGGGATCTCTTCTTGGTGCCCTTGAAATAAAAGAGGAAAAACAAATTATGCAAACTCCCTTTATACTTCATCTATTCTACTTCAGATAATGAATATGGAGGACATAAGTTAGTTTCATGCAGGGTCAAATTTGGTTTCTAAAGTACATCAGGTATGGTACGATGGCTCACACCTGTAACCCCAGCACTTTGAGAAGCTGAGGCAGGCAGATTGAGCCCAAGAGATCGAGGCCAACATGGCAAAACCCTATCTCTATGAAAAAACAAACAAACATATATATATATATAGATACTCCCAGCTACTCCAGAAGTAAATGTGGGAGGATGGCTTGAGCCTAGGAGGCGGAGGTTGCAGTAAGCAGATTGCGTCACCGCACTCCAGCCTAGGCAACAGAGCCAGATCCTATCTCAAAAAAAATTAAATAAAAAAAAATAAGGTACATCAGGCTTCAGAAATGGTATACGTTCAGATAACTCCTGCATCCCAAGAGAAAGTTTTCATTTCAGCTTTACAAAGCAATTATCACTACTTATTTTAGATACTGTCCTGGAAAAATAAACATAAAACATGTTATACTACTGAAAGAGCTCTCCCTGCCTCTAAAGAATGAGACTTTGTGCTTATTATCTCTTAAAGAGAGTGCATTTTTGTAAAGTCTTACAACTTGCCTTGAAAGCCATATGCTCCAGAAAGTGTGCTGTTCCATTGTTCTTCTCATTTTCGTATCTACTTCCAGCATCAATCCAGAGTCCAACCTTAATGCAATCAAAGAACAATTAAATAAATTCATTTTATTTATTTGAGGTTGGGGGGAACAGTCTCCTTCCTTTTTCTGACAAATGCTTTCTGGTCTTAACACTAAGATTTTCTTGACCTGAGTGAATTGATAGTTCATTCCTGTGAACTATGAGATTTAAAAATTTCGATCAGGATACTGCTGGGTGCTACAAGTATCTACCTGCCACCTTCAATGAGGATTCTTTGCCCAACTCATTAATCCAGCCAATTAATAACTGTAGTATCAAGAACATCAGAGACTGTCAGAAAACTTCGGTTGAAATCCTGGCTCTGTCATGTATTAGCTGAGTTACCTGAACAAAACCATTTAACTTCTCTCACTTCCTTAACTATAAAACAGGTGTGAGGATGCCCACTACAAACAATTGCTTTTTATCAAATAAGACATCAGTAAAAACACTTGGCAGAGTAGCCCTGCAAACATATTTCTTTCATTATTATCAATACTACTGAAAATAAATAATCAATAATAAGCTACAAGAACAAGATGCAGACAATGCAACAGGATACATATGCACCCTGTAACTAAGTACCACTGGAAGAAAAGGTTCACAACTCATGGAAATCTGTCAAGGCAAAATAACTGTCACCCTTTTTGAACCACCAGCCAACGAAAAAGCTAAAGATTAAAATCAACAATTTGCTACGCTAAATGAAGGGTCACTTAGAGAAGGTTGCCTGAGTCACTTACTGTGCATGTTGAGAGCCCAGAGTCTTCCGAAGCTACTCTGAGTCCACTTTCTAAACATGTTACTCTTGTTTCAGGAACATTCAGAACAACTTGGGTAGCAGCCTGTGTACTTCTTAATCTGTTCTCTCCAAAATATAATGACTGGTTGGGGGTAGGAAGTGGAAGAGACAAAGCAAAACACATTACTAATCTGATATTAAATGTTGCTTTTAAAACCAAATCTATTTTAAATAGGCTGTCTCTATAAAAGAATCTTTCTTCTTGAATTTTGGTTCCACTGAGATCTCTGCCTGGCCTAGAAACATCTGTCACCAGCCACTGTCCTAAAGCCAGCAACGTGTTTATAAACATGCCCTTCCCTCAGGGAAGATGAGCAATTATTATCATTACCCAGAGAGAAATTGACTTTATTTCACTACCTCTCCTAGAAATGTTTTATATTCATTATGGAGAAAACAAGCAGGAAAAAAAAAAAGAGAGGGAAACTATGTAAAACTACCTACACACAAGACAAAACTGACACTCGGGTTTTCATTGTTCAAGAAAAGCAACAGGGTTTGGAAATGGTTAAAAAAAAAAAGAGAGAGAGGATAGGAAGATGGGTCGATGTTCAAAATGCAAATGACTGGCTTTTCGGCCAGAAACTATTCGCCTTTCAGCAGTTTTTCTTTGCCCTTATACAAAAGTCTCACATCCCTTTGCTTAAAGTCAGAGGCTCTCTCATGAGAAAAATGCAAATACATAAAAAATTTTACTTCATTGATGTCCAGGTTCGCGGGAAGCCCAGCTGAGGACGAAGTTCAGTCTTAGGCAAAAATAGAACTCTGGAGCGGTACCCATTTCACTTTTTAGTTTTCCCCAATTTGCAAGCACTACGTTTTTAGTGGTCAAACATGCACTCCTCAGTAGCTGGCGGGAGGAGCCGAAAACCAGGGTCATCCCACACGTCACTAGCAGGTCTCCTGGCGGGTGGCCACAAGCCAGTCACCCCCGGCCAGTTCAGCAGCCCCAGGCCGCCTGGCGCCCGGCGGGTCCGGGTCGAGGAGGCCCTGCCCGACCCACTGTTCGGATCTGTGGCGCCGACTCTCAGGTGCGCTGCGCCGGGTCTGGCGAGATCTCGAGGACAGGACCGGCCTGGAGGGAAGCTCACCCGTCCCGCAGCGCCTCGGATTAGAAGACTCTCGCTGAAACCCCAGAGCCGCCGCCGCGCCGCGGATGACAACACCACTCGAGCCGCCGCAGCCGCCATTTCTGCTAGAAGGAAGGTAGAGGATGAAGGATGTGCTTCCGGGGTCGCGACCTGAGGTCCCAGAGCAGGGAGGTGGGCTCCACCTTGTGGCCGTGATGGGAATGACACTCCTCGAAGCGGTTGTGAAAGCAATCAGGGCCCGACCATGATGCTGAGCGGTCTTTACCAAATGAATTGGGGAGTCTGCAGAAGCCCCTTTATCATCAGTTATTTTATCGATCGCCTACTAAGTGCAAGGCACAAATGCGGTGGAATGAAAGGTAACCTGATGCAATATATCTCACTGGTGGATGGAATTGATTGAAAACAGTGGAATAATATTCATAAGTCACTGCCTTTAAAGGAAAAGTCTAGTGGGAGAGACAGATGCCGTGAGGGGAGGAAACGATGTATCCGTGTTGACCACTATCCACTCTTCGAACCTCTACAATATGGCTCATCTCATTCCATAGAAATTGCCCTTGGTAAGGTCACTAATTGCTAAAAGTTGGACACTTTACAGACTTATGTTACAGTCCTGTTGGAGGATTTGACATTGTTGGCTTCTTTGAAATTCTCTTTTCTCAATATATTCTAGAGCTCCACCTCCTCATAGTTCCCTCTGCACCTTCTTGGACTCCTCTTTATTCACAGATCTGTTTTTTGTTTTTGTTTTTGTTTTTGAGATGGAGTTTCACTCTTGTTGCCCAGGCTGGAGTGCAGTGGTGCAATCTCAGCTCACTGCAACCTCTGCCTCCTGGGTTCAAGCAATTCTCCTGCCTCAGCCTCCCAGGTAGCTGGGATTACAGGCATGTGCCACCACGCCTGGCTACTTTGTATTTTTAGTAGAGATGGGGTTTCACCATATTGGTCAGGCTGGTTTTGAACTCCTAACCTCAGGTAATCCACCCACCTCCACCTCCCAAAGTGCTAGGATTACAGGCGTGAGCCACTGCGCCCAGCCCACAGATCTCTCAAGGAACTAAAAATTGCAAATGCTTTTCTAACTCAGGTAGATGGTATAGTGCTTATTTTGCAATTAAGACACTGAAGTCAAATAACTTGCCCCAGGTTACCCTGCTAGTAATAGGTTAACGCCAAAGACTGTGCTGTGAAACACTACATTTTGCCCTAAAAGTTGGTGTTTGCCAGGACTCTAAGCCTCTTCTACTGAACATTCTCCCTCTGGGTTTTTCCCTCCACTTCAAGACCTGTCTGCCCAACCCAGGCCTTTCTCTTGAGCTCCAGCCCACTTAACCATCAACTACTAGGAAACTACACTTGAATACCCCATTGGAAACTCAATATCAACTTGTCCAAAAGGGAATTCACTGTGTCCCCTGAATCTCTTCCCATATTTGCAATGCCAAACAGCCAATCATACCTACATTTGCCCAAAACTCCAAACCACCCAGAAGCTCCTCTCTTTTTCCATCTTCCACATTCAATTGATACACCCCTTTCCTGCCTCTTCAATCTACTCCAGGCCCATTGTCAGTTTTTTCACATTACTACCTATAGGATCTTTTACAAATGAAACTGTTACGGCAGTCCCATTATGAAGAATCCATCAGGGAGCCCTTGGTCACAATAAAGTAAAGGGTCCTTAGCATGGCAGGTGGGGCCCTTCATGATCTGACTCCCATTTATCTTTCCAGACTCATCTCCCTCCACCTACCCGGCTGCTATGCTTCGCAGGTTCAGTCCACAAGACTCATGATGTAATGTAATAAAGGACGACCAAGGTTATTCTCTCATGTTTCTAAAACAAATGTGTGTTAACCAAAAATAAATACAAACATGCATACATATATACAAAAACATGTAGGTATAATCACAGGAAGCACCTAGGAAGTTTTAGCAAGAATTTGTATTCAATTCTAATATACTTCATGGTATTAATTTATTAGTCATTATTTACAGTCAATATCTTAGAACATAAAGCCTACAGAAATTAAGTGCACCAGAGTAGAGCCAAGAAATCAAAGAATTTGACTACTCCCAAAATAGCCCTACACCCACAACAGTATCCATAACTTTTTTTCTTTTTTTTTTTTTTGAGACGGAGTTTCTCTCTTGTTGCCCAGGCTGGAGTGCAATGGTGCAATCTCAGCTCACTGCAACCTCCGCCTCCGGGGTTCTAGCAATTCCCTTGCCTCAGCCTCCCAAGTAGCTGGGATTACAGGTGCCCACCACCACACCCGGCTACTTCTTGTACTTTTAGTAGAAACGGGGTTTCACCAGTTTGGCCAGGCTGGTCTTGAACTCCTGACCTCAAGTGATCCTCCCGCCTCAGCCTCCCAAAGTGCTGGGATTACAGGCGTGAGCCACTGCACCTGGCCTATTTTAAATGATTTCTTCACTGACTGGATTTTACTGGCAGAGTCATTGCTATTTTTGTTGTTTGGAAATTTTAATCATGGATGTCATATTCCTTTAATTCTTTCATGTTTGAGGATGTCTGCTTTTATCTTTATACTTGAATGACATTTTTGTCTGGATTTAATATTGTTGGGTCACAGTTTCATTTTCTCAGAATTTTATAAACATTACTCCATTATGCTCTTGAGTTAAATGTTTTGGAGAAGTCTGAGGCTAGCCAGATTTTTTCTTTTTTTACCACCCTTAAATGTGACCTGTTTTATCTGCCTAAAAACCTAAAAAATTATTCTTGAAGTTCAGTAACTTAACTAGGCTATATCTTAATGTTGAGTAATTTTTGTGTTGTGATTTTTATCAAAATTTTCAAAAACATAATATGTTTTCATTCTGCAGTTTCACTTCTTCCTTCATTTTAGAGAAAGTCTCTTTGAATACATATTCTGGCATTCCATTCAGTATGTTATCTTTTCAAGGACTGCAGCTCTCCTTATGCTGAATGACTTTATCTGTCCTTCATATTTATTAGCATCTCTCTAACTTTTTAAAGCTTTGTCATTTTCCTCTACTTTTTTTGTGATTATCTCAAGACACAAGTAGGCCTACGCAAACATGCCCTACTAATTTTTAGCAAACGTGCAGAGGCAATTCAATAGATGAAGAATAGCATTTCAACAAATGCTGCTGGAACAATTAGATGTTCATATCCACGGCTCCCCGCTCCCCAACTCCCAATGAACCTAAACCTCACACTTTATACAAAAATTAACTCAAAATAAATCATGGATGCAAATATGTGACATAAAACTATAAAACTTTTAGAAAAACACGTAGGATAAAATATTTGGGATATAGGAATAGACAAGGAGTTTTTAGACCTGATATCAAAAATATAATGCTTAAAACAAGATTAAAGCCAGGCGCGGTGGCTCACGCCTGTAATCCCAACACTTTGGGAGGCCAAGACAGGCAGATCACCTGAGATCAAGAGATCGAGACCATCCTGGCCAACATGGTGAAACCCCTTCTCTACTAAAAATACAAAAATTAGCTGGGCATGGTGGCACGCACCTGTAGTCCCAGGTATTGAGAGGCTGAGGCAAAAGAATCGCTTGAACCTGAGAGGCAGAGGTTGCAGTTAGCTGAGATCGTGCCACTGCACTCCAACCTGGTGACAGAGGAAAACTCCATCTCAAAACAAACAAACAAACAAAAAAAACAAGATTAAAAGCTTTTGCTCTAAAAAAGATGCTGTTAAGAGGATGAAAAGACAAGCTACAGACTGGGAGAAAATATTTGCAAACCACATATTCAGCAAAGGACCTGTGTCTGAATTATGCAAAAAAACCCTCTCAAAAACAGTGAAAAAAAATGGGCAAAAGACATGAACAGACATTTCACTGAAGGAGAAATACAGATGGCAGATAAGCACATGAAAAGATGTCCAATATCATCAATCATTACAAAATGCAAATTAAAATGATGAGCTATCGCTACACATGTAGCAGAATGGCTCAAGTGAAAAACAGCAATAACACCACATGCTGGCAAGGATATAGAAAAACAAGATCACTCATACATTACTAGTGGGAATATAAAACTCCAGAGTAGTACAGCCACTTATTATACAACCCAGTAATTGAACTCCTGGGCATTTATCCCAGAAAGATGAAAACTGAAGTTTACACAAAAACATCTACACATATATTCATAGCAGCTTTACTCATGATAGCCAATAATTGGAAATAATGCAAATGTCCTTCAACAGGTGAATGGTTAAACACACTGTGGTACATTCGTACCACGGAATACTACTCAGCTCTCAAAAGGAATGAACTACTGATAAATGCAACAACTTGAATGGGCCTCAAGGGAATTATGACAATACCAAAAGGTTATATGCTATATGATTCCATTTATATAACATTCCTGAAATGACAGAATTATAGAGATGGAGAATAGACTCGTGATTCCCCAAGGGTTGGACTGGGGAGGGGAGAAGCGCAGGGACAAGAGGGAGATGAGTATGGCTATGAAAGCGTGGCATGAGAGGTTCTTGAAGCAATGGGACCATTCTCTATTTCAACTGTGCTGCTAGTTACACGAATGTACACATGTAAAATTGCATAGCATTAAATACACACAAATGAACGCACATAAAACTGGTAAAATATGAATCAGTTCAGTGTATCGTATCGACGTCAATTTCCTGGTTGTGATATTGTTTCTATTCATGCAAGATGTTATTGTTGGGGCAAACTGGATGAAAAGTATATGGGATCTCTCTGTATTATTTCTTACAGCTACAGGTGGACCTACAATTATCTCAAAATAAAAAGTTTAATTAAAAAAAATGAGGTTACATTTCCAAAACCTTTTTCTTTTTATGGGAAGGGGACAGTGGGAGAAGAATACTGCTTTCTATCTGTTGACAATTATGTATTATAGTCATGCATTCAAGTACACACACACACATCACCAGAGCTCTTACACAAATTGAAATAGGAAGAGAATCTCAGAATTGTTCATCTGGCCATAATTAATAGCATAATAAAGGAAACTGAAGATGAATTGGAGCAAAAAAATCTTTGCATGTTTCATAAAGCGTTTCTGATCCAGCCTTATCTACAATGGTTGCTGGTGATGAGGGAGTGATTAGTGTGCTATGAGATGTGTAATGTGACAGTTTGAGTAGCTCCCTGTGTCTGGCTGTGGTGCTGGCAGCCTTTGTACATAGTCTGGTGTCATTGAAGTGCTTCGGCTTTATTCCTTTTTGTCTCCTGCCTCTTGATGGAGGTTACACTGAGTAGGAAGCAGTCCCTGAGTTGAATGTATAATCACCACGGGAACTAAGGCTACAGTTAATCCCTGGGAATGTGGCCCATGGCCCCCATATGCCTTTTGTCAAAATCCTTCTTGTGCACTGTTTTCTCCTTTTTCTTTTCTTTTCTTTTTTTTCTTTTTCTTTTTTTTTTTTTTTAAGATGGGGTCTCTCTCTGTTACCCAGGCTGGAGTGCAGTGGCATGATCACAGTTCACTGCAACCTCTGCCTCCTGGGTTCAAGCTATCCTCCCACTTCAGTAGCTGGGATTGCAGGTGTGCACCACCACGCCTGGTTGATTTTTTGTATTTTTTGTAGAAACAGGGTTTTGCCATATTGCGCAGGCTGGTCTCAAACTTCTGGACTCAACCGATCCACACGCCTCGGCCTCCCAAAGTGCTGGGATTACAGGTGTGAGACACTGCACCCAACCTTCTTGTGCACTTTTTAATGTTCTGAATGTTTCTGAGTTTGAGTGAGTGTATATGTCCCTCCCCATGTGTGTATATGCTTTATTGGTTAGCTGATTTGTCCTTGAGGACAGAAGCAGAAGAAAATATGGGCACTTTATGCAAACAATTTCACATCCTTCAAGCTTCTGCTTTGTGCCTATTAGAAACCAACTATTATATAATCAAGGATTTCTTTAAAACTCCCACTTATCCCCATGCAAGCCACTATATCTCTTCTATAGGAAACTAAGCCCAGCCTGTATGATACTAGTGAAACCTGATTTTTTATCTTCATCAACTTCATTTCCCCATGGTCATTGATGATCCCAAATTGTGAAGCTCTTTCTGTGCTCACTGGTCTTTCTGGGATGGTTGAATCATGAATTGTTTCCTCATTTTGTTCTCCAGAATTCCTCTATTTGGTGCTCCTTGATTGACCCTGGATTGACGTGTACTGAGAGTTTCTGCCCCAACTTCCATTCATTCTACAAACCTTCCTGGAGATTCTGTATATCTGTTGTGGAGACCAGCAGGGCCTTCTAGACAAATGTCTTGCTCTAGATGTCTCCAGGGGTACCTTTAGCAAGAGGCTTGGTAAGGTGGAAGCGGGGGAAAGGGAACAGAGCCCAGATTCTAATTTCATGAGGGAAAGCTTTAGTAAAGATCTCAACACAAATTTTCAAGAATACCAAATCGCTTGGGTCCCAAAATGCTATTATTGAGATGAGTATAAAATTCTTACAGAAGTCAACCGAACCTATTTTCAACATCCGCTCAGTTGTCTGGTATCTGAAAACATAATAGGAGATTCAGAAAATGCAGGGATGGTGATTCTCCAATTAAGTAACCTAGAGCATTGCTTTAGTATTGACTTCCAGGGAGAAAAGGTAGTCTACTCAGTTCTATTTTCTATCTGCCTGGATCACCTACATGCATCCTCCCCTTTTCACTCCTGGCTGATTTCACTAGTTTTGGGTGGAGAGCTCTTATCTTGCAGTAGAAATTTAATGGTAAAAGTATTTTTTTTAATTCCCATCAAATCTATAGGGTGGCATGAAACTCTTCTATTATTGATCTCTTTTTAGTTTTAGTTTGTGATAGGCAGAATTCTAAGATGTCCCCCAATAATCGAAGCCCCTTTATAATCCCCTCCCTATGGAATCTTATTCCTATGATTAGGTTACATTATACAGCAAAGGTGAAGGGATTTTTCAAATGTCAAGAAAGCTCCTAATCAATTGACTTTAAGTTAATCACCTAGGAGGTTATCCTGGGTGGACTTTACCTAATCAGTTGAACCCTTTGTTAGAAGATCTAGAGGTAAGAGATTCTCCCTGCTGGCCTTAAAGAAGCAAGCCACCAGGAGTTCTACAGCTGCCAGGAAATGAATTCTTCCAACAGCTTTGTGAACTTTGAAGAGGACCCCAAACCTTAGATAAGACCCCAGCCCTGGCTGATGCATTGATTGCAGCTTTGTGAGACCCTGAGCAAAGGACCCATTCTCGGACTCTTGACCCATGAAAACTGTGAAATACCATAAGCCACTAGGCTCATGTTAACTTATAATGCAGCAATATAGACAAATACCCTATTTAATCTCCAAAAGTGTCTGGGTGCAGTGGCTCATGCCTGTAATCCCAGCACTTTGGGAACCTGAGGGGGGCAGATCCCTTAAGGCCAAGAGTTCAAGACCAGCCTGGTCAACATGGTGAAACTCCACCTCTACTAAAAATAGTAAAATATTAGCTGGATGTGGTGGCAAGCATCCGTAATCTCAGCCACTCGGGAGGCTGAAGCATGAGAATCACTTGAACTCAGGAGGCAGAAGTTGCAGTGAGCTGAGATCGCGCCACTGCATTCCAGCCTGGTCAACACTGCGAGACTCTGTCTCAAAAAAAAAAAAACCTCCAGAAATGTGGCAGTCTGTTGCAGAGTGGCTGTTTTGTTACCTTGCTTTTATTGCCAGTCTCTTTCAATATGTCCTACCAACTAGACAAGGATAGACAGAAAAGAAAAAAAAAAAATACCACTTAATATCAGGTTCTAAGCCTATATTTTGCATATCAAAGGAGTATAAATAGAAATTCCTACCTTGATCTCCCATTTCCTGCCCAAAATATAAGTTTTTCCCATCTAAGACAATTCATTACCAGATTCTTTTTTGTTTGTTTGTTTGAAATGGAGTTTCGCTCTTGTTGCCCAGGCTGGAGTGCAATAGCACAATCTCAGCTCACCACAACCTCCGCCTCCTTGGTTCAAGTGATTCTCCTGCCTCAGCCTCCCGAGTAGCTGGGATTATAGGCGTGCACCACCACGCCCAGCTAATTTTGTATTTTTAGTAGAGATGGGGTTTCTCCATGTTGGTCAGGCTGGTCTCAAACTCCCGACCTCAGGTGACCCACCTGCCTTGGCCTCCCAAAGTGCTGGGATTACAGGCGTGAGCCACCAGTCCCGGCCATCAAATTCTGTTAATTCTACCTCTAAAATGTATCCCAAGTCCATCTTTTTCTTTCAATCCCCATTCCACACTAGTTAAACCACCATCACTTACGATCCAGACAATTAAAACCAGCCTCCTACCTGGCTTCTCAGCATTGCCTCTTTCCCTCCTCTAACTCATTCCTGACCAGTCCAAAGTGATACTAAAATGCTGGGGGGAAGATTACATCACTTCAAAGGTGCCCCATTGTCCAAAATCCAGAGTGATCTGGGCCCTCAAAATAATCTTTTTTTTTTTCTTTTTTGAGACAGACTCTTGCTCTATCACCCAAGCTGGAGGGCAGTGGCGTGATCTCGGCTCACCACAACCTCCGCCTCCTGGGTCAAGCAATTCTCCTGCCTCAGCCTCCCGGGTAGCTGGGATTACAGGCACACACCACTGTGCCTGGGTAATGTTTGTGTTTTTAGTAGACAAAACACTATAGGGTTTCACCATGTTGGCCAGGCTAGTCTCAAACTCCTGACTTCAGGTGATCCACCTGTCTCGGCCTCCCAAAGTGCTGGGATTACAGACATGAGCCACTGCACCTGGCCTCAAAATAATCTTGACCTGTTTTTCTCATGCGCAATACAAGTGGGTTTATTTGTTCGGTTTGTTTGGAGTTTTAATGGATCTTTTCCTTCCTATTTTTATTGATATTTTTAAAAAATAGAAAATAATGTGCTTTCAACAAACTCATAGATCTAATAAGTGATTATGGCAAGGTTGAATTATAGCAAGGTTAGAGGATACAAGATTAATACTTTAAAAGACCGTTGCTTTCCTTTATACCAGAAATGAACAATTGGAATTTGAAATAAACAGATATATCATCACTAATAAAAGAAAAAAGAACAAATAGGTTTAAACAAAATATTCACAAAAGCTATATAAGGTAAACTACAAAACTTTGACGAAATAAATCAAAGAAGATCTAAATAAATGGAGAGATAGTCCGTGTTCATGGATAGGTAGACTCAATATTGTGAGGATGTCTGTTCTTCCCAACTTGATCTATATATTCAATGCAAACACAACCAAAATTCCAGCCAGTTACTTGTGGCTAAGAACAAACTGATTCTAAGGTTTATTTAAAGGCAGAAAACCCAAAATAGCCAACACAGTATTAAAGAGGAAAAACAGTCAGAGGACTTACACTACCCAACTTCAAAACTTACTACAGAACTATAGTAATAAAGACAGTGTACTATTGGCAAGAGAATAGACAATTAGATAAATGGAACAGAGAGCCCAGAACTAGGCCCACATAAATATAGTTAAATGACCTTTGACAATGGAACAAAGGCAATTCAGTGGAGAAATAATAATCTTTTCAACAAATGGTACTAGAACAACTGAATATCCACATGTAAAATAATAAGTCCAAACACAGACCTTAAATCTTTTGCAAAAATTAACTTAAATGGATCATAGACTTAAATACAAAATGCAAAACTATAAAACTTCTAGAAAGTAACAGGAGAAAATCTAGGTAGTTTTGGTGTTTTAGGTACAACACCAAAAGTACAATCCATTAACAAAAAAATTAACATGATGGACTGCATGAAAATTAAAAACTTCTGTGAAAAATATTGTTAAGAGAATAAAATGACTAGCCACACTCGGAGTAAATATTTGCAAAAACACATATCGGATAAAGGATTCGTATTTCAAATATACAAAGAGCTCTTAAAACTCAACAGTAAGGAAAAGACAAATTATGGGCAAAGGATCTCTCTGAACAGATACTTAAAGATATACAGATGGCAAATAAGCATATGAAAAGATGCTCAACATCACATGTGATTAGGGAGTCGCAAATTAAAACATGAGCTACAACTACATACCAATTAGAAGAGCTAAAATTCAAAACACTAGCAATGCTAATGCTGGTGAGGATGTGGAGCAATAGGAACTCTCATTCATTGCTGGTGGAATGCAAAGTGGTACAGCCATTTAAAAAGATAGTTTGTCAATTCCTTTCAAAACCAGCATAGTCTTATCATATGATCTAGCAAGTATGTTCCCGGGTATGTACCCAAGTGAGTTAAAGTTTTATGTCCACTTAAAAATCTGCACATGACTGTTGACAGCAGCTTTATTCATAATTGCCAAAACTTAGAACTAAGATGTCCTTCAATAGGTAATGGATGAACAGTCTGTGGTACATCCATTATCCATACAATGGAATATTTTTCAACAATAGAAAGAAATGTACTATCAAGCTGTGAAAAGACTTGGAGGAATCTCAAATACATATTGCTAGTGAAAAATGAGCTATACACTGGGTGGTTCTAATTATATGACATTCTGGAAAAGGCAAAATTACAGAGATGGTAAAAAGATTGGTGGTTTCCACGGTTTGGGGGGAAAGAGGGAGAAATGAAGGGATGGCGCACAGGTGATACTTAGGCCAGTGAAATAACTCTGTGATGCTACTGTAGTAGCAGACACATGAAATCATGCATTTGTCAAAACTCATACTACTTTGCAACTCAGAGTAAGCTACAATGTAAACTATGGACTTTTTGGTCAATAATGCACCAATATTGATTCATCAATTGTAACTAATGCACTACAATAATGCAATAGTTTAATAATAGCGGAGACTGCCAGTGTGGGGGAGAGGGGATATACGGGACTTCTAGATTTTCTACTCGATTGTTCTGTAAACCTAAAACTGCTCTAAAAATAGCCTCTTAGTAAAACAACAACAACAATGAGATACCGCTTAACAACCACTGCGATGGCTATAATTATAATTACAATAACAAGTTGGCAAGGATGTGGAGAAATTGGAACCCTTATATATTGTCGGTAAGAATATAAAATGGTGTAGTCTGGCCATTGGTGAAAAGGATAAAAAAAGGTTACTTACTATATGACCCAGCAATTCCACTCCTAGGTGTACACCCAGGAAAAATGAAGAGATATGTCCACACAAAAACCCGTACACAAATGTTCATAGCAGCATCATTCATGATAGGCAAAAAGTGGAGACAACCCAAATGCCCATCAACTGACAAATGGATAAATAAAATGTGGCATATCAATATAATGGAAGATTATTCAGCTATAAAAAATGAAGTACGATAAATGTTACAGCATGGATGAACCTTGAAAACAGGATGCTAAGAGAAAGAAGCTGGTCAAAAAGGATTACATGTTATATGATCCCATGCATGTGAAATGTCCAGCATAGAAATATCCATAGAGATGGAAAATTAGTGCATGCCAGAGGCTGGAAGGAGGGAGGAATGGAAATGACTGCAAGTATGTATGGGGTTTCTTTTAGGAATAGTGAAGATTTAAATTCTGTTAACACTTATAACTAAGACACCGCACTAGCCCTTTAAATATTTCCAAATTTTAATTTTTTAAAAAAAGTCTACCTTGCTTTTTTTGAACCCAGGTATACAGCCTTAATTAAGAAATATGAAAGCTGCAAAACTCGATGGTTTTTCTACTAATGGATTATAAATTGTCACCAATAAGTATCTCAAAAAGGGTTTCAATGGATGGTACCAAAGATGAGAGCGTTTTAAAGTTTCATATTTATCTTTAGGGGATGGGTCCATACCTATGCGAAAGCAGAGCTCTGCTGACCCCAACAAGTCTGGTGGTCTTGATATAAACACTTATTATTTATTTAGGGCTGTCTCACTCTCCTCCTTATTCTCTAGTTGCCATTTAGGCTACTGGTAGATAGAAGTAATTAGAAAATAGGAACAAGGAGGCCCACCCTACTTAGAGACTGGGCAGTGGAGGTGAGAAGGAATCAGAGGAATAAAGTTCAGGGATAAGGGGGAGGCCAGGTTGGGGCTGGGCCGAAGAGATGAGAGAGAGATGAGCTCAGCCCTCTGGGTGGGCAATGACAAGTGTAGGTACTAGAGGACAAACTGTGGGATAGATTGCAGAGTAAGACCCTCAGGGTGGAGTCTGAACACACAGCTGGAGGCAGAGGAGGAGGGAAGGAAAAAAGTGGTAAAAAGAGATCTTAGTACAGGCCACTGTATGACTTAGCAGGTGCATCTACCTAAATATTTGTACAAATACCAACTAGAATCAAATAAGTTTAAAAGACCTTATTTAGGCCATGTCATCCAAAGTATTTTATAGTTGAGGAAATCAGAACTAGAGAAACAAAGTAAATTGGCCAAAGCACACTGGGCCTAGTCTAGTGATATATCTTCAACTCTATATTATAATCAAAGTTCCATCTTAAATCAACCTAAAATATTATATTATGTAAAATACAGCACACAGATTCATTATGTATCATTGGCACTTTTACTATGTTTTGCATTTAATCTGCCCATAAATATTCTGAAACTCATTCTTTAAATCATTTCCTGTTTGCCCCAAAAATACTCATCTCTAATCCTACTGTAACATCATCATCTACATTTCTGTTACATTAGGATTAGAGACAAATTCTGTTTATAAATAACTCTAAGAACAGTTTTTATATTTCATTTTCATGTTGAAAATCAGTCAGATTTGCTTCAGCATCAAATAAAGTGTTTATGTACAACTAAATGAGCACTGGCAGCAAGCTGCACTTTTTTTTTTACTAAATGGGGAAAATGGACTAATATAGTAGAGGCTTTTGCTTATTGATATTGAATGTAGTAATTCTTATATTAGTTACTTTGGTGGTAAATAAAAATAATCTCAATATGATGGAGTTTGTACATGGTATATTACCATCAAATCCAGGGAAAAATGGATTTTGTAGATTTGGGGATGTGGTACATGTATATAAGTATAGTTGTGTATATGTTGGTTAAGTCATTTAACAGTGATAACTGAGTACCAATCTGGTTCAAATGAATGTGCATATACTATGCAATTGTGCAGTCTCTCTACTTGGAGCTGAAAGAATCTCCCAATTAATTTATGGATCACCTCCCTCCCTTTGAATAAGACACGCCTTCATAAGGCATGTCTTATCTGATAAAGGCCTGGAGTTGTTTTTAAGGTATGTCGTATCTGACATAGGCCTGGAGCACTACACTACCAGGGCATGGGTGGCTTACAGAGCTCTAGTTTTTTGGTTTTGGGGTTTTTTTGGGGGGTTAGGAGTGGGGAGTGGATAGCCCCCTCATGGACACAGAAAATAGATTGGAACTCTTGGAAATTCCAACTTGTTATTACAGATGCCTTTCTTCCATAGTCCAAAAGACAGCATTGTGCAAAGTATCACTTACAGATGCATTTACATCTAAACTTGCTGTATGCTTCACGGCAAGTTGGTGTCTTTCCACTTTCTCCTTGATGAAGACCTGCATCCAATATGAATTTAAAGAGGCTCTGTAAAGTAATTCGATAGCAGCAAATATGCTATTTAAAAATGAGTCAATCCAAGATATGTAAATCCAAGAAAGGTTTTAGACTGAAGCAGTTGTTTTATAAAATACACATGTCCAAAGACACTTTTTTAGTGGAGGCAACTTGCTGAAGAAGAATTTGAAAGGATCTTTTAACATTTATAAGCAGACCATTTGAAATTACCTAGAAAATAAGTAAGCTCCAAGAAGAACATACCTATGGCTATCCTATTTTTCGAAGGCAAAAATGGAGCTACAAAATTAAACAAAGGATGTATTTCATGTTTGAATTTGTAGAAAAAGTCTTAGAAAGGTATAATGAAAATAAATAAAATTACTAAATAAAATAACTATGAGATCCTAAGAATTTTGCCACCATCTTTGGGAATAACTAATGCTGATAAAGTAGAGACTAATACTTTGGTGCCAATTCCAACTCCTTGCACTGTACAAAGGGGGAAAAGTATCTTAATGCATAAGAAATTATGAGACAGCACAAATAAAAACCAATCTTTTATGCAGAAAGTTTCAATTAAAGTGAAATTCACATTTTAAATTACCAAATTATAACCGGAAAAGTTTGTAATGTTTTCAAAATGGTCTTTGCTAAACTACCTCTATCTAGCCTGGAGGCTAGAGATGGAACTTAACTATCCACTTAAATTATATATATGTATTTGTGCAAAGTTAAAACTTTAAATCTAATAAATTATTCGAATCAATTAAAACAAAGTCATTATTATTTGGAAAACTAAATCTTGGCCATGATGAATATCTTAATTATTTTGACATATGAAATATGCAATGTAATTTTTATGTGGGGTTACATTTGGAATTTTCCTACATTTCATATTTAGTAAATGGATTTATTATAAGAACAGTGATTTTTTTTAAAGAATGAATTTAATAAGTAACTAAGTTTTGAAATTTTGATTTACAGATCATTATTGCCATCTGCTGGTTACATAGTTTAATTGCATTTTTTAAAATTCCCAATTGTTTTACTAAAAGACAAAGGAAAAACTGAGGCAAGTTTTAGGTATCCATAACCGGATTAGAGATCTCTATGTAAGACAGATAATTTGCAGCCAGGTGCAGTGGCTCATACCTGTAATCCCAATACTTTGGGAGGCAGAGGCGGCATGAATGCTTGAGGCTAGGAGTTTTAGACCAGCCTGGGCAACATAGTGATACCCCATCTCTACAAAAATAAACAAATTAGCTGTGTGTGGTGGCCTGCACCTGTAGTCCTTGCTACTCAGGAGGCTGAGGCAGGAGGATACCTTGAGCCCAGGAGTTCAAGGTTTCAGTGAGCACCATCACACTTTAGCCTGTGTGACAGTGAGACCCTATCTTGAGAAAAAAAAAAAAAGCTAAATAATATGCAGCCGACACATGAAAAAATGCTCATCATCACTGGCCATTAGAGAAATGCAAATCAAAACCACAATGAGATACTATCTCACACCAGTTAGAATGGCGATCATTAAAAAGTCAGGAAACAACAGGTGCTGGAGAGGATGTGGAGAAATAGGAACACTTTTACACTATTGGTGGGACTGTAAACTAGTTCAACCATTGTGGAAGTCAGTGTGGCGATTCCTCAGGGATCTAGAAGTAGAAATACCATTTGACCCAGCCATCCCATTACTGGGTATATGCCCAAAGGATTATAAATCATGCTGCTATAAAGACACATGCACACATATGTTTATTGCGGCACAATTCACAATAGCAAAGACTTGGAACCAACCCAAATGTCCATCAATGATAGACTGGATTAAGAAAATGTGGCACATATACACCATGGAATACTCTGCAGCCATAAAAAATGATGAGTTCATGTCCTTTGTAGGGACATGGATGAAGCTGGAAACCAGCATTCTCAGCAAAGTGTCACAAGGACAAAAAATCAAACACCGCATGTTCTCACTCACAGGTGGGAATTGAACAATGAGAACACTTGGACACAGGAAGGGGAACATCACACACCGGGGCCTGTCGTGGGGTGGGGGGAGCGGGGAGGGATAGCATTAGGAGATATACCTAATGTAAATGTTGAGTTAATGGGTGCAGCACACCAACATGGCACATGTATACATATGTAACAAACCTGCACGTTGTGCACGTGTACCCTAGAACTTAAAGTATAATAAAAACATATATATATAAAAGCTAAATCATGAGGCATCTCTGTTTCAAAGATGATAAGATAATGCAAGAATATATTGCATAATTATATGGGCTGGAGAAAAAGCATAATTAATATGGGCTGGAGAAATGGGCTGGGGCTTGGAAGGTGACAGCATTCAGATGGGCAGGGAGAAAAGGATGTAAAAGCCAAGGGATGGCTTTTCCACATGAATAAAGGAATTCAGCAGTTATGATGTCTCAGGCTGTGGACTTCACCTGAAATGACTGAGATGGAAGATTTTGTGCCCGAGGAAGTGGGAAATTAAAGTTGAAAAGGTATATTGGGCAAATATTGAAGGCATTGGTGAGCAAGCCTAGGACTTGACTTGTGGGCCACGAACATTTTTGTGCTGTGTTGCATCAGGAAAAATTAACCTGGCCACAATGAGCCATGCTTTAGACTGGTCAGTTAGGATATGGGAGTTCAATTTGATCCATCATCAAACAGATGGAAAGTGAAGCGGTGTGGGCTCCAGCATGTGGCCCGTGACAGAGGACATGGAAAATGTCAGTGGCCCCAGTGCATCTGTGCCAGCCGCTTTGGCCTCTTGTAGGGCTGTGCGGTGACTGGGAGCTAAGCGCTCCCCTCTTAGTTGGTCCTGGCTGGTGCTGAAAGCGCTTGAGCACACCGCTCCTAGGGCTGATGACTTCTGAGGAACCTTATTGGAAAAGCATTTTCCCCTAAGATTCAGTAAACGCTGTCCCGTGCCAAGGAAGGGGCGTCAACCTGAGGCTCTGGGATCAGACCCACCAGACTCACGCCGGCTCTGCCACGTGTTGCCCGCAGTCTCGGCCCGTTCCCTCCGTGTTGGCAACGGGCACTGACTGTCCGATACCTCAGCGATCGTAGGAGAGCAGAGACGTTCCTAATGCCCGGAGCACCACCGGCGGGCCGGCGGTTCCGTTGGCTTCCCTGACACACTTCCTACAGTCATTTCTTTCAGCTGAGATCTTCCCCTTCAATACCTCGTTAATTAACGTGTAACCTTTTGGTTAAAATGTCAGAGCTAAGACTAAACGCGAAGAAAAGAATGAAACCACGGGAAGTTCTTCAGACTTAGTCGCCAGCAAGGTTATGGCCCGAAGCGGTGCAGGGGCGGCGCGCGGGGAAGCTACTGGCGGAGCTGTGCGCACTGCGGGTGCTGCAGGCGCTGGGGAGAGTGTGGAGAGGCTGCGTGGAGCTGTGCGCTCGGGGTGGGGGCTGCACTCCCAATGAAGCGCGTGAAGGGCAAGCGGTGATGGGTTCTGCGCCAGTGGGGCTGGGAGCCTGTCGGGGGCTGTACGTGAGGCTGCGCGCAAGGTGAGAACTGCGCATGTGGGCTTAGGAACTGCGCGCACCGAAGTCTGCAGGCGCTGGGGAGGGTGTGGGGGGCTGTGCGTGGGGCTGCCCTCACCGGAAGCTGCACGCTCGGGGAAGCGCGGAGGCGGGGGTGCTGCGCGCGCTGGGGAGCACGTGGGGGGACACGCAGGGACTGCCCGCGCGAATGGCTTCCAACGCATGCGCCCCACCCTACATTTCACAGTCGCCATGACGACCAGGAGGTCCGCTAGTCAACGGCTCGTCAACGGCTGCGGGGACAAGTCCGTTGAGGCTGCCAGGCGAGTCAGGCCTTTCTGGACCTCGCCTGACTCGGCTGGGCTGTGCCTGAAATTGACCCAGCTCCACTAGGAATTATGAAGAAACAAGGAGTAAGCCCAAAGCCGCTGCAATCTTCCCGCCCCAGCCCGTCTAAGCGGCCCTGCGGGGCCTCCCCCGCCCGGGAGCGGGAGGTGGAAAAGTCGGCCCTAGGCGGCGGGAAACTGCCGGGGGGCGCCAGGAGGTCCTCCCCGGGGAGGATCCCAAATCTGAAAAAGCGAAAAGGCTTGGAGCTAAAGGTGGTGGCCAAGGCCCTTCTCGGCCCCTTCCAGTTCGTCTGTAATTCCCTGGCGCAGCTCCGGGAAGAGGTGCACGAACTGCAGGCGCGGTGGTTCCCCAGCAGAACCACTCTGCATCGGTAAGGAGAGGTCAGGAGAGCCCTAGGAGGGAGGCGCATCGCGCTTTTCTTCAGTCTTGAAGGAGATCAGTTTAACAAGCAAGGGTTTGTGGGTCCCTAGTAGGAAATAATAGCAAGGTCCGAGTAGACAGAAGTTGGCCAAAAATCTTGTCATTGAACCAGGGGAGAGAGAGAGATAGGGAGTATATTGGTTTGAAGGGCTGTCAGATCGCAGAGAGTGTTTTAAGGTCTAGGAGTTTTAAAGGCTGAGGGGAAGGATCAAGGGAAGAGGATGAGATTAAGATTCCAAGAGAGGAAATAATTAGTGGAGCAAGTCTTGGAATATTTGGAAGGGTAGAATTAAAGGCACAAATGTGAGAAGCTAACTGTGGAAAAGAGGAGAGAGAATTCCTTTTCTGAGATGGCAGGGAGTAGAAAAGCAAGAATTACTATATGGAGAAATGTTAAAGTGGAGATGAAAGAAGCTGGGAGTGCTGGCGTCTAATGGTCTTTGTTTCAGTGAAGTATGAGGCTGGGTCACCTTCAGAGGTGAGATTGATAGGATGCTGGGGTCCAGGGGACATGCTTCTGTCACAGCTTGGAAAGGGCATGTGATAAGCCCTTCAAGCATTTAGAATACTGGCATCATTACACCTTATCATTTTTTTCATATGTGGTATGTGGGTTAAGGGAGGGAGTGAGAGACAGAAAGATTTTGAGCATCTTTGGAAAGCTGGATGAATTTGGTACTATATTTGACCTTTTCCTTATGTATCATCTGAAGAGTTTTTGCCAGTGTATATAATTGTTAGGAGAATTAGAAATAGGATACAAATATAGTTGAACAGGATAGTCTGTATATTTTAAAATTAATGAAGCCTAATAAACAATTAATGAGCATCTTTACAACCATTTAAAGTTTTCAACCTTTTAAAAATTATAGCAACCGTGCTTGCAGACAGTCCAAAAATACACCATGGGCCATACTTTGCCTATCCTGGTATAAAACAAGTAAATCTTCCGAGAAGTGTTTAAGATAAGCCCAGGACAGTTAGTAATATAGGAAAAGATCTGGGTAAGCATGGTTGAGAATTTCAACATTGCAATTTTTTAATTTTTAAAAATTTAATTTCTTCAATAATTATTGAATTAATTTGCATTTATTTTGTTAGCCAAGTGAAGTAATTTTTGAATTTTTAAGAGGCTATTATTGGTGGTTTATAAGATGACTTGCCAAGTATATTTGGGATAACCATAAGAAATACCATTATAAAATCTCAGAAGGGAAGTAGGACTTCTGGAATAGCCAAGGAAATGCACTCCTCCATGACGACAATGAAAATACTTGGAAAATTATCAAAATCATTTCCTTCAAAACTTTGGAAATTAACCAAAGGTTTACAACAATGTAAAGGGCATTAATTCAAGAAAAGCTGCTGAACCTCTATAAGAACAGCAAAGTTTGTGGTGTTTTAACTTGTTCTATTCCCCACTCTTCTCTCTCCAGGGGAATTGAAAACAAGGAATTCCCCAACCAAACAGGGGCACAGGCTGTGTTTGCAGCTCCTGTAAAAGCTCCATACCCAGAGCCGTGTCTCCCAGCTCCCAGGTGAAGTCTTATGTATACATGGGGCATTGGCCCAGGTGACTCCATACTAGTATCCTAGGCCATCTAGTAGCTCCTAGGTCTGGGCTCTTGCAAAAAGCTTGCAATTCATCAAGGGTTGAGCTGCACATTGGGGCTTTTAGATGTGCTGCTGAGGAAGTGATTTCCTGCATTTAATCATCTTCCGATGAATGCTAGAGAAACTGATCTAGAGTGGCTCCTCTTGGTTAGAACTAGCTGAAGCATACTGTATATACTTACTACTTTTAAAAATTTCATATAAAGGAATAGAAAATAATACTGGAAAAAAAACAAAAAAGGTCACAATCTTCCATAATTCCATCACTCTTACCAATTACCTGAAGTTAAAAAACCCTCTCAAGTTTCTCCCTTTGCTTATCAAGCCCTGCTGCAGAGAGGTAAGCTCTGTTCAGAATTTGCTTTGTGTCCTGGATTTTTTCCTATGCTCACAGAGACAGGATTAGCTGGCGGTCTTGCTTTGTGTGCTATCTTTCTAGACATGTAAAATAATACATTTGAAATACTTGTTTTAATGGTATTTTATAATAAAGCAGCTATTAATAACTTTCCTTTTTTTCTTTATTCCAGCCGTCTTTGTGGCAATTCTACATTGGTAAGATGTAGTTTCAGTTTGAAATATTTAAAAACATTTGAATTAAAAATTGCCATCACTCTTTGCATACAGTAAAACAATAACTTCTGGCTATATTTGTAGAACATCTTTATGTGCACCAATTTATACATGTATTTTGCTTTTTTACAAACCTCATATGTGAAACAGCATTTACAAAATAGATGCATTAGGGGAATAGTAACTTATGAATTAAAATATTTTTGCTTTACCAAATAATTCACCACACGTTTCTTTAAATATCTAGCTTTTCTAGTGTGTTTTGCATGTGTAGTTCATTTAAAACCTTCCTTTACTTTATGGTAATTATATGTTGCTAGTGAAATAACTTTTTTTTTTTTTTGAGACAGAGTCTTGCTCTGTCTCCCAGGCTGGAGTGCAGTGGTGTGATCTTGACTCACTGCAACCTCTGCCTCCCAGGCACAAGTGATCCTTGTGCCTCAGCCTTCCAAGTAGCTGGGATTACAGGTGTGCACCACCAGACCCAGCCAATTTGTTGTATTTTTGGTGGAGACAAGGTTTCACCATGTTGGCCAGGCTGGTGTCAAACTCCTGGCCTCAAATGATCCACCTGCCTCGGCCTCCCAAAGTGTTGGGATTACAGGCATGAGCCACCACACTCAGCCAGTGAAATAACTTTGGTGATAAAGTTTTAGTAACACCTGCCAATTGGAAATCAGGTAAAAAAGAAGGTAAAGATTCTGCAGTGGTTATATGGTTAAATGGCTCTGAGTCTTTCAGTGTGCAAGCCTGTGTACATTATTTTACAAAAGTGTTTATAAAAATTTGTAAAATAATATTTCCTTCTGAAATATTTTATTTTTACCTGTGCTCAGTGATTTCTACCCTTGGGAGGTATGAGATCTGCCCCTATGTTCTATTGACACAGTGCTGCTCTAGACATTTAGTCTGCAGGGAGATTTTGATGTTAGAACTGAGGCTGCAATGGTAGGGAATATTCCTGCAGTTTTTGGTACCCTGGCATATGGCCTACATGTAAAGAAGGGTTAGTGGAAAACAGGGTTAATATATGGAACTTTGCTTTATTTTCAACTTCACTGGAAAGTACTGACTACATAAGTTAGCTATAGCATAATTGTTGGCCATAGCTAATTTTGTTTATCACATATGCTCTTTTCTTCACTGCCTATAGCTGTTGAGTTTCACTACTAAAAGGTCTTCAAGTACACACCTGTATTCTTTGGCACTTGAAAGTTGATCTTTTATGTGATATTATACTTATTGTAAGTCTGCTTTGATCTAAAGTAATTTTATTTAAAATTATATTCTGAACCCTCTTCAACAGTTATGGAGGTATTTCCCAAGGCTGGTACATTAGAATCACTTGAAACTTAAAAAACAAACACTAACCTGCCTCTGTTCTGATTTAGAGGCCTGGGATGGAAGGAAGGGTGAAAAAAGCCACAAGAATTTTAGATATACAATTAAGGTTTTTTTTTGTTTTTGTTTTTTTGAGACAGAGTCTCTATCTGTCACCCAGGCTGGAGTGCAGTGGCATGATCTCTGCTCACTGCAACCTCCACCTGCTGGATTCAAGAAATTCTCCTGCCTCAGCCTCCCTAGCAGCGAGGATTACAGACATGCACTACTATGGCTGGCTAATTTTTGTGTTTTTAGTAGAGACGGGGTTTCACCATGTTGGCAAGGCTGGTCTCGAACTCCTCACCTCAAGTGATCTGCCCGCCTCGGGCTCCCAAAGTGCTGGGATTACAGGCATGAGCCAACGTACCCGGCCACAATTAAGCTTAAAAACCACTGAGTTAAGGAATTTCAGGTGTGTGCCATACTGGATTATAAATGCCGAAAAACATACAAGTTAGTAAGCAAATTATAAAATTAATATTATAACAATTTATTGTTTTCTTTTTTATGGCTTTCTTATTGTTTATTTTACTGTTAGTTTTGAAACTTGTTCTTATTTTAATATGATTCTTCATTTTTTTCTAGGTTACATTTAGTAACACTTTTTGAAAATGATCATCATTTCTCTCACCTCTCATCTTTGGAACGGGAGATGACTTTTTGCATTGAAACGGTTAGGTTTCTTCTTCTAACGAATTAATTTGTGGTTTAAGAATAGCCAGACCGAGAGGTGACAGCATGCTGGCAGTCCTCAGAGCCCTTGCTTGCTCTCGGCACCTCCCCTGCCTGGGCTCCCGCTTTGGTGGCATTTGAGGAGCCCTTCAGTCCCCCACTGCACTGTGGGAGCCCCTTTCTGGGCTGGCCAAGGCCGGAGCCCACTCCCTCAGCTTGCAGGGAGGTGTGGAGGGAGAGACACGAGCGGGAACCGGGGCTGTGTGCTGCACTTGCGGGCCATCTGGAGTTCCGGGTGGGCGTGGGCTTGGTGGGCCCCGCACTCAGAGCAGCCAGCCAGCCCTGCTGGCCCCGGGCAATGGGGGACTTAGCACCTGGGCCAGTGGCTGCGGAGGGTGTACTGAGTCCCCCAGCAGTGCTGGCCCACCGGCGCTGCGCTCGATTTCTCGCTGGGCCTTGGCTGCCTTCCCACGGGGCAGGGCTCGGGACCTGCAGCCCGCCATGCCTGAGCCTCCTACCCAATCCATGGGCTCCTGTGCGGCCTGAGCCTCCCCGACGAGCACCACCCCCTGCTCCACGGCGCCCAGTCCCATCGACCACGCAAGGGCTGAGGAATGCGAGCGCCCGGCACAGGACTGGCAGGCAGCTCCACCTGCAGCCCCAGTGCAGGATCCACTAGGTGAAGCCAGCTGGGCTCCTGAGTCTGGTGGGGACGTGGAGAGTCTTTATATCTAGCTCAGGGATTGTAAATACACCAATCAGCACCCTGTGTTTAGCTCAAGGTTTGTGAGTGCACCAGTCAACACTCTGTATCTAGCTGCTCTGGTGAGGGCGTGGAGAGTCTTTATGTCTAGCTCAAGGATTGTAAATACACCAATCAGCACTCTGTGTCTAGCTCAAGGATTGTAAATACACCAATCGGCACTCTGTATCTAGCTCAAGGTTTGTAAACACACCAATCAGCACCCTGTGTTTAGCTCAAGGTTTGTGAGTGCACCAGTCGACACTCTGTATCTAGCTGCCCTGATGGGGACGTGGAGAACCTTTGTATCTAGCTCAGGGATTGTAAACGCACCAATCAGCGCCCTGACGAAACAGGCCACTCGGCTCTACCAATCAGCAGGATGTAGGTGGGGCCAGATAAGAGAATAAAAGCGGGCTGCCCGAGCCAGCATTGGCAACCCGCTCGGGTCCCCTTCCACACTGTGGAAGCTTTGTTCTTTCGCTCTTTGCAATAAATCTTGCTACTGCTCACTCTTTGGGTCCACGCTGCTTTTGTGAGCTGTAACACTCACCATGAAGATCTGCAGCTTCACTCCTGAGCCCAGCGAGACCACGAGCCCACCGGGAGGAACGAACAACTCCAGACACGCCACCTTAAGAGCTGTAACACTCACCGCGAGGGTCCACCGCTTCATTCTTGAAGTCAGTGAGACCAAGAACCCACCAATTCCGGACACAAGACTATGAGGTAGAAATGTATTAGGAATTGAAATGAACTTTTGGCGAACTGCACTGTTTCATAAGCTATTACCCAGGTTTATTATTTAAATAGTAAAGTGTTTGAGATTATTTTTCTGTTACTTCATTATCTCTCACCCTTTCCTAATGCAGACTTCTTTTTAAGGTAATAAAGATGAATTATAATAGCTGAGGAAGGAGGACAAAGAAAGCACTGAAGAAGTGATAAAGGGGAATGAAATGAGATGTTATCAGAAATTGCTTTCTCTTTGGCTACGGTTAGGAGATCCCATGTTTTACCTGGGCCTTTTAATGATGACGATTATTATTTGGCTCTCTTTTGATTTCAAGATAATCTCTTTTAAGAGATAACTTTTGATATAGTTTTTAAATAATTTTCTGTTTTTCAATACTTAATCTTAAAAATGGAGTTTTCTGCCGTACGTATCTCACATAATTATTGTGAGGAGTAAGTGGGATAGCAAATGCCAAAATTGCGCAATTTTACATTTAGAAGACAGCACAACCGTCCATCTTCCAGATCTGCTCACAGCTGGTCGGGGGCCTAGTGAAGCATTGAAACTGGCTCTCCTCAGTCTAGCCATTGCTTTTTGTTTAAATTATAGTAAAATTTAGATTTAAATTTGTAATAAAAAATTTCAATGTTTATCATTTAAGTGTACAATTCAGTGACATTAAGTACATTCATGTTGTCTTGCAACTATTAACCACTGTCCACATCCAGAACATTTTGCTATCCCAAACAGAAACTCTACCCACTAAACACTAATCACACCCAGCTCTATTTTCTGTCTCTGTGATTTTGCCTATGCCAGGTCCCTCAGTCACTGCTTTTTAATTTTCATCCCTATATTGCCCCATAAAGTTTCAAAGCATTGGATACATTAACATATGTATGACATTTGAACATTTTAAAGGTATTTCCAAAGACAGAATATAAAATATTATTAAATAAAGAGTGTAACTGTGGCAGAGTCTGGACTTTGGTGACAGATCGCTGGATTCTAATAGCGGTTCTATGCTTTATTGTATGATGGCTAGTCAGGTCACCTCTCAGATTCTCAGTAATCTCGTCTGCTCAATAGAAATAATGCCAATCTTAGAGGGGTTTAGGGAAAATGAAGGGAGATAATGAATGGCAGCACATAGCAGAATACTTAAAACAATAGCTGTTATTAGTAACTTATTTATATATTTAATATTTCCCTAAATATAGTCTTTTGCATATTAGATATCCTTTAATTGTTGTATTGCTTTGTTATCCTCCTAAGCAGAAAGGAAAATTCTTTATGAATTCATATTTTGCCAATCAACTATGAGATAATGGCCTTTCAGACATCAGCTAAAACAGACCTGTAATTTAGTAGTTACTCGTGTTGGATTAGGCAGATATGATTATAGCATAAAGCATTTTTTAGGGAGAATGCATTTTAAACAATGTGGCCCTTTTTTGCTTTTAGATTTTAGGAGCGAAAGCAAGAAATTGTTGGGGAAATAAGACACAACATGCTGTTGTTAATCCATGAATTTTAACTCAACAGCACTTTTACTATCCTAATGAAGCCTTTATTTTATATGCTGAAGTGTAAGACACTAAAATAATCTGCTTTTTAGTACATAGCATTTGTGAGCAACAATAATCAATTGACATTGAGCTTTCACTTTGCACAGAGGATTAGATGGAGCTATGAATTAAGCTAGAAGCACTGGATTCCTTGCTCATGATGCTTATGGTCATTATATTTTATTTCCTGAGAGCATGGGAAAAAAAGTAATTTTCTATATGCAAAGTTGTACAGAGGCATGAAGGCATCCCTGTTTATGATAGAATTAATCAGATGTCAACCTTCAAGCATCTCAAATGTGGGGGATAAAACCAGATGTGGGAAAATCAAACATATACTGTCTACACATTTTAAGACATTATTAGAGAAACTCTTTAAATTGTTTGACCATCCCTCTAACTCTTTAGTTTGAAAGCCTATAGAAAATTTGAAAGAATAGTACAGTGATCACCTGAAAATACGTGTTCTTTAAAGTCCAAGAATGCAAAATAGCAAGGAGTGATTAGGAAGTTGTCTTATTAACCTTTCTTTTTTCAGAAAAAAAGTTCTAAAGAAGTGATAAAAATAAATATTTTAAAGTTTTAATTACATTGACAATATGTGCCTTTTTTTTTTTTAAAAAAGGGACTTTATTATTCTTACTTCAAGACCATTATTGAAGCACCTTCATTTTTGGGAGGACTGTGGATGATTATGAATGACAGGCTTACTGAATATCCTCTTGTAATTAATGCAGTAAAACGCTTCCATATTTATCCAGAGGTGAGTCATAATTTGAGACAAATAATATTTGTAGAGTGATCCTCTTTGTCAGATAAAAATAGTAAGCACAATCTTGTTAAGAAAGGGAGGGGACGTTTCAGGTTTATTAATTGTATGTATCCTTATAGTTGAGTAGAATATCATAAGTTCCTCTTAAAATTTAAAGACCCCAGAAACAGTTCTCTCATGAACTCGAAGAATGAACCTTAGTGTGTAAATAATGGCCAGGGTAATAGACAAGCCAAATGGAAAAGAGGGTCATGGGAGCCAAAAAGTTCTAAATAGGGATGGGCTTTTGGCCTTGGACACCTCGTGGGTGAGCACGATGACCACGTGAAGGGACAGTGGAGTGATGAGCTTGAATAGTGATCTTGGAGTTATGTTAGTAAAGTAAGATTTATTTAGTCACACAGCCAGAAATCTATTACTATTTTCCAACACTTAGCCTAAAAGAGTATGGTTGTTATAGTAGTCTATAAATGCTAGAAATTTGAAAAACGGAGACAAAATTAGTGAACTCAGTTTGTGAACTCAAGATAAATGCTTAATTTGACACCATGGTAAATACTACTGTTGAGTTTAAAGTTGTCTCAGAATCCAGCATATTAATGAAAAGTTACTGCTTTCTAGTCCTTTATTCATATTTTTATAGCTTTTAAAAATTATTATTCTTTAGATTTTGAAATGCTTAAAACTACAGACTTAGAAAATAATATTCAAATATGTGTGATCAACCATCTAAAATAAATAAATGCTAACCTTTGTCATTTTTGCATCAGCTATTTTAAAATAATTAAAATATTATAAATACAGTTAAAATCACCTTTGTTCTGCTCCTAGTCCAACTTATACCTTTATTAAAATTTGGTGTGCGTATCCATCCAATCTCTGTTTTCAGAGATTGTTTTATTATATGCTTTAAGTCCACATAAATGATCTCATACTGAATGTGTCACTGTAGGATTTTTTCTTCAAAATTGTATTTTTGAACTTTCTGTATATATATATTTCTTTAATTTTAACCATTTTATGAATTGTAAAGTTTATGTATTTCCCCATCTTAATATATTATTTCCAGTTTTTTGATTACAAGCAATGTAATCTAAAATGTACATTTTTGTATGGTTTTCTTCTGTATATGTGCAATATTTTGTCTAGGATATATACCTAGAAGTGGAATTGTTGTTATAGAGTGTGTGCTTTTTCAGCTTTACCAGATATTGGTAAATTGCTGTCTGAAGCAAATGTAGCAGTTCACACTGCTGTCTAGAATTTTCTCATATCCTTATTAGATTTTGAATTGTCAGACCCTGCGATTTTTACTCTTATGATGGCTGTGATATGCTTTTTGTTTTAATTTGTACTTCCTTTATTATTTATGGGGATAAATATATTTCCATGTTTAATAAGCATTTGGATTTGTTCTTCTGTCAACAACATATATAAATCTTTGTCACCAAATCAGCTTTTTTGAGGTATGACTTACATGTAATAAAATGTGCCAATTTTGATTGTACCATTCTCTGAGTTTTGACAAATGTATGAAACTATATATCCATCACCACAATTGAGTTACAAAACATTTTCAGAATGCCAAAAAATGCTCCATTGTGGTAACTGTCTTTTCCCCCATTGAATTAATTGTCTTGGTACAATCGTTGAAAATTGGTTGACCACATTATATGTGAATGTGTTTCTGGATTCTATTATTCTCTTGATCTATAATTATGCCAATACCACACTGTCTTGATTACTGTAACTTTAGAATAAATCTTGAAAGTAGATAGTTCTCCAACTTTTTCCTTTTTAAAATTGCATTTCTATCTAAATGTTAGGGTCAGCTTATTAATTTCTCAAAAAAAAAACCTGCTGTGATTTTGATTGGGATTATGTTGGATTTGTACATGTATTTGGGAAGAATTGACATCTTAACAATATTGAATTTTCCAATCCACGATCATGGTATAGATCTCCATTTTGTTGATTATTTTTAATTTGTCTCAGCAATGTTTTGTATTTTTTCAATGTACAGTCTTCCCCAGTACTCTTTTATTATAAATGGTATTATTTTAAAATTTTTATTTTTCCATTTTTTGTTGCTTTTGAATAGAAATATAGTTGATTTTCAATATTAACTTTGTACCTGCATCTCGATGAAGTCAGTGGTTCTAGTAGCTTTTTTGTAGAATCCTTTGGATTTTTCTATGCACATGATGATACAGTCTGTAATTAAAAGCAGTTTTACTTTCCAGTAGATATACCCTAAATGTTTTTAAACAGCTTTATTGAGGTATAATTGACATATGATAGCTGGTCATATAGATGAAGTGTAAAGTTTGATTAGTTTTGGCCCACCTGTAAAACCATCACCAGTCAAGACAATGAGCATATCCCTCCATCCCGAACTTTCCCTGTGCTCCTTGGTAATCCCTCCTTCTTTCGTCTCTCTTTGCCCACATCCCATCCCTAGGAAACCACTAATATTCTTTTTGTCATTATGGTTTAGTTTGCATTTTCTAGAATTTTATAGAAATAGAATTGTTCTGTGCCTAGGTCTTAATATATGTGGTTGACTGAGCGATGACACAGATAGATCAGTACCGCTAAAGAAGAATTTATGAGTAATACTGCCTTGGAGAAGAGGACAAGTCACATCACACAGAGCCACAGGAGAGAGACAGTTTGGTCAGGCAGAAGCAGTATTGAGGGTAAAGCCTAGGCCATCGCTTTTATTGGGGTTTCTATGGGAAAGGCAAAACAAGGCAGAGTTTAAAAAAGAAATAAAATCAAAAGAGAGTTGACAAACTGGGAGAAGATATTTGTTTGGTTTCTTTTTGTTTGTTTTGAGACAGAGTCTCACTTCATTGCCCAGGTTGAAGTGCAGTGGTGTGATCTCGGCTCCCTGCAGCCTCTGCCTCCTGGGTTCAAGCGATTCTCCAGCCTCAGCCTCCGAATAGCTGGGATTAGAGATGTGCACCACCATGCCTGGCTAATTTTTATATTTTTAGTAGGAACGGGGTTTCACCATGTTAGCCAGGCTGGTCTCAAACTCCTGGCCTCCAGTGATCCTCCTGCCTCGGCCTCCCAAAGTGCTGGGATTACAGGCGTGAGCCACCATGCCCGGCCAGGAGAAAATATTTGTAATATATCTCACAGATAAAGGGCTAATACACCTAATATATAAAGAACTCTTAATTTATATTTTTAGCTTCTGGAGGCTTTAGGTGTCAATTTGGTGATGAAGAGAGCTGGAATGATGGCACTCTCATTCCTACAACAAGGAAAATAGCTGGACAAACTGCAATATAACACCTTTTCTTGAACCCTTCAGAAAACTGAGGTCAGAGGACAACCAACACAAAATTTCAAGAAGAACAGGTGCCTGCAGAAAGCACAAAGAACTGAGCATTCTGGAATAGGAACTGCTTGACTGAGATAGGGGCTTTTGAATGCCATATAAGCTGGTACAAAGATTAAACCAGAAATTTTTTAATGAACTGTTACAGGCTTAGTGTGAGCTGGTATGAAATGTGAAGGTGAGCAGGCTCTGTCAGAGAAGATTGGGGAAGTATTTAGAGAAAGCTTTCCCTATGGTGCTGGCTAGGGGACAGGAAAAGCAATCATTGCTCGGACTCTGCTCACATCCATGTTGTGAAATCTCTCCTAAGGAAAAGAAAGCCATGATCTGCAGGGAGAACGGTATCAAACCCATTGTCTGAGGACACTGGTGGGTATCCAGTGAAGCTGGTGAAAGAGAACAGGCAGGAAAAAAAAAACCTAAATGTTAAAAAACAGTCATATTCCTTGAGGAGGGAACACTTACGAAGGGTACAGCCCCCAAATCCCAAATTCAGAGTACCTGTCTAAGATTGAGGCTTAATTGGAGCATCAGAAAACCTGTCACTCTTCCCCCATTACATTAACAAGCCTTTGGTAAAAATCACAGTGGAATGTGACTGAGTGAGTTTTGCCAGGCATTTTCTTTCTAGGGAGCAGCACAAAGGAAAACCCAAAACCAAGTTCAAAACAAGGTACCACTAGAGGAATTTGAAATCGTTAGTGTCCATAGCGGCAACAAACTCTAGCTTTGGTAACTATAGCCATTACAAACTTCAAATCCAGCCCACCCTAACTAGATTAACACAAATCCCTACGATAAAGACCTAACGGTAAGAAAGATGTTCTTAATTTCAAGCATAAAAATACTGACCTCTATGTCTACTGTCTTCTACAACATGTCTAACTTTCTGCAAAAATTATGAGGCATACCTAAAGGTAAGAAAAAGCACAGTCCGAAGAGACAGAGCAGTCATCAGGCAGACCCAAAGAAGGTACAGATATTGGAACAACTGGACAGGAGATTTAAGTAACTATGGTTAATATTTTAAAGACCCAAATGGAAAAGACAGATGATATGCAAGATCAGATAGCTAATTTTAGCAGAGTTGGACACTGTAAGAATCAAAGGGAAATGCTAGAAATAAAAAAAATGAAGTAAAAAATGCCTTACATGAGCTCATCAGCAGACACAGCACAGCAGAAGAAATAATCAATGAGTTTGAAGATAGGTCAATAGGAATGCAAAGAGAAAAAAAAGTGGAGGAAGGAAATGGTAGAACATCTAAAAGCTGTGACACCATATCAGATATTCTAATATATGCATAATTAGAATCCCAGTGGGAGAGGAAGGGATGAGGAAGAATAAACATTTGAAAAATAAATGACTGAGAATTTTCCAAAATTAGTGACAGATACCAAACCATAGATCCAAGAAACTCAGAGAACATCAAAAAGGATAAATATCAAACAAATGCGTGAATGAATAGATAAACAAACCAAACATGCATATGCAAACCTAGGGGTAAATGTAAACACATTAAAGAGTATGAGACAGAGACTATCTCACAAAGCCTAAAATACTTATCGTCTGGCTCTTTATAGGAAAAGCTTGCTGACCTCTTATCTAACAGAATGAATAGACTAGGGATATAATGTGAGTTTCTTGGGCAGCACCAAGGGCTTCATTTGAGGTGGATGGTCTTGAAATGAAAACAAAACCAGCCAACAGAATTGTGTTCCTCCAGCTATAATCAGATTCCCAAGTATAAACACGGAGAAAATGGAGAGTTGGATTTAATCATGTTGGGTCAGCTTTCCCTTGGATGTAGAAAGCTAAAAAGAACATTGCTCATGGCCTTCCAGCAATGTCAGCAGCGACAAAAACAAAAGCCAGACAGTCTTCAGATTTACAACTTTTCCTGAAGCAGTCAGGGAGCTGAGGTCACAGGGCAATCAAATAACCCAAAATAAATTAAAAAGATAAAGCATGTGCAAGGAGAACAGAAACAAGCATTTAATTACATGGGTCATGCCACTAGACACAATGGTAAAGAATTCAGCTCAAATTGTTCACCAGTCAGACTGTGGCTAAATGCCTAGTGTGGCTTAGCAAGGGTATTTGCAATTGCTTACAGACATTTTTACACAGACCTCATAAGGTGCTGACAAAAGATTAGCAAGAGTGCTCAGAAAGCATCCTCCATGGTAAAGCCTGGGAGAACAGGAGCCACTTAGAGAAAGGCATGAAACCCACCCACCCCCCTCTTCCTTATCTCCCCTATAAGTCTTACACTCTCTTATTTTAAACTGCTGGGGGAAAGGTAACAAACAATGTCCTTTTCACATTACTGGTACAAAAATAGGCCACAGATCCAGATATAGTCCTTGAGCCTTACTTTTGCTAACCCCTTGATGCCTGTTTCATATCTTCTCTCTCCAGTTATCCCAAACCTCCTGTCCCCCTTTCACTCTCAGCAAATGACCTTGTTTTCTACTGTTTTCCCATGCCCATTATGTATTTCCTAGCTGTATCCCAGGTGCCTACTTCCTGGAATATGGAGTTGATTCAATATCATATTTGTTGAATGAATGAAGCTATGCAAATTTCCTTGTGCTACATACTCAGTAGTCAATGGATACAACCTAAGCACAACCAAAATTAGGTTTATCTGTATCCTTACCTGCATTTGGTATTGTCACTATTTTTTATTTTACTCATTCTTACACATATGTAGTGATATATCATTATGGTTTTAATTTGCATTTCCCTATTGGCTAATGATGGTGTACATCTTTTTGTGCTTATTTGCCATCCATATGTGAAACGTGTCTTTATGTATTTTGCTCCATTTCTATTTGAATTGTTTGTTTTATGAATTTTGGACCTTAGGATGTTCCTTACATATTATAGATGCTAATTATTTTTCATATATATGGCTTGCAAATATATTTTCCCAGTCTGTAGCTTGCCTTTTCATTCTCTTAAACAGGGTCTTTTGCATAGTGTTGTTGAGTTTGTCTCAATTTTGGGGGAATTTCTGTCTAGTTCTTCTATCAACTAAAAGAATTAGTTGAAAATACTAATTCTAGTTTTTTGACAGAGGGATTCTGAAGTCTCCTAGTAAAATTATGTATTTGTACATTTCTCCGTTGACGTCTGTTTTTCTTCACATATTTTGTAGCTCTATGTTTGGCGCATATGCATTTAGGATTGCAGGGTCTTCTTGTTGAATTTTTTAAAAAATAATTTAACGATGACTTTTTCTTCCTTCTCTGATAATTTGTGCTTTTTTCTGATAATGGCATCGTCACTTCTGCTTTCTTTTCATTACTGTGTCTATGATAAATTCATCATTTTCCATCCTTTCACTTTCAGCCTGACTTTATTATTATATTTGAAGCGAGTTCCTTGTAAACGGTTGGGTAATATTTTTAAATCCAATTTGTCAGTGTATCTCTTAATTGGTATGTTTACCAATTGACCACTTACATTTAATATAGTTATTAATATGTTAGAGTTTAAGTCTGTGATTTTATTTTGTGGTTTCTATTCTTGGTTTTCAATTTCTGTTTGCTTTTATTTTAACCTTCTTGTGGCAGAACATTTTATTTGAACATTGTTTAGAATTATATTTTGATTTATCTATTTTTTAAATATATCACTTTACAAAGCTTTTTTTAGTGGTTCTAGCAATTGTATTACCACAATTTATTACAATCTGTTGCTGCTGTCATTTTACTGTATGTTTTAATCATCAAACTTATTTTAAACTCAAGTTTTACACATATTTTATAAACTCAGGAAGAAAGTGAAAGCCTGTTTTATTTTATCCATGTTTTTTATTTCTTCCTCTTTGATGTTCCAACATTCCTTCTTTTATCATTTCATTTCAGTTTAGGGGATTTTCTTTAGCTACACTTTTAGAATAGATGTCTGTTGTAAAAGTTCTGCTGGCTGCATTTTTTTTTTAATTTTTAAATTTTTTAATTTTTTAATTTTTTAATTTTTTTTAGTTTTTCTTAGAGAATGCAGTTTCTTTTCATTACTGAAGGATATTTTTGCTGGACATAGGATTCTGGGTCGATAGTTTTTTTCTTTCAGCATTCAGCAAGTGTTGTGCCATTTTGTTCTGGCCCTCCATAGTTTCTAATGAGAAATCCGCTGTTAGTTGAATTCTTTTTCTCCTTTAAGTAAGGTTTTGTTTCTCTCTTGTTGGTTTCAGTATTTTTTAAAATTTAGTCTTCAAAAGTGTATCAAAGTATAATGTTCAAAGTTCAAATGTTTTCTAAAGTATGTTGTATTTTAGTGTGGATTTGTTTAGATTTCTTCTGTTTGAGATTTGCTCAGCTCCTTGAATATTTAGGTTTATATCTTTTGCCATATATGGGAAGTCCAGTCATTATTTCTTTTTCTTTCTTTTTTATGTATGTATGTATGTATTTATTTATTTTGAGACAGAATCTCACTCTGTCGCCCAGGCTGGAGTGCAGTGGTGAAATCTCAGCTCACTGCAACCTCTGACTCCAGCTCACTGCAACCTCTGACTCCTGGAATCAAGGGATCCGCCCACCTCAGCCTCCTGAGATGGGCAACCACCATGCCTGGCTAATTTTTTTGAATTTTTTGTAGACATGGGGTTTCACTATGTTGCTCAGGCTGGTCTCAAACTCCTGGGCTCAAGCAATCTGCCTGCCCTGGCCACCCAAACTGCTGGGATTACAGGCATGAACCACCGGGACCAGCCTCAGTAATTATTTCCTTGAATTCTTTTTCAGCCCTGCCTCTTTCCCATCTCCTTCCAAGACTCCAATGATATGAATGTAGGATCCTTTGTTAAAGTTCCACAGGTCCCTAGGGCTGTTTTGTTTGTTTATTCTGTTAGCATCTGTTTTTTCTCTTTTGCTCAGATTGAGTAATTTCTATGGTTCTGTCTTCTAGTTTACTGGTTATTTTCTTCTATCTCTGCCATTCTCCTCTTGTGCAATCCATTAAGGTTTTTAATTTTGATTATTTTATTTTTGAGTTATGAAAATTTTGACTTTTCTTTATGTGTTCTATTTTTCTGCTGACACTTTTTCTTCTTCCAACTTCTATTTTAGGTTCATGGGATACATGTGTGGGTTTGCTGTATAGGTAAATTGCATGCAGTGGGGGTTTGGTGTATGGAGTATTTTGGCACCCAGGTAATAAGCATAGTACTCAATAGGCAGTTATTCAGTCTTCACCCTCCTCATACCCTTCACCCTCAAGTAGGCCCCAGTGTCTATTGTTCCCTTCTTTGTGTCCATGTGTACTCAGTGTTTAGCTTCGCTTATAAGTGAGAACACACAGTATTTAGTTTTCTGTTCCTGCATTAATTCACTTAGCATACTGGCCTCTAACTCCTTCCATGTTGCTGCAAAGGACATTATCTTGTTCTTTATAATGGCTGTGTAATATTCATGGGGTATATGAACCACCACATTTTCTTTATCTGTTCCACTATTGATGGCATTTAGGTTGATTCCATGTCTTCGCTATTGTGGATAGTGCTGCAGTGAACATACATGTGCATGTGTCTTTATGGTAGGCTAATTTATATTCCTTTGGGTATATACCTAGTAATGGGGTTGCTGGGTCAAATGGTAGTTCAGTTTTAAGTTCTTTGAGAAATTTCCAAACTGCTTTCCACAGTGTTTGAACTAGTTTACATTCCCACCAGCAGTGTATAAGCATCCCCTTTTCTCCACAACCTCACCAGCATCTGTTATTTTTTGACTTTTTAATAATAGCCATTCCGATTGGGTTAGTGTGGTTTTGATTTGCATTTCTCTAATGATTAGTGATGTTGAACCCTTTTTCATATGATTGATGGCCACATAAATATCTAATTTTGAGAAATTTGTGTTTATGTCCTTCACCCCCTTTTTTTTTCATGTTTTAAAAAAGTGACATTGTATTATTACTATCCACAGGTGGGGCCTGCATGATGTGGTAGGTATGCTGGGCTCAGGGGACATGTGGGCTGTGAGGAGGAGATGATGACAGAAAGGCTGGAAGGAAAGGGGGTGGGTTTGAAGGCCAGGCCCAAGGGGTCCTCAGGTCTACTTCTGGGAGGGGACAGCCTTGAGGAAGGAGTCATGGCAAGCCACAGCTAGGCCACCAATCAGATTAAGAAATTTTGGGAAATCTAACTGCCCATCACTGCTGACATCCAGTTTCTTCATGTGGTCAAGGACACCGGGGTCCTTCTGGTTCTTTGTAAAGGCAGCCAGCTCTGTATTCATGAAGCTTAGGAACTCCGTCTTGGAGAGATTGCGGTTGTAACCATCCTTTCCAGCATACTTCTGGAAAACAGCAATCAGGGACTCAATGCACCGCTCAGTCTCTGTAGGGCTGGAGATTTTTGCCATGTTGGAGCTGAGCAAGGCATGGGAGGCTATGACTGGGAGTGGCACAGAGTACCCATTTTTTAATGGGGTTGTTTTTTTACTTTCAATTTGTTCCTTTATGGATTCTGGATATTAGACCTTTGTCAGATGAATAGTTTGCAAATATTTTCTCCCTTTCTGTAGGTTGTCTGTTTACTCTCTTGGTAGTTTCTTTTGCTATGTAGAAGCTCTTTAATTTAATTAGGTTGCATTTGTCAATCTTTGTTTTGTTGCAATTGCTTTTGGCATCTTCGTCATGAAATTTTTGCCAGGGTCTATGTCCAGAATGGTATTTTCTATGTTTTCTTCTAGGGTTTTCATTGTTTTAGGTTTTACATTTCAGTCTTTAATTCATCTTGAGTTGATTTTTGTGTATGGGGAAAAGAAAGGTGAAGTTTCAGTCTTCTGCATATGGCTAACCAGTTATCCCAGCATCATTTATTGAATAAGAAGTCCTTTTTCCTATTGACTTGTGTTGTCAGGTTTGTTGAAAATCAGATGGTTCTAGGTGTGTGACTTTATTTCTGGGCTCTCTATTCTGTTCCATTGGTCTATGTGTGTGTTTTTGTGCTAGCACCATGCTGTTTTGGTTATTGTGGCCTTGAAATATAGCTTGAAGTTGGGTAGTATGATGCCTCTGGCTTTGTCCTTTTTGCTTAGGATTGCTTTGGCTATTTGAACTATTTTTTGGTTTCATATGTGTTTTATTTTATTTACTTATTTATTTACTTTAACCTTATTTATGTTGAAGGAATATCCATATAAGTTTTAGAATAGTTTTTCTAATTATGTGAAAAATGTCATTGGTAGCTTGATAGGAATAGCATTGAATCTGTAAATTGCTTTTGGTAATATGGTGATTTTAACAATATTGAATCTTCCTGTTCATGAGCATAGAATGTTTTTCCATTTGTTTTTATTGCCTCTGATTTCTTTCAGCAGTGTTTTGTAATTCTCATTGTAGAGATTTTTCTCCTCTCTAATTAGCTGTATTCCTAGGTATTCTTTTATAAGTTTTTTATTACTTTTTTTGTGGCTATTGTGAATGAGATTGCATTCTTGATTTGGCTCCCAGCTTGGACATTGTTGGTGCATAGAAATACTACTGACTTTGGTACATTGATTTTACATCCGGAAAGTTTGCTGAAGTTTTAAAAAGACATATCTAGGAGCTTTTAGTCAGAGACTATGGGGCTTTCTAGGTATAAAATTATATTGTTTACAAAAAAGATAGTGTGAATTCCTGTCTTCCTGTATGGATTTATTTTCTTTCTTTCTTTTGCCTGATTGCTCTGGCTGGGACCTCCGGTACTATGTTGAATAGGAATGGGGAGCGTAAACATCCTTTTGTTGTTCCAGTTCTCAAGGCAAATGCTTCTAGCTTTTGCCTGTTCAGTATGGTGTTGGCTATGGGTTTTTCATAGATGGCTCTTATAATTTTGAGGTATGTTCCTTCAATGCCTACTTTGTTGAAGGCTTTTAAAATGAAAGGATGTTGAATTTTATCAAAAGCCTTTTCTGCATCCATTTAGATAATCATGTGGGGGTTTTTTTAGTTCTTTTATGTGATCAATCATATTTATTGATTTGCCTGTGTTGAACCACCCTTGCATCCTAGGAATAAAGCCTACTTGATTGTGGTGGATTAGCTTTTTGATGTGCTGATGGATTCAGTATGCTAGTATTTTGTCGAGGATTTTGCATCTATGTTCATCAGAGATATTGGCTTGAAGTTTTCTTTTTTACATTGTGGCTTTGCCACATTTTGGCATCAGAATGATGTTAGCCTTTATAGAATGAGTAAGGGAGGAATCCCTCAAGTTTTTGGAATAGTTTCAGTATGATTGGTATCCGCTCTCCTTATATGTCTGGTAGAATTTGGCTGTGAAGTCACCTGTTCCAGGGCTTTTTCTGGCTGGTAGGCTTTTTATTGGTGATTCAGTCTTGGAACTTGTTATTGGTCTATTCAGATTTTTCATTTCTTCTTGGTTAAATCTTCGGAGGTTATATATTTCCAGGAATTTAGCCATTTCTTCTAGGTTTTCCAGTTTGTGTCCATAGAGTTGTTCGTAATAGTCTCTCAGAGTTTTTTGCTTTTCTACAGGGTCAATGGTAATATCTCCTTTGTCATTTCTGATTGTGTTTATTTGGGTCTTCTCTCTCTTTTTCTTTATTAGTCTAGCTAGTGGTCTATTAAATTTATTTGTTCTTTCAAAGAACCAACTTGTGGTTTTGTTGATCTTTTGTATGGTGTTTTGTGTCTCAATTTCATTCAGTTCATCTCTGATTTGGTTATTTCTTGTCTTCTGCTAGATTTTGGGTTGGTTTGCTCTTATTTTTCTGGTTCCTCTAGGTGTGATGTTAGGTTGTTAATTTGAGATCTTTCTAACTTTTTGAAGTGGGCATTTAGCTCTGTAAATTTTCCTCTTAACACTGCTTTAGCTGTGTTCAGCGATCCTGGTATGTTGTGTCTTTATTTTCATTAGTTTCAAAGAATTTCTTGATTTCTACCTTAATTTCTTTGTTGACTCAAAAAGTCATTCAGGAGCAGGTTGTTTAAATTCCATGTAATTATGTGGTTTTGAGAGATGTTCTTAGTATTGATTTCTGTTTTTTTGCTGAGACTATCTATTTCTCTGGTAAACTTTTCAATTTTTCCATTTGTTTTAAGCATGCTCATTAGAGTATATTTATGATTGTTGCTTTAAAATCCTTGATAATGCTAATATTTCTTTCATCTCAGTATTGGAATCCATTTATTTCTCATTCAGTTTGAGATGTTTCTGGTTCTTGATGAGTGATTTTCACTTGAAACCTAGACATTTTGAGTATTATGTTATGAGACTGGATTTTGTTTAAACCTGCTATTTTAACTAGATACCTCTGGTATCACTCAAGCAAAGGAAGGGGAAAAGGGGGAAGGCACCATCTTGTTGCTTTCAGGATCACCTGAGGTCAGGAGTTTGAGACCAGCCTGGCCAACATGGTGAAACCCTGTCTCTACTAAATATACAAAAATTAGCCACGCATGGTGGTGGGCACTTGTAATCCCAGCTACTTGGGAGGTTGAGGCAGGAGAATTGGCTTGAACCCAGGAGGAAGAGGTTGCAGTGAGCCAAGATCACACCACTGCACTCCAGCCTGAGTGAAAAGAGCGAGACTCTGTCCCCCCCCCAAAAAAAAAAAGCCCAGGGAAGGTGGAAGTCTAGCTTCCCCACTTGGCCTTTGTTTATATGGTAGGGGTAGAGCCACATTTTTTTTTACTTTTGACTTTTTGGGTACTTTTTGTATATTTGTCTTAGTCTGTTTTGTGCTGTTTGAACAAAGTATCTGAGACTAGGTAATTTATAAAGAATAGAAATTTATATGTCACATTTCTGGAATCTAAGAATTCTGGAGTCCAAGGAAGACCAAGATCAAGGCGCCAGCAGATTTGGTGTCTGGTGAAGGCTGCTCTCCGCTTCCAAGATGGTGCCTTGATGTTGCATCTTCCTGAAGGAGAGGAACACTGTGTCCTCACATGGCAGACAGTAGGAGAGTAAGTCAGCTTTAATCTCACTCATGAGGGGGGAGTCTTCATGGCCTAATCACCTCTTGCAGGTCCCATCTCTTAATACTATCACATTGGCCATTAAGTTTCAATACCTGAATTTTGGATGGGACACATTCAAACTATAGCAGTGCCCATTGGCATTTCTGGATTGCCAGCCTCTTTAACTCCAAATCTGAGAAAATGAGGCACAAAGAGAGCCCACGGAACTCATAACCATATGAGTTATGGTACATTTCTAAATGTACATTTCTGCTTCTGGTCTCTACTCTATTGCAGTTATCTATTTGTCTATTGCTGTGCCAATATCATAGTGTCTTTTTACATTAGCTTTATAATACAGCAACAATTGATAGTGCAAATCCTCCTTTTTCAAGAATACCTTGACTGTATTTGGCCCTTTGCATTTCTGAATAACTTTTAAATCAGCTCATCAAAGTCAACAAAAAATATGTTGGAATTTTGACTGGTAGAGCATTGAATCTATAAAGCTTTTTAATATCAAAACATGCGGTGTTTGGTTTTTTGTCCTTGCGATAGTTTGCCGAGAATGATGGTTTCCAGCTTCATCCATGTCCCTACAAAGGACATGAACTCATCCTTTTTTATGGCTGCATAGTATTCCATGGTATATATTATTATTATTATTATTATTATGAAGAGAATGTATTTACCTCAATTATCTCTTTGTTTTTATCTTTTTTAAGGTAATCATAGCCTCCTGGTATCGCACATTCATGGGAATAGTGAATTTATTTGGACTAGAAACTAAGACCTGCTGGAATGTCACCAGAATAGAACCTCTTAATGAAGTTCAAAGCTGTGAAGGCATGTTTCCTCCAAAAATGCTGTCATTTGTAAACATTCATAAACATTTAATAATATTATGATTCACTTTTAAGAATTATTGTAAAATTCTGTTGTTGATTTAAAAAACATTAGAACTGACTCACCTCAATGAGTATTTTACATTTTGAAGTAGTTTTCTGAGAAGGCTGTGTACTTAAAAATTTGAGTATAAATTTTGGAATTTGAGTATTAACATATCCCATTGTAAGGCAACCTTGACTATAAGTTAGTCTTCTATTTCAGAATGAGAAGATACAGAAAGATGTTTTTTGGGGTAGCTTCAATATATAAATTTTGAGGATACATTAAATAGTCAAATAGCTATTTGTAATAGCTAATGTATAAATTTAATTATGCATACATATTTAAAAATTGGATATGCCATAATAGATTGATTTAGAAATATTACATTTTTATATATGCTCATAGTCCATGAGTAGTATTAATAAAACTCTTCCTATTTATCTTCTACATTGGTTTCTTTGTCAAAGAACCGCTTTTGGAATCATCTAACAGCTTTCCAGGATACATAGTGGTCACTTCCATTTAAGATGTTTGCATTTCAGCACTTTTACAATTCAAGTATGGTGCTGTCCCTTGAGACTCTCGTTCAGAGCCACTTGTATCTATTTTCATAACACTAACACTGTTGTTTTTTCTTTATTTCTTCAAATTCTTAACAACATGACTTACTATATTTTATGAATAAATTTTTAGACTTGTTTGTAACAACATTCAACTCTTGGGATATAAACTAAATCTATTTTCCTTACATTTTTTACTGATTCCCTCAGTAAAAATAGAATTGATGAGGATGTTTGAGGGGCAATTATACTTTTTTGTGTACAATGTAAAGGATTGGAGAAAATGCCTCATAAAATGAAAGACTTTGCAATGATTCAATCAGCTAGAAGGTGTGACCCTGTCTGAGTGGTGAAAATGATCACCTAATTATGGTATTAGTTACATTCCCAATAAGTGATAGGTTAGTGTTTGGCACTTGGGACACAGAGATGAACCAGCTAGATGTGGGGCCTTACCCTCATAGAGTTTATGCTGTAAGGGGGCTGTTAGCAGTTACAACTGTGATGGATATTACAAATAAGAAAATAAGGTTACCGACACTAGGAGTAAGAGAGGATAAGTATTTTAAGAATAGGGAATAATATATTCAAATATCCTGAAGCAAGAGAGAACTGAAAGAAGGCTAGAAATCCTAGAAGCGATGGAGAAGAAAAATGATGTGAAATGGTGCTGGGAATATAAGCAAGGATGAGATCATGAAAGGGGTGCACTGGTGTAGGATTTTATACTTTATCCATTGAAGAATTTTAACAGAGTTCCATTTTAAAACATTATTTAGTCAATGGTATGGAAAAAATATTAGTAAAGGAACAAAAGTAGGTTAAGGGAGGCCAGGTAGGAGACAATTATATTCTCAGCAAGTGATTGCAGGAAAGATAATGTGGAAATGCCTGGGTGTGAGAGAGATTTTGGAAGCAGAATGGACAAGACTTGGTAATTGTTTGGTAAGAGAGGGGAAGGTGAGTGAAGAATCATGTGAAACACAGTTTGGTTTCTAGCTTAAGTAACTGAGCTCCTTTGAGTAATAGGAAACATTTGAACAGCAGCAGGTTTGTATTGTTATGTTTCATTGTGTATGCATGAATTTGAGGTACTTGAGAGACCTCAGAGTGGGGACATCAAGTGGCTATCTGGGTATAAGAATAAGGAGAAAGTTCTGGATTAAATGTAGAGTTGGAGTCATCTGTATATAGATCATTGGAGCCATGGATGTGGAAGAATTTGCTTATGGAGGATGTGCAGATGGAGAAATGAAGGGGGCATATGACAGAGCCTAAGGTGGTCCAATATTAAAGAGTGGTACATAAAACAAGAGGAGTTACTAGAACTGACTGAAAGGAGCGATCAGAGAGGCAGGGGGAATCAGAAGGCCAGCTTTCAGACCTTGGCTCCAGCCAGTTAAAGTGAAATAACCTTTGACAAGTTGAGTATCTTATGTTCTGTTTTCTCAACCATAAGAAAAGTATTTTTATACCAGCTAATATCATAAACTTGTTCTGAGAAAAATGTGGGATGATTGTTAAGTACATATTGCCACACACACACACACACGATCTTCTATATGGAATATACTAAGATCCTAGCTATACATAATAATGGATCAAATGACTGGATCATTTCATATAGACTAAAGCTGTACCCTAAGGTCAAAACCATATCTTAACTCTTCCTAGAACGTAGCAAAAGATAAAAATAATGTAATGGATTTTCTTTTATATTCATTAAGTGGTTCTACAGACAGTTCCAGACACTGAACACCAGCAGCATCACCTAAATAAATGTGAATCCCCAACAAATCATTACAGTATAATAGTAATTCATTAGAGGAAAGTATAAATGCAATTATAAAAAGTATAAAGTATAAGTGTAACTAATCGCTCATTAAGGGTGAGCTTACATATGTGTATGTGTATATATATACACACACACATATATATGTGTCTGCAAGCACACACACACACAAACTCTTATAAGGGTAAAGAATTAAATACAGCAGCAATCTGGAAAGCAAATGCTTTCAGCAAATTCATGAGCTCTTGATTGCAAAGCACTGAGATAATTATGCCCACTTGCTTTGGAGTCATATATTCATTAAACACTGATTATCTGTATTTTTTCAAAGGATTGCGAGATCCTGCTTGCTTTTATGTTGGTGTAATCTTTATTTTAAATGGACTAATGATGGGATTGTTCTTCATATATGGAACATACCTAAGGTAAGACTACTACTAAATTAAGAGACCTTTCAGTGGGCTTTTACAGACTGGCTGATATTTGTTGATTAAATGAAAAGGAAAATTAATGAGATTAGATTCATATCAGGAAAGTTTGTGGATTTACTTGATTTTTCAGAAGCTTAACCAATATCATGTAACCAGAAACTGGAGATGTCACTAAAATTCTATCTCAAAGTCATCCCTTTTATTCTGTTGTTTAAACAGATTTCCTAACAAAGGCTTTAATGGAATATCTCCTAGTTCATGTGTAAAATTAATAAAACATTGGAGGAGATCTTTGGTTAGCAGTTGTAGCAGCTTATTTCTAATTGTATTCTCTAAGGATGAAATTAAGAAAGCAGTAGGCAAAATTGTGAATCACATGTGGCAGGCACTTACATCTGCTAGCATGTCTATCTTGATAAGAGTACCACAGTGAAGCAGCAGTGAGACCGGTCTCAGGTGATAAGTTGAAATTAATTTCAACGGTCATGTGTTTTGCCTCCACACTTAATTGCTCCCTGAGATAGCCATACCAGCTAGTTTTTGCCAATGAAAACTAAGTTGAAGTCAGTTTTGGTTACATCTAGTAAAGTATCTGCCTTTCTCACAAAAGGACAGACTTAGCTGCCCCTTCTCTGTTTCTTCCTGCTTTTATTACACTAGGATGTCATGCCCAGAGCTGTAGCAGTCATCTTGTGACCATAAGGGAAAGGTCATAAAAATAGCGGATATATCTGGCCTACCATCCTTCTGCTGCTGAACCAATGCCAACAGATACTTACCTTTCATTTTCTTGTTGAATGATATAATAAACAACATCCATATTGTGTAAGCCACTTTTGTTAGGTTTTCTGTTTCTTTCAGTGGAGCATATTCCTAGCTGAATCATCAGATTTCTTTACAATGGTATTCTTGTTGTGCAAAACATTTAAAATTAAAATTAAAATTAATTGATAGCTTTACTCTTTCAACAAATATTTATTGAGTTTTCATGGGGCTTCTGTCAATACAGAGATTAGTAAATACACACACTCTTTGTTTTAGGAAGTTTTCAGCATAAAAAAGACTAGCATAGAATCAATGAAAACTAATGACATAGTCAGTATTGTGCCAGGGATACTATCCAGCACGGTAAATAAAAAGAAAAGTAGTAATAAGTATAAGGATTGGAAAACTTGAAAAAAAAGAAATAAGTGTTCTTAAAAGTAGATTACATCATGTATCTAGAAAAATTTTAAAAGTTTATGGATACAGTATTTGCAATAATAAGAAAATTTACAATGTTACTAGATGTAAGCATTAATATTAAAATTCAAAATTATAAATTTTATACTTTAGCATCAAATAGAAAATGAAATTTTGAAAGGATGCTATTTAGAATAGCATTAAAAGCATGATATTCCTCAGAATAAATCCAACAAAAGATACATATGACAGCTATGGGCAAATGATTAAAACATTCCTGAGATATGTCTAGGAAAATCTAAGTGGAGAGATATTCCACATTCACTGATTGAAGACTTGATATTTAAAAGCTTTATAGATTCAATGCTCTACCAGTCAAAATTCCAACGTATTTTTTGTTGACTTTGATGAGCTGATTTAAAAGTTATTCAGAAATGCAAAGGGCCAAATACAGTCAAGGTATTCTTGAAAAAGGAGGATTTGCACTATCAATTGTTGCTGTATTATAAAGCTAATGTAAAAAGACACTATGATATTAGCATAGCAATAGACAAATAGATAACTGCAATAGAGTAGAGCCCAGAGCAGAAATGTACATTTAAAGGCATTTGATATATGGAAGAGTGGGTATCGCAGATTGGTGAGTAAGGACAGGCATTTTAATAAATAGTGCTTGAATAATTGGGAGATCATATGGAACAAGGAGAAATTGGAACTATATAAGTAATAAATCCAAGTTGGATTAAACACTCAAATATGAAAGACAAATTTATAAAGTGTTCAGCGTATAATATAGAAAAAGTCACTTGGAATAAGAAATGATTTCATAAACAAGATACAAAAATCCAGTCATGAAGAAAAACTGATAAATTTGATGAAAAGAACTTCAGTTCCTCAAAAGAACTGTAGGATAAAAAATAAACCGCAAAGTGAGTGAAGATATTTACAAAGTATATGCCCCACCTACTATCCAGAAATTTCATTCATTAATTTGATAAATATTTATTGAAAGACTGTTGTGACCAGGAGCACTGTTCTAGGTGCTTGGAATACAGAACAGAAATCTCTGTCCTCGTGAAGTTTATATTAGAGTGGGAAGATAAAGAGGAAAGACAACCTGATAGAAAAATGGACAAATTGTTTATGAACTGATATTTCCCAGAAGAACTCCAAATGGTCAATAAACATATGTAAAGTTGACCACCATCATTAGTCATCAAGAAAATACAAATTCAAACCACAGTGAAATACCAACTCACATCTAATAGATTGATAAATGAGCTTTCATCCACCGCAGGTGGACATATAAATTGGTACAACTGTTTTGGTAAACAGTGTACATTATCTGATAACCTTCAAGATATAGATACCTTGTAACTCAGTAATTCTAATTTAAAGTATATATTCCCAAAAAAGTCTTGCACATGTGTACTGGGAAGTACATACAATAATATAGTAGCATTATTTGCAATAGCTTCAAACTGGAAACAACCCAAATATCCATTAACAGAGAAATGAATACATTTTGGTTTATTAACATGGTGGAACAGTATACAATAATGAGAATGAATGAACTATACAGCTACACACAATATGGTTGAATCTTACAAATATAATTTTGAATGAATGAATCCAGGTACAAAATTTAAAAAAATACTCCATACTTCCATTTGTATGTTGTTTAAAAACAGATTAAAGTAAATCATAGTTTGATATGTATATAGAAATGGTTATGTTGATAATCTCAAAAATCAGGTCAGTAGCTGATTCTTATCTTGGAGGCTGGCAAGTGGAGACTCAGTATAATAATTTCTCTATTTCAGTTAATTATATGGCGACTACATGGACGTTCCTTTTACAATAGTTCTATGAGCTAGAAATGTTATGCACTTTTCTATATGCCATATAGAAAAAATATAAGCTCATTGAAGTATTTTGAGGGAAAAGGATTGCTTTGAGATTGTTTGGGCAGCTTTAAAAATGTTCTATTTTTTTAAAAAAGTTCTGTTTTGGGGCTGGGAGCAGTGGCTCACTCCTGTAATCCCAGCACTTTGGGAGGCCAAGGCGGGCTGATCATGAGGTCAGATCGAGACCAACCTGGCTAACAAGGTGAAACCCTGTCTCTACTAAAAATACAAAAAAATCCAAAAAAAAAAAAAAAATTAGCTGGGCGTGGTGGCGGGCGCCTGTAGTCCCAGCTACTCGGGAGGCTGAGGCAGGAGAATGGCGTGAACCCGGGAGGCGGAGCTTGCAGTGAGCCGACATCGCGCCACTGCACTCCAGCCTGGGCAACAGAGCGAGGCTCAGTCTCAAAACTAAAAATAAAAAAATAAATAAATCAATAAATAAGTTCTGTTTTTGAAAATGGTTTGTATTTATCTTTTTTGTTTTTTCGTATGGAAAATGTTACACAACAATGACTAAAACTTTAAAAATCAGTATATTTCATTAGGAGGGCTACCGAAGAGGTGCTATTCTCTCTAAATTGGTTATATAGTCCTGGAATATAAAATACAATATTAGGCTCTATCTAGTCTTTAAGAAGGATATACAGAGTCAACCAATATTGACTGTAGAGGTGTCATCAAAACTGTGAGGAGATTGGAAACTGGCATTTGAGGAACAAAAGAAATAGAAATTTGGGGAAAACTTTTGTATTTGTTACCATGGCTACCCTCCCCACTGACACTAACTGGGAAGGTAGATATTCTACTTCCATTCTTTTGGTGACTAACCATAAAATTTTAACATACAGATATGATTTGTTCAAGTATAAAATACATTGATATCTTTCCCGTTTTTCCAATCAAACAAGGAATCTTGGAATGCTTTTCTTCAAAACATCCTCTCTTTTTTTTAATTATTATTATACTTTTAAGTTCTAGGGTACATGTGCACAACGTTCAGGTTTGTTACATATGTATACTTGTGCCATGTTGGTGTGCTGCACCCAATAACTTGTCATTTACATTAGGTATATCTCCTAATGCTATCCCTCCTCCCTCCCCCCACCCCATGACAGGCCCCGGTGTGTGATGTTCCCCAAACTGTGTCCAAGTGTTCTCATTGTTCAATTCCCACCTATGAGTGAGAACATGCGGTGTTTGGTTTTCTGTCCTTGTGACAGTTTGCTCAGAATGATGGTTTCCAGCTTCATCCATGTCCCTACAAAGGATGTGAACTCATCATTTTTTATGGCTGCATAGTATTCCATGGTGTATATGTGCCACATTTTCTTAATCCAGTCTATCATTGATGGACATTTGGGGTGGTTTCAAGTCTTTGCTATTGTGAATAGTGCCACAATAATCATATGTGTGCATGTGTCTTTATAGCAGCATGATTTATAATCCTTTGGGTATATACCCAGTAACGGGATGGCTGGGTCAAATGGTATTTCTAGTTCTAGATCTTTGAGGAATTGCCACACTGTCTTCCACAGTGGTTGAACTACTTTACAGTCCCACCAACAGTGTAAAAGTGTTCCTATTTCTCCACATCCTCTCCAGCACCTGTTGTTTCCTGACTTTTTAATGATTGCCATTCTAACTGGTGTGAAATGGTATCTCATTGTGGTTTTGATTTGCAGTTCTCTGATGGCCAGTGATGTGAGCATTTTTTCATGTGTCTGTTGGCTGCATAAATGTCTTCTTTTGAGAAGTGTCTGTTCATATCCTTCGTCTACTTTTTGATGGAGTTGTTTGATTTTTTTCTTATAAATTTGTCTAAGTTCTTTGCAGATTCTGGATATTAGCCCTTTGTCAGATAAGTAGATTGTAAAAATCTTCCCCCATTCTGTAGGTTGCCTGTTCACTCTGATGGTAGTTTCTTTTGCTGTGCAGAAGCTCTTTAGTTTAATTAGATCCCATTTGTCAATTTTGGCTTTTGTTGCCATTGCTTTTGGTGTTTTAGTCATGAAGTCCTTGCCCATGCCTATGTCCTCAATGGTATTGCCTAGGTTTTCTTCTAGGGTTGTTATGGTTTTAGGTCTAACATTTAAGTTTTTAATCCATCTTGAATTAATTTTTGTAAAAGGTGTAAGGAAGGGATTCAGTTTCAGCTTTCTACATATGGCTAGCCAGTTTTCCCAGCACCATTTGTTAAATAGGGAATCCTTTCCCCATTGCTTGTTTTTCTCAGGTTTGTCAAAGATCAGATGGTTGTAGATGTGTGGTATTATGTCTTAGGGCTCTGTTCTGTTCCATTGGTCTATATCTCAGTTTTGGTACCAGTACCATGCTGTTTTGGTTACTGTAGCCTTGTAGTATAGTTTGAAGTCAGGTAGTGTGATGTCTCCAGCTTTGTTCTTTTTGCTTAGGATTGTCTTGGCAATGCGGGCTCTTTTTTGGTTCCATATGAATTTTAAAGTAGTTTTTTCCAATTCTGTGAAGAAAGTCATTGGTAGCTTGCTGGGGATGGCATTGAATCTATAAATTACCTTGGGCAGTATGGCAATTTTCACGATATTGATCCTTCCTATCCAGGAGCATGGTATGCTCTTCCATTTGTTTGTGTCCTCTTTTATTTCATTGAGCAGTGGTTTGTAGTTCTCCTTGAAGAGGTCCTTCACTTCCCTTGTACGTTGGATTCGTAGGTATTCTCTTTGAAACAATTGTGAATGGGAGTTCACTCATGATTTGGCTCTCTGTTTGTCTGTTAGTGGTGTATAGGAATGGTTGTGATTTTTGCACATTGATTTTGTATCCTGAGACTGCTGAAGTTGCCTATCAGCTTAAGGAGATTTTGGGCTGAGATGATAGGGTTTTCTAAATATACAATCATCTCATCTGCAAACAGGGACAATTTGACTTCCTCTTTTCCTAATTGAATACATTTTATTTCTTTCTCTTGCCTGATTGCCCTGGCCAGAACTTCCAACACTATGTTGAAGAGGAGTGGTGAGAGAGGGCATCCCTGTCTTGTGCTGGTTTTCAAAGGGAATGCTTCCAGTTTTTGCCCATTCAGTATGATATTGGCTGTGGGTTTGTCATAAATAGCTCTTATTATTTTGAGATACATCCCATCAATACCTAGTTTATTGAGAGTGTTTAGCATGAAGGGCTGTGGAATTTTGTCGAAGGCCTTTTCTGCACCTATTGAGATAATCATGTGGTTTTTGTCTTTGGTTCTGTTTATATGATGGATTACCTTTATTGATTTGCGTATGATGAACCAGCCTTGCATCCCAGGGATGAAGCCCACTTGATCATGGTGGATAAGCTTTTTGATGTGCTGCTGGATTCGGTTTGCCAGTATTTTATTGAGGATTTTTGCATCAATGTTCATCAGGGATATTGGTCTAAAATTCTCTTTTTTTTATTGTGTCTCTGCCAGACTTTGGTATCAGGATGATGCTGGCCTCATAAAATGAGTTAGGGAGGATTCCCTCTTTTTCTATTGATTGGAATAGTTTCCTAAGCAATGGTACCAGCTCCTCCATTTACCTCTGGTAGAATTGGGCTGTGAATCTGTCTGGTCCTGGACTTTTTTTGGTTGATAGGCTATTAATTATTGCCTCAATTTCAGAGCCTGTTATTGGTCTATTCAGAGATTCAACTTCTTCCTGGTTTAGTCTTGGGAGGGTGTATATTTCCAGGAATTTATCCATTTCTTCTAGATTTTCTAGTTTATTTGCATAGAGGTGTTTATAGTATTCTCTGATGGTAGTTTGTATTTCTGAGGGATCGGTGGTGATATCCCCTTTATCATTTTTTATTGCATCTATTTGATTCGTCTCTCTTTTCTTCTTTATTAGTCATGCTAGCGGTCTATCAATTTTGTTGATCTTTCCAAAAAACCAGCTCCTGGATTCATTGATTTTTTGAAGGGTTTTTGTGTCTCTATCTCCTTCAGTTCTGCTCTGATATTAGTTATTTCTTGCTTTCTGCTAGCTTTTGAATGTGTTTGCTCTTGCTTCTCTAGTTCTTTTAATTGTGATGTTAGGGTGTCAATTTTAGATCTGTCCTGCTTTCTCTTGTGGGCATTTAGTGCTATAAATTTCCCTCTACACACTGCTTTGAATGTGTCCCAGAGATTCTAGTATGTTGTGTCTTTGTTCTCATTGGTTTCAAAGAACATCTTTATTTCTGCCTTCATTTCATTATGTACCCAGTAGTCACTCAGGATCAGGTTATTCAGTTTCCATGTAGTTGAGCAGTTTTGAGTGAGTTTATTAATCCTGAGTTCTAGTTTGATTGTGCTGCCGTCTGAGAGACAGTTTGTTATAATTTCTGTTCTTTTACATTTGCTGAGGAGTGCTTTACTTCCAACTATGTGGTCAATTTTGGAATAAGTGCGGCGTGGTGCTGAGAAGAATCTATATTCTGTTGATTTCGGATGGAGAGTTCTGTAGATGTCTATTAGGTCTGCTTGGTGCAGAGCTGAGTTCAATTCCTTGGTATCCTTGTTGACTTTCTGTCTCGTTGATCTGTCTAATGTTGACAGTGGGGTGTTAAAGTCTCCCATTATTATTGTGTGGGAGTCTAAGTATCTTTGTAGGTCACTCAGGACTTGCTTTATGAATCTGGGTGCTCCTGTATTGGGTGCATATATATTTAGGATAGTTAGCTCTTCTTGTTGAATTGATCCCTTTACCATTATGTAATTACCTTCTTTGTCTCTTTTGATCTTTGTTGGTTTAAAGTCTCTTTTATCAGAGACTAGGATTGCAACCCCTGCCTTTTTTTGTTTTCCATTTGCTTGGTAGACCTTCCTCCATCCCTTTATTTTGAGCCTGTGTGTGTCTCTGCGTGTGAGATGGGCTTCCTGAATACAGCACACTGATGGGTCTTGACTCTTGATCCAATTTGCCAGTCTGTGTCTTTTAATTGGAGCATTTAGCCCATTTACATTTAAGGTTAATATTGTTATGTGTGAATTTGATCCTGTCGTTATGATGTTAGCTGGTTATTTTGCTCGTTACTTGATGCAGTTTCTTCCTAGCCTTGATGTTCTTTACAATTTGGCTTGTTTTTGCAGTGGCTGGTACCAGTTGTTCCTTTCCATATTTAGTGCTTCCTTCAGGAGCTCTTTTAGGGCAGGCCTGGTGGTGACAAAATCTCTCAGCATTTGCTTGTCTGTAAAGGATTTTATTTCTCCTTCACTTACGAAGCTTAGTTTGGCTGGATATGAAATTCTGGGTTGAAAATTCTTTTCTTTAAGAATGTTGAATATTGGCCCGCATTCACTTCTGGCTTGTAGAGTTTCTGCTGAGAGATCCGCTGTTAGTCTCATGGGCTTCCCTTTGTGGGTAACCTGACCTTTCTCTCTGGCTGCCCTTAACAATTTTTCCTGCATTTCCATTTTGGTGAATCTGACAATTCTGTGTCTTGGAGTTGCTCTTCTCGAGGAGTATCTTTGTGGCATTCTCTGTATTTCCTGAATTTGAGTGTTGGCCTGCCTTGCTAGACTGGGGAAGTTCTCCTGGATAATATCCTGCAGAGTGTTTTCCAACTTGGTTCCATTCTCCCTGTCACTTTCAGGTACACCAATCAGATGTAGATTTGGTCTTTTCACATAGTCCCATATTTCTTGGAGGCTTTGTTCGTTTCTTTTTATTGTTTTTTCTCTAAACTTCTCTTCTCGCTTCATTTCATTCATTTGATTGTCCATCACTGATACCCTTTCTTCCAGTTGATCGAATTGGCTACTGAGGCTTGTGCATTCGTCATGTAGTTCTCGTGCCTTGGTTTTCAGCTCCATCAGGTCCTTTAAGGACTCCTCTGCATTGGTTATTCTAGTTAGCCATTCGTCTAATTTTTTTTTCAAGGTTTTTAACTTCTTTGCCATGGGTTCAAACTCCCTTTAGCTCAGAGTAGTTCGATCATCTGAAGCCTTCTTCTCTCAACTCGTCAAAGTCATTCTCCATCCAGCTTTGTTCCGTTGCTGGTGAGGAGCAGCGTTCCTTTGGAGGAGGAGAGGCACTCTGATTTTTAGGGTTTTCAGTTTTTCTGCTCTGTTTTTTTCCCCATCTTTGTGGTTTTATTTACCTTTGGTCTTTGATGATGGTGACGTACAGATGGGGTTTTGGTGTGGATGTCCTTTCTGTTTGTTAGTTTTCCTTCTAACAGTCAGGACCCTCAGCTGCAGGTCTGTTGGAGTTTGCTGGAGGTCCACTCCAGACCCTGTTTGCGTGGGTATCAGCAGTGGATGCTGCAGAACAGTGGATATTGGTGAACAGCAAGTGTTGCTGCCTGATCATTCCTCTGGAAGTTTTGTCTCAGAGGAGTACCCGGCTGTGTGAGGTGTCAGTCTGCCCCTACTGGGGGTGCCTCCCAGTTATGCTACTCGGAGGTCAGGGATCCACTTGAGGAGGCAGTCTGTCTGTTCTCAGATCTCCAGCTGCGTACTGGGAGAACCGCTACTCTCTTCAAAGCTGTCAGACAGAGACATTTAAGTCTGCAGAGGATTCTGCTGCCTTTTGTTTGGCAATGTCCTGCCCCCAGAGGTGGAGTCTACAGAGGCAGGCAGGCCTCCTTGAGCTGCGGGAGGCTCCACCCAGTTCGAGCTTCCTGGCTGCTTTGTTTACCTACTCAAGCCTTGGCAATGGCAGGCGCCCCTCCCCCATCCTGGCTGCCGCCTTGCAGTTTGATCTCAGACTGCTGTGCTAGCAATGAGGGAGGCTCCGTGGGCATAGGACCCTCTGAGCCAGGTGCGGGATATAATCTCCTGGTGTGCCATTTACTAAGACCACTGGAAAAGCGCAGTATTAGGGTGGGAGTGACCCAATTTTCCAGGTGCCTTCTGTCACCCCTTTCTTTGATTAGGAAAGGGAATTCCCTGATCCCTTGCGCTTCCCGGGTGAGGCAATGCCTAGCCCTGCTTCAGCTCATGCTCGGTGCACTGCACCCACTGTCCTGCACCCACTTTCCGACAATCCCCAGTGAGATGAACACAGTACCTCAGTTGGAAATGCAGAAATCACCCGTCTTCTGCATCGCTCATGCTGGGAGCTGTAGACTGGAGCTGTTCCCATTCGGCCATCTTGGCTCCACCCCCCGCCAACTCATCTTACTTTGATTTATCCACATTTCCTCAGTTCCTCCATGTACAATTGGTCCTTGCTGCTCACACATTCTTTCTTTCAATTTCTTCCTCTTTGAAGTTCATCCTTTGTATTTTCTGTGTGAAGCTTTATTAAATGGTAAATCATTTCCCATGAGCCTTCCTCTGCTGTTTTCTTCCTTTCTTTCTTCATTAATTCAACCAATATTTATTAATCTTCCAAGTGTGAAGCTGGGGATATAGCAATGAACAAGACAGATAAAGAACCTGTCCCTGTCCTCATGGTGCTTAGAATGTGTTAGACTAGGGAAGTGGTGTATGGAGAAAAGATAAATGGAAGCATAGAAACACTATACAGATGTGGGATTGAGCATCTGCATTCTTATACACAGACATGATCACAAAAAGGCAATTTAAGAAATGGTTTTTGGCCGGGTGCGGTGGCTCACGCCTGTAATCCCAGCACTTTGGGAGGCTGAGGCGGCTGGATCACTTGAAGTCAGGAGTTTGAGACCAGCCTGGCCAACATGGCGAAACACCGTCTCTACTAAAAATACAAAAATCAGCCAGGTATGGTGGCATGTGCCTGTAATCCCAGCTACTCGGGAGGCTGAGACAGAAGAATCAGCTTGAACCAGGGAGGCGGAGGTTGCAGTGAACCGAGATCGCGCCACTGCACTCCAGCCTGGGTGACAGAGTGAGACTCTGTCTCAAAACAAAACAAAACAACAACAACAACAACAAAAGAAATGGTTTTTATCTTTCATCTGATTTTTGTATTCTGCATTATTGCTTCTCTGGGACTCAAGTAAAGAATATTTGCAGTAGTTTAGATAGTTCTAAGTTAATGCTACATGAAACTGTTAGAATGTTGTCTTCATCTCTCAGTCCCTTAAATCCAATTTCAAAAGATAAAAATTTGCTTTTGTTCAGAGTGTTCAAAGGATGTGATCTAGACTCTAAAGTGCTAGCCTGTTTCTTAAAAATGATTTTATGTGGCCGGGTGCGGTGGCTCACACCTGTAATCTCAGCACTTTGGGAGGCCGAGGCGGGTGGATCACGAGGTCAGGAGTTCGAGACTAGCTTAGCCAACATGGTGAAACCCTGTCTCTGCTAAAAGTAAAAAAATTAGCCGGGCGTGGCAGCATGCGCCTGTAATCTGAGCTACTCGGGAGCCTGAGGCAGGAGAATCGTTGGAACCCAGGAGGCGGAGGTTGCTGTGAGCCGAGATTTTGCCACTGCACTCCAGCCTGGGCAACAGAGCAAGACCCCATCTCAAAAAAAAAAATTATGTTCACACCTTATGTATTTTATTTAGAAAGTATTTTAGCTATAATAAATTATAAAATTGAGATTAATTTATACATACAGTTTTTAGAATTGTACATTCAGGATTTAAACTTCAACCACATGGGTATGGTTTAGTACTATTATGTTTTAAATATAGAAAACTGTGATTTTAAATTCTGAGGTAATTTTGTGAAAAACTCACTGTATTTTACATGAATTTTGATTGTATACTCTATTTTTTTTTTTTTTTACAGTGGTACTGAACTGGGAGGTCTTATTACAGTACTGTGCTTCTTTTTCAACCATGGAGAGGTTTGTTCTCTAGAAAGCAATTTTTAAGAAATAGAAGAGGCTGTAGAGGAACAAGGAAATATACTCATCAAAAGAATATTTAATTGTATACTACTTATGACTTCACAATATTTTAAAGACCCTTGTGTTATAAGTTGATATTTTAATCATGTTGATTGAAATGTTTAAATAGCTAGAATTTCAAACATGAAATCTCTTGCCTTATTTTTAGTAAATATATACATATGCATATATTCTGTAGAGAAAAGGAAATATTGTACTTGTTGAGTTGAATCATATCATGCACATTATCTGATTTATTCCCACTAAAGTTTTTTTGTGGGTGATGGTAGCCTCGCCATACAAGTTATGAAATTTAAATTTAGAGAAAATTAAGTTACTTATCCACTTTCCACATTTACTACATGATGAAGCTGGATTTCCCATTCTATGTCTGTCTGCCTCTAAAACCTCACATATATATTAATTTATATTTTATAAATTATAAAATTATAGTTATATTTTATAAAAACTTATATATTATATATATATAACATATATATTCAACTTTTTTATTGTGGTCAGAGTAAGTAACATATGATCTGCCCTCTTAACAGATTTTTAAGTGTATAATATAGTATTAACACAATGTTGTATAGCAGATCTCCAGAACTTATTCACCTTGCCTAACTGAAACTTTGTATGCATTGCTCTCCCCTTAACAACAATGAAAGAGGCCTCAGGCCTGACAGCAGGGACACAGTTAAGACACTGCCACCTGCTCCCTCACTTCTTTCTGTTACATCATGCTGTCTGTTCAGTAATGCAAAATGCTGAATTCAAAATAGACATTAACTTACTAATTCAGCCCAGTGAAACATAGTCCACCTAAAAAAGAGCTCATAGAAGCTTATTTCAAATACGATGGATTCATTCAACAAATTATTGAGTACATACCACGTCCATGCTCTGCTAAATGCTGAGGATATGGCAATGAAAAAGAGAGAGATTCTGACTACTAGCTCTTGGGAGCAAAACATTTAATATGTTATGACACAGGTTACATAGGGTAGAAGTATTTTTTTTTTTTTCAAGATGGAGTCTTGCTCTGTCACCCAGGCTGGAGTGCAGTGGCGCGATCTCAGCTCTCTGCAACCTCCGTCTCCCAGGTTCAAGCAATTCTCCTGCCTCAGCCTCCTGAGTAGCTGGCATTACAGGCATGTGCCACCATGCTCAGCTAAATTTTTGTATTTTTAGTAGAGATGGAGTTTCACCATGTTGGCCAGGCTGGTCTCGAACTCCTGACCTCATGATCCACCCGCCTCGGCCTCCCAAAGTACTGGGGATTACAGGCGTGAGCCACCACGCCCAGCCAGGGCAGAAGTACTTTTATCCATTGCTCTTGGGTTAATTTTTAAAAATCAGTTAGATAAAGGAATCATAAAAATTATACATAAAAGCCTTATATATATTATTTTAAAGCAAACAAATGCATTGTCATTCAACAATGTGCTGACCTAAAGACAAAGGTTTTTCTCTGAGTGTTCCAGACAACTGTTGGTATAAGTTGACTTTCTTATATGTATCATAATTCCTCTTCCAACATTTACAATTTTGGTATCTTGGAAGAGAAGCAATAACTTTTAAGACTCTTGCAAAGTAATAAGAGTTCACATTCTTTCTAGAATTTCAGAATTTTTGATGGAAAATTTTTCTAATACTCTGACCCATATGTCTTAGAAGTAATTTTAAAGTTTGTTTGAAAATTTAATACTTTCATTACATGCATCACATTTGTAGTTCCCAAATACTTCTAGTTGTTTTTAAAATATGTACTTAACCTTTTTTAAGGTACATTTTACAAATTCTGAGGCAATCGTAGCTATTCGAAGTGTGTATTTATATTCTTTCATACTTGTTATGTAGAAACTCTCTTGGTGCTTGCGAATGACCTAGGTGACATTCGTTTAGCTATTTGTCTTGGCATGCATATATCTCAAAGCCTGGGATGCCAGGATCATATGCCAGGATCATACTGCAGGGCTGGGCTGTGGATCTAGTTGGTCAGTCCCAGAATTCTCACAACTCTTATACGTACAATCTTGTTTGTCCCTTGGGCTTCCTTTTGCTCGGTCTGATATATCTGTAGCTGGTTTCTGGACATGGTAGTTAACTGCTCACTACATAATGGTCTCATGAGTTGAGAGAGCTTCAAAAACTGAGAAGCTATGCCAGACACTCAGAAATGGGATCTAGTGAGCCTAGTATTAAAATTACTAAAACAAACTCACCCCTCGTTTTTTAATATGTTTGTTGTAGTAAACAGGATGTAAAGTGGGCATTTTGTTGATTTCAGGCCACCTGTGTGATGTGGACACCACCTCTCCGTGAAAGTTTTTCCTATCCTTTCCTTGTACTTCAGATGTATGTTTTAACTTTGATTCTCAGGTAACTTCGATTTATAAAACAAAGGCAAATAAATTATAATTTAAGTTTCTTAAAATATACTTCAATTCAGCACTTTGGGAGGCCGAGGTGGGTGGATCGCTTGAGATCAGGAGTTCGAGACCAGCCTGGCCAACATGGTGAAACCTCATCTCTACTAAAATACAAAAATTAGCCGGGCATGGTGGTGTGCATCTGCCATCCCAGCTACTTGGGAGGCTGAGGCAGGAGAATTGCTTGAACTCGGGAGGCGGAGGTTTCAGTGAGCCGAGATTGTGCCACTGCACTCCAGCCTGGGCAAGAGAGCAAGACTCCCTCTAAAAAAATGTAAATATATATATTACATATATATACTTCAATCTATGAAGTTGTAATTACCAAATTTAGACCATTTTTTAGTTATTTTAAAAGTAAATTGAGTATAGGGTTAAGAAAATAATTCAAAATTGCTATGTAAAAATTGCTCTCCGTTTAAGAGTGTAGGCTACAGGTTTTAGATAACTACATTATGTTTTAATAAACCAAAAGGTATGTGTTTGTATATAGTTTGCCAAGATTCAAAAGTTTTTGAGAAACAATTACATTTTCTCTTCACAGTTTAAGTTCTCTGACATTGTTTTCTAACCTGTGGTTTTGATAACTGCCATGAAAAAAGTGTTCTGTGTGCAAATGAATTTGGGAAATGCAGAGTTAGATGGATAAGGAGTATATATATTCACATATTTATGAAGCATTTCTGAACAACCAATGTTTCTAACAGGACAACCAGTTTCATTTCAAACTTTTTTTTTTGGATACACTTTTTTTGTAGGGATTACATTTATAAGCATTTTAGATATTTAAGAGGTCTGAGAAATGAACAAAAAACCCCATAAGTGGTAGAATAGTATAAATAACCTTATCAGAGAAATAAGTTTGATAGAATACTAATGAGAACTCTCACTGAATGAAATAATGATCACTATCTCCTCCAAACTCCCAGAGGACCCCATTCTTCACCTACTAGTCCCTGGGAGATTCTGCCTTCTATAAAAATCATTTGTTTGTCTTCCTTGTTTTTTAAAACAGTAAATTTATGAATCTTCCACAATACACAAATTTTTATTTATTTATTTAGAGATGAGGTCTTGCTCTGTCACCCAGGCTGGAGTGCAGTGGCACGATCTGCTCACTGCAACCTCTGCTTCCCAGGTTCAAGCGATTCTCCTGCCTCAGCCTCCCAAGTAGCTGGGATTATAGGTGCACGCCACCATCCCCAGCTAATTTTTGTATTTTTAGTAGAGGCAGGGTTTTACCATGTTGGCCAGGCTGGTCTCGAACTCCTGACCTCAAGTGATCCACCCGCTTCAGCCTCCCTAAGTGCTGGGATTACAGGTGTGAGCCACTGTGCCTGGCCAATTACATGTATTTAAAAGTACCACTGTACTTTTAAACAGGGACCATGCCATATTTATCTCTTTAACCACAGAACACTGCACACGTCCATGCAAATATTTGTGGCACTCAGATAAAGCTAATTGAAGGGTGGTAAATAGTAGTGTACTGGGGTGGCACAAACCTTGAGAATGGAGCAGGCCAACTTCTGATTTCTTACCAACCTGACAAGTATATTCTGGGGTTGAATTTGGATTTAGGAACCTCCTCCTCACTGAGATTTCTATATCTTTGCTCTACACTTTGCCTTCTCTCAAAGATTAGGTGATGGAAGCTGCCCATTCTTCATCACCCCTTGCTACTCATTCCCAGTTTAATTCCTAGAAAGGTGGGTTATTTTTATTTTTTTGAAGTGATATCAGTCTGGTCAGTCAGGGGTTTCATGGAATAAAATGTCTTAATTAGAATATTTAGGGTTGTATCATTGAGGGCATGTGCTATACTCTGTGTCTTAGTCAAAAGTAATTTTTGTTTGAAAAATATAAGATTACAAAGTACATAATGAGTATTTTATGATAAGATTAGTAAGCAATATGAACATTTAGAATTTTGTTTTTGAAAATTTATATATGATTGTACAAAGATTCATCAAAATCCAGTACAGAATTTATAAAAGGAAGAGTTACAGTTTTATTATTTATGTAAAATGTTTGTGTTTCTTTTTTCATATCTAAAAGTTACTGTAATTCTCTGTGGTAAAAGGTATTGGTTCCCAATACATCTCAGTAATGCAGAATGGACAATTTAAACTTCCACATGCTTCAGCTGAATTCTAGAATGATTTTTTAATTTTTTAAGATTCCTTTTCCTTAAATTTTTCCCATAGTTTTTAACTTATTACTTTGTCAGCACTTACATTTCTCTTCAATGTTTTTTGAAGCACAAAAGTGGTGGTATATAAAAGTTGTTGCTACACATACAGGAGAAGCATGTTGAGGTGTGCAGGGACAGCACCACATCCTATTTTCTGACCTCCTTGCTGGAGTAATAAATTTCTAATGTCATGCATATGTAGAGGAAAAAGAGCTTTTGTATTTAAAATATTTAATGGTAAATTACAATGTTAATTTTAAAACTCTAATTTTGATTGCTTCATGCAAGGAATGAAGTATTTCAAGTTCTTTTTAGTATACTTTACAAAGTTAACTATATTTTGTTGTATTATAGTAAAGGTAATGGAATAATGTAGATTTTATCATTTTGCTATTAGTCTTTCTTTTCAGCGACAGCCCATTTTTAGGGTGAAACTTACTGGTATCAATTCTCTCTATTAAGGACCTCAAGCAATGATAGAAGGCCCTTCATTGCACTCTGTCTTTCCAATGTTGCTTTTATGCTTCCCTGGCAATTTGCTCAGTTTATACTTTTTACACAGGTAAGATGATTTTTTAAATTAATTTTTATTTTTATTTTAAGTTCTGGGGTACATGTGCGGGATGTACAGGTTTGTTACGTAGGTAAATGTATGCCATGGTGGTTTTTGCATCTATCAACCCATCACCTAGGTATTAAGCCCAGCATGCATTAGCTGTTTTTCCTAATGTTTTCCCCACCCCATCCCTTGACAGGCCCCAGTGTGTGTTGTTCCTCTCCCTGTGTCCATGTATTCTCATTGTTCAGCTCCCACTTATAAGTGAGAACATGTGGTGTTTGGTTTTCTGTTCCTGTTGCTGAGGATAATGGCCTCCAGCTCCATTCATGTCCCTGCAAAGGACCTGATCTTGTTCCTTTTTATGGCTACGTAGTATTCCATGGTGTATATGTGCCACATTTTCTTTATCCAGTCTTTCACTGATGGGCGTTTGGGTTAATTCCATGTCTTTGCTATTGTGAATAGTGCTGCAGCGAAGACATGGGTGCACATGTCTTTGTAATAGAAGGATTTATATTCCTTTGCATATATTAATTAAATTGAATGCAAGATGTACTTGGTTGTTTCCATAGAAATTTTTAAATATGGTTACATTTACGCCCTAAAAGATTTTCAAAATAGGAAATAAAGTTTACTTAAAGGTATGATTTTTATGAAATAATATAATTCCACATTCTTTTACTATATTGATTAGTTTGACAGATTTTAAGGCTCAACATGTGAAAGAGTTTTTCTATTATTTTTATTCACAAATGTTATTTTTGGTGTTTGAGATAATATCTGTATATATCTACCTAGAGATTTTCCTTTTGTCCTGGGAATCCTTCTGGGTGCCAAGCTACACAGCATGCTAAGGGCCAATCCTACTCTTGACAGCAGGACGTTCTGCTTCTAATCCAGCTAAACGTTGGCTGTTTTATCTGTGGAGCAGAATTTTACCTGGCACCGTTTCTGCGAGCTTTAATCATAAAGCTCATCATTGCTTAAGTGAGCTGAGCCCATATCCTGTTTCTAAAGCAACTACATAACTAGTAACAAGAAACTGAACTGGGGAAGCAGAGAGTAAATGGAGAATTTTGATGACATTTCATGATACTAAGATTTTCCATCAGAGCTCCTTCCTACATAACAAATGCTGATGATAATAATAATATTCTATATTGGAAGTGAGAAATTCTGCCAAGAAGTCTCATGCTGCCAATAGCCTACAAAGAATGAAATTATAACCCCAGCTCAATTGGTGCTGCATATTTAAAGTATTCCCTCTGTTTTACTTCATAATAGTTGGCCCCTTTCAGGTTATAACACAGACATTATTCTATGTTTTTCATTATTTGCACATGCCAACAGAGTGGAATAGATTTTTAATGACCATCATTTCATTGCAAGCAAATTTATTAATCCAGTGATACTGATGAAACTAAGAAGCTCTTTGGGGCCGGGCGCGATGGCTCACGCCTGTAATCCCAGAACTTTGGGAGGCTGAGGCGGGTGGATCACTTGAGGTCAGGAGTTCAAGACCAGCCTGGCCAAGATGGTGAAACCCCATCTCTACTAAAAATACAAAAAAATTAGCCGAGCATGGTGGTGGGCTCCTGTAATCTTGGGAGGCTGAGGCAGAGAATTGCTTGAACCCAGGAGGTGGAGGTTGCAGTGAGCCGAGATCACGCTACTGCACTCCAGCCTGGGTGACAGAGTGAGACTCAGTTTAAAAAAAAAAAAAAAGAAGTTATTGGGTAAGTTTGATATTGCTGTTAATGATTTCCTAGTCATTCTCTGGATATATACTAGGCTTTTATTTTTCTTTACTAATGTGTATAGTTTTTTTTGTATGTGTGTGTTTCATGCTTACAGAGGGATAATTCAATGTTATTTTCTGGGAGTACTTTAAGATTTTATTCTTAATTGTGTTTTTCGTAGATTAAGGTTAAAATTAGTTCATTGTGCAACCACATCTGGTTAATTTTTTAATTTTTTGTAGGGATGAGGTATCACCATCTTGCCCAGGCTGCTCTTGAACTCCTGGGCTCAAGCCGTCCTCCTATCTTGGCCTCCCAAAATGCTGGGATTATAGGCGTGAGCCACCATGCCTGGCCCAATTTTTTTTTTTTATGACTTCTGTGCTCTCCTGGAATTTTCAATCTTATCAGTTATTTCCTTGAACATTTGAAGCATAGTTTGAAGATATATCTGATTATGCCAGAGAAGTGTTTGAGTGATCTCCAAGCTAAGAATAGTTTTTATATATTTAGAGGGTTATAGAACAAAAATAGAAAAAGAATATACAAGAGACTGTATGTGACCAACAAAGCATAACATATTTATTATCTGGCCTTTTATATAATAAATGTGCTGATCCCTGATCTAAATCTTTTGTGGATCTATTTCTATTGTGTTAGTGATAGTGTCTTATCTCCATCTATGCTGGGTTATTTTTGATGTGGTGCTGGACATTATATATGAAAAATTGGAGAGGCGAGTAAAAAGCACTAATAAATCTTGAACCACCTTTATGCAATCAGATTGAGATGATCCGTAGATGCGTTTCAGTCTTTCTGAGGGCTGCTTGATTTCTGGTTCACTATTACAGTATGGCCTTTTGAAACTCCAAACTAAAGCACCCTTCTTGGTGCACTCTGACTGCTGAATCTGCTGAAATGCCTGCTCAGCTTGTTGGTCTTCCAACTGCCTCTCAGCTGGCAGGCATCTGCCTCTGTTGAAATTGGCAGATACCTCTGGGAGAAAAGTGGCCCAAAATGTCATGCTCATTGGTATAGATTGCCATCTATCTTTTTAATTCCTCATTTGCTTTGTTAATAGTCTGTGGCTTTTATACATATTTTAAAAATGTTTTTATTTATATATTTATATTTTTCCTAGCCATTCTAGTTCTTAGTGGGAAGGTTGGTTCAAATTCCTTTGCTTACCATTATTAGAACTGTAGCCCTCCTCTTATATTTACTTTGCCTGTGAATAGTAAAGTGTTAATTTTCTATACTTTTTTTCACTTTTGCTTTTTTATATTATTTCAGATAGCATCATTATTTCCCATGTATGTTGTGGGATACATTGAACCAAGCAAATTTCAGAAGATCATTTATATGAACATGGTAACATTTTTAATATATATAAGTCAAATATTAAGATAGGTTCTCAGAGTTTATAAAATCGAAGTGATTCTGTTTTATAGGGTACTTCCTCTTTGGTAATATTTAATACATATGGTATTGGTGATATCCAGAAGGAAAACTGGAAATGTATATTATAGATGACATATTATAACAGATTATTCTTTCAACTGGACTGTAGATGTGTTTTATTCTCTAGAACTTATATTTTTATGTTTTACTTATTATTATTACTACTTTTAAAACTGCCTTTTCTTTCTCAGACATGAGATTTTTAGCATTTTGCCTGAATATGACACTCTAACTGAAATTTTATATTCTTGCGATTTTGTTTTTGGCTTAGGTCCCAAACATAGCTTCCTTAGAAACATAAAAAGTTAGTAAAGCTCCATAAATAATAGAAGTCCTGAAGTCTAACAAAAATATGATTAGTAAAACTGGTGTTTATAACTAAGTCTTTCTTATTATATTACTCCATTGTTAAAACAATAGAAATCATAGACTTATTTTTCATTGTTCCAAGTAGCAGATGGAGAAAAAGTTAAATTCTGCCAGATAGAGTTTATGGTCTTGAATTTTCATACTTAGAATCTAGCAGTGACTTGAAGTTCTATTATCATTTGGCCAAGGGTCATTCATCTTTATGCAAATAAATTTGCATTAGAAATGGCTATATACCTACAAAATATGCATTATGCCAATATATGTAATGACCATAAAATGTATTTTTTTCATTTTTTTCAGATTTCAGTTACCCTTAGTTTCATTTTGATGTTTGGAAATTCAATGTACTTATCTTCTTATTATTCTTCATCTTTGTTAATGACATGGGTAAGTGTTTAGTTCATAAAGTTGGGTTTTTTTAAACTGCCAAATAGCATGTTTTCCTGTCTAAAACAGGTATAAGAGAATAAATAGGCCCTTTCCTGATTATCACTCAACATGACAAAATTCTTCCCAAGCAAAGCTTTTTATTTATCTTATCCTTGAAAAATATTATAGTAGGAAGTTTTTCTTTTTAAGACAGTGCCCAAGTAAATATTTAAAAATGATCATAAAGTAATAAGACTTACTTTAATCATATCCCATTTTATGGTAAAATTGACTTCTTTTCTCCTAAGTCACTTGAGGAGGTTAAATACTCATTGCAGTGACACTGCCATTGCCCAGAACATTTTTGGAACTCCTCTGAGTTTCCTTCACAGACTATGGCACATTCTTTAGTATGTCTTGCCTTTCAAGAGTGGATTTGATTTTTGGAAATGACCAAAATTTTGTGAATATTTTGTGTGATTGGGCTGGGTAATACAGATCTTGCTCAAACGATGGTGTGACAGTAAAGTCATAAGACTGATTATTTTGCACCTATAACTAAATTATTTCTGAAGGCAGTTTAGAAAGTGTAGTTCCAAACTACTTTGAGCGATGGCAAGATAATTAGAATAAGTGTGCAGTCTCCTCACGGGAACTACATGGAATGACACTCTTTTGGATATGTGTTTGGAAGGGTGGTTTAGTAAGTCAGTTCTATTACATTGTAGTTATACTTCTGATATCTATAAGCCAGAACCTAGAATATTCTCCTGTACCTCCCATCTCCACACTGATCAGAAATGATACCAACTACGGTAATGCCAAAATATAGCACTTTTCCATGTATGGTGCAGTGATTTAATCTTTTGGGATTGCCCTTATGTTTTAACATTTTTGCTTTCCATATCCTTTTTCCCTCATAGTAATCCCTCCTCTTTCTCTCCCAGAAAAAATGCTCTTTCTTTCCAACATTTTGTCAAACTATTTCACCATTACAGAGTAGAGGACTCCTAATAGTGTGCTCATCTACCTCTTTTAATGAAAACTTTTTTTTATTTTGAAATATAGTACAGATAAAACTGCATAAAGCAAATGTTTTGTGTGCTGACTTAGTGCTGGCTAATACTGATGAGTACAATGTCCCCTTCGTGTCTGCAGGGATTGATTCCAGGACACCCCCAACCCCTGTGGATACTAAAATCTGCAGATGTTCAAGTTTCTTATATAAAATGGTGTGTTATTTGCATATAATCTATGCACATCTTCCTATATACTTTAAATCATCTCTAGATTACTTATAACGTCTAATGCAATATAAATACTATGCAAATAGTTGTATACTGTATTGTTTTTTCATTTGTACTTTTTAAACTGTTGTATTATTATTATTTCAAATATTTTCTATCTGCTGTTGGTTGAATCTGCAGCAACTGGAACCCATGGATGTGGAGGGCTGACTGTGTTATGTATTATGTGGCAAACATTCTTAAACTACCATTATATCAAAATTGTAACTTTCTAAATGAGTGTAGAAGCCTCCATGTGACCTGTCCCAAAGCACTCTCTTGTACTGCCCTAAAACGATAATGACTATCTTGACTGCTGTGATAGTAACTTTCCAGCATCCCTTTATAGTTTCATCACTTAAGTTTCTCTTTTTAGCTACAAGTTTCCTGCATATCTGCCTGGTTTTATCCTCATGAAATTTATTTGTTGAAGAACCACAGTCATAGAACATGTGGAGGATTTCATGGTCCAGATTTTGCTTTTTGAGTTCTTGTGGTGTAGCTAAGCATGTTTCTTTGTCTCATGGTATAGCTTGATATATTAGAAATTGGATCTGAAACTTGGATTGCTTCAGGCTTGATCACTTTTGCAAGTCTTTAGTATTGTTCTTTCATTAAAAGGCACATGATGTCTCTCTTCATGGTACTAGCCTTCAGTGCCTTATGCTGGATCTGTTAATTCATTAGGGATTGCAAAGTGGTCACGTTCTAATCTGTCATCTGAAGTTCATTTAGGAGAAGTAAAGTAAATGTTGATTTACCTCTTTATTTGCAAGTTTTAAAAATAATGAATTGATTCCCTGTCATCTTCCAAATGTGGGCTCTTTGGGCTGTGTATGTGTGTGTTTAGGTTTCATTAGGAACATAGGGATTTAAGCATTTTTGATGTATTTCAAGTTAATTGAAGTTAATATCTTTACTCATTCTCAGATTGTTTCTTTGTTGACCAGGGGAGCCTCTTTAGGTTTCTCCTAAGTTCTCTGACATGACACTGGTGGTCTGATAGCATACTTGTGTCATGTATGACAAGTTTTTCCAGGTCTCTCTTGTGTACTCCTGCCCAAAACCTGGAGGAAGCCATTCCTGCAAGGCACCCTTCTTGCCTTTATTGGGGAAATCGTGTTTTAAGACTGCAGTCTGGGACCCAAGGATGCTCATTGCTACTGAGTAGGTCATTGTTTCTAGGCCTTATTAGTGGGCAGAGCTAGGAAATATTATAGGTTGCAGGCTCTCTCTTTTTCTTTAAAAATCTACCATGAAAATATGTGTGTGTGCATGTGTGTGTGTGCATGCATTTATGGTAAACTAGCTCACAAGTTCTGATGGGTATTTCCAAATCAAATTCAAGAATATAGGGTTTTTACTTAACTCTTTCTATCCTGTATTTGTTTTTTTTGTTTCTCTTGGGTCTCAAGAAGCCAGGGGATGATAGAATATCATATATCCATTTGCCTTCTCCCAAAGTGTATGCATGAGAATTGCTATACTGCACCACGCACATGATTATGAGAAATAAAGACTTTTTTGCATATCCTTCTTTCATTCTCTTCACCCATTTTTTTTAACTAATTCTGTATCTATATTGTCAGAACATAGAGTATTGCATACTGTACTTTCTGCCTTATCAACCTTATTTCATGTTTTTATGTGAGTAAATATGCATTTATTTATCACCAGTCTTTATGTTGTTATCTCCTAGTTATCTTGGTTATTTTAGTCTTGTTCTACAAGAGAATTCCTTCAATTCTGATGTGTTTGTCACAGTTTGTTTTGTCGCCTTTTACTTGAAAGTGAAGTTGGCTCTATGTAAAATTCTTGTCTCTTTTATTTTTACTTTTTCTTTCTTTTCTTCTTTTTTTTTTTTTTTTTTGAGACGGAGTTTCGCTCTTGTTGCCCAGGCTGGAGTGCAATGGTGCAGTCTTGGCTCACTGCAACCTCCAACTCCTGGGTTCAAGAGATTCTCTTGCCTCAGCCTCCCGTGTAGCTGGGATTACAGGCGCCTGCCACCACGCCCAGCTAATTTTTGTATTTTTAGTAGAGACGGGGTGTCACCATGTTGGCCAGGCTGGTCTCGAACTCCTGACCTCAGGTGATCTGCCCGCCTCTGCCTCCCAAGTGCTGGGATTACAGGTGTGAGCCACCACACCCGGCTGTCTCTTTTATTTTTTGCTTTGAGTACTTGTTTTACTTCTGTCCAAAAGGGTTGCTATTAAAAGTGTTACAAGTTTTGATACGTTATAAACGTATCACTTTCTCTTGAATACTTTTATTTCTTTTTTTATTTCTAAAAGTTTCTTCTCTTCACCTTTTATAGCTCTTAAGGCATTATTGTTGTGTTCATTTCCTCATATTCCTTCTAGTTTTTTATGTCTGAAATTATTTTTGTTTTATTTCAAATTATTTGATTTCTGTCAGCTCATTTCTCAGTTTTTCTGATTTTGATTTATGTCATTCTTTCACATATTTTAGTATTTTTAAATATCTTATTTTAAATGGCTCATTTTGAAATGTAAGTTTTGTTTAATTGTTCAGTCTTTCATCCTTCAGTAACTGTGTTAGCTATAGGATTTTTCAGAGAAGCCCTTTATCAGGTTAAAGAAGTTCCCTTCTGTTCAGCTTGCTGAGTTTTTTCAAAAATGAATTTTGAAGATATATCATATAGTTTCTCTTTTCTGTTTTGTTAATGTGCTGCATTATATTGGTTGATTTTCAAATGTTATAGCATCTTTGCATTCCTTGAATAGACCTCACTTTGGTCATGCTGTTTTATTATTTTTTGTTGAATACAGCTTTCTAAAATTGTACTTACGATTTTGCACCTAAGTGCATGACAATAATTGGTTCATAGTTTTCTTGTGACATCTTTGTCTTTTTTGGTATCATGGCAATGCTGGCCTCATAAAATGAGTTAAGAAGTGTTCCCTCTTCTCCAGTTTTCTGAAGAATTTGTGTAAAATCCTTAGGATTTCTTCCCTAAATATTTGGTAGAATTTACCAGTGAAACCATCTAGGACTTTCTTTGTAGGAATGTTTTTAACTACAAGTTCCATTTCATTAATAAGGTATAAGGCTATTCGTGTTATCCATTTCCTCTTGAGTGAACTTTTGTTGTATCTTTCAAGGAATTTTTTTATTTTATTTACGATGTCAAATTCATTGACAAAGGCATAATATTTTATTTCTTTTATGTATCTATAGTATCTGTAGTGATAGTTCCTCTTTCATTCCTGGTATTAGATGTTTGTGTTCTATTTTTTTTTCTCATCAGTCTGGTTAGAGGTATATCAATTTTATTAATTTTCTCAAGGAACCAGCTTTTGTTTTCATTGATTTGCTCTACTGTTTCATTGATTTCTACTCAGTCTTTGTTACCTCATTTCTTTTGCTTACTTTGGGTTTTGCTCTGCTTTTTTTCTAGTCTTTTTCTTTTTTTTAAAGGTATAAAGCAAGGTCATTGACTTGAGACCTTTCCTGTTTTTTGTTTTTTGTTTTTAAACACAGGTGTTTAGTGCTATAAACTTTTCTCAAAGTACTGCTTTATCAACATCCCACATATTTTGATAAAGTACATTTTTAAATTTATTTCATGTTATTGTCATACATTTTACTTAAACATGTGATATAGAAATCTCAATAAATTTTTGTTTTTATTTAAACAGTAAATTACCTTTTAAAAGTATTTAAAATTTTTAAAATGTTATATATTTACCCTGTAGTTACCATTTTCGGTGCCTTTTACTTGTGTACAGCCAGATTGACCTACTGTATTCTTGCTGTCTGAAAGACCTCCTTTAACGTTTCCTTTAGTGCAAATCACCTGGTCATGAAGTCTTTATTTTGCCTTCGTTTTCGAAAGGTATGTTTCCTGGGTGTAGAATTGCAGGTTAACAGCACTTTTCTTTAAGAATTTAAAAGATGCTGCTTGACTTGTCTTGTTGTTTGCATTTTTTTTCTTATGAAATCTGTTGACATCTCTACGCTTTTGTCTATAAATAATATGTTACTTCTCTAGCTATTCCTAGCTAGAAATAAGATTTTCTCTTTACCACTGATTTTGAGCAGTTTGTTTATATAATGTGCCTTACTATAGCTTTCTTTATGTTTCTTGTATTTAGGATTAATTGAAATTCTTAGATCTTTAGGTTTACAATTTTTATCAAATTTGGAAAAATTTTGGCCATTATTTCTTCAAATATTTTTCTGCCTCCCCACCTCACTTTCATTTAGGGACTCTCATTACATGTATATTGGCCTGCTTGAAATTGTTCAGTGGTTCATGGAGCCTATGTTTATTTTTGTTATTTATTTAATTTTGGATAGTTACTATTGCTGTGTCTTCAAGAGTTCACTAGTTGTTTTTCTGCAGTATCTAACCTGTTGTTAATCACATCCAGTGTATTTCTCTTTTAAGTCACTGTAGTTTTCATATCTAAAAGTTCATTTTGGATCTTTGAAGTATTTTTGTGTCTCTAGTTAACATGTTCTTTCTCTGTTACCACTTCTTCACCATGTGTAATACAGTTATACTAACTGCCTCAGTGCCTCCACCTGCTAATTCTGTCATCTGTGTCAGTTTCAATTAATTGTTTCTTCTTCTCATATCGGGGTTGTGTTTTCTTAAGTGTTTGCATGCTTGGCAATGTTTACTTTGATGCCAGGCTTTGTGACTTTTACCTTGTTAGCTGCTGGATTATTTTCTTATTCCTATAGATATTCTTGAGCTTTTTTCTGTGATGCAGTTAAGCCACTTGAACATAGGCTGATCTTTTCAGGTCTTGCTTTTAAGATTTGTTAGCTGGAATTAAAGTACTAGTTAGTTTATGGCTAATATTGCTGCTCTCTGAAGCAAACTCTTCTGTGTAGACTACCCGATGTGCCCTTTGGCTGCACTATTTTATATTCCCACCAACAGTGCATAAGCATTCCAATTTTTCTACATTTTTGCGAAGACTTGTTACTTCTGGTTTAGTTTTGGTTTGTTTTGTTTTATAATGGCCATCCTAACAGGTTTGAGGTGGTATCTCATTGTGGTTTTGATTTACATTTCCCTGATGATAAGTGATGTTGAACATCATTTTAAATACCTGTTGGACATTTGTATTTATTCTTTGGAGAAATGTTTATTCAAGTGCTTTGCTCATTTTTAAAAGAAATATTTGTGTGTGTGTGTGTGTGTGTGTGTGTGTGTGTGTGTGTGTGTGTGTGTTTTGCTATATTCATCAGAGATACTGGCCTGTAGTTTTCTTGTATCTTTTTCTGGATTTGGTATCAGAGTAATGCTGGCCTCATAAAATGTGTATAGAAGTGTTCTCTTCAGTTATTTGGAAGAGCTTGAGAAGGATTGGTGTGAATTCTTATTTAAATGTTTCATAGAATTCTCCAGTGAAGCCATCTGGTTCGAGGTTTTCCTTTGTTGAGAAAATTTTTATTACTGATTTAATCTCCTTATTAGTTATAGATCTGTTGAGTTTTTTTGTGTTTTCATAATTTACTCTTGGTAGGTTGTATGTTTCTAGAAATTTATTTCTTATAAGTTATCTAATTTGTTGGCATATAATTGTTCATAGTTGTCTCTATAATCTATTTTGCTTGGTATTTTAGTTTTTTAGGGTGAGAAAGTAAATGTGGTTCCTGTTATACAAACTTGGACAGAAGCAGAAGTTTCATTCTGATTGATTTTAGTTACTTTGGGTGAAACATTACCATGTTTCAATGAGGAAGATATATATAAAATTATACTCAGAAAATACTTCCCACTATTCCTTCCAGCACATTCTCTCCACCTTTCTTTTCACCCTGTTACTGCCTATTCCCTGTAGGTAAGAAATCTCATTAGTTTTCTGGTTGACCCATTTAGTTGGCTTTTTGAAGTACTAATAACTGTTACATGTATATTTTTTATATCTCCTCTTCTTATATTAAAGATAGCCTTTTCCCCTTTTTTTTTTTTTTTTCATTTAACAGCCTATCCTGGATATCAGTTCATAGAGATTTTCCTCATTCTTTCTGGTAGCTTCCTAGTGTTCTACTGTGGATTTACTGTAATTCAGTCACTCTCCTATGTCTGGGCATTTAGGTTGTTGCCTAACTTTTGCATTTACAAACAATGTTGCAATGAATAATCTGATACATTTATATTTTCCTATTGGAAGTTTAGTAATCCTGGCTCACTTTGGGAATTTCTTCACCAACTAAATGATAAAAAATTGGAATCTAAGTCTAAATAATACGCAAGTCGAAGAATTCAGTTTCTCATGAGCGCACTGTTTTCACCCCAAACTTGGGAATAAACAAATAACCTATCAACTTGTAGAGATGGTAGGTGAAGTATTCTTAGTCACTGTGTGTCTTAGTCAGTTTGGGCTGTTATAACAAAAGTACCACAGACAGGATGGCTTAAACAACAGGAATTTATTTCTCAGAGTTCTGGAGGCTGAGCAGTTCAGAAATCAAGGTGCCAGCTGATTTGGTTCTTGGTGAAAGCCCTTTTTGTGGTTTGCAGACAGAAGCCTTTTTGCTGTGTCCTCACATGGTAGAGAGAGACATCAACTCTCTAGTTTTTGTAATACGGGCACACTAATCCCATTCATGAGGGTTTCACCCTCATGACTCAATTACTTCCCAGAGGCCCACCCTCCAAGCACTATCACACTGGGGATTAAAGATTCAGTCTGTGAATTTGAGGTGGACACAAATACTCAGTTCATAGCACTGCAGGTATAGTTTTGAGGACCCTAGCTTTATGTATTAGTCTCAATTCCAACTTCTTACCTTGCATAGACCCAAGGCCTCTTCTGCTGCCCTCCCCTTACAATACAAGCCTATAGTTGGAACCTTATTCTACAGGCCTTTATAAAGACTGCCAGGGGTGGTGCTTCTCTGCTGATTAATACTGTATTTTTTAAAAATAATCTTTTTTCTAGCATCGGAGAAGTTCTCTTTCACATGAGTATAAATTTTTTAAACATGTTTAAATATTTTATTCGGCAGTTTGGAGAGGAAGGATTTTCATGTTAGTTTAGTTCACTAACGTTGCTGGATAACTGACATACAGACTTGCATGGATGCTCTCATCTGCTCACATACCATTTATCTTTGTAGAGGAATTATCCTGCAGAAAATGGCCAGGGTATTTAAGTGAGGAAATAACGAGGCAACTTTTTGACACACAAACCATTTAACTCTCACCTCAAGGAAATTTGCCAAAATTTGTCCAAAATTTGAAAAATCAACAGTTAAGGAGGAAAATGGCTGGTGATAGCTGAGATGGAACAGGGTGGCTATATAATTTTTGAAATGTACCATTTATACAAAATATAAATGTTAATTGTGTTGAATTGTTTCATTTTCCCTTATGTGCATTTTAGGCAATAATTCTAAAGAGAAATGAAATTCAAAAACTGGGAGTATCTAAACTCAACTGCTGGGTAAGATTCAATGTTTTTAATGCAGTTTATTTAAATTCTACTTTTTATTTCTATAAACTGAACACAGTTAATATGCTTTAAAATGCTAATGATTTATAATTAATAAATAGCTACTGTCTTAAAAATAGTTACTATCTAAGGTAGATAGATATGTAAGGAAATAGTCCTTCGCAAGGACTAGAAATCATTTTCAAGAAGTTAGCTCACATATTTCACAACTAACTTTCAGGCCACTCTTCCTTTGTGTTTCATTCTGCTATATCCATACAGCCTTGCTTTTTAAAATGTGTTTGTCTTGAGTTTCTCTCTTTAGCTTCAGTTAACCTTCCCTTCACCATAACTCAAGTTTGTAGTTTCTTGCCAGCTTTCTCCTTTTCTTTCCTCTGCATCTATCCATCATCTGTCTCTCTTTCCTTCTGCTTCCAACTTTAGACTCTATTACTTTTGTCCTTTTAACATTTTCCTTACAGTCTCCCAGCCCCTTCTAATTTGAATTCAGCCACTACCTAATTTTTGCTTGGCTTCTTCCCAAATATGCAGATGGATGGCCCATATTACCTCCATGGTTTCCTAGTAAAATAAGTTATTAGGCAGGTAGTGCAACTCCTAAATTCTCTTAATATGAGACAGACAATATTCTTTTTCTCTGGTCTGTGATGTTCTTCTATTAAAAAATAAACCCTGGGCCACACACACTGGCTCACGCCTATAATCACAGCACTTTGGGAGGCCAACGTGGACAGAGAGCTTCAGCCCAGGAGTTTGAGACCAGCCTGGGCAACATGGCAAAACCCTGTCTCTACAAAAAATAGAAAAACTAGTTGGGCATGGTGGCATGAGCCTGTGATCCCAACTACTCAGGAGGCTGAGGTAGGAGGATCGCTTGAGCCCTGGAAGGTTACAGTGAGCCATGATTACCCCATTGCACTCCACCCTGGGTGACAGAAGAAATGAACTGTATGTTTACATGTTATATATTGAAAGGATAAGTCTGGAAATGTTACAAGTTGAGGAGGTAGGTTCCTACACACAATACAAGAGAACAAAATGGAAGGAGTTGCTATTTTCTCCTTGTTGGAGGCATTCTCCCATCCTTTATGGTGAAAATATAGAAAGATTTGTCCACTAAGTTGTTGAATGAATGGCATGATGCTTTTTTTGTCTTTTTATTATTCTTTATTGGTTCTACCAATTTGACTCTTTACCCAGGCCACCTGTCCTTAGGCATGCAGGCTTTGTAGAAATTCACATATCGACATTACACTTCTAATATATAATTCTTTCACTTCAGAAAAATTGAGCAATTTAATAAAAGAAGGTCAGAATTTCAGTTGCAAACTATTGAAAAATGACAATAAATAGTAGTGTGTCCATAAACATCAAAAAAAATTCTGCCAAGGCTGCACTCAAAGGAAAATTAACTGTCTTCATTTTCAACAACATTTTCAATAGTAGACTGGAAAGAACATGAATTGACTAAGTTTTAAAATCAAGAATATCAAAGAAACAAAAAATCTAAGGAGGGAAAAGTTGAGATTTAACCAAATGTTCAGCTTACATGTTTTTTAAGCCTCCCTAGGTATTATCTTCTGTTTTTAGCTCTGTATATCTTTGGCAAAAATAAGTATTTATTACACACAACCTGAACAAGGAAGGTATTTTTAGATCTAAGTGATTCATTTTAGAGTTTAACGTCAATAGAAGCAAATTCACTGTTTAATGGGAGACGCCAATTTTTGGTGACAAAGTAATTATTGAATTGAGCGCATGCTGAAATTTACAAAATTTACAAAGGGGAACTTTGTGTGCACCATGAGGCATGAGAATCATTACAAGAAGGGAAATGAAACCTCCAAGATAATCTAAAGCTCAGTACTAAGGCCAGATAAGGATAGTATGAGAAAGGATATTCTTACTCATGAGCATAGATTCAAAATTTCACCTAGATTAAAAACATTCCTTACACACAAAAGTGTAAAAGATTAGTAACTCAAGAGCAGCCATATATCTGATAAAGATAATCCACTTGTGATAAATCTGGCTTATTCTAGGAATCCAAAGATGTTTCTGGAAAATCCAAAAATGTAAATTATCATACTAAGAGATTAAAAGAGAAAAATGTCTTATGATCATCCCATTAGATGCAGAAAATAAAATTGATATAATTGAACACCCATTTATAATGAAAACATTTAACACAATATAAATAACAGTTTTCTCAACCCAGTAAAATTCTTCAGCAGTCATTAGTCTTACCGATAATAAGGTATTTAGAGTGTTCTGTTTAAAATCAATATAAAGATAAATGTGCTTTTTCACATTTTATTAAAGGTCCAAAGTAGCCTAGTAATGCAAGAAAAGTAAATAATAGGAAAAGGAAAGAAACAGAAAGAAGCAAAATTTATTATAGTATCATATTTACCTAGAAAGAATAAAATGATTGACAGACAAATTATTAGAAATTAGAAGAATTCAATACCATGGCTAGATATAAGTTTAATATTAAAAAATCAATTGCATTTCTATTCTTTGGCAACACACAGAAAACATATTTTTTTAAATATGCCTTATGTATTAGAAAAATGCATAGGATCTGAATGAATCTAACAAAATACATACAGTATTTGTATGGGGAAATTTATTTTAAAATTTCTAAGATATAAATAGAAAAATAAAACACATTTATATGTATGAAGTTTCATGTAATTCAGTTCTCCCCAGTTGATGTTCAGATTCAAAGCAATTTCAGCAAGATTGTCTTGCAGGTCACTTTTCACTAAATGATGCTGGAATAGTCTATCTATATGAGAAAAACCGTATGTTATACACAAATATCAGTTCCAGGCCTAGCCATTTTGAATGTTCCTAAGCTGGATGTCTTTTTGACATGTCTTTATAAATTTATAATGCTCCAGGCTTTTCTTGATTTTCCTTGTGCTAGCCTTGGAATCAGCCATTTTTCCAAGGAGCCCTGCTTCCTTTTAGAGGAGAATGGTATTTGGAAACCAAGACCTGAGTGGTATGTGCACTCATTACTGCCAGTGTGTCCTTGTTTCTAGGCCCTTTCACTGCACGTATGTGCACACGTGTGTGTGTATGAAATCATGATTTCATAACTATAGCTCCAATCCCAGCATAATGCTATAGAAAGGCAAACTAGTTAGGTACCTCAGAACTCACAGAAAAACACCACAGGCTGCCATCTCCTGAAACTCCATCCAGTGGCAGAAGACACTCAGAAAGAGGGTCCAGGGAAATGCTCTCCATGCTGTGGGTCTGGTATCTACTATTCCCTCCAAGAAGGCTTCCCATGCAGGTAGCAGCAGCAGGGATCTAACAGGTGCCCTGCTAGGACTAGGCAGCCCAGGAAGGAGCCCTCTGCTCTTTACCGACCTCCTAGCCCACAATCCTGGTGTCTCTCACCCTCCACCTCATGGCAACACGACATGGGAAGTACATTCTTCCTACATTGGTAGCATGATTTGGGGCTGAGACGGAGCACCAGGGCACCAGATGAATCAAGCTGACCAGAATAGCACTAGCACTGCAAAGGCTCTGAAAACTAAACTGTCATTGTAACTATAGCAAACAGAAGTAGGCCAGGACTTGCGTGATAAACCTAAAAACAAAGTGACTCTCTGCTGAAATAGAAATTTAAAAGAGGATCCACAGTCTCTAACATAATATAAAAATGTACTGGACACAGTAGAAAAACCACTCATCATAGCAAGAATGAAGAAAATAACAACTTGAATGAGAAAAGACAGTCAACAGATGTCAACACTGAGATGAATAGGATGTGGGGATTATGTGACAAGGTTTTTAAAGCAGTCATCATAAACACACTTCAATGAGCAGTTTTAAATACTCTGGAAGCAAATGAAAAGGCTATAAAAGCTCACCACAGAATTTTTTTTTTTTAAGAAAGAACAACTTGGCCGGGCACGGTGGCTCACGCCTGTAATCCCAGCACTTTGGGAGGCCGAGACGGGTGGATCACGAGGTCAGGAGATCGAGACCATCCTGGCTAACACGGTGAAACCCCGTCTCTACTAAAAATACAAAAATTACCCGGGCATGGTGGTGCGCGCCTGTAGTCCCAGCTACGCGGGAGGCTGAGGCAGGAGAATGGCGTGAACCCGGGAGGCGGAGCTTGCAGTGAGTCGAGATCGCACCACTGCACTCCAGCCTGGGCGACAGAGCGAAACTCCGTCTCAAAAAAAAAAAAAAAAGAAAGAACAACTTGGTGATTATAGAACTGAAAAATACAATAACTGAAATTAAAATTTAATAAGTGGACTTGGTAGCAGAGTGAATATTACAGAGGAAGCAATCAGTGCTCTTGAAGACAGAACAATAGAAATCTCCCAATCTAAATTGAGAGAAAATCACAGGAAAAAGGACAGAGCCTCCAGGACCTATGGTGTAGTAACAGAAGATCTAATATTTGTATCATCAAAATTTCAGAAGGAATGGAAAAAGAGAGTGGGGCTGAATAGTATTTTAAGAAGTAATTGCTAAAACTCCCCACATGTGGTGAAAGACACATCTGCAGAGTGAAGATAACTGAGCGATTCCCAAGTAAGACAAACCTAGAGAAATCCATGCAAAGATACATTATAAGTTAACTTTTAAAATGAAAAGAAAAAAATCTTGAAAGCAGGTATGGAGAAATGACACATCACCTACAGGGCAAAATTGAGTTGAATTGTAGCAGACTTCTTATGTGAAAATAAGGAAGCCAGAAGGTTGGGGCAGAACATTTGTCAAGATGAATTACATATCCAGTAGATGTTTCCTTTAGGAATGAAGGGGAAATAGACATTCTCTAATCAATGAAAATTAAGATAATTTGTGGCTAGCAGAGAACCTTAAAGAATGGTTAATTGAAGTTGTTTTGTAAGGTTTGTGGAAGACCAGATGGTTGTAGATACGTGGTTTTATTTCTGAGTTTTCTATTCTCTTCCATTGGTCTATGTGCCTGTTTTTGTACCAGTACCATGCTGTTTTGGTTATTGTAGCCTTGTGATATAGTTTGAAGTCAGGTAGCCTGAGGCCTCCAGCTTTGTTCTTTTTGCTTAGGATTGTCTTGGCTATATGAGCTCTTTTTTGATAGCATGGAATCAACCCAAATGTCCATGAATGATAGTCTGGATAAAGAAAATGTGATACATATATACCATGGAATATTATGCAGTCATAAAAAGAAATGAGATCATGTCCTTGGCAGGGACATGGATGGAGCTGGAAGCCATTATTCTCAGCAAACTAATGTAGGAACAGAAAACCAAACACTGCATGTTCTCACTTATAAGTGGGAGCTGAACAGTGAGAACAGATGGACACAGGGAGGGGAACAACACACACTGGGGCTTGTCAGGGGAGGGTAGGGCAAGGGAGAGCATCAGGAAAAATAGCTAATGAATGCTGGGCTTAATACCTAGGTAAAGGGTTGATAGGTGCAGCAAACCACCATGGCACACGTTTACCTGTGTAACAAACATGCATATCCTGCACATGTACCCTGGAACTTAAAATTTAAAAAGTTCTGGAAACAAAAAGGAAATGCAAGAAGGAATCCTAGAATGTAGGGAAGAAATATAAAACAGCAAAGTAGATACACAGAGGGGTAGATATAATAGACTCTTCTTCTCATGAGCATTTCCTTTCGTGTACTTTTTTTGCTTTATTTCGTTATTCTTTATTTAGATTTTTAAGTCAAGGATTTAATTCATTTATTTTCACTCTTTCATTTTTATTGATAAAGCTTTTGAAGCCATGAATTTGCTTCTTATCCTTGCTTTAAATGTATTCCTTAGTTTCCATATGGAAATGGCATTTGCCTGCCATGCTGCTGCCATCATTCTATTTTTCACCTTTCTGAATCTGTTTTTGTTTGTCTTCCCTGTGTAGCATAAATTGAGTCTGTCTTTGCTTTGTGAGATAATGTGAAAACCCTTGTTGTAAGTTTTATGTGTATTTGACTATATTTGCTTTGTTTCTGTATATGATTCTCTTTTATTTTAAACTTTTTTAATTTAGGAAAGTTACTGTTATTTCCTCAATTGTTGCATATTTGAAACTTTTTAAAATAACGTCTATACTTGAATGACAGATTGGCCAGATATAAAGTCCTTGGTTCTCAATTTTTAAAGTTTCTTAAAAATGCATCTACACCACTGCTTTGGTTTGTATGTTTCTTTTAACAAGTCTGATGCTAGCCAAATTCTTCTGTCCCTTATAAATTATGTGACTTTTGTGCCTGGAGGTTCTGAGGAATTTTTCTTCATTTTTCATAGTTCTACTGAAAGATGTCTTGAGTTAGTTTACCATACCAGATTAATTTTTTCCAGTACCCCCTGGATCCTTTCCAAATGTCGATTCAGGTCTTCTTTTATTTCTGGAAAGTTTTCTTGGATTATAATTTAAACACTAGTTTTGATTCATTGCTGTGGTTTTCTTTTTCAGGCACTCCGGTTATAATTATGTGCCTTTCTTCCATTTCTACCACTTTCTCTGATACTTCTCACTTCTTTCTCTGGTATCATTTTCATTCTTCATCATTGTTTTAGTGCCTTTACTTCAATTCCTTCATTATTTGAATTTTTCTTTTTATCATCTTGTGATTGTTTTTATTTTTTTTGATAGTATTCTCCTTTTCTTCCATTTCCTTTCTATGTCTAATAAACTCTTTATTTCTTTCTGCTTTTTTCCCCATTTCTATTCTTGGTTTTTGAATTTCTTGTTTAAATTGCTTTTTTAATATTTCTGAATGCTCATTTGAGGATATTTAGTTCAACTTTTAATTCTGCATTATTTTCTTCTGTTTTGCGAGATTTTATCATTCAGTGGTGTGGATTTCATTAGCTGAAATATTTGACTTTCATGTTTGTTATCTTCTTAAAGAAGCTTTGGATATTTATATAGGCATTTTTTCATCTATTAATTATTTTGTGTTTTCTAGTCCAGGTGCAAACCTCTTCTGAAAATGTAGCATAGTGTGATTTTTTTCAATGAATAACTTTCTTCTTTTTTTGTGCTTGATGGCAGTAGTGATGGATAGTCTTTTGGTTTGGGTTCTCATTTTTCCTGCTGGATACTTTTTCCTTCTTGCACTCCCCTTTTTATCCTCCTTTCTTTCCAGAAATGATGGCTTTCTAACATCGGTGTTTTTGTCCCTACTCACTCTTAGGGACTGCCTAATGCTCTGTACTCCCATTTACCAATCTCCCAGAGCTCTTTTTACACATAGGATGGACTTTTCTCTTTCTTGGGTTATTTTATTTCCAATTTTGACCCCTGTCTTTCCTTTTCTTCTTTATCCTTTTATGGGTCTCCCCTCATTCTCTGCAAAGGCTTAGGTCAGGGACTTGAGGTATAACTCTATAGATTCGTTGCCTCCTTTTCCATTCATAGGTAATTTGAAGTTTTTTGCCATGTATGTGGTTGTATTGCTGTACTTGTTGGTTGATATATGCAGAGATTTGAATTTAGGCTGCTATAACTTTCCCCAGGCTAACCAGAAGTACACAATTGTTCCCTTTTTAATCAAGGCTAGTCAAAAAATAAACAACAACAACAACACAGAAGCCTCATTGCCGTTGTAGTTCATATTCCTCTTTCTTAAAGGAAAGCTTAAGTTTTCACATTTCAAACAGTTATTTCTTGAAGATGGGCTCATATATTTCCACAGGAGTGGTAGAAGAACTTTTAAGGTAGTGTTTTAAAAAATGGATTTTCAGCTGAGAAATAATATTTGGAAACAAACACATAAACACTCCCTTTTCTTAACAGAAATCAAAAGGAAGTAACCTTTTAAAACTTCCTTTAGATTGGCTGGGTGCAGTGGCTCACGCCTGTAATCCTAGCACTTTGGGAGGCCGAGGCGGGTGGATCACGAGGTCAGGAGATCAAGACCATCCTGGCTAACACGGTGAAACCCCGTCTCTACTAAAAATACAAAAAATTAGCCAGGCATGGTGGCGGGTGCCTGTAGTCCCAGCTATTCGGGAGGCTGAGGCAGGAGAATGCCGTGAACCCGGGAGGCGGAACTTGCAGTGAGCAGAGATCGTGCCACTGCACTCCGGGCCTGGGGGACAGAGCGAGACTCCGTCTCAAAACAACAACAACAACAACAACAACAACAACAACAACAACAACAAAACTTCCTTTAGATTTAGGATATGTATAAGCAGCCACTTTTCCGATGCACACGGGGTTTTTTCTTTGTTCAAATCCCCCCTTCCTCTGTCTCTGTACGGGGAGCTGTTTTCTTCTTCCTTCTTTCTTTCTTGGCTATTAACCTTTCACTCAAGACAAAAAAAAAAAAAAAAAAAGATTTAGGATATGTAGAATTCTAGTGTTGCTATATATTTTATACCAGTGTCATCAGTTTTAATTCTTTGCTTTTAAACAAGATTTTCTAAAGGAACTTTTTTAAAAAACTTCACCATTTATACCTCACATAATTAAATTTTTTCTGTGTCATTTATAGATATAATTGAATACTTTAGCTGGGTGATTTGTAGTTTTAAATACTGGACTTCTATTTTATTTTCTAGCTAATTCAAGGTAGTGCCTGGTGGTGTGGAACAATCATTTTGAAATTTCTGACATCTAAAATCTTAGGCGTTTCAGACCATGTAAGTACTTTTTAGTTAAAACATAAAAGTTCTTATAAATATGTAGCTGAATGAAAACTTTGAAACCATCTATTCTTATCTCTTCATTTTACAGAAGTTAAGTGCCTTCTTTAAGGTCTCTAGACGAGTTATTGGCAGAGTCAATAATAAAGTCACTAAAAAGAAAAAATATTCATGAATGCTGACTTGCCCTTTTAGTAAAAACATATTAATAGTTTGTTAAGTAGTTATTTGTTTATATTTCAGTTAAAATACAAATAATTAGTTGTTTACATCATAAGTTATCCATTTATTGCAGATGTTAACATACGGGAGGCTGTCCTAAGCTTTGAAAATATAGAACTCTTAAAATCTCAGTATTGTTTTATTTATTTATAAGTATGGACTAAAATCAATGTATGATTTGATGTTTTAAGGCCTTTCTTGTTATATAAAAAGAGAATGTTAAAAAATTTTGATCTTTTCATTTTCTAGGAAATACATGCAGAGCATTTATCTCTCATGTAGTATTTCTGTTTGTTAATGTTTTAAAGAGTAGCCCTTTTCAAGGCCTAAGTCCCTGCTTAACTAACTGGTTTAGGGAATAGAAAACAATGCATGAATCTACTTTTTATTTCTAGCACTTTCTGTTTAGAAATAAGCATACATGAGTATATCATACAATAATCAATTTTGAAATTTACCTCATTTAATGCTATCCAATTAGGGCCCTGTTTGATGCTGAAATTATGTACTTTGGCAAGGGATTATAGTATTACTTCTCTAAAAGGTCAAATGCTATCTCTATGCAATACAACATGCAACATGTTTATATTAAATAAAATTTCTAAATGTAAGCATTTGCCATTTATTGCTAGTTTTGCATGGTGGTTTATTAGTTTATTTGTTGCTGCTGTTCTCTGGCATGTCTGACACATTTCCCCATTCTCCTTTCCTTTTTATTGTTTTTAACTTTATTATATATGTCTTATGATAAACTTTATTTAGACCTTCTAAGTTATTTATTTATCTGTTAAGTTTGTTCATGATTATGTTTCTTGCCTTACTTCACGTTGACCCCCAGCTCTTTACAAATCTAAATCTTTTTTTTTTTTTTTTTTGAAACACAGTCTCACGCTGTCACCCAGGCTGGAGTGCAGTGGCCAATCTCGGGTCATAGCAACCTCCATCTCCTGGGTTCAAGTGATTCTTGTGCCTCAGCTTCCTGAGTAGCTGAGATTATAGGCATGTGCCACCATACCCGGCTAATTTTTGTATTATTAGTAGAGATGGGGTTCCACCATGTTGGCCAGCCTGGTCTCAAACTCCTGACCTCAAGTGATCCGCCTGCCTTGGCCTCCCAAAGTGCTGGTGATTACAGGTGTGAACCACCATGCCTGCCCTACAAATTAAAAAAAAAAAAAAAGCAAACACACTTCCTTGGTAGTCCTGAGTGACTTCCTTTATGTGACAGTTACGAGGAATACCTGAAATTATAGTGGTTTGGTTAAATTACTATTAGTCACCAGGCCTATTCTAAATTAGAAAAATAAAGTGCAACTCTAAATTATCCTTGAGTACTGGTAAATTAGGAAAAATAATTGAATGAAAACCACTCATAATCATCAAATTTGTTATAAAATAATTTCTGTCACTATAAAATAATTTGAATTAAGAGTTTACTTGCCAAATATTTTCCTTTTTCTGGCCTTCTGAGGATGCTGTGGAAAAATAATTGTCTCACCAAGAGCAGGTTGTAAATAATAGTAGAAAAATAGAAGTTCTGCATTGGGTTTGGTTGTTGGTATCTACTTTTAGCCTTGGAGATCAAATAGCTAAGTCAAAGATCAAAGTGGTGTGTATAACTGTTGTAATTCTTATGAGGATCAGGTCTCATATGCAATGGTTTGAATATATGTCTGTAAAACATCAAGAAGTACCAAATATTGTAATCAGTCTGCAAGGCTTTGTGAAAATGACAGTGCACAGAAAGCTTATGACCTACAATGTATGTTGAAAGAGGTTAAGTAAAACAGTTTTTCATGATAAATTGTCTTATTATAAAATATAATTAACTACATGGTGGTTTCTTCTCAGCAGATATTGATTTTAGCTCACTCTTTATCATCTTCTCTTTATTTTTTCTGACTTCTTTCTACTTTTCATTTTTCATGATATTTCTCTTTATTTTCAGTTATCTTGAGAAGTCAGCACATCGTATATTTGGTTCACTGTAGTTTTTTGTTTTCTTAGTGGGATGTCTAAATACATTGGATTTATCTGTTCTATAAACTTTGTTATTCTTACATCAATAAAGTATTACTGGCTAAGGCTATAATCATTTGTGTAATTTTAATTCATTTTACTTTATTTTCTCCCAGATTTGCCTGAGTGATCTTATAGCAGCCGGAATCTTAAGGTATACAGATTTTGATACTTTAAAATACACCTGTTCTCCCGAATTTGACTTCATGGAAAAAGCGGTATGAATGTTTCTTTTTTCCTTCTCTACTAATATGAGTTTTTGCTCTAGGTTTTTTTAAAATCTGAAACTCAAAATTTTTGCTCAGAAACAGTCAACTTATTTTATATTTTTTTACTGTAACTTTTGCTAATCTACCTTCCTCACTTGTTTTTTTGTCTGTTGAAAAAAAAAAGATAGCCTCTATCTTATAGAGTTATTGATGATGGTTAAATGAGATAATCTGAGAAGAGTGTTTAACATACTATATGACCCATAATAATTACTATTATTCCAAATCAATTACTTTTAATAATCTAGGCCACTTGGAAATATGGGACCATTCAGGAAAAAGTCTAAATTCTTGTTTCTGTTTTTAAGAAATTCAGTTTTATTACAGTTAACACCCCAAATATTATAACATTTTTAACAAGGTGTTACCAAGAAAGGTATGCTACTGATGAGTTTTAATGAACATATAAAAATTCATTTTAAATTATACAAATGCAAGGTATTATTCTTTTTAAAAAGTTCATGTTATAAAGCTTTAAAATATAGGCTGGGCGTGGTGGTTCATCCCTGTAATCCCAGCACTTAGGGATGCTGAGGCGGGTAGATCACTTGAGGTCAGGAGTTTGAGACCAGCCTGGCCAACATGGTGGTAACTCCATCTCTACTAAAAATACAAAAATTAACCAGGCATGTTGGTGCATGCCTGTAGTCCCAGCCTGAGTAGGAGGCTGAGACAGGAGAATTGCTTGAACCCTGGAGGCGGAGATTGCAGTGAGCTGAGATCGCATCATTGCACTCCAGCCTGGGTGACAGAGTGAGACTCTGTATCAAAAAAAAAGAAAAAAAAATTGGCCTCTTTGTAGAATCATGGAACACAAGATCAGGAAGGGCTCTTAGAGACCATGCCATATAGTTCTTTCATTTGCAGATAAAGAAAAGCTTAAAAGGTTTGCCTAAAGCACACACAAGCCAAGATCAGGACATGGATTCTAATGGATTCTGGAACTCTCAATCCAGGGCTCTTTCCTCTATTTGTAGCTTAATTTTCTTCATAGAACATAACAAAGTTGCTACTGGATTGATTATTCCTTGTGTAATCATTATGAATTCTGAATTAGTGGTAAATAATAAAATTTTACATTCTTCTCTTATCCATCCAACCAGTCATCCCATTCATTCAAAAACTATTATTGACCACTAGTTATCCATGAGGCGGTTTGCTATAGCACAACAAAGAGGAAAATGAACTGGTTTCTTGCTTTTAAGAAATGTATAATTTAGTTACATGGTAAATTACTCCTTATCACAATAACAGGTCATCAGAATTAGTTAGCCAATGTTATTTCTGTACTTATGCATAGTTTTAGTCATTAACTTTGGTTAGCTTTCTTTCTTGTTAGCTCTAGTTTCACTAATGAAAATAATGGAGCTGTGTAGTACAGAAAGTTACAATGTAGGACCCAGGGATCGGTAAACACACATTTTAAAACTTAGTATTATGTAAATAAAAAAAAGAAAAGAAAAAATAGATATAGCAATTCTAGTTTTATTAAAATAATAAATTTTTCATTAAATTTTTGGAATACTTTTTATAACTATTTTTATAATTTTAATTATTTCATTAAGGCATGGAAGACAATAAATATATATTCTGCTGATGACAAAGAAATTTAACCTTTTACTTTTAAGGAATGTTATCATGGCACTTAGTTTGACATAGATGTTTACTAATTTAATGTAAAAATTGTAACTATTTTGAATAATTTGGTATATTTCAGACTCTGCTGATATACACAAAGACATTATTGCTTCCAGTTGTTATGGTGATTACATGTTTTATCTTTAAAAAGGTATTTTTAAACAAATTATTATTTGTTTTTGGCATCAATATAAGGACTATAATAATGCAAATTGCTCAGAATTCCATGTTATTTTTAGGATGAACTCTTCCTCTCTCTAAAAGTTTGCTTTTTATTTAGATCTTTCATCATCGATCTTTTTATAAAAAGCCATGATAAAAGGTATTCTTATTTTTTCTTTCAAAAGATATATACCAGTCACCAACTGTGTATCAAGGACTAAATTAACATTGTAGGTACACCCGGACAAATAAAACGTGGCCGCTCCTGTCTTGGAACTTACAATCCTGGATTATTGGGGGTGGGGGTGCAAACATGAAGCAAATAATCCCACAAACGTCTAAAGAATTAAAATTTTTATAGGTGCTATGAAAGAAAAGTCTAGTGACAACAATGTTAGTATCTTTCAAATATAAAGCACAGTGAAGTCTTGATCTATTTTGAGTGAGTCTGCGTAGAAGAAATCTGTATAGCTAATTAAAAAATACTTTTCTACATGTTCACTGTTTTCATGACAGAAGAAAAGAACATCTCAATGAAAAAAATAATCTTTAAAATACCACTGGTAGGTTTTCTTGGTCTGGGTGGAGTTTATCTAAAAGCATGGTTAAAGACAGTGGGTATTTTTTTAAGCAGTCTTGAGCCATCTTTATTTATATTATTTACAAGCTATGAAGTCTTAAGCCAGTATGTATTTATTGTATACTTTTAAGCAGATAACAATAATGTGATTTCCCCACCACCATACCAGTTGTGTTCTTGTTGAAAGGAGTTTTCTGTATTTACAGTCAAATTGCATATCTTCTCTATGTAGTTTTAGTTGCCACACTTCTCACTCCTTTGTTTACACAGAGATGTGAGTAATTTAAGAGTGAGAAAGGCATCTCCCTCGACATCTCTGTTGTTTCACCCTCGATCCAGTTCCCTGCGGACCACGTGGAAAGAGTCAGGATAAAGGAAATAAGGAGGAATGAGTAAAATGTGAGCAGGTTTACTGCCCTGCATCCTTTCGGCCCATGCTGGCTTAGAATGAAGATTTTCTCTACTGGCCTGTTTCTTTTCCATCAAGGCAAAATGTCGAATTATTCTTCTAAGGCTCCACTTAGAGGGGCCAATGCATGAATTAACTATTCAGCGGAGAGTCAGCAATGTGAGAGAAACTGATAGCTAGATCTGCAACTGCTATATTTTAAAAAATTAAGATCCAAGACTTATAAATACATTACTAGTTTCCAGACACACCACAACCTGAACTATGCATGTGCACTAGCAGGGGCATGTGCATACACACACACACACACGCACACACATGTCCCTGCAGCCAGTCAAGTTTCATACACACACACGCACACGCACATACACACATACAAACATCCCTACAGCTAGCCAAGTTTCATACACACATACACACATATACACACACACACACACACAAAAATCCCTGTAGCTGGCCAAGTTTCATACACACACACACACACACTCTCTCTCTCTCTCTCTCTCTCTCTCTCTCTCTCTCTCTCTCATCCCTGCAGCCAGCCAAGTTTCACTCCTTCCTTTCTGCTTTCTTATAAACCCCTCAGTCTTTATTTGTCCTGTTGTGGCTTACTTTTCACCCCAAGGATACTTCTGAAGGTCATTTAGTTTTCAATGATGTGAAGTCACTTCTCAGAAGGAGAAAAGGAAGACATCTATAGTATGACCATCCTGTTCCTGAGGACTCCCTTAAACATTAAAAGAATACTTCTTTCCTTGGCGGAGTGTTTATATTAATGAATCAGAGCATTTTAAATATTGCAGTATTCCTTACAAAAGTTTCATTGATTTGATTCTATTCACAGACTGTTGGTGATATTTCGCGTGTTTTAGCTACAAACGTTTATCTAAGGTAATTATATCATCATTGTTTTTAAAACATACAGTATTCCATTATTAAATAATTTACTGTAGCATTAATTTTTCAAATGAATATGCATTAAACTTTAGCATTATGATTAAGAAAGGAGATATGAACCAAACTTAAATGTTTCCTTAAAAATATTATTCTTACAGATTTCTTACATGTATTTGGACTTGTTTTGGAGAAATTTATATTTGTGAACTAACTCAAAGTTTAAATTGATAAATTATAATATATGATTAGAATTTAAAGTCAGTAAGCTAAAGATTTATTTTTTTATTTTTATTTTGTATTATTATTATACTTTAAGTTTTAGGGTACATGTGCACAATGTGCAGGTTAGTTACATGTGTATGCATGTGCCATGCTGGTGTGCTGCACCCACTAACTTGTCATTTAGCATTAGGTATATCTCCTAAAGCTATCCGTCCCCCCTCCCCCTACCCCACAACAGTCCCCAGAGTGTGATGTTCCCCTTCCTGTGTCCATGTGTTCTCATTGTTCAGTTCCCACCTATGAGTGAGAATATGCGGTGTTTGGTTTTTTGTTCTTGCGATAGTTTACTGAGAATGATGATTTCCAATTTCATCCATGTCCCTACAAAGGACATGAACTCATCATTTTTTATGGCGACATAGTATTCCATGGTGTATATGTGCCACATTTTCTTAATCCAGTCTATCATTGTTGGACATTTGGGTTGGTTCCAAGTCTTTGCTATTGTGAATAGTGCCACAATAAACATACGTGTGCATGTCTTTATAGCAGCATGATTTATAGTCCTTTGAGTATATACCCAGTAATGGGATGGCTGGGTCAAATGGTATTTCTACTTCTAGATCCCTGAGGAATCGCCACACTGACTTCCACAATGGTTGAACTAGTTTACAGTTCCGCCAACAATGTAAAAGTGTTCCTATTTCTCCATATCCTCTCCAGCACCTGTTGTTTCCTGACTTTTTAATGATTGCCATTCTAATTGGTGTGAGATGGTATCTCATTGTGGTTTTGATTTGCATTTCTCTGACGGCCAGTGATGGTGAGGATTTTTTCATGTGTTTTTTGGCTGCATAAATGTCTTCTTTTGAGAAGTGTCTGTTCATGTCCTTTGCCCACTTTTTGATGGGGTTGTTTGTTTTTTTCTTGTAAATTTGTTTGAGTTCATTGTAGATTCTGGATATTAGCCCTTTGTCAGATGAGTAGCTTGCGAAAATGTTCTCCCATTTTGTTGGTTGCCTGTTCACTCTGATGGTAGTTTCTTTTGCTATGCAGAAGCTCTTTAGTTTAATTAGATCCCATTTGTCAATTTTGGCTTTTGTTGCCGTTGCTTTTGGTGTTTTAGACATGAAGTCCTTGCCCATGCCTATGTCCTGAATGGTAATGCCTAGGTTTTCTTCTGTGGTTTTTATGGTTTTAGGTCTAACGTTTAAGTCTTTAATCCATCTTGAATTGATTTTTGTATAAGGTGTAAGGAAGGGATCCAGTTTCAGCTTTCTACATATGGCTAGCCAGTTTTCCAAGCACCATTTATTAAATAGGGAATCCTTTCCCCATTACTTGTTTTTCTCAGGTTTGTCAAAGATCAGATAGTTGTAGATATGTGGCATTATTTCTGAGGACTCTGTTCTGTTCCATTGATCTATATCTCAGTTTTGGTACCAGTACCATGCTGTTTTGGTTACTGTAGCCTTGTAGTATAGTTTGAAGTCAGGTAGCATGATGCCTCCAGCTTTGTTCTTTTGGCTTAGGATTGACTTGGCAATGCGGGCTCTTTTTTGGTTCCATATGAACTTTAAAGTAGTTTTTTCCAATTCTGTGAAGAAAGTCATTGGTAGCTTGATGGGGATGGCATTGAATCTATAAATTACCTTGGCAATTTTTGGAATTCGTCCCTCCCTCCCTTCCTCCCTTCCTTCCTTCCTGCCTTCCTTCCTTCTCTCTCCCTGTTTTGTCTTGTCTTTCCTCTTCTCTTCTCTTGTTTTTTCTTTTCTTTTCTCTTTTCTTTTTTCTTTTCTCTTCTCTTGTCTTCCCTTCTCTTCTCTTCTTTTCTTTTCACAGAGTCTTGCTCTGTCACCCAGGCTGGAGTGCAGTGGCATGATCTCTGCTCACTGCAGCCTGGACATCCTGGGCTCACGCGATCATCTCATCTCAGCTCTGCCAAGCAGCTGGGACTACAGGTGTGCATCACCATGCCCAGCTAATTTTTGTATTTTTTTGTAGAGAGGGGGTTTCACCATGTTGGTCAGGGTTTTCTTTTTCTTTCTTTTTTTAACTTTCAGAGGGGGTAAAATTATTTGTGTTCCTGAATATTTATGAATTTTCTTCTAAACTTATTGTTGAAACTATTTATTGTATAACAATTCTGGATGGTTTTAGTAATGTCACTAGCATAAGCAGATGCCAGCAAAATATATCATATCAGTCACACATAAGTAAATTGCTACAAGGCTCAAGAAGTAAATTGTGAAGAAAATTTCCTTCTGAGGGAAATATGATCTCAAATGACATGTTTTTTAGTGTTCAACTTTTATTTTAGATGCAGGGGGCACATGTATAGGCTTGTTACATGGGTATATTGTACCCAGGTAGTGAGCATAGTACCTAATAGTAATTTTCAAGTTACATTTTATATTTGTAAATAGAATATTTGATTTTATTTTGTGACTTCTACTTTATAGAATAGTTTTAGATTTATAGAAAAATTGTGAAGATAGTAGAAAGAATTTCTATGAACTCCATACTCCATGCTTGTATTTTTAATAAACAGCTGTGTATGGTTGTCAGAAGAGCTAATTAAGCTCTTAGGTGCGTCTGTTGAAATTCTTTCCAAAATAAAGGGGATAATAGACCCATTCTACATTGTTCTGGACAGATGGAGCCCAGGGAAATGGGTCTTGGCATTCTAAAAAAGAATGAATGGAGAACCCTGGACACTGTTCCCATAAGGAGTGCATGAAGGGTCTTGGAATATTTAACTGGATAATAGAAGATTGAAGGGTATGTGGCAACTGTCTTCATATGTTGCAGAGGGTGTAATGTGGAAGTGACAGACTCGGAGGGATCAGTGGATGGAAGATAATTACTCAGAATATGGAAGTCTATGTATTGATTACATATTTGAAAGTGACAGGCCTGTTGTGTGTGGGCAGAGGGTTCTGGGTTAAATCTCAAAAATAATAATAGCAGAGGCTAGTAGTAATACATTCTGAAAAACCAGTGTATCAAAAAGAGAGGGAATACTCCCCTCTCTTAGATCTGCTCCCCTGAGTGCTGATTGTAAGTAGCTTTGTATGTTTTATTTTAGAAAACACATATAGAAACACAATATTTTTAAAAAATAGAATTGTATTCTACTTATTCTGTAACTTGTTACTTGTATTTAATAGTGTGTCTTGGGCCTCTTCCTTGATCTTCATTATATTTTATAATGGTCTTAGGATTTTATTGTTGACCATCATGCATGACTGCCTTTCCCATATCAATGAAAGTTTAGATTATATATAACTTTTGTCATAAAAAAACCAATGTTTTGAGGATTGAACATCCTGGTTTGTGTATCTTGGTAGACTTATTCTAAGTATTTCTATAGTATAAAATATTTGAATTTGGACTGCTGATTATGAGGCCTGCATATTTTAGAATTTGTTAAAACTGAGAAATTATAATGATGAGAGTGTCCATTTCTCTGCAACTCCACCAACATCGTTATCAAGCTTTTAATTTTTTCTGATAGGTAAAAACAATTCATTTTATTGTATAAATTCTATGTCAGTGGAGTTTTGCAGCTTTTCATGTGTTTGTTTACTATGTTTCTTTTTGACCTTTAAAAGTTGTTTTGTGGGTTGTTTTTTTTTTTTTCTTTTCATCTCGCTGCTGTGTATGCAGTGGCACAATCTCGGCTCACTGCAACCTCTGCCTCCGGGGTTCAAGCAATTCTCCTGCCCCACCCTCTGGAGTAGCTGGGATAACAGGCACCCGTCATCACACTCAGCTAATTTTTGTATTCTTAGTAAACACAGGGTTTTGCCATGTTGGCCAGGCTGGTCTTGAACTCCTGACCTCAAGTGATCCAGCCACTTGGGCCTCCCAAAGTGCTGAGATTGCAGGCATGAGCCACTGTGCCCGGCTATGTGTTATGTTTTTGCTTTTTCCATAGACATAACATTTTGTCTCTTATGTGTATTACACAGTTTCTTCCAAAATGTCAACTTATAGTTCATTTATGGTCTCTGCTTTGTAGAACTTCAAAGTTTCTGTACAATCACAGTTATATATTTTTTCTGGGTTCATATGTTGCTTAGAAACACTTCCCTACACCAAAAACATGAAATTTTTTTTCATATTTTCTTTCATAAGTTTCTATTTACATAGAGGTTATTTATTACTCTTGCATTAATTTTGTGGTATAGTGACATAGAGGAGTCTACCTTTCCCCCTCTAGTGAGGTATTGTCCCAACACAGTATTGCATAAATCTTTTTTCCAAATGTCAGCTTTTATCACTTATCAATTCTCATTGTACTTGAGTCTGTTTTAGATTGTCTGTTATACTGATCTTTTAGTTTATAGGAAAGCTGCTTTACTTTTTTTTTTTTTTTTGCAACACGTTTTTATCTAGCCATGTTACCAAACTTTCTTTCTGGTTCTAATAGTTTTTCCATTGATGCTCTGGATTTTCTAGGCAGGTTATCATATAATCTACAAATAGTAATAACTTTCTAATATTTATACTTCTTTACTTTCTTGTCTTGTGTATTAGCTAGAACTTCCAGAACAACTTTGAATTGCAGTGATGATGGGCTTGCCCTTATTTTGTTTCTGACTCTAAAGTGAAGAATGCCTTTAGTGTCTCACTGTTTCATTTGCTGTTAGTATATAATGGATAGCCTTTATTTCATTAAGAAAGTTTCCTTGGCCAGGCGCGGTGGCTCATGCCTGTAATACCAGCATTTTGGGAGGCCAAGGTGGGCGGATCACGAGGTCAGGAGATTGAGGCCATCCTGGCTAACATGGTGAAACCCCGTCTCTACTAAAAATACAAAAAATTAGCTGGGCGTTGTGGTGGGCGCCTGTAGTCCCAGCTACTCTGTAGGCTAAGGCAGGAGAATGACATGAACCCGGGAGGCGGAGGTTTCAGTGAGCTGAGATTGTGTCACCGCACTCCAGCCTGGGAGACAGAGTGAGACTCCATCTCAAAAAAAAAAAAAAAAAGAAAAAAAGAAAGTTTCCTTTTGGTTTATATAAACCAGGATAATTTTAAAAATTAAATTAAAGATAGATGTTGAAAGTGTATAATGTGTGAATTGTAACTCAATAAAGCAGTAAAAAATGAATGTTAAATTTTTTAAAAATGGCTTTAAAAATATTTTGGGGATTATTATATATTTTTTCTCCTTATTAATAACTACACTTGTTTTTAAAATTTGGTAAGAATGCTTAACATGTGATCTACCCTCTTAACGATTTTTTAATTGTATAATACAGTATTGTGGACTATAAGTATAACATTCTATAGTCGATCTCTCAAACTTATTCATCTGGCTTAACTGAAGCTTTAAGCCTGTTGACTAGTAACTCTCCATTTCCCCTTGTCTCAGCCCCTGGTGACACCCTTCCACTCTTTCACTCTATGACTTTGACTATTTTAGATACCTCATGTAAGTGGAATTTTGCATTATATATCTTGTGGGGTTGGCTTACTTCAGTTAGCATAATGCCCTTCAGGTTCATCCATGCTGTCTCACATTGAAGAATTTCCTACTTTTTTTTTTGGGCTGAACAATATTCCATTGTTTTTGTATGCCGCATTTTCATTATTCGTCTGTTGATGGACATTTAGTCGGTTTCCACATCTTGACTACTATGAATAGCACTGCAGTGAACATGAGAGTGCTAGTATCTTGTTGAGATTTTGATTTCAACTGTTTTGGATAAATACCTAGAAGTGGGATTACTGGATTTTATGGTAGTTCTACTTTTAATTTTTTAAAGATTTTTTTTGGTGAACCTCCATCCTGTATTCCATAGCAGGTGCACCATTTGAAATTCCACCTGTGCAGGGATTTCAATTTCTCTACATTCTTGCCAACACTTACTACCTTTTGTTTTTTGGATAATGTCTATCCTGACATGTACACTAGAGTTGTAATCTTTCTGCTGGTAGAAGGTCTTGCTTCAATGGTGATAGCTTCAGACTGATCAGGTGGCCGTGGCAATTTCTTAAAATAAGACAATGAAGTTTGCCACATTGATTGACTCTTCCTTTCGTGAAAAATTTCTCTGTAGCATACAATGCTGTTTGATAGCATTTTACCAACAGTAGAACTACTTTCAAAATTGGAGTCAGTCCTCTCAAACCCTGCCACGCTTTATCAACCAAATTTATGTCATCTTCTGAATCCTTTGTTTTCACTTCAACAATGTTCACAGCATGTTCACCAGGAGTAGATTCTATCTCAAGAAACCACTCTCTTTGCTTATCCATAAGAAGCAACTCCTCATCCATTAAAGTTTTATCATGAGATTGCAGCAATTCAGTCACGTCTTCAGGCTCTACTTCTAATTCAAGTTCTCTTGCTGTTTCCACCACATCTGGAATGACTTCCTCTGCTGAAGTCTTGGACCCCTCAGTGTCACCCATGAGGGTTGGAATCATTTTTAATGTTATATGAGAAGAAAGCATTCTAAGAAAATGACAGATAAAGTAGAAAATAAGTTGGAATCAACTGCTTCCCATCTCTTATTGATGTCAGTATTTTGACCTCCATCCACGAATCACAAATATCCTTAATGGCATCTAGAATGGTGAATCATTTCCAGAAGATTTTCAATTTACCCAAATCCATCAGAGGAATCACTATCTATGACAGCTATAGCCTTATGAAATATATTTCTTAGATAACAAGACTTGAAAGTTGAAATGACTCCTTGATCCAGCCTGCTTTCCTGCAACTTTAATCTCCTTGTCCATCTCTATCAGAGCTCTTGGGTGACCAGCCACATTGTCAATGAGCAATAATATTTTGAAAGGAATCTTTTTTTCTGGGAAGTAGGTCTCAAGAGTGGGTTTAAAATATTCAGTAAAACATGCTGTGACAGATGTGCTGTCATCCAGGCTTTGTTGTTCCATTTGTAGAGTAGAGGCAGAGTAGATTTAGCATAATTCTGAAAAAAGGCCTCAGGATTTTCAAAGTGGTAAATGAACATTGGCTTCAACTGAAAGTCACCAGCTGCATTAGTCCATAACAAGGTCATTCTTTTTTGGATTTTTCATAAAACCAGCTTTTGGTTTTATTCCTTATATTTATGAAGGTTGTTCTCCATTTTATTAATCTCTGCTTATATGTTTATGTCCTTAGTTTTTCTTTTGGTGCACTTTTGTTTTTCTGTGTCTAAAGTTCACATCATTTATTATCAATCATTATTGTGTCCTAGTAAATACATTTAAAGTTATAACTTTTTCTCTGAAGAAAACGCACACTGTATCCCATGATGTGTGTAGCATTACCATTAATGTTGATTTCTGTGTAGTCTGTGATTTGAGTTTTGATCATTTAATCCAAAATCACTTAGAAGAATGTCTTAAAATGTCTAACTAGTTTTAGGCCGGGTGCGGTGGCTCATGCCTATAATCCCAGCACTTTGGGAGGCCAAGGCGGGCGGATCACGAGGTCAGGAGATCGAGACCATCCTGGCCAACATGGTGAAACCCCGTCTCCACTAAAAATACACAAATTAGCTGGGTGTGGTGGCACGCACCTGTAATCCCAGCCACTTGGGAGGCTGAGGCAGGAGAATCGCTGGAACCCAGGAGTCGGAGGTTGCAGTGAGCCAAGATTGCCACTGCACTCCAGCCTGGCAACAGTGCGAGGCTCCGTCTCAATAATAATAATAATAATAATAATAATAATAATAATAATTTTTTAAAATGTCTAACTAGTTTCTTCTGTTGTATATTTTGCCTTTAAAATTAACTTGCTATTTATTGAGATGGATGTTCAGTTTTAGTAAATGCTCTGTGAGGATTTTTTAAATGTTCATTTCTTATTTAGGGGAAGTTCAAAGTTACATGTTATATCATGTTATTAATAGTGCTATTCTAAATGGTCTAGTACATCAAGTTATTTTTCTATTTTATCTGTTTTCTTAGAATGCTGTCTTCACATACAACATGAAAAATGAATTTTTCAAAATTGTCTTGTAATTTTAATAGTGTTTGCTTTATATAGATAGTGCTGTTGTTCATTGCATGATTATTATAGGATTGTACTTTTATTATAAAGGATATTCTTTGCTTTACTTAGTGGTTTTTTGCTGTAAATTTTTCTTTGTATAAAATTAATATTGCCACATCTGCTTTCTTTTTTTATAGATTTTCCTGGTTTACCTGTATTTATGCTTTTTTTTAAACATTTTTGTGACATTTTGGTTTAGGTATATTTCTCATTGTTAGATTTTTTCTATTCAAATTCCTCTAATACTCGTTTTCTAATTGGTGAATTTAACCCATTTTCATATTAACTGTGATAACTGCTGTGTTTGTACTTCTCCCTGCCATCTGATTTTATGTTTTCTATTCATCGTGCTTTTCAAAAATTATTTTCTTGATACTTGCTGAATTGTTAGCTATATCCCATTTCTATATTTCCTGGTGGTTTCTCTTAAATTATTAGCAAATATATTCATCTTGATATTAAGAATTCATCAGCATCTAAAACCTGTTACCACCAATGATAGTAGCTAACAGTTATTATTTCCTGTGTGTCTGACAGTATTTTAAGCTTCTTACCAGTATTAACTCAATAAATCCTCACAGTCACCTTGTGAGAAGGGAGTCAGTTATTCCCATTATTTACAGATGAGGAAACCAGTAAGAAGGTAAGTAATTTTCTGAAAGGCACACAGCTAGTGAGTAGTGGAGGCAGAACTCATACTCAGGCTCTGTACCTAGAGACCTGCTTGCTTCAGCACTGAGCTGTTGGAATATTTCTACTTGTCCTTGCCTAGACACCCTCTCCTTCCAGGTTATGCTGAAATTTACTTTCTAGATTGTTGTCTTATCTGTTATGTTCTAAGAAGTCTCTAAACATTTACATTAAAGACACCAGCAGTCTTTGGACTTGACTTCAAATTTTACTGATTTATTTTTCCTTGACATGTAGAATTGGCATGCTTTCTGGGTGCTTTCTTACCTGAAAAATGGCTTTATTTTGCCCTCATATTTGATTGATAGATTGGTTAATAGATATTTGTGGGTTTCATTCAACATTTTTTTGACATTGCTTCTTTGCGTTCTAGCATTAAGGATTACAGACGAAAATTCCTATATAGTTTTTCTCTCTGGAAATACATAAGGTTTGGAGGGGTGATGTGTGTGTGTTGTTGTTCTCTTATTCTTTCACTTTAGCCTCTCTTTTTTGAATTTCTATTATTGCTTTTATCATATTATCTATTTCTTTTCTTTCTGTGTTCTCAGAGAATATCATCACTGAGTCTTTAATACTGTCAACTTCAGCTGTGTACATTTTGCTCTTCAGCTTTCTTTTGAGGCTTTAAATTAGGCAAATATATTTTTCTTAGAATTTCTGAAAACTCCTTTTCACTGGAGCTTATTTTAATTATATGGGTGCATTATCCTTTTAAACTTCTGTGAAAACAATAATTGGAGTTTTCATTTGCATTAGCTGTTTCATGAGAGGTCAAGTTTTTTGCTTATTTATTTTGATGTTTCCTTTTCATGATATTTGTGTCTTGGGATTTGGTTGTATATTCACATTTTTAGTTAGCTACTTGATTTAAATAAAGTATCAGTAGTTACTTTCAGGGTTCTTGGTGATTATAATAATTACTCACCTACCAGGCTTCTTCCTTGCACGCAGCTCACTACAGGAATCTGTTGTGCCTAGATTGCGGGACAAGTGGGGAAACCCCACTCCGTTAACTGCATACACAGGGAAGGAGCTACGAGGGAGATAGAATAATTTGGTCTCTACTATTACCTTAAGAGACCTTCCCCCGTCTTCGATTTAAAAAAAAAACTACTGCATACAAAGGGTAGGAGCTACAAGGGACATAGAATAATTTGGACTCCACTACTACCTTAAGAGACCTTCCCCTGACTTCTCTTTTAAAAAACCTATGGGTCTCTGAACCCCTGAACTTACTTTCCACACCTATTTGTCTCTTCACCCCCAAAATCCATATTAGAATGCCCCTGCAGGCTATAAAGCCTTTCATAAAAGTAAAATACCCAGTCTTTTCAAGAGAACAATAAAATAGGCAGTCTCCTACCTCTTGTCTTACTCTAATATAAACTCCATGAAGATAAGTATTGTCTCCATACTGTTCATGCTGCACAGCAGTTGCCCTTATCTGCAGGGCGACACATCCCAAGACCCCCAGTGGATGCTTGAAACTGCAGAGAGTAACACACGTGATTGCCACCATCGGAACACATTTCTGTTCACGTCTTCCACCCACAGATTTAATGCCTTTTCCGTCTTAACTAAGCACTCATCATGGACTGTGGCCATAACTTTTGCAGTTTTAGATGCAACAGCAAAACTAACGTTAATTTTTTCTTCTTCTTCACAATTTCATGGGTAGATTTGTTCTTACCGTAGATCTTAGCAACCTCAGCATATGATGTTTTTCTTTTGAGAACTTTCACCTTTTCTCTTAAAGAAAGCACTTTACAGCTTCTCTTTGGCATATCTCAACTGCCAGCATCACTCCTCTTGAACTTTGGGGCCATTATTAAGTCAGAAAAGGGTTACTTGAAAACAAGCACTGAGATACCACCAGAGTCCATCTGATAACTAAGATGGTAACTACATGACTAACAGGCTGGTGACGTATACAGCATGGATATGCTGGACAAAGGGGTGAGTCATGTCCCAGGTAGGATGAAGCAGGGTGACTTGAGATTTCACTGTTTAGTATGGTGCACAATTTAAAACTTAGGAATTGTTTATTTCCTGGAACTTTTCGTTTAATATTTTTGGACTGCAGTTGACTACAGGTAACTGAAACTGTGGAAAGTGAGGATCGGAGGATAAGCAGGGACTGTGGTATTCATTTCATTGCACAGTGCCTAGAATACAGTAGGTGTACTATAAATATTTTGTAAAGAGACAACTTTTCTGAAACTAAAAATATTTATGTTTTACCCAATAATTTTTCTTCTGGAAATTTATGCTAAGGAAATATTCAGAGATGCTTACAAAGTTTTATGCATGAGTGTCCGTGTTATTTGTAATTGTGAAAAATGAAAATAACTCAAAAGTTTCAGTGGTCATCTAAAGTATTGTATACACTGTATATATAGGTTGAATAGAAGGTCATCCTATTCATTTATTAATGAGAGGTACAATCTCCAGGGATCTGTAAAATCTATTTTGTCTTAACCAAAGAACAAATTTTTGACATATCTTGAATAGGATGACTATAAATTATGACTTTTAAATTGTCGTAATTTTTGTACTATTATGTGATATTTTTATTTTTATGTATGTTCCTAAGTAGTTTAGAGATAGTCACATTTTAAAAATCCAAGATCAAACAAATGAATCTTATTTTTATGTATTCATAGTATAGAAGACCTTCAGTAAATAGATAATATTTTTGTTTTATTCTAGAAAACAGCTCCTTGAACACAGTGAGGTAAAGCTTTCATTTTAATCTCTGGTAGACTTGTGTATTAAATTCTAGTTTGAGGGTAATTGACAAAGGTATAACCTTGCTGCTGATGCACCATCAGTAGTGAGTTGTTCAGCATTGGTGATAAATTTCTGCTGATCCTTCTCACTCTTTCATCTGCTCTTACTTTTGAATAGTAATAAGGATTTAAAAGCTAGAAGGCTGATTTATGACTATACTACAGAATTAAATTAAATTGCATTCATTTAACAATAACAAGCATTTGGTTTCTAGCCTGCTGAGCTAATCAGCTACAGTCCATTGGGGCAGGCACCCTTGGCCCTGTGACTGGTGGCCATCTGCCACCACGTAGATTTGCTGGTCAGTCAGTGACAAGCTCAGAAGTGTTGAAGGATACAAAAGATACTAAAGTCATGTTCCTGCCCTTCGGTATGTGTAATTTTACAAAGGAGACAAATAAGACAACATTTTATGTCGTGTAAAATTATTTTGTGGCATAAAAAGGAAAAGATCAGTGTGGGCTGGAAATATTTCCTATTTGATAGAACTTTAAGTGGGTCTTGAGGTAAAGGTCAAATTTACAGGAGTGGGTAACTGAATTTGAACTTAATAGAGATAGTTTATGACACATGTTGAGTATCCCTTATCCAAAATGCTTAGGACTAGAGGCGTTTCAGATTTCAGATTTTATTGAATTTTGGAATATTTACAATGTAGTTACTAGTTGAGCATCCCTAACCTGAAAATCCAAAATCCAAAATGCTTCAATGAGCATTTGTTTTAGCATAACCTTTGAACATCATATTGGTACTCAAAAGTTTCAGATTTTGGAGCATTGTAGATTTCAGATTTTTGGATCAGGGATTCATTAGTAACTTTGTCACTTTACAGTGAGGCCCACTGTGTTGGTCCTCCGCCTCCTCAAACCACCTCCTCCTCTCCCTGCCTCCTCTGCCTGCTCCATTTTCTTGCCAACTGCACTTATTGCCTTACAGTAGACTATGTAATGGATTCATTTATTTGCTATTTCTATGTATTGTCTGTCTTTCATTACTAAATGTAGTTAAATGTAATACAAGGACAGAAATTGCTCACTGCTGTATCTGAAGCACCCTGAAGAGTACCTGGAACATAGTAGACATTTGATAAATTATTGTTGAATGAATACTGATAGGCTTATTACTAAGTTAGAAGATCCTTGTCTTAATGAATAATATAGTTTTAATGTACTTCATTAATTTAAAAATATGAAAAGTAAGAATGTGATTTTGTCTTATTTGTGTTTTTATAGCTGGCTTTTCACACATTGCAGTTGTTAGCATTTACTGCCCTTGCCATTTTAATTTTGAGGCTAAAGCTGTTTTTGACACAGCACATGTGTGTTATGGCTTCCTTGATATGCTCTTGACGGGTAAGGGATTCATTCTTGTATAACAATACTATAAAAACTATAGCAGCTATACTTAGTAGTTACCGTGGCTTTGCTGACTAATTCAAAATATAAACACACTAAGTGTTTTTAACTTAACTAAGTTAAATGATTTAAAATATTACTTCGTGATTCACTATAAGCAAGAAAAGCAATTTCAAGTGGCTTTGAAAAGTATTTCTGGATTTTAATTGATATTTCTATAACAAGTGATTAGGCAAACATTTCCCCTCTGTTAATATCCTGTCCATGAACATAACCTTTTAGAGTTCAGGTTTGTGTAAGAGTGCCTGGCACAGTGGCTCACACCTGTAATCCCAGCACTTTGGGAGGCCGAGATGGGCAGATCACTTGAGGCCAGGAGTTCGAGACCAGCCCGGCCAACATGGTGAAACTCCATCTCTACTAAAAATACAAAAATTAGCCGGGTGTGGTGGCGAGTGCCTGTAATTCCAGCTACTTGGGAGGCTGAGGCAGGAGAATCGCTTGAACCTGGGAGGCAGAGGCTGCAGTCAGCCAAGATCGCACCACAGCACTCTAACCTGGGTGACAGAGTGAGACTGTCTCAAAAAAAGAAAAAGAAAAAAAAAGAGTTTCCTGGTGGCCAGGCACAGTGGCTCCCACCTGAAATCCCAGCACTTTGGAAGGCCGAGGTGGGCAGATCACTTGAGGTCAGGAGTTCAAGATCAGCCTGGCCAACATGGTGAAACCCTGTCTCTATTAAAATACAAAAATTAGCCGGGCATGGTGGTGTGTGCCTGTAATCCCAGCTACTCAGGAGGCTGAGGCAGGAATATTGCTTGAACCTGGGAAGTGGAGGTTGAAGTGAGCTGAGGTCGCACCACTGCATTACAGCCTGGGAGACAGAGTGAGACTCTGCCTCAAAAAAAAAAAAAAAAAAAAAAAAAAAAGAGTTTCCTGGTTCACCAAAAGTACCCTGAAATACTCATCCAATACCAGAGTAGATGCAGAGTAATTGCTCTAATATGGTTCTGTTTGGCTCGAACAATCTATAAGAAATTCTGGGGTTCTATCACTGTTATCTAACATACAAAAGAACTAGATAAATTGCTAGAATATTGGGCCTAAGGTACTTCTACAAACACCTTACTTAGTTTTTATTATGAGTGTATAGCCTTAAAATATCATAATGCCTGTTTTCCTGAGAAGAATCTATATATATCATGCTAATAGGGCTTCCCTGTCTACTAACCATGTCCACAAAAGGCAGCCAAGGATGAAAGGATTTAGTTCTAAGATGTTTCACAGTTGTGATTTGTTTATTTTAATCCTTAGTAGTAAATTAGTACTAGAAGGATCAGGTATATCTTCCTTAATTCTTCCCAGGGGAGAGAAAGTTCTGTTTTCACCTGGGCCCTGTAATGCCAATATATTTGTTGCTTTAGAAACAATCGGAGATGATAATTCTGTATACATGTGTGCTGATATCAAAGGGTAATTCACATTGGTTTGAGTAACAAGGTGAGAATTTATTGTTGACCCTACAGTACTCTTCATATAAGAACTAGAAATAAATTGTTTCTTTTGTTTCAGCTCTTTGGCTGGCTTTTTCGCAGAGTTCGCAGAGAGAATGTTATCTTTGGCATTCTAACAGTGATGTCAATACAAGGTTATGCAAACCTCTGTAATCAATGGAGCATAACAGGAGAATTTAATGATTTGCCTCAGGAAGAACTTTTACAGTGGATCAAATACAATACCGTACCAGGTGTGTAGGTATTTGGTTATATGCTAGTTTTATACAAACATACTCACAGACACATTTGTGTATACTATATATAATTATTGTCATTTCTGATATATGTGTGTATGTATGTATGACAGATTTACAAATAGGCATTCATACTCTCACAGACTTTGAGCAGACTATTGCAATGTCAATCAATTAAACCCTTCCAAAAGGCAATTTTGTACTCCTTTTAAGCCCCTCCCAGATAATTATCAAAGAATTTAAATTAGCACCAGGAAATTAATGATTTTTCACAAGTTATGTCCTTTAACCCTCAGACAGCATTATAGCATTTTAACCATAACAATGACAAATCAAAGAAGTAAATCTTTAAAAATGAAATTTCACACCTTGTGCCAGGCTACAGCAGAAGATACTTTTGATGGTGGGGAGTTAGCTGGCACCGCTTCTGTCACTGCAATCAGTGCTGTCTCCTCTAATTCTGTAAAACAGGGCATTGGCAGAAGAGTTAAAATCTTGGATATTCTATTTTCTTCACTAAATCATCTCACAGAGATAGTATACATCCTACTTTTAAATACTCTAAAATTTTCTTTTTAGCTTACCCTCTTTTCTTCCTGTCTTTATTCAGAACTACCTCAAGCAGATAGATATTTTTAAATACTTTTCCAGAGAATAAGTCTATAACATTTTCTGTAACTAAATTTGTAAATCAAAGATTATTTTTGATATTTGGAAACTTACTCTGGCACAAGTTCTTCACTATGATTTATTTAAATTTTCTTATGACTCCTGAGCTTGTTTCATTTCTTATTTGATAGCCACTTTTTTTCTAATTAACCTTAATTAAGGTAAATCTTTATAAGCTTTAAGTAAGATATTTGGTCTATAGCTTTCAAAGGGTGTAGGTGACAGTGCCTCATTAAACTGCCAAGCCAGTTTAATTAGAATTTTAAAAGTAATCCCCAACTGACTTTTTCCACGTAGGAGCTCAAGGTAATCACTCCCTTTCTTTACTCTCCCTTGCCCCTCCCCAGTTATAGCCATTTTTCCCAAGCTATTAAAAATAGCTGCCCTTTTAATCTTTTCTTGTGTCTTTCTTTGTTCTGGTGTTTGTATTGGGTTCCTGACAGAGAGCCTACATTTGGCAACTTATCCTTCTAAGATAACTGCCACAAACCCCTGTCTCACTTTTAGATGCCTCTTCTTTGATCTTCTTTTCAATCTGTCTTATTCTCCTTTTTTAAATTTTATTTATTTTTTTATTATTATACTTTAAGTTTTAGGATACATGTGCACATTGTGCAGGTTAGTTATTCTCCTTTTAATTACTCTTATTATGAGTTATCTCATGGTTACCACATATTAAAAGCTGTATGAAGTTTTGTAGTATTAGTGGAACTAGTGCTTATATTGAGGTCTGCCATATACAGTTGTATAGTTTGTGCACTGCACAAAGGTGACCAATTGAGAGGATAAGTGAAAGCTTAAATCCAGCTTGTGGTCCACTCATCAAGCCATGTATAATGGGGCTCTGTCAAGTCAGGGGAATACCTTTTTCTAATCTGTGTAGTAGGCTAAATGGAGACTTCCATACAGTGACAGGAAAATATCTGATTTTTCCTTGTTATGCTCATTTACTTCACAGCCAAAAAGACAGAAGGTGGAGTGGGAGGGTATTTCTTCCTCTCCGTCTGCCATAGGTGACAACTCAGTGGGTCCAGCTCTTGCTGGACAGGTGTGCCTAGTTTTTTTTTGGAAGACCCTGGCCCTGGGCTTTCAATTCTTCTTGCTCAGCATTTCCCAACCTTAGCACAGTTGGCATTGAGGCTGTCCTATGTATTACAAGAAATCCTTGGCCTCTATCTACAAGATGCCAACAGCATCTCCTCCCTCCTCCCCATAGCATGACGTCGAAAAATGTCTCCAGAAGTTGACACTGCTCCCTAGGGAGCAAAATCATGCCTGCCTGAGAACCACTTCTCTAGCTTAACAGTTTGTGATCATTAATTATTGAGTCTCCATTAATAAATACACATTCTTTGACTAGCTTACATATTTTCAAATTTGAGGCATATAAAGAAATTTTCATTCAAAGTTGCATTTAGAATGCTTAGTTATACTGGAAAGTAAACACTCAGGGTTCTTAAAGTTTTTAATTTATGTGGGTACAGAGCAGGTGTATATATTTATGGGGTAGATGGGATATTTTGATACAGGCATACAATGTGTAATAATCACATCAGGGTAAATGGAGTATCCATCACCTGAAGCATTGATCCTTTGTGTTACAAACAATCCAGTTATACTCTCTCAGTTATTTTTAAATGTACAGTAAAATTTTGTTGACTATAGTCACCCTTCTGTGTTACCAAACACTGCATCTTATCCATTCTATTTTGTTTGTGCACATTAACCATCCTCACTTCCCCTCCACCCCCTCACTATCCTTCCCAGCCTCTGGTAACCATCATTGTATTCTTGATCTCCATGAGTTCAACTCTTTTAATTTTTAGCTCCCACAAATAAGAACCTGCAAAGTTTGTCTTTCTGTACCTGGCTTATTTCAATTAATGTAATGACCTCCAGTTCCATCCATGTTATGGATAGGATCTCATTCTTTTTTTATGAAAGGATCTCATTCGTTTTTATGGCTGAATAGCACTGCGTTGTGTCTATGTACCACATTTTCTTTATCCATTCACCTGTTGATGGACACTTAGGTTGCTTCCAAATCTAGGCTATTGTGAGAAGTGCTGCAATAAACATGGGAGTGCACATACCTCTTCTAAATATTTATTTCCTTTCTTTGGGGTATATATCTAAGAGTAGGATTGCTGGATCATGTGGTAACTCTATTTTTAGTTTTTTGAGGAACCTCCAAACTCTTTTACATAGTGGTTGTACTAATTTACATTTTCACCAAAAGTGTATGAGAGTTCCCTTTTCTCCACATCTTTTCCTGTCTTTTGGATAACAGCCATTTGTTATTGCCTGCCTTTTGAGTAATAGCCATTTTAACTGGAGTGAGATGCTATTTCACTGTAGTTTTGATTTGCATTTCTCTGATGATCAGTGATGTTGAGCACCTTTTCATGTACCTGTTTGCCACTTGTATGTTTTCTTTCGAGAAATGGCTATTCAGATCTTTTGCCCATTTTTAAAGTAGATTTTTAGATTTTCTTTTCCTACAGAGTTGTTTGAGCTCCTTATATATTCTGGTTATTAATTCCTTGTCAGATTGGTAGTTTGCAAATATTTTCGCTTATTCTTTGGGTTGTTTCTTCACTTTGCTGATTGTTTCCTTTGCTTTGCAGAAGCTTTTACACTTGATGTCATCCCATTTGTTCATTTTTGCTTTGGTTGCCTGTGCTTCCCAGGTATTTACTCAAGAAATCTTTGTCCAAACCAAAGTCCTGGAGAGTTTCCCCAAAGTTTTCTTGTAGTAATTTCAGAGTTTGAGGTCTTAGATTTAAGGCTTTAATCCATTTGGATTTGAGTTTTGTATATGGCAAGAGATAGGGGTGTAGATTCATTCTTCTGCATATGGATATTCAGTTTTCCCAGCACCATTTTTTGAAGAGATTGCCCTTTCCCCAGTGTATGTTTTTGGGACTGCTGTAAAAAATGAGTTTACTGTAGATGTATGGATTTCTTTCTGGGTTCTCCATTCTGTTCCACTGGTCTGTGTGTCTGTTTTTATGGCAGTACCATGATGTTTTGGTTACTATACTTCTGTAGTATAATTTGAAGTCAGGTATTGTGATTCCTTCAGTTATGTTCTTCTTGCTCAGGGTAGCTTTGGCTATTCTAGGTCTTTTGTGTTTTCGAATACATAAGGATCATTTTTTCTATTTCTGTGAGGAATATCATTAGTAGTTTGATGGGGATTGCATTGAATCTGTAGATTGCTTTGAATAGTATGGACATTTTAACAATATTGATTCTTCCAATGCTTGAACATGGAATAGCTTTCCATTTTTTGTATCTTCTTCAATTTCTTTCTCCAGTTTTGTATAGCTTTCATTCTAGAGATCTTTCATTTCTTTGGTTAATTTCTAGGTATTTAATTTTATATGTGGCTACTGTAAATGGAATTACTTTTTAAATTTTCTTTCTCAGGTTATTCTCTGTTGGCATATAGAAACATTAATGATTTTTGTATGATTTTGTATCCTACAACATTACTGAATTTATCAGTTCTAATAGTTTTTTTTTTTTTGTGGAGACTTTAGGTTTTTCTAAATATAAGATCATATCATCTGTGAACAATGATAATTTGGCCTCTTCCTTTCAAATTTGGATGCCCTTTATTTCTTTCTCTTGTCTGATTGCTCTAGTTAGGATTTCCAGTACTATGTTGAATAATGTGGTAAAAAGTGAGCATCCTTGTCATGTCCCAGATCTTAGAAGAAAGGCTTTCAGTGTTTCCTCACTCAGTATGATACTATGATACTACTTGTGCATTTGCTGTATATAGCTTCTTTATGTTGATTAATGTTCCTTCTATACCCAGTTTATTTGAAGGTTTTTATCATGAAGGTATGTTGAATTTTACCAAATGATTTTCCTGCATCTATGGAGATGAGATGATCATATGATTTTTCCTCTTGTGTTGATATGACATTGATTTGCTATGTTGAACCATCTTTGCGTCCCTGAGATAAATCCTATTTGGTCATGATGAATAATCTTTTTAATGTGTTATTGAATTCAGTTTGCTAGTATTTTGTTGAGGATTTTTACATTAACATTAATCAGAGATTTTAGCCCGTAGTTTTTTTTGATGGGTCTTTGTATGGTTTTGGTATTAAAGTGATATTGGTCTCATACAATGGGTTTGGAAGTATTCCTTCCTCCTCTATTTCCTGGAATCGTTAGAGTAGGATTGATATTAGTTCTTCTTTAAATGTTTGATAAAATTCAGCAGTGAAGCCATCAGGTCCTGGGCTTTTCTTTGCTGAGAGACTTTTCATTAGAGATTTGATCTCATTACCTGTGATTGTTCTGTTCAGGTTTTGGATTTCTATATAGTTCAATCTTGGTAGGTTTTATGTATCTAGGGATTTATCCATTTCTAGGTTTTCCAATTTATCGGCATACAGTTGCTCATGGTAGTCTCTGATGATCCTTTAATTTCTGCAATATTGGTTATAATGTCTCCTTTTATTATCTCTGATTTTATTTATTTGGGCCTTCTGTCTTTTTTTCTTAGTCTGGCTAAAGGTTTGTTAATTTTATCTTTTCAGAAAACCAGTTGATCTTTTATACTGTTTTCTTCATTGCAATTTCATTTATTTCTGCTCTGATCTTTATTATTTCATTTCTCTTACTAACTTTGGGTTTTGTTTGCCCTTTTCTAGTTTTTTAAGATGCATCATTGAGTTGTTAATTTGAGGTTTTTCTTCTTTTTTGATGTGGGCACTTACAGCTACAGACTTCCCTCTTAATACTGCTTTCGCTGTATCCCATAGGTTTTGATGTGTTGTGTTTTCATTATCATTTGTTTCAAGAACATTTTCAATTTCCTTCTTAATTTCTTTATTAACCCACCGGTCATTCAGGAGCATATTCTTGAATTTCTATGTTTGTAGAGTTTCCAAAATTCCTTTTGCTACTGATTTCTAGTTTTTTTTCCATTGTGGTCAGAGAAGATACATTATGTTGTTTCAATTTTTAAAAAATGTTTTAAGGCTTGTTTTGTGGCCTATCCTTGTTTTGTGGTCTATCCTTGAGGAATGAGCCATGTGCTGAGGAGAAGGATGTGTATTCTGTAGATGTTGGATGAAATGTTCTGTAAGTATCTGTTAGGTCCTTTTGATCTATAGTGCAGATTAAGTTCAGTGTTTCTTTGTTGATTTTCTGTCTAGATGACCTGTCCACTGCTGAAGGTGTGGTGTTGAAGTCTCAGGCTATTATTGTATTGGGATCTGTCTCTCTCTTTTGCTCTGATAATATTTGCTTTATGTATCCGGGTGCTCCAGTATTGGGTGTATATATATTTACAATTGTTATATACTCTTGCTGAATGAACCCCTTTATCATTATATAATGACCTTCTTTGTCTCTTTTTATAGTTTTTGTCTTGTAATCTATTGTGTCTGATACAAGTATGGCTATTCCTGCTCTTTTATGGTTTCCATCGGCATGGAATATAATTTTCCATCCCTTTGTTTTCAGTCTATATTTGCCTTTATAAGTAAAGTGTGTTTCTTGTAGGTAACAGATTCTTAGTGTTTTGTTTTATTATTCAGCTACTCTTTGTCTTTTGATTGGAGAGTTCAGCCCATTTACCTTCAGAGTTATTATTGTTAAGGACTTGCCCCTGCCATTTCGTTATTTGTTTTCTCATTGTTTTGTGGTCTTCTCTTCCTTCCTCTTTTTCTTTCATTGAAGGCGATTTTCTCTGGTGGTGTGTTTTAATTTATTGCTTTTTATTTTTTGTACATCAATTGTATGGTTTTAAACCTGAGGTTGCCATGAGGCTTGCAAATAATATCTTATAACCCATTATTTTAAACTGATGACAACACTGATTGCATAAACAAATGAGCCAAAAGAAAGCTAGTAAAAATTCTAAACTTTAACTTCATCTCCCGACTTTTTACCTTTTTCTTGTTTCTATTTATATCTTATTGTACTGTCTCTTGAAAAGTTGTTGTAGTTATTTTTTATTGGTTCATCTTTTTGTCTTTCTACTTATCATATAAGTAGTTTATATACCATAATGACACTGCTATAATATTGTGTTTCTCTGTGTACTCACTATTACCAGTGAGTTTTGTACCTTCCGATTATTTCTTCCTCATTAAGGTCCTTTTCTTTCAGATTGAAGAACTCCCTTTAGCATTTCTTATAGGATAGGTCTGGTGTGAATGAAATTTCACAGCTTTTGTTTCACTGGGAAGTCTTCTCCTTTAGGTTTGAAGCACATTTTCTCTGGATACACTACTCTCAGGTAAAAGGTTTTTTCCTTCACTTTAAATATGTCATGGCATGCTTTCCTGGCCTGTAAGGTTTCCACTGAAAAGTCTGCTGCCAGATCTATTAGATCTCCATTGTATGTTATTTGTTTCTTTTCTCTTGCTGCCTTTAGGATCCTTTCTTTATCCTTGATCTTTGGGAGTTTGATATTAAATGACTTGAGTTAGTCTTTGGGTTAAATCTGCTTGATGTTCTATAACCTTCTTGTGCTTGAATATTGATATTTTCTCTAACTTTGAGAAGTTCTGTTGTACTTTTGAATAAACTTCCTACTGCTGTCTCTACCTCCTCTTTAAGGCCAATAACTCTTAGATTTTTCCCTTTAAAGGCTACTTCTAGATCTTGAAAGTATGCTTCATTCTTTTTTATTCTTTTTTCACCTCCTCTGTGTATTTTCAAGCAGCCTGTCTTTAATTTAAGCTCACTAATTCTTTCTTCTGCTTGATCAGTTCTGCTATTAAGAGACTGATACATTCTTCAGCATGTCAGTTGCATTTTTCAGCTCCAGAATTTCTGCTTTTTAATTATTTTGATTTATTTGTTAACTTTATCTGATAAGATTACTAATTCCTTCTCTGTGTTACCTCGAATTTCGTTGACTTTCCTCAGCACAGCTATTTTGAATTCTCTGTCTGAAAGGCCACATATCTCTGTCTCTCCAGGATTGGCCCCCTAGTGCCTTATTTAGTTTGTTTGGTGAGGTCATGTTTTCCTGCATGGTTTTGATGCTTGTGGATGTTTGTCGGTGTCTGGGCATTGAAGAGTTTGGTATTTATTATAGTTTTTGCAGTCTGGGCTTGTTTGTACCCATCCTTGTTGGAAAGGCTTTCCAGGTATTCAAAGGGACTTTGGTGTTGTGATCTAAGTTTCTGGTCGCGGCGGCTGTATCTGCACTAGGAGGCACCCCATGCCCAGTAATGCTGAAGCTATTGCAGACTCTTAGAGGTACTACCTTGGTGGTCTTGGATAAAATCCAGAATTCTCAGGATTAGCAGGCAGAAGCTCTTGTTCTCTTCCCTTACTCTCTCCCATATGGAGTCTCTCTCTCTCTCTTTCTCTGTGCTAAGCTACCTGGAGCTGGGGGTGGGGTGATATAAGCATCTCTGTGGCCACCACTACTGGGAATGTGTTGGGTCAGACCTGAAGCTAGCACAGCACTGGGTCTTACCCAAAGCTCATTGTAACTACTGCCTGGCCACCACCTAAGTTTGCTCAAGGTGTAGGGCTCAACAGTCAGCAGGTGGCAAAGCAAACCAGGCTGGTGACCTTCCCTTCAGGGTGGCAAGATCCCCCAGGTCATAGTCAGGTCCAGAGATGCTGCTGTCCAGGAGCCAGGGCCTGGAGTCAGACACCTTAGAAATCTACCTGATGCTCTACTCTACTGCAGCTGAGCTGGTGCTGAAACCACCAGACAAAGTCCTTCCCACCCTTCCTTCCCCTTTCCCCAGGCAGAGTGGTCTCTCCTCATTTCCACCACTACCACAGGCCCGTGGGAGGTAATGCCTGGCTACCGCCAACATTCACTTAAGGCTGAAGGACCTTTCAGTCAGCTTGTGGTGAGTGCTGCCAGGCCTGGAACTCACCCTTCAGGGCAGTGGGCTCTCTTCCAGCCCAGGGCAGGTCCAGAAATGCCACCCAAGAGCCAAGGCCTGGAATCGGGGACCACAAGAGCCTGCTTGGTGCTGCTCCCCACTGAGGCCAAGCTGGTACCTAAGCTGATTTTTGGTTCTTATGAAAGTGCTTTTTGTGTAGATCGTTATCAAATTTGGTGTTCCTGAGGGGAGGATGAACAGTGGAGGCTTCTACTTGGTCATCATGCTCCACCTCCTCTCCAACATAGTTTTTTATAGTAGATCTGAATAATATGTCTTATCTTTATTACTGATTTTATTGTGCTGATTAAAAATGATAGTAACCTTCACAATTATGTAATTGTTTTTTATACAAAAGTACCAGGAAGTAAGCATTTGGTCTTCTGGTATTTCAAGAGATGAAATGGAAGCCAGATAGATTTTGATGTATCTCTATTTATGACCAAATTTATACATGTTATTACTCCAAAAAGTACTACTAGCAAGTAATGAAATGATTTCATGGCATGTATAAATGGTGTCAAGTCAAATGGTAACTCTGAGAACTGAAAGATGATCTGAGGGAAGAAAACAATGCTTTCCTTTTTTATGGCACATCCACAGGACCACAGTTCACCAGCCACAAAAGTCATTTGAAAAAATGTCCCATGAGACTTGCCCTTCATAGCAGTCTCTCAGTTCCTGGCATTTCACATTATTGGAACAGATGTGACATTTTACATTCTTTTTGTTTCATGTGTGTCTGTAGTCCTGCTGTTAGCATGGTGCTCTAGCATAGCAGGAAGCTTTAGTGAAGCAGCTAAGAGGGCAGGCTCTGGAACTTCCTAGCTGTGCAGTCTTGGACAAGTCACTTAACTTGGCTGTGTCTCTTCATCATCTACAACAGCAGTCTGCAACCTTTTTGGCACCAGGGACTAGTTTCGTGGAAGACCATTTTTTTCCACAGAACTGGGGGGTAGGGGGTGGTTTCTGGATGAAATTGTTCCACCTCAGACCATCAGGCATTAGATTCTAATGAGTGCATAACTCAGACCCCTCACATGCTCAGTTTGTAGATTTTACAAAGTAAGAACAGAGGACCTACCCCTTAGAATTGTGAAAATTAAGTGATTTCTTGTTAAAATATGGAGCACAATTTCTAGCACCCAGATAGCATTTAACAAAAGTCAGCTATTATTATAGTAGATAATGAATAACTATTGAGTTAATAAAAAGAATGAGGTCCATGATCATGTAAATAGGCATCATCCTTCTTAATTTGGGTTCACATATTAGAGGTAAGTTTAACTTCTGATTTTCTTTGAAACATTTAATTGAAGAATATATCCTTTTTTTTTTTTTCAGATGCTGTCTTTGCAGGTGCCATGCCTACAATGGCAAGTGTCAAGCTGTCTACACTTCATCCCATTGTGAATCATCCACATTACGAAGATGCAGACTTGAGGTTGGCAGCTGATAAGTATTTCTTCAAGACTCACTTGGCGACTCCCAATTCTTAGGAACTGGGAAAATTTTTACACACACACACACACACACACACACACACACACACACACAAACTCATCCTCATTTTCATACTGGAAGTTAAAAAAAGTGACAATAACCATCCAGAAATGATGTGTGTGTGTATTCCAGTAAAACTACTAGGTAGTTGGAAGAGTAGGTAGGACGGATTTTACTCACAGCCATGGTTTGCCAACCCCTGCTCTACACCAGAAGCCCCACTCTGATTTAAGAAATGATTTCTAGATCTTACTGGTGGCCAATGACTAGCTTTTTGTGACAGGTAGAAAAAATACATGAAATTTGCTATTATATATTACGTGCTTTCATGAAAATTTAGAGTATTTTTGCTAGTCGATTATGAGAACTCTAGTTTCCATTGATGTCTAAAAGTTTTGCTTACCTTAAATGGCTGGTTTAAAAAATTATTTTGGTTATTCTAGTAGTTGTCAGGGTAATCGTTTTTAAAAGTGGATTTTTGGCCTATTGTTAGAGGCAAATGTTTAAATTATTTAAAAGTTTTAGGTCTGCTGTCTAGGAGCCAGGGCTTGGAGTCAGACACCTTAGAAATGTACCTGATGCTCTCTCTGTTCTACTGCGGTGAACTGGCATGGAAACCACTGTGGTGACTGAGCATTCCATATGCTTGAAATTCTAAGCAACATCCAATGCATAAGTGATAGTTTGTTAGGATTTTGTAAGAACTCCCACTATGGTCAAATCACCTATTGTACCATATTTTGGTGACCATCCCCATTTCTCAAGACTCTGTGAAGGTGCTTTTCCTACCTCTTCTGACACCCTGGATGCCCATTGTCTAAGTGTTCTACTTGATACACTAAATTTCAATTCATGTATTTGTCAGAGCTTCTTTAGATGAAATTAAGCATTGAAAGATGTGTTTTCACTACATTCAGTCTCTGTCAGAATATAGTCTCTGAAAACTGTGTGAATTATGAGAAGAAAATTGTATATCCTAAGCTGCTCTCTGCTACCCAGTACAACTTTACACTATCTTATACAGTAATGAGCAGTATATGCAAAATTAAATTGCTGTAAGTTTTATTACATTCAAAATATAAGTAGGAATGTGGAAACTGCCATCCCCAAAATAATTGATGCTGTTTTGAGTCATGTATATCAGTGTTCCATCCAGTGAGTATTGAGATTTCAATTTGCTAGTAAGATTTTTTTAGTCTATTCTATTATCATTTATTTTAAAATCTTTTAAAATATTGTTTAAATTTAAAGGGCTTGGACAAAAATAGTTTATTCTACATATAGTGGAAAATCTGCCAAAGAAGTAAGAGATAAATTGTTGGAGTTACATGTGAATTATTATGTTTTAGAAGAGGCATGGTGTGTTGTGAGAACTAAGTGAGTATTAAACCTATGCTATCTGATATGGTATATTTTTGAGCAACAAATGTTTCACTTTATTACAGTAGTCCTGATTCTTTAAGAATTTTTATTTTAAATTTATTAAAATATTATCCTGGTACCTTAGTTTAAATTATTTCATCTAGAGACATAAAACTATATTATCAATGAAGTAGAATTTAATTCCAAACATTATAGTATATTTAATATCCTGATTTTTCAATTTAACATCTTCCACTTAGCTTTTTTCATAATTTTTGAAATATTTATGAAAATTTTTATTAGATATCTGTAATATGGATTTGAATTTACAACAAAGTGAGATATTGGCATTCTGTATTATAGCTGAATTATATTGGATTTGTAAGACTTAAAAGAAAAGTGACAAAACCCAAAATGACCTAAGGAAAACATTCCTAATTAAAATTTTTTAATTTCTGAATTTTGAATCTCTAAAAATCATAAAATTCTAAGATGTGTAATTGATCTTATGAGTCCTTTGTTTAGGCTCCTAAGCACAGATATTAGCTGCTGCACATGACAGGAAATTCAGGCACATTAATTGTCTCCTAGAATGACACATTGGCAATCAGAAGAACAAAACAGGTTCTACGGTCACTTCAAAATATCATTTAAAATGTGCAAAAAGTTTCAGAGATTCAAACTAAAATGAGAAAGTATGACCAATACTCTGAAAAAAATAAGTTAATAGAAACCGATTCAAGTAGGTCCAGATGTTGGATTTAGCAGCCAAAGACTGCAAAGCCACTATTACAAATACATTCAAAGGCTTAAGAAAAATGTATTCAATGAATTAAAAGAAAACATGGTATCCATGAGTGAAGAGCTATGGAATCTCAGCAGAGAAATAGAAACACTCCAGCCCCCATGGAAATTCTAGAGCTGAAAAGTATAATAAATAAAATGAAAATCATTTAAATGTACTCAACAACAATTTTGAGATGAAAACAGAACATTTGAACAGAAAATGCAGTGAATTTGAAGATAGATGAAGAGAGGATAGTTAATCAAAAGAACAGGAGCCAAAAAGATTGAAAAATAACCAAAGTCACAGACCTATGTAACATTAAGTAGTTCAACACATGCATAATTTTAGTATTAGATGTAATGAAAAAAAGAACATGACCGAAAAAATATTGAAGAAATGTTGGCCGAAAATTTCTCAAGTTTGATAAAAGCTACTAACTTAGAGATCCGCTAAGCTCAACAAATCCAACTGGGTGAAGCCCAAAGAAAACCAAAGCAAGGAACATTACAGTCAAAACGGTAAAATCAAAGATTAAGAGAAAAATCTTGAAAATAAGAGAAAAAAAGATATGCTATATAAACATCTGACTTCCCAACATAAATAGTGGAAATTATCCGACACTGGAATGATAATTCAAAGTGCTGAAGATGAAAAATCAAGAATTCTATATTTAATGAAACTATCTTTTTAAAATGGAGGCCAAAAATACATTTTTCAGATCAACAAAATCTAAGATAATTTGTTGGTAACAGATTTATACTTCAAGATGGACAAGAAGTTCTATCAGCTGATGAGAAATGATGCCAGATGGTAACTCAGATATACAAGAAATACTGAAATGCGCTGGAAAAGGTAAATATGTGGATATTAATCACTATACGTTTTTCTTCTCTGAAAATCTTTAAAAGACATTATTTAAGGCAAAAGTGATACCATTATATTTTTTAGTTTATGACAGAAATTAAATATACATGACAATAGCACAAAAATTGAGTAAACCGTGGAAATGTACGATTTACTAGAAATAACCCAATTTAAATGGTAAGTAAATCATGATATGTTAAAGATGCTTGTTGTCATCCCTATCAAAACCACTCAAAAAATAAATAAAACAGTGGGGAAAAAAAGAGCATAATGGCAAGCCTAGATATGGATGAGCCTGGATACATTAAGTGAAATAAGTCAGACACAGAAAGATGAATAGTGCATGTTGTCACTCATGTGGAAGCTCAAAGAAGTAGCTCATAGAAGTAGAGTAGAATTGTGGTAATTAGAGGCTGAGTGGGAAGGGTAGGGAGGAGAAGAAGATAAGGAGAGGTTGGTTAAGAGATAAAAAACTACAGATAAATAGAAGGAATAAGTTACAGTGCTCTCTGGCACTGTAGAGTGAATATTAGTTAACAGTAATTTATCGTTATATGTCAAGAAAGCCAGAACAGAGGATTTTGAATGTTCCCAGCACAAACAGATGGTAAACGTTTGTGGTGATGGATATCCTAATTACCCTGATTTGATCATTACACATTGTAATTATGCATTGAAATATCACTCTATACTTCATAAATATGTACAAGTATTACTTGTCAACTGAAACTAAAAGGGGAAAAAAACTAAACATATAACTAACTTAAGACCCAGCAATTGTATTGGGCATTTTTTCCCAGAAAGGTGGAAAGTTGTGTTCACACAAAATTCTGTAGAAAAATGTCTATAGCAGCTTTATTTGTAATAGCCTAAACCTGAAACAACCAAGATGTTTTTTGCAAGGTGAATGATTAAATAATAGTGATCTATTCATACCATGGAATACTGCTCAGCAATAGGATCAAACTATTGATACACTCAAGATCCTGGATGAATCTCCAGAGAATTGTTTGAATGAAGAAAAGACAATCCCCAAAGGTTACCTACTGTATGATTCCATTTGTATAACTGTCTTCAAATGACAAAATTATAGATATGGATGATTTGTGGTTGCAAGGGGTTAGGGTGGGGTGGGAATGTGGGGGAAGTATAGTATGTGTGGCTATACAAGGGATCTCTATGGTGATGGAAATGCTCTCTATCACCATTCTATCAATGTGAATTATCTGGCTGTGATATTATACAAATGTTCAAGATGTTACCATGGCAGAGGACACTGTCTAAAGACTGTACAAGAGCTACTTGTATTATCTCTCACTTAATGTGGATCTCCAAATGTCTTGAAATAAAAAGTTTTTTTAAAAAAACAAAAGAGCACTATAGCAAGCCTATATCAAACCATATCAGTAATTTCAAAGTGAAAGAGGACTAAATTCTTCCTAACAAAAGGTGGAGATTGGCAAACTGAATACAAGAGCAAAACCTATCTATGGACTGCCTGCAAGAGGTGCATTTTAAATATAGATATGTATATTGGCTGAAGGAAAAAGAATGGAAAAGATATCATGTGAGTAAACATTAGAAAAGCTGAAGTGAAAAATGTATAAATATCAGAGAAGATAGATGTTAAGACAAAGAATATTACTAGAAACAACTATGTTTTATAATGCAAAATAGTTCAGTACAGGAGAAAGATACAATAATTTGAGTGCATATGAACTTAAAAGAGAATTTCAAAATAAATGAAGCAAAAATTGACAGAACCCAAAAGGCAACAAACAAGATTAAAATGGAATTATAAAAATCACTCAATCCAAAATAAGGCAGAAGAAGCGGAAAAGGGAGATGACGATCAGATGGAACAAAGAGAAAACGCTGAGATGACAGACTTAAATCTAACCATATTAATTATCACATTAAGTGTAAATGGACTTGTGGTAGGCTGAATAATGAGCCCCCCACGATGGCCATGTCCTAATTCCCAGAAATTGTGAATTACGTTACTCACATGGAAAAAGGAAATTTGCAAATGTGATTAAATTAATGCTCATGAGATGTGGAGATTATCCTTATTATCCAGGTAGGGCAAATGTAATCACAAAGTCTTTATAAGGAGGAGGCAAACGAGTAAGAGATCAAAAAGGCGATGTGATGGTAGAAGCAGAAGTTCGAGTGATATAAGGCCACAAGCCAAGGAAGGAGGCCAGCTTCTAGGGCTGGAAAAGGCAAGGAAGTGGATTTTCTTCTAGAGCCTCCTGAAGGATTGGAGTCCTGCCAATACTGTGATTTTAGACTTATGAGCTCCAAAATTTGAAAGAGAATAAATATATGTTGCTTTAAGCAACTGTTTGTGGTAATTTGTTATAGCAGCAATAGGAAACGAATATAGCTCTAAACACCACAAATGAAAAGCAAGAATTGTCAGATTGCATAGCAAAGCAAGACCCTACTATAGGCTGCTTTCAAGAAATTTACTTAAATATAAAGAAACGAAGAGGTTAAAAGTTAACAGATAGGAAAAGGACATGTGATGCTACTACTTGTCAGTGAAAGCTGGTGTGACTGTAATAACATCACAGTACATTTGAATGCTAAGAATATTATCAAGGTTAAACAAGGATTTTTAAATGAAGAAGGGATCTATATTTCAAGAGGATGTGGCAACCCTGAACATTTATGCACTTAGATAACAGAGCTTCAAAAATATGAAACACAACTGATAGAACTTTAGGAAAAAATAGACAAATCTACAGTATAGTTAGAAATTTTAATAGCCTTGTCTAAATAATTTGTAGAACAAATAAAAAGAAATTTGGCAAGAATATGGAAGACTTGAATGACGCCATCAACCAATATGACCTAATTGACATTTATAGTACACACCACCCTAGAACAGCAAAATAGACATTCAAGCACACGCAGACTATTTATCAAAAAAGACTATTTTCTAGGCCACAAAGCAAGTATTGACACATTTAAAATACTTTAGATCATGTAAAGTACAATCTCTGACTACAATGAAATTAAATTAGAAATCAGTAACAGAATTCTATACGGAAATTCCCTCAAATGTTTAGAAACTAAGTAGTACACTTCCAGATAATCCATGGTCAAGAAGAAACAAAAGGAGGGTTAGTTTCAACGTATGTTGACCTAAGGGAAAATGAGAACACCATCCCGCTGTTTGTGGGATGCAGATACAGCAGTAGAGAGATTTGTTTTTATGTTGAATGCCCATAATAGAAAAAGAAGAAAGGCCTCATATCAGTCACTCAGCTTCACCTTAAGGAACTAGAAAAATAAAAGAATAAGTAAACTCCAAAGTAAGGAGAAGAAAAAGAAAGCATAAAGATTAGAATCAAAATCAGTGTGTATTTCCTCCCCAAACAGGGAAAAGTCAGTAAAACCAAACACTGATTCTTGAGAAGATTAATAAAATTGATAAATTCCTACCCAAACTAAAAGATTGAAGACAGAAATTACTAGTATCAGGAATAAGAAAGATTTTATCACTACAGGATCTGAAGAAATGAAAAGGATAATGAGGGAGTTTTAGGAACAACTTTATTCCACTAAGTAGGACAAAATAGATAAAATGGACAAGTTCCTTGAAAGATGCAAAATCAAAGCTCACTTAAGAAATAGAAAATCTTATATCTATTACCTTATTATGAATGACCTTGTATCTATTAATAAAATTATATTTGTAGTAAAAAGAATTGTCACAAAGAAAACTTTAAGACAGATATCTTCACTGGAAATAATTCCAATTCTACAAACTATTCCAGAAAATTCAAAAGGAGGGATTACTTCCCAACTGGTTCTGTGAGGTCAGCATTATCCTGATACCAACATGAGAGAAACATTACAATAAAAGGAAACAACCAATCAAAATTTATCATGAACACATGTGTGAAGTTTTTAAGTAAAATTGCAACAAATGAATCCAGCAATATATTAAAGAAAGACAATACATAATGTGCAAGTGGAGTTTATCCCAGGAATGCAAAGTTGTCTCACTATTTGAAAACCAATCAAGTGAATTCACCATAGTAACAAACTGAGAAAGAAAGACCGCATCATCACGCATCATCCTCTGAGTACATTCAGGAAAAAGTATTTGACACAATTCAGTATCCATAACTGATTAAAAACCCTCAGCAAACTAGGAGTAGAAGGTAACTTGCTACTAAGAATCTAAGAATATAAAATTTCTAGAAGAAAATATGGAAGAAAATTATTGTAACCTTGGATTAGGCTAAGATTTCTCAGATACAGTAACATAATCATGATCCACAAGAGAACACATTGATAAATAGGACTTCATTAAAACTGTAAACCTCTGCTTTTTTATAAACAGTATTAGGAAGAATTAAAAGATAAACCACAGTCTGGGAGAAAATATTTTCAAAGCCTATGTCTGATAAAGGACTTTTTCTAGATGTATAAAAAACTCTCAAAACCCAATAATAAGAAAACAACCCAATTAAAAATGGACAAAACAGGCCGGGCGCAGTGGTTGGCTCACGCCTGTAATCCCAGGATTTTGGGAGGCTGAGGCGGGTGGATCACCTGAGGTCAGGAGTTCGAGATCAGCCTGGCCAACATGACTAAACCCCATCTCTACTAAAAATACAAAAAGCCAGGCGTGATGGTGGGCGCATATAATCCCAGCTACTCGGGAGGCTGAAGCAGGATAATTACTTGAACCCAGGAGACGGAGGTTGCAGTGAGCCGAGATTGTGCTGTTGCACTCCACTGGGCGACAGAGCAAGACCTTGTCTCAGAAAAAAAAAAAAGAAAAGAAAAAAAAAGGGACAAAGGGACAGATGGCAAATAATCACACAAAAAGATGCTTGATGTTACTAGTGATTTGTGAAATGCAAATGAAAATTACAGTGAGATGTAACTAAACACTTAATAAAATAGCTATAACTGAAAAAAGAACTGCCAACTGTTGCTGACACTATGGAGGACTTAGAACTCTCATACACCAGTGGTGCAAAAGTAATATGGTACAACCACTCTGCAAGACAGTTTAGCAATTTTATAAAAAGTTAAACATACAACTACTGTATTTATTAAAATAAAAGAAAGCACATATCCATCCCAGGAATTGTACACAAATGTTCATAGCACTTTATTTTCTGTATTAGCCCCAAACTGGAAACAATCCACTTATTTATCAGCAGATGAATGTATAAACACACTATTAGAATATCCAAACAATGTAAATATTACTCACTAATAAAAATGAACGAACTATTGATACAGCAATATGGATGGATCTCAAAATAATTCTACTGAGGACAAGAAGCCAGACAAAAAAGAAAGCATGCAATAATTAGGATTACAAAAGGGCAGAAGTAAACTTTTGGGAGAGATGGATATGTTCATGATTTTTATTGTGGCTGCTGTTTTACAAGTGTATACCTATGTTAATATGTATCCAAGTGGATACTAAATATGTGCAGCTTATTGAGTAATTATTGAGCAATTATGCCTTAATACATCTGCTAAAAAAATCTGGCAGACTTTTACCCAGAATATACAAAGAACTCTCACACCTCAATAAGAACCAACACAAAATTTGGCAAAATATTTGAATAGAAATTTCACCAAAGAAGATATTTTGAATCATCCATAACCATACTATAACGATTAAAATTACAAAAACTGATACAACTTAAACTCTCATGCATTGTTGGTGGAAATGGAAAATGGTGCATCTACTCTGGAAAACAGTTTTGAACTTGCTTATAAAGATAAATCCACACTTAATCATACATAACCATGCAACCCAGCAATTCCACTCCTAGGTGTTTCCCTAAGAGAAATGATAACATATGTCCACAAAAAGCCTTGTCCGTGAATGTTTATAGTGGCATTGTTCATGGTCACCAAAAACTCAAAACATCTCAAATGTTCATTAACTTGCAAATGGATAAACAAATTGTGTTCTCTATATACAATGAAATATTATTTAGCAACAAAAGGGAAGGAACTACTGAACCACAACAGAAGTTGTAGGAACTACAGCTCAGATATGAATATCAAAAACATGCTATGGTAAAGAAGCCAAAAATGAAAAGACTACATAATATATTTATATGAAATTCTAGAAAAAGCAAAACTGTAATGCAGAAAGCACAGTAGTTGCCTGAGGCCATGTTTGGGGAAGATGGTAGATTGCAAAAGGGCACAGGGAACTTGTGGGGGTGATGGAAATTTTCTGTATTATGATTGTGGTAGTGCTTACACATGTATACACATTTGCCCATACCTGGCAAACTTTACACATAAAATAGGTGAAGTTTTATTGTGTATAACTTATACTTCAATATAGATGTTAAAAAATTAGAAATCAATTTTGTCTGACTCCTTCCCTTTAATGACTGCCATGCAGGATTACTCTCTAGGGAGGAATAGTGTCTCATTTAGCCCAGTCATAGAGCCACCCAAAATGGGAAAGCATTGAAGAAAACAAATTGCCGTAAGAGTCTCCTGTCCCTGCCTTGGATCATTTCATGCTAATCCAAGGCAGTTTATGCTAAAAAATGTGAAATTCATCAGGAATTCGATTAGGTTTTAATTTGTCTTATTTTACTACAAATGGGCCTTATGTTTAGATGGTGATGGCACTTGGAAATTATATTTATGTTTGTTTCATCTTGAAAGTGTGCTTTTACATATATATTTATGAATGTATATTGAAGCTTTATTATTAGGATATGTCTTTCATTTGGTCAAATGAGATGCGAAAATGCAACGTGCTTAATTTCATTCTATTTTTTAAATTTCTAAACATTGAAATTGTTTTTTGAAATGACGCTTTAAAATATTTAACTTATGAAATAAATTTGTCTCTGAAAATCTAGATGTTGTGTTATGTATCTATTTTCTCTAGACAGGAATACATTTCTAATATGGATATATATGTCTGTCTTTTTTCAGGCCTGGTTGCAGCATGCTTGAAATCTGGGATGTGGAAGACCCTTCCAATGCAGCTAACCCTCCCTTATGTAGCGTCCTCCTTGAGCCGAGATTGTGCCACTGCACTCCAGCCTGGGCGACAAATCAAGACCCCGTCTCCAAAAAAAAAAAAAACAAAACTTGATTGGGATCCAAAATCATACAACTATACACTAAAATCAGTGAATATTACCTTATGTAAATTAAAAATTAGGAAATCAAAAGAAAAGCATACATATAAAAAACAGTTTTTTCTAAGCATTTCTCATTTGTAGGGTGTTTGAATTACGTTGTATGTTGTCTCATTTCACCCCCATAACAAATCTATGAAAGAGGTACTTTTATCCCCATGTTAACGTGAATAAACCCAGGTTTGGAAAAGTTGAGAAACATACTTACTGTCATATAGTTAACAAGTGACCGAGCAGGGATGTGAAGCCAGATTCCTCTGACTCCAAGGTCTGAGTTCTTCCTCCTGCACAGTGGTCAATTGGCTAGATCCACATAAACAGCATGCACAAACTCACCACTCACACATACATACCCACAGACACACACCACACAGATGGGATACATCTCACAATCACATATATGGAATGAGTGATATGCAAATATAAAATTGCATTATTTTTATATTATTCTCATTTTATATAAATCCTACCACGAGGCATAGTCTGTCTCATTCATTCATTCATTTATCCATCCCTTCATTTATTCCCTCATTTCCTCAGGAAATAGCTTCCTTTGTGGCAGGTGCTATTCCAGACTCTGGAGATACTACAGTAAACAAAACAGAATAAACTCAAAAACTCTAAAATGCAACAATAAAAAACAAGGAAATTTCAAAAAGGATCAAAGTTTTGAACAGACCTTTCAACTGAAATATATATGTAGTTAATACACACACAAAAAACAAGTAAATAACAAGTGGGATATTTGGTAGTGACAAGGGCTATGAAGAAACACTAAAGCAAAGTAAGAAGAGTGAGTAAGAGGAGGAACTGTTTTAGAGACAGTGACCGGGGAGGCCTCTCTGCGAAGGGGAATTGAAGCACAGAATGGATGGAAGAGAGGCAGGGAGTATTGGGAAGGTCTGGGAGAAGGTTTTTCCCGGACACAGGAATAACCAGGAGAAGCCCCTGAGGCAGGAGTTGCTTGGCATGTTTGAGGTACAGCCAGTGGGCTGCTCGGCTTGGGTGAGCTTGCAGGGCTGAGAGTGGGAGGAAGCCAGGGAAGCTGTAGAACTTTCCTACTTACAGTGCGTAATTGTAGCTGTTCTTCAATTCTCCAGTATAAGTGTATCTCCCTGGTTAATTGCAAATTATTTACAGGACCATGCTTTCTATTTTTTAAATGAATCTCAGTCTGTACCTGGCACTTCACTGGGCATGGAGCTAATGCCAAATAAAAACGTGATGGTTGATGAGTGCTGTTCATACACATTTCCCAGTGGTTCTACCCCCGGAAGGCAGCTATGTGATCAATAAATAGGACGCTAGGAGAGTGGGAATTTCCAGCAGTGCTTCATACTGTCACCTTTGAGACCTATAGAGAGTTCTGCTGAGGGCAAGGTTTTGTGGTATAGGAGGTCATCCTGATGAGGGTTTTTGTTTTTTTTTTTAAATGGTGGCTTTTAGCGTAAATTGGCAGGGATTGATCAGGTGTTTCCTCTGGGCTAATGCTCCTTAGGGATCATGGGATGTGGTCTGCACACTCAACTGAGAAGGTCCAGTAATGGCAAGGCAGTCACCAGGGGACCCATGTCCTCAGAGGACCTGGCTCCTCAGAGAAACCGCAGGTTCACTGGGGGAGATTATCAGGACTTTAGACCTCAGGATGAAGAGACACACTCCAGGAGGGGCTGTGGATAGTTACCATGGTGCCCCAGAAAGGTGTCAGGGTAGTGCATGGGGAAAGCCCCCCAGGGTCCTGGCCAGCTTAGAGGCAATGGTGAGGAGCATGCTGGGCAGACTGTGCGGGGTCCAGTCATGATCAGCCTAGCTCCTGAGGGGCTTTGCGTGGCACAGGTGTGACAATAAGAGCAAAGATTCCAGTAAGGAACAAAGAGAGAGTGAGTCTCTAGGAAGCCTGGACTTTTGATTTAGCCAGACTTGGGTTTGCAGCCTGGCTCCTGCCCAGGGTAGAGTAAGCTCCTGTCACCACCACCGCCATTACAGGGGAATCCTAGCAAATCTATGAGAGCCAGAAGCTAGACACAATGCCTGGTGCTTAGTGCTCACCATATACTTGTCCTTGGATAGCCAATATCAAGTTAAATTTGCCAGAATTGTCACTCTGGGCCAGAAAGAGCTGTGTCCTGGCAATGGTGGCAGGGAGTCACCAGCAGGATCGGGTAGGACCCATGGTCACCACAGTGGCTAGTGCTGTGAGGAGGATGGAGATGCGGGAGAGTTTGCTCCCATAGGCCAGCACCATGGTGGGGCCACTGAGACTGAGACCAGCGCACTGAGGGCTGGGCCTGGCAGTGGCCCCTTTGCACAGGCAGAAGAGCCTCCTGGAAAAGGACTCAGTCTGGGCCCACTATGGGGGCTGACTGCTTGTAAGGAACGGAATAGACCACCAGGGGAGAACACCTCCCACATGAGGTAGTGCCAGAGCAAGACGCTGGACCTGACAACAAAGCCTTCAGTGGTGAAGACAGCAGAGACTCCAAGCTCCCTGTGAAGGAAGTGACTCATCCCGTCCCTAGCCCAGCTCCTTTCCTAAGGAGGAAAAAGGTGAGAATTCCAAAAAGAAAAACTCTGTCAGTAAATTCTAACATGGGAGATCTCAAGGAGCCCTACTTGGCCCCCGTCCAACAGCCAGTAACACAAAAAGCTGGCTGCTCAGAGACCACAGCACTGTCTGTTCTTAGGACAGAAGAGCAGATGGGTGGCACACAGGCCATAACCACCAACATGGAGTTGCTGTGCCAGGTGGAGCCAGGGCCTCACTCCTGCACCCCGTGGAGCTGTGACAGCTGGTGGCGGGCATTCTGGTGACAAGTGAGCCATGAGCAGGCTTGCGTGGCACAGAAAGCGGGCTCATTCTTACATACCCATGAGACACCCTCCGGAGAGTCCCAGAAATACTGTCCTGGAGCTTACAGGTGGAGAAGGTGTGAAGGTCTGCAGGTGCAAATGAGGCCAAGCAGTGAGATTTAAATTGGTCCTGTTAACCTGACCTCATTTGTATCCTCAGTATGGAGGTGCTTTGGGAAGATAAGGCAAGAATAGTGATGATCAGTAATAGCATCTACTTGTTGAGCACCTATTGCAGGCAGGTACTAGGCTTAACACTCTAAACATATTTTTTTACTCTTTATCCCAACCCTGAAATAAGGACATTTGAGACAGGAGGAAACTGAGGCTGAGCATTCATGTAAAGGTTGCGGCAGCATCTGGGAGAGATGTGGGAAAGAACAGGAACAGGACCCAAATGTTCACAGCAGAAGCAGTCCCTAGCAGGGGCCCTTCTCTGGCATGCTCGCTGCTCCCTCTGGACTCAGCAGGAGTCTCCAGGCTCCAGGAAGGACATGGAGCAAAGCTCTGCTTTTTGACCTGGGCATCTCCTTTTGAGGGAGTGGTGAGTTAGCCAAATGGGGCATGGAAATGACTGTGAAAATGGAATGGCAGCTGAAAGAAGGTCATGATCCAGGAAAGGGCATGAGGAGGGCAAACTGCAAAAGCCTGAGGCACTGCAGGGATGGGAATGTTGAATGGTATAACGGCACATCAGGGTTTCTATGACTTTGATGCAAGGGGAAAGCAATTTTCACCTCAGACTCAAACTGGAAGTTTTTCTCCCTACCAAAAGGCAGGATGCCAGAGAAACAGACCTTTTCCCTCCTGGGTAAGAGTCTGGTGTTTCTCCAGTGCTCCACTCTGACCTAGCAGGGAGCTAGCAGAGACCATCCCACAGTCACCTCATCCAGCAGAGGATTTTCCACATGTGCCATGGGCTCTGTTCCTCAGCGACTGCAATAACAGAGGTTCAGCATCTGGGGGGTGCCAGGCTAAAGGAAGTCAATCAAGCTTCTTGTTTTGTGTTTCATTTTGCTTTTACCCTAGCATTTTCCAGAGCCTTTAACATGCTAAAACGAATTGTCACTCACCAGGAGTGGAGATGCAGCCGGTCCTGAATTTATCTGAAAAATGAAAATCTTTATTTGGAAAATGCTTATTAACATCTTAGCGAATTGGTGTTCTGGGGAAGATGATTTAGGAAAATCTGCTCTATGCATGTCACTGCCTGCTTCATGATTGCTTACTGCTTAATTTGATGCAACTTTTTTTTTTAACCAAAAGTCAAATAATAACCCAGGTTTACCATTTGCAAAGCTTCCCCCTACTCCCAACACACACACCTTCCTCCTTCTTCCTCTTCTCCCTTTCCCTCTCCCTCTCCTTTTCCTGCCCTTTACTGTACAAGAATGCCTTGAATAAAGAAAACCTATAAAACAGAAATATAAATTTGGAAATGATTATTTAATTGGCCTTTGATTTCATGACAGGCAAAAATAAGTTGGCCCTCATATTTTTTTTTTTTTTGCAAAAAATGATACTTTAAATACTAAAGGATTTAAAGGATACTTGGTAAATATTTGTTGGCTTAATTCATGAAACATGTGGCTGTTATGTGAAAATACATTATCTGTATCCCAGGAATAAAAAGAAAATATCCTTTTTCTGGCCTAGAGCATAATACTTCAGCCCTGAGGGCCCCACTCACTCACCTGGTATTCTATGTATATGGTGCTCCCTGCGGCAGCCCTGGGCTCATTACAAGTAACACTGATTCTTAGGTGTTTTATGCCTTTTTACCAATCTCTTTAGAGGAAGCAGATGAACATTTAGAATTTTAACAGGGAATGTTTACCTGAGGACAGAAGCTAGATGAAAAGATCAGGTGGCACCCAGAACACATATTTTTCCTGACAATCCAGCCAAATGTGAATCCAGGGACTCAGTGTAATTCATCAGAACAAAGCAACACTGCGGGCAGGTTGTGTGGTACCCACTTGCCTTTGTAATACCGCCATGCTCAATTCCAAACACAGCCTGTCAACTCATCAGAGCAGGACTGGTGAGAAAGCCAAGGCTGGCAGCAGGTTTGGTGCCACCTCTTGGTGCCAGAGCCACCTGCACACAGCATGGAGCAAGGGAATAGCCAGGGTGCCCTGGAGCCAGTTCCTTCCAGAAGCCAGCAGCCCTAGGGCTCCTCTATCCCACTCCCAGCAAGAAGAAGCTGCCATGAATATGAAGGTGGGAAGAGGAAGCTCAGACCAGGGGAAGGCTTGGGCTGTGTGTTAATTCTTCTCTGGTCCCCAGGGCCCAACACAGTTGTCTGGTTAATACTGCATTAAATGCAGTGAATTGATTCTAGCCCCAGTTCCACTAAGAAATTCCTGAGTGCTCTCAGAAAGTTACTTCTCTTGGAGCCTGCAGCACAACAAACCACTCAGAGCTTGGTGCTATAAAACAACAGCAAGCATTTGTCATTACTATCTTTCACTTCTTTAGGGGTTGATGGGGCTCAGCTAGGTAGTTTTTGGTCCTCATGCAGTGACAATCAGACAATGGCTGGGGCTAGAGTTCTCTTGAAGGCCTTTCCATTCATACTCTCTGGTGCCTGACTTGGGAAGACCTAAATAGCTGGCGGCTGGAACAGCCGGGGCTCCTCAGGCACCTCTGTCTATTACAGTGTGCTCCCTCCAATGTGGACTCTCTGTCAGGGTAGCTGGACTTCTTACATGAAGTCACCTGTCCCCGGAGACAGGCTGGTGGAAGTCAATAACCCATTGTGATCCAGCTTCACAAGTCAAGCAGTGTCACTTCCACCATATTATATGCACGGAGACAGTCAAAAGCGCTGCCCATGTTCCAGGGCAGGAGATAGATCTCTCTTCTTGATGGGAAGAATGTTAAAGAATTTACAGACTTGCTTTGAAACAGAGCCTTAATTTCTCCATATCCTCTAAATGAGGATAATAATACCTCATGGGCCAGATTTTGTTGATGAGGGGGATGGAAGGATACTTGGGGCTAATGCAGATGAACTCATGTGGTGAAAATTAAGGTGCAGTCCAAACATAAGAGATGGACAATTAGAGCTGTCTGGAGTTACAAATCCTTAAACCGGAACATGTTATAATCTTTCAGAGGCCGAAAAAGTTTTCTTGTTGGCATTCTTCTCTTCAATAAATAAATCACCTGAGTTGCAAAAATACAATTTTCCCCATAAGATCAACAATAAAGCCATTTTGAATGAGAGAGAAATATAGCCTGTAAGTAATTTTTGCTTTTTCCTAATTTTCTCTTGATCAAAATAAGGTTGCCCACCATTGCTATGCATCTTGTTACACTCACTGCCAAGGCTCAGTGTCTTGCAAATGTTGCTGTGCATAAATGTTTATAGTGGAAAGGATTTAAGAACAAAAATGAGTTGTCATTGGCCTATTTAACATTAAGTACAATTGACATCTGTACTCTATTTGTATAAATAAGATAGGTTAAAATTTGTTCTGTACCCACTTCCATTATAATGCCAATAACAAGTTATTACACTCATTTATTAGTTGGAACTCTTGGTTCCAAAGAAAAAAAAAATCAAGGCTAAAACCACAAAAAAGGAAATGTAGGGGGCCTCAAGCACTGGGGTGTTGGAATGCGGCTGGAGGGTCTGGAACCAACAACTGGTGGGAAGCAAGGCTCTCCAGGATTCATTCAGTCATCTAATTATTCTTTCTCCCTCCTCCATCCTTGTTTCTCTCTCTCTGCTGCACTCTACTCTGCACACTGATTATTTCTATATTTCTACTTCTCAGCCAACATAACAAGCAGAAGTGGCTGCTCCATAATCTTCAGTTTTGAGTCTGTCATTCACCAGGCTTGCCCAGGCTAAATTAAAACTCTTAGTTAAAGGTTCAAATTCCTGGGAGAGACAATGTTGCCTGGTTGTGCAGGGGCCATTATCCATTCAGGGCTACATCACATAATACAATTGTGGTGCAGGCTCCTGGGCATAGAAGGGGAAAGAGTGCTGCTGGGGAGGGCCTAAGGGATTCTTGGTGAAATGGAGAGCCACTCCAGAGGGTGGTGGCTACAACGTATTTACACACACACTTTCCTGCTCTGCTAGACTTGTTTTGTTCTTCTCTATCCTCAATATCAAGCCCAATCCATAGTAGGTAGTCAATGCATGCTAAGCTTCATGAGTGGAAGTTTTTACAGTCACATTTCTTAAACAGCAAAAGCACCTAGAGTCTGGCGCACTTTGAGAATCTTGTGATAATTAGCACACTAAATGGTGTTATCTCTTTTAAGTCCATCTTCATAATGTGAAATGTAACCCAAAGGCACATGTTGATGTCTGAAAACAAACTTCTCTAATGTAATTATGCCTCTTTAATGAAATATCACAAAATGCATTTTAAGTGGTAATGGAATGGGGAAAAAGTACATAATGATCAGGGAAAGCATGCAAACACAGTATTTAGATATATAGATATGTCTTTGGCTTACAATTTAATAATGCTAATGTATGTCTTAGTGTCTGTGGACTAGAGATGCAGTAGGGCTCTATGAAAAGTCTATTCATTTGAAGTAATAAAGATTTGGGGGTAAATTATTGGGAGATAATTGAAGGCTAGAGGAAAATATGCAGTGAAAATCTAGCAATCAGAGCTAGACATTCTCAAAGGTAATCAGAATTTTGTACCAATCTCATTTTATTCAAAGTATCCCATATTTTTTGAGTTGGAAGGGATTTAGGGAAACATGTATTTCATCCCCTCTTGGTAACAACCAGTGACTTGGCCAAAGTCACATCAATGTCTTGGAGGGTCAAGGGACCAAAATGCCTAAGTGGAGGCACACATGTCCTAGAAGCGTTGGCTCATTCTTTCCCCCATGGCTTGCCATTTATTCCTTTAAAGGGGGAAATTCTCAGCTTGGAGTGATTTAATCTTATGCAACAAATGCTGTGGCTCCTGGGACTTATGTAGTCTTGGCAGGCAGCAGAATGCCCCAGAACTTATCTCTGCAGGCTTACCCATAATACTGATGTGTTTGTTTTGTCACCGTCTATTTTTCCTGCCCATTTTCCAGGAAGGCCCTAAGCTGTAGCACCTGACACACACTGCCAATGTCTAGCTTCATGCACCTTCCAGCTACCTTCTTCAACTCAGTTACATAAATATCTTTCTGCCTAGGTCTATTTTCCAGGCCAATGGTTCCCAGCCATGGTGGTATCACAGCACACTGGGGTGTTGCAATGAGCTGGGGTGTAAGACATTTGTTACTAACAACAGAGTTCCAAAGTCTACTAATGACTTACTTTGTAATACATAAAGAGAATTCAAGTTAATCCCCATAATTTGCCACACTCAATTGCACTGAACATACTTTCTTAGGATGGGCTGTGATTCTTAGGGTCGGCTCTAAGCATCTTTATTTTCAAGGAAGCAATTTTTAGTTTTAAGGGAAAAAAACTCATGTTGTTATCTTTTATGAATTGTCCATCTCACAAGACAGTGTAGTGTCAAGGGTTAGGAACAGTGGTCTGAGTTCACACCCCAGCTCCACCGCTAACTAGTGATATAACCTTGAGCAAGTTTCCTCAGCCTCTCTGAGTTCTTTCTCCTACAAATTGAGGATAATGAAAGGATGCATCTTGTAGGCGCCTGTGAGAATTAAACAAGGTAGTATATGTGATATCCTTAGACAGTCCCTAGAACTTGGTAAAGGCTAGTTTTGTAGGGCTCTTTTTATTTGCTATTGTAAGGCTTTTCCCTTTTCTGGGGGTTTTCCTTGATGGTGTATCAGTCTTCTAATTTTGGGGCATAAAGAACAAATGTATCATTAATGCTTTGTATCATGCCCATACACAAATCTATAGGCTGGCTAAGCCTGGATTTCTTTTGTTTTCTTGACTCTTAAAATTCCATGGGCCTGTTTCTTGGCTGACTCCAGAAATGTATCTTGTGCTTGAGTAACTCCAGGAAAAAAGGGTATTTGAGAAAATTTTCTCCAAGATATTTCATGACTCTTCATCAGCTCTCAGTCTTGCACCTTGATTCACTTCTCCCTTCCTCCATCCATCATCATCACGCTCTTTCTGTTTCTCTTCCAGGGAGAGGGGAGATAGGGTGAGTCCTGCTCTGGTTGCCTGCACTGCAGCCAAGCTGGGGCCAAGCAGAGGAGACAAGTGGGGGTCTGGGAGGCAAACCTCTGGCATCCCAGGTTAAAGTTTCAAACCATTTTCTAGCCATTACTGTATATCTACTGTGCCCTGTGGGATAAATTAGCATTCATGAGCTAACCTAATTGTTGTAGAGTCTACAAAAGCGGAGCTCAAATAGAGATCAGTGCCAGGAACGAAGTCCCACCTTTGATGTGTGAAACGCACTTCCACATTTTGACTTGTGATCAGAGAGACATTCTGCATTACTTGTTACCTCATTATCTTTTCCTTTTACTGTACAGACCCTGGGTAAAGATAAATTTACTTTTAGATATATATGTTAAAAATCTATCATATCATAAGGAATGAGCAAAGAGGTCATTTCTCTTTTCCCTAAAGCTGTGGGTCTCGGGCTCCCCGCTTGGCAGAATCACCTGAGAAACTTCTAAAAGGTACAGATGCCATCCTTTTCTGATTGCATTCGCCTGGAGTGACATCTGGGCACCAGCATTTCTCAGAGCCTCCCAGGTAATTGTTATGTTGCCAGAGCTGCAGGGATGAGAGGCAGCAGCCTATGGGCATCCACTGAGCAGTGTCATTACTCCTTTTCCCCCCAATTTCAGGTTCCAAAAAAAGGGTTAGATGACACCAGCTCTGAAATAGTCTAACTCCACAGATCCCAAAATAATATATCTGTGTAACCTCTTAATAAAGTTTTATAAATAGTACATGTTCTATTGTTACCTACCTCATTCTCTTGGCAACATTTTTAAGACTTGTTTCCAAGATTCATCTTAAACTACTAAAACAGAATTATGATGGACATTCAATAGCTATTCCTCCAAAATATGATTCTAAAAAAAGGGGGGGTGCTGGGCACAGTGGCTCACGCCTGTAATCCCAGCACTTTGGGAGGCCGAGTTGGGCAGATCATGAGGTCAGGAGTTCAAGACCGGCCTGGCCAAGATAGTGAAACCCCGTTTCTACTAAAAACACAAAAAAAGTTAAACAGGCATGGTGCTGGGCGCCTGTAATCCCAACTACTCAGGAGGCTGAGGCAGGAGAATTGCTTGAACCTGGGAGGCAGAGGTTGCAGTGAGCCGAGATCACACCACTGCACTCCAGCCAGGGCAACAGAGTGAGACTCTGTCTCAAAAAAAAAAAAAAAAAAAAAAAAAAGCAAAAAAAAAGGATGAAGGATAAACTGTGGAAATATGACTCTATTTTTTTCCCACGATTTCTTAAAATTTTGTTTACTTTTTCTGAATGTGTCCTTCACAAATGTATAGATTATTAAATATTCCTAATACAGGAATATGAGAAAATATTTGTCCTCAAAAAATGGAAAACAGGAGCAAAAAGTTAAAAAAAACTGAAAAACCTTTGCCAGGTGCAGTGGCTCATGCCTATAATCTCAGTACTCTGGGAGGCTGAGGCAGGAGGATTTCTTGAACCCAGGATTTTGAGGCCAGCCTGGGCAACATAGTGAGACTCCATATCTATAAAAACACACATACAAAACAAAAAAAAACCCTTAATTTAGTGAGAAGTGTGACCTCCAAACACTCAGAACTGATTCCTTTGGAGTAATGACCCTTAAACCACCTTTCAGGCCAGCATTTTGCAAGGTGCGGTCAAGATCCATGTGCATCATAGTCCTCTGGCTAGAAATGCAGACAAAGACCTCACCTGAAACTCATTCTCTAGGGACAGGAGCTGATAAAGCGCATCTTAAGCAAGCTTCCTAGATATTTTGCTTGCTTTTATTTTTTATAGCAGCATTGCCATCTTTAAAATAAAATTGTGCCTGGAATCCCAGTGAAGGGATGATGCAGGCTTGGGGTTCAGCAGTGGCCTGTTCTGGGGCTCCAGAGAAGTTTCCCTGAGGCATCATACCCAGCCACATGAGGGATTCCAAACATCAGTGTCACCTCTGCCTCCAGCTTCCAATGAGCTGCCCATCCCTTAGCTTTCCTCCTCTCCCTCCATCATGTCTTCATTCCCTGGGCTGCCTTTGTTAAGGTCCTTGGTCCCCTGGTCTCACTATACTCTTTCTCCTTTAATTGTCTTATTTGTTCCATGGTTTCTGGATTACAGGCATTTGTCCAAAATAGTCACAGCAGAAAAGAAACTCAGAATACCTAAGGTTGGAGTGAGACAAATTAATTTTTTTGAACGTTTGCGTTTAACACACTGAACAGTGGAAGTTTAGCATCCCATCATTTCATTATTTACCCACTTTGGCTGGAGTGGGCTTCAGAGATAGCCAAGCATTCTCTGGCTGTCCTGGATTGCTATGGAGGGCCAAATCTTGTATTACATGGTTGTCTGCCTTATGTAAAGTAACTAACATCAGATTCTCCATGCAAGTCTAATTCTCATGAAGAAAATAATATTGCAGATTAGAACTTTGAAGCTGACATTGAAGGAACTGTGTGTCGGTTCTTACGGTCCTAGTTGTGTTTTTTTTTCATGAGAGATGAGGAAAGGAGAACAAACACCAAGTCTGCGTGTGAATTGCAGTGCTATGATAAGCATAGATTGGGCAGTTCCAACTAGCTCTCAAGACTGTTTAAGATCCAAGTGTGACTAAATGCTGATTCACACAAAGCAATACACATCATTTGAAACAATCACTGGGGGGTATTATTGTGGCATCTCTTTGGGGGAATCCAGAGGCCCAACTTAACCCTCACTAATTTCCACACATTGAACAACTGAGTATTGAGACAGGCTCAGGATGAGGAAAAGCACTGGCCGTAAAATATCATTAACATCATTACCCAGCCCCACAACCTCAGTCACCCCCAACCAGAGGTGGAAACCCTCAAAACATGGGTGGAAGTCCATGGACCAACCATGGAATTTTGGGCTGTGCGTTTAGCTGATGCCACTTCTTCCTCTGTGTGCTTAGCTGATGCCACTTCCTCTTTTGTCCATTGCATCCATAAAAGAAGCCATTTTGGGTAGGCCAGAAAGTATGGGACTAAGGTCTTTTTTTTTTTTTTTATCTTCTATCCTCCAATTCTCTCATTAACTCAGGGCCAATGGCAACTGGGAATCACTTGTTTTGATTCCTCCTGAGACTGCACAGAACACACATGGCATATTCCTCCCAAAGCTGCTAGAAACCTAGTATGGTGTACACTGCTCTGCAAGCAAGACGCCAATGCTAGAGCACAATTTCACTGCACTTTATACTTCAGCTCTTGCCAGAGCAGCCTTGACTCCTCCAGACACGATGTTCATAGTCCAGGTGCAAAAATCAGGTGCTGGAATTCATGTCAGTTAGTTTTCTTTTAAAAGCAAAAGACTCCTTACCAGCGACTCCTCCCTAATCAGTTGCCTGCTACAAACTGGATACTGTAACAACAGGGAGCTTCTTGGCTGGCAAAAGTAAAAGTAGGGAGTTCACCCACTCCAGCATTGCTGAGCAGAGTGTGCTTCAGGTCATCTTGCCAAGGCAATGAAATGTTTCCAGCTATTTCCTTAAGGTTCATTTCCTAAGAACAAACCATGATTCATGGCACTGGGGGGACAGGGGGTGAATTGAATTAATGCCTGATTGGTAAGTAAAACAAATAAATCTCTTAGTTTTAAAATATATCTGCAAGATTACTCTAAAGTAACTATAGTTTAGAAATGTACAGTGAATACTTTGAAGGTCTAGACTTACACCAATCTGTTTCCTAATCATTAGGAATCTGTATTAGAGTTCTGTCAGTCAAGATTTGATCCACTTATTTATTCAACAAATGTACTATGCATGTAGTGTGTGTAGCTACTGCCCTAGGCACTGGGGATGCAGTATTGCCTTCAAGGAATTTACATCTAATCTATTACTTAATATATTCAAAATGGGAGAATCTTTGCTTGAACCTATTAATAGTAATGAGGTCAAGTACAATCATACATATTTTCCAAAGAGTTAACCTTTCAGCTGGTCTCATATTTGTCCTGTCATGCTCTAAACATTATATTACAGGCGTGCCATACCTCATCCTTCCTGTTAAAGCAGCAGCCTCCCAGCCCCTAGGATTTCTTCCCGTCCACATTCTTGCTGTCATCTCAGCCATCCACACCGCCCACATCACAAATTTACTCCCTCATAACATATCTACTTGCACAATGTTCCTCAAATCCTGTTTAAAATCCATTAGTGTTTTGCTCAAGAACCTTCACTAGTTTTTTATTTCTAAATAAAACATTTGCCCTTCTTTAAGGCCCTAAATCTCGAGTCATTTAATGTAATTAAACTTGTTTTCTGTGATTTAATTAATTCATTTAATCACGTAATCAATCATTAACCAACAAAGATTTAATAGGCACCTATGCTGTATCTGGTGGCCCTGAGCCACCAAAGGTATTGGTAGCAGATGCTGTGGTGGCCACCCAGATTCCTCCTTCAGGTCTGAAGCCCTCCTCCCCTCAGCATGACAGGGGTGTTGGTGGCTAAGGGCTTCCAACTGAGTCCCTCTTTGGCAATTGCTCTCGGCTGAAGGGAGCTGCCTTCCCAAGGTTACTCCCGCTCACTGGAAGCAGTCAGCACTGATAATAGGTTGATGTGAATGTCAAAGGTTTGGGACCCTTACTGCAACTTGCAATGAGTTTGAAGGGGCATCCTAGCTCCGGAGTTCCCTATTGGATTGGACTGAAGTTCAACTTCTCTCAGCCCAATTCCACTTTCCTCACCCCATAACAGGCTCAAGAAGCTTACAGTGTAACAAAGAAATCAGACAAATAAGTGGACAAATAAAACAGTGTGGTAAGGCTCACGCCTGTAGTCCCAGCACTTTGGGAGGCCGAGGTAGGTGGATCACCTGAGGTCAGGAGTTTAAGACCAGCCTGACCAACATGGTGAAACCCCGTCTCTACTAAAAATACAAAAATTAGCTGGGTGTGCTGGTGCGTGCCTGTAATCGCAGCTACTCGGAAGGCTGAGGCAAGAGAACCACTTGAACCTGGGAGACGGAGGTTGCAGTGAGCCAAGATTGCGCCATCGCACTCCAACCTGGGGGACAAGAGCGAGACTTCATCTCAAAACAAAACAAAACAAAAACAGTGTGGTAAGAGATATGACAGGGGAAGGTCTAGGTTACAGGAAGAGAAGAGAGTTCCTTCAGGATCTGAGTTCTAAGTGAGATGTGAAGACTGAGCCAGAGTCATCCAGGAGAACTGGCAGGGCCTGGGCAGGACAGAAGGGTGGCCATCCAAGATAACAATATGTGTGCATGTCCAGGGAAGAGAGGGCATCAGGCACTGAGGAATGGTGAGAGGCACTGGGAAATGGTGAGGGGCACTGGGGAATGGTGAAGGGCACTGGGGAATGGTGAAGGGCACTGGGAAATGGTGAGGGGCACTGGGAAATGGTGAGGAGCACTGGGAAATGGTGAAGGGCACTGGGAAATGGTGAGAGGCACTGGGAAATGGTGAGAGGCACTGGGGAATGGTGAAGGGCACTGGGGAATGGTGAGAGGCACTGGGAAATGGTGAGGGACACTGGGGAATGGTGAAGGGCACTGGGAAATGGTGAAGGGCACTGGGGAATGGTGAAGGGCACTGGGAAATGGTGAGGGACACTGGGGAATGGTGAAGGGCACTGGGAAATGGTGAAGGGCACTGGGAAATGGTGAAGGGCACTGGGAAATGGTGAGAGGCACTGGGAAATGGTGAGGGACACTGGGGAATGGTGAAGGGTACTGGGGAATGGTGAGGGGCACTGGGAAATGGTGAAGGGCACTGGGGAATGGTGAGAGGCACTGGGGAATGGTGAAGGGCACTGGGGAATGGTGAGAGGCACTGGGAAATGGTGAGGGACACTGGGGAATGGTGAAGGGCACTGGGAAATGGTGAAGGGCACTGGGAAATGGTGAAGGGCACTGGGAAATGGTGAAGGGCACTGGGAAATGGTGAAGGGCACTGGGAAATGGTGAAGGGCACTGGGAAATGGTGAAGGGCACTGGGGAATGGTGAAGGGCACTGGGAAATGGTGAGGGGCACTGGGAAATGGTGAGGGACACTGGGAAATGGTGAGGGGCACTGGGGAATGGTGAAGGGCACTGGGGAATGGTGAGAGGCACTGGGAAATGGTGAAGGGCACTGGGGAATGGTGAGAGGCAAGGCTGGAGAAGAAGGGGCAGGAAGACGGTGTGTGACATAGATCCTGAAGGCCTAGTTAGCCATGTCGACACAGTTGGAAGTGTTGAATGGTTTTCAAAACAAGGAGTGACATGATTCGATTTGCATATTGGAAACAGCTCTCTGGAAGATTGATGGGCAACAAGAGAAGATGCAAAGAGGACAGTTAGAGCTGCTGCTGAAGACCACGGGAAAAACGACTGTGGATCATGGCATTGAGGGTGGAAAGCAATGAATTGATTTGAGGACCATTAATGAGACAGAATCAGCAGGATGACTGCCTGGATAAAGGAATAGGGGGAATGGTAGTGCCACTTGCTGGAGTAAGGAGACTGGAGGAAAAGCAGACTTGGGGTTTCAGGTGACTAAAAGACACCCCATCACAAGGAGGAGCCCCTCTTCTGGACACAGCCAACCTCTCTTCCAGGGGATGGTGCTCCCTCTACTAACTAGCTGCTTGGTCATCTCTCCATTCTTCTGGCTGCCTTTCTACAGTCTTAAGCATGCCCAAATCACATGGCTGTTATCTTCATTAGAACTCTCCACTAAACCAGCATCTCCCCAAGGCAACCACTAGATCTCTCTCCTTCCTTCATGCATAGACATCCTTGGCAGAGTCCCTTATACCTGCTATCTCTGCTTCCTCAGAGGTTTCTAGGAGTCCTTGTGCTTTCCTCAGAAGGATTTTCCAGTCACACTCAAGTTCACAGAAGTCTGGCATCTTCATCTAATACTGCACAGAACTGCTCTCACCAAGATGGTTAAAGACCTCCATGTTTCTGGTTCACAGGACACGCCAGTCATTATCATGTCAGCTGACCACTTCCTTCTGTTGGTTTCTCTGACCCACATGCTCCTGGGTTTTGTGATCTCTCTGGCTGCTCTTTTCCAGTCTCCCTTACAGATATCTCTTGTTCACAAACATTGATGTCCTCTAGAGTTCAAAAACTAGGCTCTTTTTACCTCACACACATTCCCTGGGCAATCTCATTATTGTCTTTTTGTTGAAGATTTCCAAACCTGTGTCTACAGGCCAGCTCTCCTCAGTCTCAGACCCATACGCCCACCTGCCTGTTCAGTGCTTACACTGGCGTAAGAAGCAGACTCTTTGGTGAGTCGGAGGGTATGTGGCAGCTCCTTCTGATGGTGCCCAGTTTCTCCATTGAGTAAGAGGCAAGGCCATGTTTAGGGGTGTGGGAGTTGGTGACAGGGTAGCAGGTTTAAGAGACTAGTGGACATTTGCTGTATCTTCTTGGGAGTTTGGAATTAGGAGAATGTAGAAGCCAGTATGTGGGATCCAGTTGCTAATGGAAACTATGAATCCATAGGGTTCCTGCCTTCTAAGTTGTGGGATTTCTCCAGCACTCCAGTAAATAGCATGGGTATGGATCCAAAGTTGGATAGTAACATTCTGTCACGTGGATGAGACAGAAGGACCAAGCAAGGAAAGATCCTGGCAGAGGGAGGTGCAGTGACAGGCCCTGGGATGAAGATAGAATACCAAACAGACTTGGAGGCAGTAGAGGATTGGATGTTTGAATTTTAAAATGCAGAGGCAAAGCCAGACTGGGGTGATGATATGGTGCAAGGTGAGACCATAAGTGTTGGTCAATGACATGAAGTGGGAGTGCAGGTCCCTGGAGATGAGGATGTCAAGGGGCTCACAGGCTCAGTGTTGAAGTCATTCCTAGCACTGGTAGGAGCTGGAAGGACTGGGGCCAATGCTGGTGAGGTCAAGGGTGAGCTGACGGGCAGTCTGCACAAGACACTAGTGACAAAGAGCGGAGATAAAAAGGAGTTCAGAGGAGTTTTCCAGGAGGGAAAAAGAAGGCTTGGGGAGGGAGGGAGTGGAGCTGTGGGAGAATGAACCTGTCATAGGAGAAGGGTCTTCTGGGAAGGGGTGGAAGCTACAGAGAAGAGCTGAGTGTATCAGGAACAGATCTCTGACCCCAGGAAGCATAAGGCAAGGTTGAGTAGAGGGAACAGCTTAGGAGTGAGAGGATACATTGTGTGAAACATCCAGGTTCCCACCCTAGATAATGGAGGTAGGAGATCGACCATACGATGTCCAGCTGAATTGGTCCCAAATCTTCCTGTGTCTGGGGGCAGGTGAGAGGAAGGTTCAGGCCTCTGAAAAGGAGTCAACAGAAGCAAGCTGGAGGAAAGCAAGTTCTGGCCCAAAGAGGAGGCCAGAGGTAGAATTTTTGCCTCCCAGTATTCCTAAAGCCACCTTCATAGTAGGGGGAACTAAGTACCCTTGGGGGAGAAGCCTGCTCTGGCCCAATTAGATTTGGGGAACTCTGAAAGCCAGGCTTCAGATTGGGGTACTCCAGGCATTTCATGTTCCACTCATTAGTTACCTCATTCATTCACTCTTTAATCCATTCACTTATTCCTGAAACTTACATTAGTTGTTTCTTCCCTTCCTTCCTCATCTGAAGAGGCTTAAAGTGTTCATATTAGCACCGACTGTGTGCCAGGCACTGAGGAAGCGTTTTTAGAAATATATAGCTCCCTGATTATAATTCCTTTGCCATGTTCCCTTCTATTAAAACAAAATCTAGCCTTCCAGCATGGCCTAGACCAAATTTCGCCTATTCCCTGAAAACTAAATCATGTTGGCCATCATCTCTTCCCTTTGGAAATCTTTTAGTACTTATTCTCTGAATCACATATTTTGCTATATATTTTTTTCTAGCTTACCCTGCCTGTCCAATGAAACTGTCAGCCCTTGGGGATGGGGACTTAGTATATGAATTTTAAGTGTATGATTCGGTTAAGCATGTAAATGGGAGTCTGGTATCCTCACGAGCCGTCTGGTGCCTAAGTAGCAGGCCTCTAACATTGTATGATTCTCTCAGGGGGTTACTTATCATTTTTTCAATTTCCTATAGCTATGCTTCTCTTTTCATGGGAAGCATAGACAGGGAAGCCTAGAATTTCGCCTGTTTTTATGGGCAGTAGGAAGAAACATGGTTTAATAGTGCCAATAACACAACTACCTGCCTACTGGTCAGGTAATTTGGCATAAGCTCTATGCCTATATATGCAGTATAATCCAGTGGGGGCTATCCAGTCCCGGTGGGACTCCAGGTGGGTCCACATGGTCTGCAACTTTGGGAATTTACTAAACGGATTTCTCACTGTGTGATGTAAACTCCACCAAGAGACTATTTTTGTGGTACCATTACACAGTTTCTGTCTCAGACAACTAAGTCGTCCTATGGGGTGAGTGAATTCTTTTCCTTCTCTAGCTATGCAATATTGTCCAATAATGGAGGCTTTTAGGACCTAGAAATCATCAGGGTGATTCTTTTGAGCTAGGAATTCATCAGGAACTGGGTCTGTAGGTACTAATTCTCGGCCTTCCTATGGCCATTGATCTCCTATTACAGTTCCTCCACATACATAACATGAAGTGACATTGCGAGACTGGGCTACATGCTCGGCTAATTGCAAAAACAAATTTCTTGTTTTTCTTGTAGTTTCTGGTACTGGCATTTAGTTCATCATAGAAAGTTTGAAACACTGGCTCAACTTATTACTCCAGGCTGTAGAATCCTGGAAAACAGCTACCATGCAGCCCACACCTGGCCAACTGGAGGACCACCTTAGTGGAAAGGGGACAATTTGGGCCTCTGGCCCTGCCATGTGCACAAGCATAACAATTGCTTTTGTTTAACATGCAGATGGAATATTTGATCCATTTTGACCAGGCATTTGCATCTTGGTATCCTGTCTTAATTGCTAAAGTTTGTTTTAAGTCTTTAACTTCTATCATCCTCTACTAAAATGAATGTATGGTTTTAGGAAATTACAAAACCAGCTGGGGCAGTCCATCCTTGCTCTTTAGTGGTCCACAGAACATTGGACCAACTATGGCATGAAAGCTCTACGTCGGGGGGCAAGACTCCTTGTTGGCACTGGGGTCTTTATCTAAATCTCCCTGGATTAAATGGTCCTAGTTTATTAATGCCCAGTCTGAGGAGAGTCAGGAGGGACAGAAGTGCTTTTCTGAAGTAGAGAGCTGTCTTTGACTTGGCAAGTCCTCACAGACCATGCTTCCACTCAAATGGAGTAGGCAAGTTCCCAAGACCAATCCTGTCAAGCTATTCAAACCAAGTCAAAACCAAAACCAAAGTACCAATAAAGGCATGCCGTGGGTGATCAGGCCACACTTCCACTCAAATGGAGTGGGCAAGTTCCTAAGACCGGTCCTGTCAAGCAATTCAAACCAAGTCAAAAACCAAAACCAAAACCAAAACCAAAACCAAAACCAAAGTGCCGATAAAGGCATGCCATGGGTGATCAGGCTACGCTTCCACTCAAACAGAGTGGACAAGTTCCCAAGACCAGTTCCCAAGGCAAGCATTAAATGCAATAGTTTGAGGTGAAATCGACTTGGTTATGTTAATAACTAGATGGTCAGCAATAGAACGAGGAAAGAAGAAAGAGCAATAGAATAGATGAAAAGAGTTAAATTTCTCTTAGCTTTAGTTTGGTAGGGTTTTCCCCTGGGACTATGGCCTATGACTGTGGAGGGGGTAGCGCTTTCTTGACTTGGGTGTAATGAATCCATCCTTTTTTTTTTTTTTTTTTTTGCTGTAGGAACAGCAGTCTTGGTGGTTAGCAGCACAAGGTAGGGTCCTTCCTAGGCTGGCTCCAGTTTTTCTTCTTTCCACCCTTTGATGATAACGTGATCTTCAGGCTGGTGCTGGTTTACCAGAAATTCTAGGGGTGGTACCTGTGCTAAAAGACTTTCAGTTTTTTTTTTTTTTTTTTTTGCGAGAAAGGAAAGTGGAAGATAAACCAAGTATATAATTTTTAAGAAAATTGACCTTTTGTTTTAAATATGGGGACCTTGGCAGTGGACTTTATAGTCCTTAGTGCTTTTTTACTGAGAAATTTCCTTTAGAACCTATTTTTATTAGTTTTTAAACCAAAGAAAGCCAAATACCATTTTACATTTAACAATGCTTCTCACATGATTTTTATACCAGATAAGCTAAATTTTATCTTTATATTAGTGTGTTATTAATGTTAAACCTAATTTTAATAAAACCTTGTAAACATATTTACTTAATTTTTTAATGTTTGACTATTAGGAAAGATTTTATAGACTCTTTAACCTTCTATAATTTTTACTAAAGAGCAGGTTGGTGCTTTAAGAAAAACCTGTTATGCTTTTAATTTACTGTCCAGTTCACAGAAAAACTGGATGATACCTCTTTAACTTTAGCTAATATGTTTACAAACAGCATTTTCTTTACAATTAACGTTTTAAAACTTGCTTAAACCTTCAAAACAATAATTCTTTTTAACTTTTTAATGTAGGTAAAAATGTACATTCTTAGGCCTCCTTATAATCCTTTTACCAAAGGTATATTTTACTTTTCTTATACACCTTGCACATAAACTGTTTTCTTTTTTTTTTTTCAACGGTTTTACATTCAGGAGGCCTAGTTACTTTTAAATTATACAACATTTTTTGCATAAATTTTTTATAACTTTTTTTCATGACTTTCGCAGACAATTCTTCAACATGCCTCAACTTTCTGACTTATTACAAATATTTCTTTCTTTAAACAACCAGTTAATTTATTTCAGGACAAGAATTTACCATATAATACTTTTTTTAATATAAATTCTGCCCCCGCTTTTTTTTCCTTAGGATACTTCTGAACTGGTGAGGTGTGATCACAATGACGTTTCCCCTAAAAGTTATTTTTTCTTCTTACCTTTTTTTTTGTTTGTTAGCAAAGCAGTTGCCGCTACAGATTGGATGCATTTGGGCCATCCACGGGTTACTGGGTCAAGGATTTTTGATAGGATGGCCTCAGTGCTTTTGGGATACGCCCTTGTTTACACTGACAACAAAGTGGTATTGAAGTGTTATAGGGTTACGGAGAATACCTTCAATTATCAATTATAGGTTTTAAATTTACCTTGGCTTTTAAAGGAATAGGGTACACTTTTTTTTTTCTCAACTACTTGTGTATCTCTCTCTTTGACTTTTCCTTTTGCCTCTGTCTCTTCTCTCTCTCTGCCTCTCTCTTTCTCTCTCTCCTTAAATCCCTCTTTGTCTGTCTCTTCCTCTCTCCCTTTGCCTCTTTTCCTCTCTGTCTGTTTCCTTTCTCTCTCTCTGCTGTTCTTTCCCTGCCTCTGCCAGCCCCTTATGCTGCTGTTCTCTCAACCACTGTGTGTTGGGGGCGGGGGTCTAAAACCAGCTGTAACCAAGTGTCTATGTACGGGAACTGGTCTAGGTTCCCCAGCTTACAGGTTACCTTGTGCCATACCTTTGAAACAAGGGACTTGTCCAGGCTTCCTTCTAATGGCCAACCTACCTCTAACGCTGGCCAGCCTAATTTACACAAAGTTTTAAATTTTCCTAGTGTCATAGTACTCCATAGTCTCCTTTACATTTTGTTCTGAAAATTTTCAACATAGTTCCTGGTAGGGTGGGCTTATTTGTGCCTGACCTATGCTTCTTCGAGACAAAACACCACACTCACGCCACACGCACACAAGAAAACAACAGGTAAAAAGGGCACACACACACTTTTGCAGTTTCCACCAAACCAAAATCAAAACCAAAATCAGAGTATCCAGAAATCCAAGCCAGGTCAAAACCAAAACCAAAGTATCAAGCAATCTAAGTAGAGTCAAAAACAAAAACCAAAGTGCGGGTACAGGTACACCGTGGGTGATCAGGCGACGCGTCCACTCAAATGGAATAGGCAAGTTCCCAAGACCAATCCTGTCAAGCTATTCAAACCAAGTCAAAACCAAAACCAAAGTGTCGATAAAGGCATGCTGTGGGTGATCAGGCCACACTTCCACTCAAATGGAGTGGGCAAGTTCCCAAGACCAGTCCTGCCAAGCAATTCAAACCAAGTCAAAACCAAAACCAAAACCAAAGTGCCGATAAAGGCACGCCATGGGTGATCAGGCCACGCTTCCACTCAAACAGAATGGGCAAGTTTCAAAGATTAGTCTTACCAAGTTTTAGATGTCCAGACTCCAAGTGCCCATTCCTTCCCGGTGTTCAGCCACTGCGTTGATTCTCCACGGGGGCCTGCCACACACTGCTGTGGTGAGGTGTCCCACCGGGGCAAATGCCTACCCGGGAGCGCTCTCAGGATCCGTGTCGCTTGGTCTGGTCACAGTCTCCCACAGGGATGTTCCACAGGACAGGCTTAAGCTGCCTAAGGAGCTGCCTCCACCATCCACCAATCACCTCGCTTCCCAGTCAGGGAACCAAGAAATGTAGCAGGACGAGCCACAGACAAAACTCCTCAGACACCGAGTTAAAGAAAGAAGGGGTTTATCCGGCCAGGGGCATTGGCAAGACTCCTGTCTCAAGAGCCGAGCTCCCCGAGTGAGCAATTCCTGTCCCTTTTAAGGGCTCACAACTCTAACGGAGTGTGTGTGAGAGGGTCGTGATCGATTGAGCAAGCAGGGGGTACTTGACTGGGGGGCTGCATTCACCCGTAATTAGATCGGAACAAAACAGGATAGGGATTTTCACAGTGCTTTTCTATACAATGTCTGCAATCTGTAGATAATATAACCAATTACGTCAGGGGTCGATCTTTAACTACCAGGCCCAGGGTGTGGTGCCTGGCTGTCTGCTTGTGGATTTCATTTCTGCCTTTTAGTTTTTACTTTTTCTTTCTTTGGAGGCAGAAACTGGGCATAAGACAATATGAGGGGTGGTCTCCTCCCTTAAGAAGAGCGTCCCCAGGAGAAACAAGCTTGACCACTATGCTGTCACAGAGTTTCCTCTGACCACTGAGTCTGCCATGAAGAAGATAGAAGACAACAACACACTTGTGTTCACTGTGGATGTTAAAGCCACCAAGCACCAGATCAAACAGGCTGTGAAGAAGCTCTATGACACTGATGTGGCCAAAGTCCATGCCCTGATTAGGCCTGATGCAGGAAGAAGGCATAAGCTCCACTGGCTCCTGATTACAATGCTTTGGATATTGCCAACAAAATTGGGATCAACTTTGTTGCTGACCCAACAAAACTGGGATATTGCCAACAAAATTGGGGTCATCTAAACTGAGTCCAGCTGGCTAATTATAAATACATGTATCTTTTCACCAGGTTCATGCCTCTTTGTCAACTTCTGGTTGGGCTGGGGAGGCCATTCAAGGTACTGAGGTTGTAATAGGGCCTGGGCAAGACTCCTGTTCTACTTATCCTTTTGGAACACTCACTCTGCCACTCCACCATACTTGATCACTCCAGAGATCTTTATGACCAGAGCTAGTTGTCCTAAGAAAACCAGAACTTGTCTCCATGGTAGAGGTAAGAAAACAAGAAGCTGCCGGGTGGCGGTGGCTCAAGCCTATCACTTTGGGAGGCCCAGGCGGGCAAATCACTTGAGGCCAGGAGTTCGAGATCAGCCTGGCCAACATGGTGAAACCCCATGTCCACTAAAAAGACAAAAATTAGCCGGGCATGGTGGTGGGCACCTGTAGTCCCAGCTACTCAGGAGGCTGAGGCAGGAGAATCTGGGAGGCAGAGGTTGCAGCGAGCCAAGATCTGGCCACTGCACTTCAGCCTGGGTGACAGAACGAGACTCCGTCTCAAAAAAAAAAGAAAAAAGAAGAGGCTTTACAAGAACCCCTTCTTTTATCCCTGGAAGAGGCTGTGTGTGAAACCAATGCCCACAGTTTGAAGGGCATTAGCATTCATCTTAGGGGAGTGTGGGTTGGCTGGCTTTCAGGTAGCACTTTGACCTCACACACCCATCTACTATGTCCAACTGGTCTGTCTGCTTCCCTCAGCCTTAACCAATAAAGGACAAGGACTTAAAAAAAAAGAGTGGGAGTGAGGGGAACAAAGGGCATCTTTTTTTTTTTTTTTTTTTTGAGACAGAGTCTTGCTCTGTCTACCAGGCTGGAGTGCAGTGGTGCCATCTTTGCTCACTGCAACCTCCATCTCTGGGGTTCAAGCAGTTCTACTGCCTCAGCCTCCCTAGTAGCTGGGATTACAGGTGAGCTCCACTATGCCTAGCTAGTTTTTGTATTTTTACTTGAGACAGGGTTTCGCCATGTTGGCCAGGCTGGTCTCGAACTCCTGACCTCAGGTGATCCTCCTGCCTTGGCCTCCCAAAGTGCTGGAATTACAGGCGTGAGCCACTGCGCCCAGCTTTTTTTTTTTTTTTGGGGAAATGGGGTCTTCTCTGTTGCCCAGGCTGGAGTGTAGTGGCGTGATCACAGCTCACTGCGGCCTTGATCTCCCAGGCTCAATCGATCCTCCCACCTCAGCCTCTGGAGTAGCTGGGACCACAAGGGCGGGCCATCAAGGCTGGCTACTTTTTTTTTTTTTTAATTATTATTTGTAGAGATGAAGTCTCGCTATGTTGCCCAAGTTGGTCTCCAACTCCTGGGCTCTAAGGATTCTCCTGCCTTGCCCTCCCAAAGTGCCGGGATTACTTCTCCGTTGCTTAGTCAAGAACACTATGAAGAACTTTTGAGTAGTAACTTCAACTTACCCTTTGGGTTTGTATGTATGCTGTTACTTTTTTTTTTTTCTTCTGTTGCACAAAGGTATTATTCACCTTATGCAGTTTCAGCTCCACCCAGGTGCAAGCAGCTCTTAATCACCCTTAAGTTCAGCAGCCACTCTAAGCTAGCCTGAGGAGATAAAGTCCACACTTGACATACAGTTCTTTACATTCCTCCAATGTCACACAGGCACATTCACTTTCAAAATGCAGAATAGTTTGGTCTGCATTTTTCTGCCAGTCTTATCTGCATTTAGAACCTGTGGTGGTGGTTTCTTTTTTGCCAAGATAACCCCAGGGACAAGCTTTTTTTTTTTTTTTTGACCCTGGCACACCCCAGGACTTTTATAATCTTTTTGCCCAACAACCCATTGTTGAATTTTACTTCGACATGCCTGTACTTTACTTCTTGAAACAACTAATTTCATTCTGCAGTTTAAAAAGCAAATCCAGTAAGAAACTCAGAATCACAATCGTATGCTCTTTCATAGTTATCCTAGCGTTAAAAAAGATGCAAATTTAGATGAGAACCGTGTGTACCAGGGGGCTGTGACATCATTTTAAAAGTAAACGATCACACAGTGAACAATGCCGTGCTCCCATTAATATTCAATACGTACTGTACAACATTTCAAATTAGAGTTTAGTTTCTTCGCTACCAGGATCCTAGCGCCATAGGCTGTAAGTATTCAAATGCTTCTCGACTGTGATTGAGTTGGCTATGACAGTCCGTCAATGGGTCTGCAGGATCCCATTTAGTTTTAGCAACTGTGGCTGGTGTCCAGGAATGCGTTCATGCGATCTGAAAGTAAGCCTCTGGCTTAGGACAGCGGGGGGAACCAATTTGATCTTAGGAGGGTCCCTGCAGAGTGTTTGAGTCGCGAGGCGGGCCGGGGCAGGCCGCGTGCTCCCAGGCGCTTCCTTTACCAAGATGGCTTCGGCGCCCCGGCCCACAGGGGCGGCCATCTTGGTAAGGGCTGGAGAGGCAGCCTGAAGGAGGCCACCGCTGGCCCTGCTGTCAGATTCGAAGGTCATAATAAGGGAGTGACCCGGCGACGACTCGCCCCAACGATGGCGAGGCGGCGAGAGCTGAAGCGCTGCCTGCAGCTGCTGGCGTCCTCGGCGGAGCCAGCGCGGCGGGCTCGGGTTAGGAAGAACCCGAGCGCCTGCCGCGGTCGCCCCTCCCGCTACGCGGCGGCGCTTTGCGCGGGGACTCTGTGGCCGGAAGCCGCGGAACTGAGGCGGCGCGCGCTCCCGGCCACCCCAAGCGCGAGGTGAGTCCGCACCCCCGCGCTCGCACCCCGCCGCTCTGGCCGCGCGCCCGCGGCCCGGGATCCCGAGTGTCCGGAGCTCCGTGGTTTCTGTTGGACCTCGCGGGAGGCGGTTTTCTCCCGCCTGCTGTGCTCTGTGACCTCTCTGCTGCCTCCTCCACGGTCTCTGGGCGGAGCAATCCACACTGCTGAGCCTGGGGTGGTTTGGAATTCTTCGGCGAAGTGGAGCGGGCTGAGAGTGGGTTTCCCGTCCCCGAGCCCTCCCTCATCTCGGAGATGCCGCACTTGTGAGCGACAGGGCTTCATTTGAATTTTCGCACCTCGCGAGTTGCGGAGCCTGCATCTCTGAAGCTGCCTCGGTGAAGAGCCACAGCATTATTTTTTTTCTCTTTGGGAGAGTAGCTGTCTGGGATTTGAGATCCTATCTTCCCTGCAAATTACCAGGTTGCATCTTCACTGATAGGAATACATGTGGGTTTATCTTCTTTTGGTTGTATGTAAATGAATGGGTCGACAACTTCCTCCGAGCAACTTATTGTTGCTTCATCTATAGTGTTTATCTTCTAAAAATCCATTCCAACAGGTTTCTCCCCTTTTATTTTGGAATAAGTGTACTTATTTAACTATGGAATGGAAATGAAGAGCAAAAAAAAAAATGGGGCTAGCTGGGGAGGGGTGGTGGAAGGCTGTGCTTTCTTGAGTTTTCTGTTCTGTGGTTGTTTGCTTCTTATAAATTGGGTATTATTGTGGGCTTTTCAGAACACGTATTCAGATAGGTTTTTGTTGTTGTTGTTTTGTTTGTTTGTTTTTTCCTTTTTTTTTTTTTTCAAGCTAGAGCTCGATATGGTAGATACTCTTCCATGGGTTCCGGGATCACATGCATTCATTATACGTCAGTTAAACCTGGAAAATATTAAGGGAGTGAGTAAAGTTTAACAGCCTTTTAAAAAGTCATTTAGTTCTTGTCTTTGCCTTTACTGTACGTTGTTATATATACATGTTATAATATGACTGACTCACCTGGTTGGCTTTGGCTTAGCATGAAATGTTTGCTACTTGATAATTCTGATTAATTTGTCCAGGAAGTCATTCCTGAGATGCAGTTCTTCAAATTGAGAAATAATTCCCATGTTTGTTAAAAAATGGAAATCTCTAACATTTCCATTTCTATTTTCAGTTACATTGGTTATGAATTAGCCGCAGACATGGACATCGTTTAGAAAGAAGTTATGTAATCTTTAAAAAGAAGATTACCTATATCCCACAATAGTGTGATTTTTGTTGCAAGAAAATACTGGGTCTGTTAAAGAAGAAATTTAGGGTAAAAGTACTTATTTAAAATAATAATTTAAGGAGAGATTGAGGGGTTAAATTTGTTTCAAGTCAACTGAAAATATAGTCAGGATTTTCAGAGATTTTGTTTTGTTAACATTCTGCAGGCTTTCCTGCTACAAGAATTATGGTAAGTCTCCAAGAGATAAAAATACTTAGTGTATTTCTCATACCCTTATTTTCACTCAGAATTCCAAATTATATTGTAGAAATTCTATGTTACAAAATTCTAATTTTAAAATTAGTCCAGTTATAACTATATGAAGAACATTTTAGCATAAGCATTCCATCACAGGGTTTTGGTTATACTTTAGTTGATACAGTCATTCTTGTGTTTGTTCGAAAGGGGTATTATGTTACTTTGAGTATTTGTGAGTTTGGTAAACTGAGAGGATTTTTATGAACATTTAGTCTGTGTTTGGAAAAGCAGTATTTGCCTTTAATTTTGTTGTTTCATTCTGCTTTTTCTTTGTGGTGATGGATAGCTGTGGATATAGTGAGTTTTTCCATTGCTTTCTACACTTTGTAAATAAGAATATAGCTATAGCTGGAGGACTGTTGATCTGGGCTTTTTAGGTTGAAATGCATACACATAAAAAGTGTTTTCATTGAAGTATTATTAGGGAAATGAACTGTATGTATAATTAATCGTTAAAGAGCACTTTTATTCTGGAGGCCAGTGAGGGCATGCATAAAACTGGCATTAAAATATCACCCATGTGATTTCCAGCATAAGATTCAAGTAATATTTCATTCTAACGCCTATACTACTGAATAATTCTGTCTACAATTTATAGTGCTTTGCTTGATTTGTCTTTTGAATTTATTAACCATTTATTGTGTATTTAAGTATTTTACTAACAGACTTTGGAGACAGATTGCATACGAACTCATATATCCCCAGGGGCAGTTTTATGTTAGAGATAGTCTTCTGCAACCTCAGCTGGTTAAATAATGTATTATAACTTTATCATTTACAAAGCTCTTTCAAATATTTTAAATATATGTATATATATAGAGAGAGTTTGATTTTATAGACATAAAATATGAGCCTTGTTCCACAGATGAGGAAAATAGGACACCAAGAGCCTGGGAGAGTCTGGTGATTTGGCCAAGGAACCTTAGCTCAGCAGCCCCAGCCTTCAGCAGAATATATACACTGCAGACTCTTGTTACAGCGGGGTTCCAATGAAGCGAAAGTGGAGGGGTGTGGATTAGCAAGCGTTGGTCAGCAACACACTCACAGATTGCACCCCTGCCTGTGGGTAACAGGTTGTGAATGGCCAGTGCTGTTGGCTCTGGAGGCACAGGTCTGGCATGTAGATGGATCAGCATAATTCAAAATCTTGATTGAAAAACAACTCAGTTTGTGCCTGCTACCTGGAACAATCCATTTTTCCCCTTGAAGGTGCAGACTCTTGTGTTTATCTAATTTGGGCACCTTCCCAGATTAAGGGACAGTAATATATTGATTTAACACTGAATGCCTGTAGGCTTCTGCGTGATTTTGTAATCTCTCTCAATTACAAGAATGAATAGAGAAACACCAAGCTTTCTCATTGTCACTAGCACTCTTGAACTGGTCACATCTTTTTTTTTTTTTTTGAGACGGAGTCTCGCTCTGTCACCCAAGCTAGCGTGCGGTGGGGCAATCTCGGCTGACTGCAACCTGTGCCTCGTGTGTTCAAGCGATACTCATGCCTCAGCCTCCTGAGAAGTTGGAATTACAGGCATGTGCCACCACACCCAGCTAAAACTGGTCACATCTTAATAGGACACCCGGATGACAGCAGTCATTAGTTTTGAAAGTTATTATTTTCTGTATTTTGAAGGTCCTTCAATTACAAAGATGTTCTCTGTTCAAGTTACTGTGTTTGTTCCTTCAGTTTGTTTAGAGAGCTCATGGAAAGCTCTCTAAACTAAGCTGTCTATATATTCTGAACATATATGTGTGTGCGTGCGTGTGTGTGTGTGTGTTTTCCAGAATGTTGTGCTATTTTATGGTAAAAGTAGCCAATGAAAGCTTAAAGAGTTTCTGGACTCAAATTCTTTTTTTTTTTTTAAACTTGAAGCCAAACTAAGTAAAATACCCCACATAAAGTAAAATGTGTCATTTATCTTCCTATGCTGATTGTATGCCCCTTCGGTTCCAAGTGTTTTTAAGCATAATTAGGGTGACAGCATGGCTGATACGTAGTCCAGGCTCCATCATCAGCCAGAGCTAGATCCTTGGAATGTCATGTAACTCTCTGGCCTGACTTGGTTTACCGATTAGGTAAAAGGGTCACACAAGTGATGACTTCTGTCATGGAATGTTCAAGTTGGAAGGGACCTTAGAGGGAATGTACCTGGTCCAATCTCTTTAATGTGCATATTTTTAATTTCTGCTGTCACAGGAGTTTAGCCTGTCATGATTACCTCAAAATTGAAACATTGAAATTAGGCTTTTCCACCATTTCACAGATATGAAATACTTTACAATTCTTGGCTGAAAGTTGATTTTCTTTCTCAATCTTTCCTCATATAGTGTCTCACTTTTATGTGTAGACTAAATGCCGATTGTATATAAATGTACATGTGCTGTTTGGAGCCTCTTTTTTAGCTGGGTGAACGCTAATACTGATGATGCACATATTGAATATCATCAGAATGAAGAATTTGATCTAATAAACTTTTTTGGTATTCTTAGCAACATTGTCTTAGTTAAGCCTGATTACGTATAGCATTATAATTTTTTTCTTTTGCTTAGCCACCCGAATACCTTCACATCTTACTTTATAATCTTCATCTTCAATTTAGTTTAAACTGCGCACACATTTATAAATTTTTTTGAAGATATGACTATGCATTTATATGGTCACCTGAGACATAGAATGATCAACCCTCCAGGTTTTCCCAGAACCAAGGGAGTTCCCAAGATGCAGGAATTTTTTTTTTTGAGACAAGAGTCTTGCTGTGTTGCCCAGGCTGGAGTGCAGTGGCTCAATCTCAGCCTACTGCAACCTCCACCTTCAGGTTCAAGCAATTCTTGTGCCTCAGCCTCCTGAGTAGCTGGGACTACAGGCATGCACTACCATGCCTGGCTAATTTTTGTATTTTTAGTAGAGACAGAGTTTTGCCATGTTGGCCAAGCTGGTCTCGAACTCCTGGCCTCAAATGATCTGCTTGCTTCATTCAGCCTCTGAAAGTGCTGGGATTACAGGTGTGAGCCACCACACCTGGCCTAAGATGCAGGACTTTAAATGTTAACACTGGGAAATCCTCAGGCAAACTAGATATGTTGATCCTCCTACCTGACAGTTTCTCTTTATGGGACTTGACTAGCCATTCTCCCCAGCTTGAAAGATAACATGTTAGGTGGTTTTATGCTGGATAAACTGAGACACCTTTTGAAAGCAAAGGAAATGTCTTCAAGGTACCATGTGTATTTTGTTTATGTGACTAAAATACAGAACCAATTATTTGTTGATGGTTCTTTTCAATGTAACTGTAAATTAGAAAAATTGAGTAATGAAAGTTATAGCATTTGAAACCTTCTTCATGTAAAATTAAAGGGGCAATTATATTTATAAGAGAACTAGTATTTATTGAGCATCTCCCAAGTACCTTTTACTTTGCAAAAGGGGAGAAAATTTTGTTGAAAGCCAAAAAAACAAAACAAAAGAAAAGGTGAGCCTTGTCAGTGAGACCATAACTGTTTGCAAAATGCTACTAACTTTAGAACCTAGGTATCTACTCAAGATAAATTTATTGAATTTTCCTTGTAGATTCAACATGATTAGTGGAAAGAGCATGGGCTTTGGCATCTGGTCAACTTGGGTTTCATCCCTAGATCCAACTGTTAACAACTTTATTGCTTTATGGAAGCTATTAAACTCTGTGAGCCTCTTTTACATCACCTATAGCATGAGGATAATAATTATCTAAAGTGCTTGGTACATAGTAAATGCTTAGTAAATGATAAATGGACCAGGTGCCGTGGCTCCTGTCTGTAATCCCAGCACTTTAGGAGGTCAAGGCAGGAGGATTGCTTGAGGCCAGGAGTTCAAGGCTGCAGTGTGTTGATCAAGGCACCCACATATGGATTAGGAAAGCTGTATTTTGGGCATTTGTTACCATTGGTGTTTTTATAGCTCCCCTAAACCTGAACCTCCCAGTTACGGTAATCGTATCAGTTAGGATTAATTTGTTGTGATTTGAAAGATTGCTCAAATATGTTTTTCCTACACATGAAAGAAGTCCAAAGTTGGACAGTTCAGGCTTGGTATGGTGGGCCCTGAAGTCCTTCTGGCTCTCCTCGATGCCATTCCTTGGATGTGGCACCCTCCTGGCTCAAGATGGCTCCAGGTAGCCAGATGCAGGACAAATCGAGAAGAATGCCTCCCTTTCCCTTAAGGAGACTTCTGGAAGCACCATAAAAGGCTCGTATCACATTGTTCAAAGTGTCACCAACCTGGCCATCCCTAGCTAGAAGGCTGAGAAATGTCATCATTTAGCTGATGCATAGTTACCCTAAGTAAAACGGGTTCTGTTACTGAGAAGAAAAGGAAGAGAAGATTTTTTTTTTTTCTAAATACATGACAGATTAAAGAACACTAGATTTTATGGCAGGCATCTTTTCGTCTTTACCACTGTGCTGCCGCTTTACCACATAGAATTTAACTACTCAATTATTCCCCAAGACTTTTCTATTTTTATTTATTTATGTTTATTTATTTATTCTTAGACAAGCTCTTGCTCTGTCACCCAGGCTGGAGTGCAGTGGCATGATCACGGCTCACTACAGCCTTGACCTCCTGGGCTCAAGCAATCCTCCTATCTCAGCCCGCCACACCTGGCTAATTTTTGCGTGTGTGTGTTTGTTTTTTTGTTTTTTTGTTTTTTTTTTTGTAGAGACAGAGTCTCACTATGTTGCCCAGGGTGGTCTTGAACTCCTGGGCTCAAGTGATCTGCCTGCCTTGGCCTCCCAACGTGTTGGGATTACAGGTGTGAGCCCCTGTACCTGGCCAGTTTTAATTTTTGTTAGCAGAGTTGGTGGGGATCTCCACTGTTGACTTTTGTCTCTCTGTCTTCTGGTCATTTTTGCTTCTATTATTTGACTCCTAGCAGGAGATCTTTTAAAAAACAATTAACTGTATCCTAATGAAGAGTGATTAGGAGTTTAAGCTCTGGTTTTTTCATTTATTCATTCCATAAATATTGTGCACTCATTGTGTACAGGCTGCTTTGTGTTATTGACAATGTGAATCATTACTGATTATATTTCCCTTTTTTTGACTTGGCTTCCTGGGGGCACAGAGTCAAATTTGTGACTCAGTTGGATTGAGTACAAGCCTTGCCCTGTCAAACTTTCTTTTTTTCTGTCACCCAGGCTGCAGTGCAGTGGCACGATCTTGGCTCACTGCAACCTCTGCCTCCCTGGTTCAAGTGATTCTCCCACTTCAGCCTCCCAAGTAGCTGGGATTACAGCCGCCTGCCACCATGCCTGGCTATTTTTTGTATTTTTAGTAGAGATGGGGTTTCACCATGTTGGCCAGGCTGGTCTCGAACTCCTGACCTCAAATGATCCACCTGCCTCGGCCTCCCAAAATGCTGGGATTACAGGCATGAGTCACCATGCCTGGCCCCTGTTAAACTTTCTACCTAGCAATGTGGTTAGTCTTCCCATCCCACTGTATAGCAGTTTCAGGATGATGCTGCCTCTCTAACTTGGAGTGCTGAACAGGAAGTAAGAGTTGGCTTTACGGTAGGCAGCTGCCAGGCTAGCATAAATTCTGGCATACCAGAAAATCCCTTTGATCCTTCCTAAATGCTTGTCTTACTTTGTGCCAAATGACTAATGATTTAAAGCAGTGGTTCTCAACCCTGCCTGTATATCAGAAACACCCACAGAACTTTTAAAAATTATCTAGAGAAACTGCCCCACCTGACATTTTGATTCAGTAGCCTCTGGTGTAGTTTAAAAAGCTCCACAGGGGAGCTCTTTCCTTTCGCTGCTGTGGCTGCAGCCTTGAGTATGCTCAGGCTTCAGAAGAGGCTTGCCTCTAGTGTCCTCTGCTGTGGCAAGAAGAATATCTGGTTAGACCCCAATGAGACCAATGAAATCACCAATGCCAACTCCCGTCAGCAGATCCGGAAGCTGATCAAAGATGGGCTGATCATCCGCAAGCCTGTGATGGTCCATTCCCCCGCTTGATGCCGGAAAAACACCTTGGCCTGCCGGAAGGGCAGGCATATGGGCATAGGTAAGCGGAAGGGTACAGCCAATGCCCGAATGCCAGAGAAGGTCACGTGGATGAGGAGAATGAGGATTCTGCACCGGCTGCTCAGAAGATACCGTGAATCTAAGAAGATTGATCGCCGCATGTATCACAGCCTGTACCTGAAGGTGAAGAGGAATGTGTTAAAAAACAAGCAGATTCTCATGGAACACATCCACAAGCTGAAGGCAGACAAGGCCCGCAAGAAGCTCCTGGCTGATCAGGCTGAGGCCCGCAGATCTAAGACCAAGGAAGCACACAAGAGCTATGAAGAGCACCTCCAGGCCAAGAAGGAGGAGATCATCAAGACTTTGTCCAAGGAGGAAGAGACCAAGAAATAAAAGCTGCCCCTTTGTGTGTACATACTGGCCTCCGTGATTACATAGATCAGCCATTAAAGTAAAATAAGCCTTTATCTGCTTGCAAAAAAAAAAAAAAAAAAAAAAAAACAACTCCACAGGTAATTCTGATGTACATTTGAGGTTTCAGGGCTTGTACCCATGTGGACTGGAAATGATCTAGGGAGGATTTGCACTTTGTTCCTTATCTGTCACACACTGGAAATCAGATCTTTCTTGAAAACCTGTTTTGGCCATGGAAAAAGCAGATGGGGGGAACAATATGATAGTAGAGTCACTTGGGTAAGAGAGGCAAGAATACTGAAATGCTTTAGGGGAAACTTATTTACTCGTGATTTATGTAGAGCTGGCCTTGCTTGCCTATTTTGCCAGCTCCCATTGTGGGAAATTTTTCCTTTGAGCAAAAGAATCTGTTTAACTGGAGCTTCAAGCTCTGGGAAAAGTGCTGAGTCTGCATGTGGCCACCATTAGTATCATGAGTTTTCAGCTTCTGCTCCTTGGGCCAGTGAAGGGAGATAAAGGGAAGTCAGGTAGATTATTATTTTCAGAATCAGGAGACTATCAATGAGTCTTCTGAGCTAATGAGAGCCTTCTGGTGACTCCAGGAGGGTTAGTGAGGCCACAAGGAACTATGAGGTCGGGTAGGAATCCTGTTTTGAATTAAGAGTTCTGCACTTTGGGAGGCCAAGGCGGGCAGATCACGAGGTCAGGAGATTGAGACCGTCCTGGCTAACATGGTGAAACCCCGTCTCTACTAAAAATACAAAAAAATTAGCCGGGCGTGGTGGCGGGCTCCTGTAGTCCCAGCCACTTGGGAGGCTGAGGCAGGAGAATGACGTGAACCCGGGAGGCGGAGCTTGCAGTGAGCCGAGATCACGCCACTGCACTCCAGCCTGGGCGACTGAGCAAGACTCTGTTTCAAAAAAAAAAAAAAAAAAAAAAAGAGTTCTGTGAATTCCAAGATCAGGCCTTCTCTTACTCAAATAGAACAAAAACACATTCCAGAGTTTATTCTGCTTCAGTTTATTCATACCATTTCCCTCAGCTTCCTTATCACATTAGTGTAGAAATGCAAAAATGGTATACATGTATATCCTACTATCTCATTAAAACTGTTACTGTTTATAGCATAATGAAACAGTGGCTTAGTTATTCAGTGCTTACTATGTACTGTGTGCCAGAGACTGGGCTAGGAATTATGAAACTGAGGTTTAGGATGATGAGGGGCAAAGTTGGGAAGCATTTATTTTAAGATGTTTTCAATTCTTTTGCCCCATCTTCTGGTAATGTGGTTTTTCCTGATAACCCATTCAAGCATATTTTAGTTATATTCATTTTTAATATGCTTTTATAATTTGCTACAAACTTTCTGCTATTCTTAAACAGAGGCTACTGAATTGAACTCAGGGATCTTAAAGTCCCTTAGAACCTCAAGATTCTATTAACCTTTTGGGGATATCTCTAGCCTCACTCTGACCCTGTTATTTACAGTGTACAGAAGACTCAGGAGATGGCTGAACAGGGTCTGATGTAGTCATGTCCTGGGCCTTGTTTCCCTGTAAAAGTCTCACTGTTCGTTTATTTTTTTGTCATTTTTCTCCCAGAGGATGGACCACGCATGACACTGCGGGCAGAATAACATGTCTGCCCCTTTGCCAAATTCATTTGTGAGTGAATCAGGGTTCAAGTAACCTCTCTAGTGACTTTGTTTCTTTCCATCACCCTCTCTGTTGCCATCAGCGCCCTTTAACTTGTTGGCTGAATTCAGAAAGTTCTGAGCTTTTCAGTGTCTCTGACCTGCTGGATCACAGGACTCTTGCTGTCACTGTGGACCGCTCAGCACTTAAGGAAAAGTATTCCTCACCATCTTGAGAATTTGGCCAGTATGTTTTGGAAATGCCTTATTCTAAAGTCTATACCATTTTCATTAATCAGAGCTGACACTTCTGTAAATGTGATACTGAGCCAAAATCTATATGGTTTCTTATGATTTTTTTCCCTAATGGATTTTGAATCCCTGGAGGTCAGGGGTTCATATTCTCCACAGCAACTGGAGAGCTAGGACTTAGATAAAGTAGACATTCTAACAATGTTTGTTAAATGCAACTTTTAAAATGCTTTAAGTAGAAGCCCTTACAGGTAATATCTGGAATCTTTTTAAGTTTGAAAATCTAATGGCTATTTGTATCAGATTTATATGTCCTGGCTCTTAATAACCTCCTAGCCTACCTGATAAACCTGTGAAATTGCACTTTCTTCCAGTAGATAACTATGCTGTTCTCAGGTGAAATACTTCGCTTATCCCTTGCCAGTCCAGCCTGGGGAAGGCAGCTGGACCTGAGCTGGGAATTTTATTTGAGGGAGTGGAAATAGGAGGGGTTGGCCAAGGCTGAGTTAGAGGGGACAGCTCTTTAGTGGCCTGAGCTGGCTCTTTGGTGCAGCCGAAGATTGTTAGAATTTTAGAGGTGGAGAGACTTTAGAGATACATCCCAGTCCTCTATTTTACAGATGAATGAAAGTGAGTCTCAATGATGTTAAGTGACTTTTTAAAGGCTACAGAAGGCTGGGTGTGGTGGCTCACGCCTGTAATCCCAGCACTTTGGGAGGCCGAGGCGGGTGGATCACCTGAGGTCGGGAGTTCAAGACCAGCCTGGCCAACATGATGAAACCCTGTCTCTACTAAAAATACAAAAAATTAGCTGGGTGTGGTGGTGCGTGCCTGCGATCCCAGCTACTCAGGAGGCTGAGGCAGGAGAATCGTTTGAACCTGGGAGGTGGAGGTTGCAGTGAGCTGAGATCGCACCACTGGACTCCAGCCTGGGCAACAAAAGCAAAACTCTGACTCAAAAAAAAAAAAGGGCTGTAGAATTCAGTAGAGTCAAAGTGGGAACTGGACTGAAGTCAGAAAGAATTGAAAAGTGTGCTTTTTTCCCTCTTTCTCTGTCCTGTCCAGGAGCTATGAAGACATGTTTCTCCTTTCCGTTTCTTTACAGGTTATGCATTAAATTGGAAGGTTTTCTTTTTGTATACGTAATTATGAGATGGAGATAGTAGAGAGAAAGTAGTCCCATTTTGGAAGCTTTTTTTTGGTTAAAATCTTGGCTCAGGAACAGTAAATGAACATTTAAGATCATCTACCTGCCTGGCCAACATGGTGAAACCCCATCTCTACTAAAAACACAAAAATTAACCAGGCTTGGTGGCGCATGCCTGTAATCCCAGCCACTCGGGAGGCTGAGGCACGAGAATCGGTTGAACCTGGGAGATGGAGGTTGCAGTGAGCCGAGATTGCACCATTGCACTCCAGCCTGGGTAACAGAACGCGACTCCGTCTCAAAAAAAAAAAGAAAAAAAGCAAAAAAGAAAGATCATCTGACATATTTAGGACGCATTTCAAGTTCCACAGGCATCAACTTACTGTTCCTCCTACCTTGTCCTCCCCCAACCTTTTTTTGGTTTTCCTTTCTTTTCTTCTTTCTTTCTTTTTCTTTTTCTTTTTTTTTTTTTTTTTTTTTGAGACAGCATCTTGCTCTGTCACCCAGGCTGGAGTGCAGTGGCTCAATTACAGTTCACTGCAGCCTTTACCTCCTGGGTTCAAGCAGTCCTCCCACCTCAGCCTCCTGAGTAGCTGGGACTACAGATGCGCACCACCACACCTGGCCTGACCTTTTCAATTAAATACTTATGTATATCATTTAGGTATAATTGATTATACCGGAAATGAACCTGCACTTTGTGCTTGCTATTATTTTTTAAGGTATTAAAGAGATGATAACTATGTTATTTCAATAAATATTTTATGCATGTTTTCCAAATTTACCGTAACATGATATTTTAATTTGATCACCCTAAGGATTCCAGTCGTAAAAGGTATTCATAAATAGGCTTTGTTCTTAAGCCAGCTGTTTCTCTTGTTTCATTCTTTTTGATTCTAATGAAAGCTTTGCTTTCTTACATATGGGGAAAACCTCTTATTATAGAGGAAGCTTCTAGAGTGTTTATGTATTTTGGTGACTTAAAGTCTGTTAATATACTGTATCCCAAAGATTCAAATTGCGTTTTGCATTCTTTCCTCTCAGAACTATTTATTTGGGGCCGGAAGCAGTGGCTCATGCCTGTGATCCCCAGCACTTTGGGAGGCCAATGCGGGCAGATCACGAGGTCAGGAGTTTGAGACCAGCCTGGCCAACATGGTGAAACCTGTCTCTACTAAAAATACAAAAATTAGTTGGGCATGGTGGCGGGCACCTGTAATCCCAGCTATTTGGGAGGCTGAGGCAGGAGAATCACTTGAATCTGGGAGGTGGAGGTTGCAGTGAGCCGAGATTGCACCACTGCACTCTAGCCTGGGCAATGAGAGCAAAACTCCATCTCAAAACAAACAAACAAACAAACAATTTATTTGGACTCTTAAATGCTTTTGGTTGGTTGGCATTTCTTTGTGAATTATTTGTCAAAATAATTTTTTGTCTATAATTGGATGAATGCTTTGCGACAAATTTGAAGTTTTAACAAAAGAAAATACATTTTTTTAAAAGGTAACAAAACTTACTTACTTTTATAGTCTTGTTACGTGAAATTAAGGAAAGAAAAATGAAAAAAATTCAGTAACTTAGGCTTTTAAAGCCATATGAAATTCTAGAATGTTTTATCTTTCACCTGAAAAACAACTCAGTTGGATCAAAAGGTCCTATTTATCATATATTCTTTACTCTTCAATTTGCATTTTTTTTTTTTTTTTTTGTGAGACAGAGTCTTGCTCTGTCGCCCAGGCTGGAGGGCAGTGGTACAATCTTGGCTCACTGCAACCTCTGCCTCCAGGTTCAAGTGATTCTCCTGCCTCAGCCTCCCAAGTAGCTGGGACTACAGGTTCGGGCTGCCATACACAGATAATTTCTTTTTGTATTTTTTTTTTTTTTTTAGTAGAGACAGGGTTTTGCCATGTTAGCCAGGCTGTTCTCGAACTCCTGAGCTCAGGCAGTCTGCCCACCTCGTCCTTCCAAAGTGCTAGGATTACAGGTGTGAGCCACTGCTCCCAGCCTCAACAATTTGCATTTTTTTTTTGAGGTGGGGTCTCACTCTGTCACCCAGGCTGGAGTGCGGTGGCATGATCTCAGCCCACTGCAACGTCCACCGCCTGGGTTTAAGTGATTCTCCTGCCTCAACCTCCCGAGTAGCTGGGATTACAGGCATGCACCACCACTCTTGGCTAAGTTTTTTGTTTTTTTTTTAATAGGGTTTTGCCATGTTGGCCAGGCTGGTCTCGAATTCCTGTCCTTGGCCTCCCAAAGTATTGGGATTACAGGCATGAGGCACCACAACTAGCCAGCAATTTCCATATGTATAGCACTTTAAACTACTAACTCATGGTCTCCTTAAATGACTAACAGACATTTAAAACAACGTTTAGGAGTTACAATCTTTATTGAACAGATGAATAAGCCCAAGTTTAGAGAGGCTGAGTTACTCCCTGCAAGCTAACATCTCTAGTTAATAGTAGAACTGGAGTCCAGTTTTTCTGACTCCTAACTAGTGTTCTTTCCACTCTAGTGAAGATAAATTGTTTGGTGATATATATATATATATAGATTTATATGTACATATATCTAAATGTATATTATGCGTGTATGTTCTATTTTTGATGCAATAATTATTATTAAATGTTGTCATACTCTCAGATCCTGTATATTAAGCTTCTGTTTGCTTTGTTTTCTTTTAGCTTCTTAGCAAAACTGGTTGTTTTGCTAAGTCAATAAAGTGTGGTAAGAATGAAGTTCAGTGATAACAGTGCAATACTTTTTTGGTTGATGAATGTTGTATACATACCTCCCACAGAACATTCTCCCTCTTATTATCCAGTGTACTTCCTGTGCTTGGATGTATCTGCCCTCCCACTGGTTCCCTAAATGCCTCTGGGAGTAATACCAGTATTGCCTGGAATCTTATTGAATGTGAAGGATGGGAACAGTTTAATTTTACCCCCACTGAAGCCCTTTGCAGACATTTCAGTGAATTGACGTAGTTTCATTAGCCATGTTATCTAGCATTGTATCAAAAGGGCCCTTTCTCTTCAATAAGGATAAGGAGAGCAAATACAGAATAGTAAGTTTAATGTTATTTAGTCAGAGATATCTGAAAATACACTTCTGAATACTTTCCAGATTTAACATCAGCATCTTTGTTGTTACGTAATGGACAAGAACTCAATTAGTATTTATTAAATGTCTACTCTGGGAATGATTTGCCGCTTCATAATTTATGAGTGTGTTGAAATCCCAAAGGTATGTTTTACTACTGTGATTTTTTTCTTTAGCTGTTTACATGATAAAGCAGTGCATTGAATTCTAGGCAGTTGGCAAATCTTAAATGTTGAAAAAAGAAAGCATGAAACATTTGCTTTTGAAATAGAGAATTCTTATTTTTTGAAAGCATTTTACCCATATGTGCAGTTATTGAGAGAAAATATTTGTACTTGGCTGACTTGTCTTCACCAAATGTCACAGCCCAGACCTCTCTTTGGTTGGAGACACAGGGATAAGTCCTTTTGCTCTTAAATAGGCAATTAATCTTCAAAAAATGTAGAGAATGTCCTTGATAATTACTAGATGGACTTTATGTTGTCCTTTTTGTAATACATTGTTCTTTAAAAAAGAACATTTGTTTTATTTTTTATTTTTATTTATTTATTTATTTTGAGATGGAGTCTCACTCTGTCGCTCAGGCTGGAATCTCGGCTCACTGCAACCTCTGCCTCCAGGGTTCAAGTGATTTTCCTGCCTTAGCCTCCTGAGTAGCTGGGACTACAGGCATACACCACCATGCCTAGCTAATTTTTGTATTTTTAGTAGAGATGGGGTTTCACCATGTTGGCCAGGCTGGTCTCGAACTCCCGACCTGAGGTGATCCACCTGCCTCGGCCTGCCAAAGTGCTGGGATTACAGGCATGAGCCACTGTGCCTGGCTAGAACATTTGTATTTTATATTTAAAATACAATTGTCACAGGGGTTTGTTACCTTTAAATTTTCTTCTGGATTCTAGTTTTCTAGAACAAATTTAGCATTTGGTATGTTTATAACTAACTGTTGTTCACAGAGGGAAAGAGGATGAGCAATTAATTATGCTTCTGATTATATTTAATTATCAAGAGCAATGTTTTCACTCCTGTCCCAACGTATTTATTTTCCAACACAAAATGCTATATTTCATCCATTTTGAGATAGACATTTTATTCACATTTTAACACCACTGATATCACTATATGTCATGTATAACGTGTGACCTAACTATAATTGATAACATTTTTACTTCCTTAGTGGCACATGACACATCAGGGTGCCTTACAATTCATGGTATTTTTATTTATTTATTACTTATTTGTTTAGATTGCTCTTTCAGAATTCATGGATCTTAAATTGAATCAAAATCAGTACAATGGAAAGATCTTTATCAAGTTTTAAAGCACTTTTTGAAACACAGGTTGTTTACAGTTTTTGTGTATTCATGTACACATCTACTTTCAGTTGGTGTTGGCCTGAAATCAAGGGTGGATTATTTTCATTTACATTGTTAATTTTGGAAACAGTTACATAACAAGAAATAGTTTGAAATTTGCCACATTTAATTACAGAAACTCTAGCTAGATATGTTAAGGGGTTTGTCAAGCTTGAAGAGCTCAAAGCTAGTTAACACAGGACCATACAGACAACCCACTCTTCCTCATTCCTACTTTTTCTGTCATTTTATCTGTGGTCTTCTGAGTGCCCAGAAGACACTGGGCATGAGGAGCGTTCTTGTGTGACCCACTCTCGGGCTGAGGCTCCTTTGTCACTGGAGCACCTGTTGGCAGAGCGTGTCATTTTGCACATTCAGCAAATGGGCTCCCAGTATTTTTCCTCCAGAAAAACCAGTCCAGAGTTTCAAGGCTCAGGTTTTACGTGCTTCTGCTCCTTCTTGCCCTTTCAACAGTGCATCGTGTGAAATGGTGTTTCATAGTTTGATCATTTTGTGTTGCTTTAACATCTGTCATGGATGGCAGTCCATAATCCTGTGACTATACATTTCCCCATACCCCAAGGATATGACAACGTGGCAGTTGGTCGCCCTGAAGTGGGTACATGATACATCTGAGGAAATAGTTTCAGGCCGTGTTTATGGAGCAGAGGAGAGTGTGGAGAGTGTGGGTAAGGTTAGAAACACAGACCCTGTGAACCATCATGCTGACCTTTGCCCTCAAAAAACCCTTTGGAGGTTTTTTCGTTTTGTTTGTATCAGATTTTTTTGTTTTTTGTTTTTTAAAGAGCATTTCTGAAAACTGGACTTTGTGTGTGTTAGGGGAGGGGGTTTGTTAGGAGAGGATGGCTATTTGGTAATGAGACCTGTTTCCACAGATTGATTGGGGTGAAAGACTGAGTGGATGGGAGGTGAGGAAATGGAGATTGTGTGAATAGACAACTTTGAAAAAGCTTATTATTTAGAGAGAAGAAAGATCACTGCACCAATTTTTTCTTTTCTCTTCTTTTTGTTTCTTTTCTTTCTTTCTTTCTTTGAGACGGAGTCTCGCTCTGTCGCCCAGGCTGGAGTGCAGTGGCATGATAACAGCTCACTGCAGCCTCAACTTCCTGGGCTCAAGGGATCCTCCCAGTAGCTGGGACTACAGGCCTGCAACACCACAGTGGGCTAATTTATTTATTTTTATTTTTATTTTTTATTTTATTTATTTATTTATTTTTACCCCTAAAGCAGCCTGAATCCATTTCCTTTGGGTGTCAATGAGGACTTTCTCTTGGGTTCTTGCTTTCCCATGACCTCAAACCCTTCTCAAACTCACTGGGTCACAATCCACCTTGATTAGTGGTGCTGCCATTTCTGACTCTTCCCACTCTCCTCCTGACCAACCAGCCCTACAAAGTCCAAAATTTGTGACTATCCAAATACTCTCAAGTCTTACTGATTCATCTTCTTTGTTGTCTCTTGGATTTATTCTGCTTTTTCTCTTCTCATTGCACTGCCTCCTCATCTTTTGACTGGGTTGCTATTCACTATTAAAAAGTGGGGATTATAATACCTACCTTGAGGGTTTGCTAGGAGCATGAGTTTAAATGAAATAGGTGAAATATGTGGCATGGTGGTTCAGTGTTATTGGGTGTTCTAGGCTTCTTCTGTTTTCATTCAATCCATCTCCCAAGCTCCAGTTTTTAGCCACTTCCTTTCTTTTTAATCCTGCTATCAGAGTTGTCTTCCCTAAGTACATCATTTTCTTTTTAGACGGAGTCTCCGCAACCTCCGCCTCCTGGGTTCAAGCAATTCTCCTGCCTCAGGCTCCCAAGTTGCTGTGACTGCAGGCACGCGCCACCACGCCCGACTAATTTTTGAATTTTTAGTAGAGACGAGCCTTCACTGTGTTGGCCAGGCTAGTCTCGAACTCCTGACCTCGTGATCCACTCGCCTCGGCCTCCCAAATGGCTGTGATTACATGCATGAGCCACTGTGTCCAGCCCTTAAGTACACAGCCTTTTAAGTGTGTTCAGTGTTTCCCCATTGCTTGCAGTGT